>NC_000006.12:55225469-55871153 GCF_000001405.40 Homo sapiens | reverse complement strand
GACATGATTAGATAATTTGCTTACAATATTTATCTCTTGTTTACACAAATAAAACATGTAGTGTATTTCTAAGATCTTTTAGTTAGAAGCCAATTTTATTTGATTACTTGGTGACATTATCACCATAATGACATAACACTAGATGTTTTAGAGGAAGTAAAAACAGGAAAATTACTTTTATATTATTCTTTGTATCTACATATTCCTCTGGAAAAAGTTGAACTTTGAGTTTATTAATGGTTTTTCTCTTAGATGTATTTCAAGAATACGTTTTAATTCCAAGCACAAAAGTATTTAAATGTGTTGTTAAATTTTTTAAATATAAAAACATATTTAGTCTGTTATCATGAAAGAAAAACGCTTTCAAAAACTAAACCTTTTTTGCCTACTTACCCTAATCATTAAGTTCTCTTGGTACTGGAAGGAAAAAATGCTTTATGTTCTCAGTTGACAGATTTGAAAGACATCATTGATAATTTATTATTGTTTTTGGCTGAATCAAGTGCCCAGTGGAAAGTAATTTATATACAAATCTACCTAAAGATGCCTATCTATGTAGTCTCTCCAACAGAGTTATTAACACTTGTGTAACATAAACACACCCATAAACACATGGAAGTTTTTTTTGAAGGGGGATGGGTTGGAAGGAAAGATAATATAAAGCCATTATAGTATATATTCATAAATTATGCCTGGAGTAACTAATGCTAATAATGGGTAAAGCAACAATCATTCTGTAAAAGTTTTAACTTTTGAAGAGAAAAATATTGCTGAGTGAGGAGACCTTTTTCTCTCTTCTTCAACAACACTTCACATTCATAATCACGACCAACGGGATTCTTTTTCTCCTTTAAAGATGGTTGATTATCAAGTGATTGGCATGACAGACAAACTCTGGGTTGCCAGAGATAGTTATAATCATAGTTTAATTAAATGCTTTTTTTTTTTTTTTCAAATTGTAGTGGTTACTCACAAATATCAAATTTTAAAAGTTTAATGAGACGTATTAGCTGGAACTAAGAAGGACTTGGGACTGCCTCAGCTGCCACCTCTCCTTCCCTTTCATTCTTCCATTTTCTGTAATATCACCACTCTCCCTCCTCCCTTCTCATCCCAGTATTTTTTGGCCTTTCCTCCTTGTTCTTGGTCTCTGTAGCCCCAGGCTCTCTTGGCACCCCTCTCCTTACCACTCCCACACTTCCTGGGGTCTGCCTTTCGTCCTGGTTTGCTAGAGGCTTAAATTAGTTGAAAATCAATTAGTTACAGTTTGAGAATTGAGGTACACTCTCCTGTTTTCTCTCCAGTTGAGAAGGAAAAGGTTATGATGTGCCAACTGCAGCCTCCACCCACTGGGAGAAAAGCTCCCCAGGGCATCAGAGCTGCCCTGGCTCTTGCCATCCCCTGTAATTGTTTCTCCATCATCCCATTCTTCTTTGCCTCCTCATCTCTCCCTAAGGATCCCATTGACAGAATTTAATTGTGTTTTGCCTTTATTTTATAAAATAACATTTAAAAGGGAAAATTTCAAGAAAAGTAAAAGAAAGAAAAAGAAATCAACAATGAACAAAAATAACACTCATCAAACATGCCATTCCTGTTTAGTTTATAAAAAGCTTTTGTGTTTATTATCCTTATTTAATATTCTGTCACTTCCATGAAGAAATTATTTTTTTTTGAAAAGAGATAATGAGAAAGAATAAAGAGACGAAGAGTGAGATATAGAGGCATACAGGAATAAGGATGAGACAGAGAAAGAAAGAAAATATTTTTGAAAAAGAGCCTGAAAGAAAGAAAAGGAATGAAATGAGTCATTAAAGGCTGGTTTTTCAGTTGTACAGGTGGAGGAGATGCTGGGAAATCCTCAGTCTACCTCATACCAAACAGCAGCTAATTCAACATCCCCAACCACATCAGCTCGAGGGGAAAACCCTTTCATCCTTACACACTAAAATACCGAAGTGGGGAAGGAGGGGGTTGTCTCAGTATGTGTGTACAAGGAGCATACAGACAAGCTACTCACATTTACAGTCATAAATAATGTAGTAGCTCAGCTTTAAAAAACCACAGGTTAAAGGAAGAGGCTTCCCTGACGCACAGGAGAGGGGCTGAGATCAGAGGAACCACTGAAAGGGTTGGAGAGAAACAATGAATCCCTTGTTCTAAGTAATATTTATGAGTGCTTCTTTGCACCTTAAGTTCATATTTTATTGGCTGGGCCGTGGGGTTTCCCCATTTGCTCATCTCTTAAAATAATACCCTTGGCTAAGATATCCTTTAAAACACACTAGTCAGCCCTGACAAACAGCTCATTTATTTAGAGGAAAAAGGGATCTGTTTTGATTTTGATGTCAGATTGGGATGTTTAAGATTCAGCTCACAAAGTCTGACAGTAAGATAAAAATAATGGTGGAGTATTCACCTGACTTTTTCAGAGATGTTTAAAACAATCTGCATAACCAAGTAGTAGTAACACCTAGTTTGTATGAGTCTTGACCAAGAAGCTGTGGATAAATGATAATTTTAAAAGGCAGAAACAAAATCTATGAAAATGTACAATGTTTAAAAAGAGAAAAAAATACTATTTGTAGATTAGTAAGAAAGGTCTTTAGTGGTTTGGGGAGAAAAAAACAACAAAAACAAACAAACAAAAAACCCCATAAATCAAAAAGAATGCATTAACCTCGGCTTGGAAGGCAGTGAATTAAATACATATTACATAACTCTTAGAAACTAAAACCTTGTATAATTCTGAATAGTTGGATGTTGAAATTAAACTGGAGGTTGTGCTGTTTTATGACTTCTAAGACAATGAAGATCCTTGTCTTCAATATTGTGTTTGTTCAATTTCTTTCTAGAAAAAAAATTAGCAACTTTTATTGTTCTTGTTAAACAGGTTTCCTGGAGTTGTTAGGAATAAAGAAAATAGTTTTAAAATGTCAGGATCAACAGATGTAAATCCTATTTAGATTTTATTCAGGACTATAACACATGTCTAAATCAAGAAAAGATTTATTAACATGTACAAAATCCTTCAGCTATTTTAATGCTATAATGACATGAAAAGTTCAATGTTATTTGTTGTTCTGACTCTGTGATTACCCTTTCTATATAGGAGACACAGCCATCTCCAGAATCTTCAGTTCATGGCATATTACTGCTCACATGACTTTAAAGTTCAATTATAAATTAAATTTAGTTGCTTTCTTTTCTGTGCTTCCATGGCAGAAATAGAGTAGTATACAGGAAGCCAGAATGCTTGGATTGGAATCCCATATTCCACGCTTACTAGCAGCGTGAACTTGAGCAAGTTATTTAAATTATTTGTGCGTCTGGTTGCTTATCTAAAAAGTGCAGATAATAAGATCACCTTCCTCGATGAATGTTGAGATAATCTGCATGAGCAGCTACATAATCTGTGGACCCTGATGCAAATGAAAATGCAAGCCCCTTATTCAAAAATTATTAAGAATTTCAAGATGGTGGCAGCAGAGTATTACACCAAGAGCAGGGCCCTTCTAAGCCCGGGACCCTGTGCAACTGCGCAGGTCACTTGCCCGTGATGCTAGTCCTACATGTTTGATTACATGTTGTGGCAACAGAAACCATGTCCCATTCATCCCTTCCCGCCTGCCCCACCCACTGAGATGTATCAGCATTTCCAGAAGAAAAGAGACAGAATGTGCAAACTGAATTATTTAGGAGAGTTTAAATGATGTTATAATGTTTATAGTGTTGTGGGCAGAGGTTTTGTTTTGTTTTGTTGCAGCAAAACAAGGGATCATATAGTATCTTGGGATGGCAGGGTAGCCTTCACTACTCCTGGGCAGGGGGCATAGTTACCAGAAAGCTCAGAGGAGAGATATGTGGGGAAGGTGCCCTGACAGAAACTGTGGCATTGGGAGAAAGATGCCATGCATCTAATCCTTAGATACTCAGCGGGGGGGATACAGATACCAAGGGATAAATACCCAGACCATATGCTTTGGTCTTCCATTGGTTCACCCTCACTGAAAGCCAGAGAGCCACAGAACCCATTGGTGCAGTTCCTAAAAGTTAGTCTTTTGGTGAGAATAGCAGAATAGGGAAATGTGGAGAGTGGATCTTGAGGTACAAATGGAAGATATTTGGCACAAGTAGATAAATAAACATTGGTTGTTTAGTCAGCAAGTGTTCTAGAATTACTTCAATTTCAGTGCAAGTTACTGATATATATGTTAATCTTTGTATTATTTAGTTAATTTATAGTAAAATTCAAGAGAGAATAATAATTTAGTGTGAGAGATAATTACTTCAGGAGTTGGTGAAATAAAGTGGTAAATATAAGCATGGCATGCTGAAAGAAAAAATCCTTAAATTGTACATGGGTCAATAATTTCAGGTGATATATTAAAACCATTTTAGAGAAAATTGAAATTAAGAAACAAAAATTACCCAGAAAACAGAAGCCCCTAAAACAAGAAAAAGCAGCACTTTCAGATCACAATATGAACTGCGGACTGCAATTGCCAATGAAAAAATTCAGTATGGGAACGAGAAGAATATATGCAAGTATGTAGAGCAAAATGAAGAGCAATATATTTTTCAAATCCCTGTTTATTGTCAATTGTATGCCATACCTCCTGAGATGATCCACGACTGTGTGTTAAAGCTTTTTTGAATTCTGAGTGGAATCATATGATATTCTCACATGCAGCATTCGCATTCCATAGTTAATGTTGCAGGCATAAATAATGTTAGAATGAGGTAGATAGGGATTATTGTCTTTCTTCTTTGCTACCTTTATTCTCCTCTGGCAGACCATCTGTGACTCAGAGAGGCAGAATTTAGTAGTGGAGCAGGTATGTCAGCTATTTAGTTCTCATAAATAATCAAGCACTAAACCTTGAGGCCAGAGCCACTCCCTGCCCTTCAATCACAGAGAAACACTGAATAGAACAACTCCTTTCCAGTACAGTTTGTGTTTTCCATCAAATTTGCTACAGTTGGAAATTTCACTTATATAATTATTAAAAGAGGAAGAGAGGGTGCAACTCAGAAACTGTGTAGGCTCTTCTGCAAATAACCTTGATGCAGACACACAAAAGACTTATTTATCTAGTGGGGAAGCAATGAAGGTTATTAATTAAATATGCTTTATGTCAAAATTTTTGTAGATGTATTCTTTGCTCTGGGTGAAGAAGGGTCATTTGGTTCTCCCTTAACTGTTTTAGTAGGGTTTCAGTGTTAGGGTTTTGGAGCCAGACTGGTTTGAATTCCAGCTGCGTATCCTTGAGCAAACCATTTCACTTCGTTGAAACTATTTCCTCATCTAAGTGGAGCTCATAATACAGAATTGGAGTTAAGACTGTATAATGTAAGGTCCTAGACTTTTGAGCCTACATGAGACAAATACTAAATTAATGGTCTCAACTGCTATTACAACTATTTCTACTAGAATATACTATGGAGATCTAATGTTAGAGGAAATCTACATTCAGCCTACAAGACTTTGTCAAATAAATGCCTTGCTGAAATTCTGAAACATTATGCACATAATTTTTCCTCTGTCTAAAAGAAAAACCTTGAATTTCATTGACTCTTTCTTCAAGCTGGACAGCTGATGGACTCTGTTCCCCCACTAGAGTGCTTTGGAAAAGGTCAGTCTATGTCAGAGCCTTCATGAGACGGACTGTGGTGCTTTCCTCTGAGGACCCAAAAGCAACATTTTCTGTGATTAGCTGCTGAAAGGTGCTTTTCATACTACCTTTGGTCAGAGTCCTAGAACTATTCCATGGTTTTACTTTAATTTTAGATATTACCTGTTCCATTTCCTTGCTTGTTAAGGAGGGGAAACTAATTAGAAGCCAAGGTAGTAATATACAATTAGAAGATATTTGATTGTAAAGACATGGACAGTCTATAAAGAACCCTTTGAAAGAATGTAAAAAAAAAATGAAAAGTTTTTAATGCTTATTTTCATAAGTCAACTCACTTTGAGGGTTTTAATTTTTAAGAAGTTGATTCATGATGAAAATTTAGGTGTATAAACTTTTAAACTCTAAGCAGGAAAGTCACTCTGTTCAAATAATCTTTCAATCCTGGAGCTTTCAGTATTGTCTGTAACTCAAATCATGTCTGAATTTATGATTTATAATTTGCAGCTATTCTCATTACTACTTAAATCATTATTATAATTTTGTTTCTACTTAATACCATTCAGCCTTAAGTATTGTGACTTTCCTCGACGATTTGTTTGGGTTTTTTTTTTCAGATGCGGCTATTAAATATTTTTGTTAATTATCTTGAGTTGTTATAATAACTTATAATTTTTTAAACAGGATGAAAATGTATTTGTTTGGTCTCCAAAGCCACACAAAAGGCCATACATAAACTGTGGACATCTTCTATTACAGGATGCACATTGTAAAATCATCACATTGATTTTTGATATTTCATTATATATTGAGTGGGAAAACATAGATTTATTGTTTTCTCATTATTTGATAAAATGCTGGAAGATAAGTCATTAATATGATGTCTCAGTCTGTTTGTGTTGATGTAACACAATACCTGAGACTGAGTAATTTATAAGGAAAAGTTTGTTTGGCTCATGATTCAGGAGGCTGAGAAATCTAAGATCAGGCAGCCCATTCGATGAGTGTCTCATGCTGTTTTAACTCTTGGTGGAAAGTAGAAGGGAACGTGAGTATGTGCAGAGACACACAAGAGAGACTGGACTTATTACAGCCTGCTCTCAAGGGAACTAATCCATTCCCAGGCGACCAATAACTCCCTCCCTCCCACAAGATGACATTTATCTATTCATAACGGCAGTGCCTTCATAATCCAAGCACCTTTCACAAGGTTCCAATTCCAAACGCTGCCATATTGGGAATCAACTTTCAACATGAGCTTAGGAGAGGACATACTCAAATCGTAGTGATAATTACTGCTAGATTTTTAATTGTGATGGGTAGTTATTAAAATAAGTACAGATTCCAGCTACATATTTATTGATATATTCGAACCACCATTTAAGGTTTTTCTCTTTACACTTTACATTAAAAGTTATCATTCTTCAGTAATTTACATTGAGGAATAATTTTATTTATCAGAATTAAGTGAGCTTTTTTTTTATATGTGTGATGCATTCACGGTTATGCATCTTTAAAAATGGGGGTGTACCTTCTGAGAAACGTTTCTTTAGGTGATTTCATCACTGTACCAATATTATAGAGTGTACTTACACAAACCTAGATGGCATATCCTACTAAACACCTCAGCTAGATGGTAAAGCCTATTGCTCCTAAGCTACACACCTCTATAGCATGTTACTGCACTGAAAACTGTAGGAAATTGTAACACCATGGTAAGTATTTGTTTATTGAAACATATCTGAAAACACGTAATTGGTTGTGCTACATTATGATGGCTATGATGTCACTAGATGATAGGAATTTTTGAGCTCCATTATAATCTTATGAGACCAGTGTTATATATACAATCCATGTTGACCTAAACATTGTCATTATGTGGCTGCTTATCGTATATAAAATTTTCAGGTCTTAGTATGGTTGTAGCAGTGATAATTAAAGGAATAATAACAACAATAAATGTAGTTCCCATGGCAGAGACTGGACTCTGTGATTTTTATGCGTTATTTCAATTTATCCACATCTTAATTCCATAGGTAAATATATTTCTGCCAATGTATTGATGTAAAAATTGAGGGTGTTCTGAGGGTAAATAACTTATAAAAGTCACCCAGCTAGTGAATGGCAGAATCATTACTGGAGCCATGCTCTGGCGACAGTTTTTATATTCTTCACCATTATTCTTTGCTTTGTAACAAAATTTTGAAGAAGTTAAAAAGTATACAACTTTTAACAACAACAATAATAATGGCTTATATTTTTTAAAAGCATCTTTATATACGTTATGTGGTTTGATCTAAATTACCGCAGTATATAGCCCTCAAGGAAGTAGATATGATCCCACAACACACATCTATGGAAACTGGAGTTCTGAAAGGTCATTCATTCAGTCATTTAACAAATATAAGCTGATTACCTACTATTGGGCCAGACACTGTGCGAAAGACTGTGCCTGTTTTACTGCCAAAATCACAGGGCAAAGGAGCCAGGTCCAGGCCCAGAATCCTTCATTCTTGTGCCAGGATTTTTTTTCTTTGCTCAATGTCACATACTTTAAATAAATCACACCCAAAATCTAGCACCAAGTAAAATTAAAAACACCAACAAAAATCCCTTTAAAGAATTTTTTTTAAAAGTCTGTTACCAGTTGACAGAACCTATGGAAGCCTTTTAGTCCAAAAAGACTGGAGCAAAGGTAAAACCAAGTCGCAGCAAAGCTTGGAGAGTCTGTTAGAAGCCTGCTTGTGTAGCTCTGGGAAATTATTAGTATGGAGGCTCCAGTGACTTTCAAGGAAATATCCGAAAAGAAGGTTTTATATTTTACACTGGATGCTAATTGTACATTCCAAAATATAAGTGTGTCTCAAACATTCATTGTTTGTGTTGTATTCAGGAAATAAGGATACAAGAGCATTCAATTTTTCAAAATTAAGTTGTTGGAGCTGTCTAAATCTTACCTCTGGCCCTATCTTACTTCTTCAATTGTGATGGATAAAGATTTTCACCCATATTTTACTGCTAACAAGACTGTATACAATGTTTACTTTGCTACTGTATACATTGAACATAATGTAGTTTCAGGATATAATAGTCAATGGAGATACAATTATAAATTGAAATAAAAGGGGATTCTGAGAATTGGTATAAGGACCACTTTCATACATTTCCTTGAATCTACTTACGGTATTGGGGATTGGGCAATGATTACTTTAAGTTGATTGTCGAGAAAAATCGACCAATATTCTATGACTTCCTTACTCTTTCCTGGTAGTTTACTGTGATTGTGAAGTAAAAATTGCATCAAAATATGGATATAAGTGTACTGGTACACCATCATAGTTGTTAGCGTTCACCTATCAATTCACATCAACAAAGCATTCTATCATAAAAGTGAAATAATAGAAGTGGAAGAAGTTAAGACCTTAATGATTTCTTCTCTAGTGGATATTCTGTTTGCTACAGCTAGCGTAGTGCTTATGATGTGCAAGAGAGCATGCAAATAGCATTTCAAGTGCTAACATTTTAATTTTTCATAAAGTCACTCAGTTTTATAGATGAAGAAATTGAGACCCTGAAGTCCTTTGTCCGAAGTCCTACTTCCTGTAATAGGAAGAACTGGATTCAGAGCTCAAGCTATTCACTGATATGCTGTGCTGCCTTTGTCAATGCTATTGAGAAGGCTGCTGTGTTGAATTCTTTGTAAAGTTCTATATACTTTCCAACATATTATATATTGAATTTGCACTATTTTCACTTCATCAGTAAGGGACATAAAATGGCATAAAATGAAATAAAAATATTTTAGAAGAAAGTCTGTAATAATGAGTTTACCAAGAGTCTACTCCCTGGAGTTCAACTGTTACGGGCTTTTGATAGATGAGTTGTGTTGCTGGCCTTCCAAAGGAGGCAAATACTCATGAAACAGAGGAAAAGAAGCACTGTGCAGACACCAAAGATACTGACATTTGTGACATACAATCTAATTGGTCAGTAATGAGGAGTGGAAAGATTGATCTGTGTTATTGATTCCCACTTTTAAAAGACAGATTTGGCATAAACAAGATTAACATTTGGCAAAATAGAAAAGAGGTAAAATATCAAAGTTGCAAATAGTAATAGGCCTTAAAAGAAGGGTTGGAGATTGGAATAAAGTATTAGTGAGTTTAATTGTATGCTGGGTGATTTCCAACCTGCTGGCCGGTCTAGAAGGCCATATAAGCAGGGCTGCCATGCTGCTAAGTATGAGTGCCTTGCCTCAGCTTCTCTGACCCCACTGGGGATTGGCCAGCAAATTAGTAGAAACCTACTAAAGTGGAAGTTTGGGCTGCAGGAACATCTACAGCTGACAAGTTAGGAATCTCCTACTGCTTGCTGCAGCTAGAAACTGACAGATAACTTCTGCTTCATCTTGCTAGTCATGACTGAAACTCCTCTGTGTTCTAGATAATATTTAATAACATCCCATATTTAGTACACATCCTTTGATTTGTAGCAGTTACAGCCCTAATCTCTTGCATGTGTAAAGTGAGTTTCTTTCCATAGCTCACTCATTGCCCCTGTATCACACAAAAGCTGAATATATTATTTCTGCTCCTTATGTATTTTATGAATTAAAGGGTAAGGACTTGGGATATATTTGTTTTCCAAAAGAAAATATTTCTGGAGCTACAAAATTTCTCAAAGCAAAATGCAGAAGTACATGAGGACAGTTCAGACCCGGCTATCCTCAGCTCCCAATACCAAACAGAGGGAACCAAACAATGAATTATGAAAAGTAGGTACAGTTGTTAACATACTGACGTTTAGCTAAAACACTGAAAACTAATCTCTGCTTTGAAAAGCAAGGCAAGAAGTAGCTAAGAGTAAAAATGAGCATTTAAGACATCACCTGCTGCTTCTTAAAAATTCTATTTTGTTTCTCTCTCTCTCTCTCTTTACCTTTAGCCACTCGTACCCAATCTACCAATAGCCCAATTGTAATGCTAGAAGTGTGAAGGATCTTAATATCTGATTTCTAATTATTTAGTCTGAGACATGCTTAGGAAGTCAGATGAACTTATGAATAAGTCAAACATTTAATTTTTATTAGACTAATTTCATTGACATATGATAAAACATGTGCTTAACTATAATTATATTCAAATCTCTTGGCCACTTTCAATCATTTACTCTTTTTAATCAGAGTTCTTTGTCAGGGTTTCCTGAAATGAATTTCGTTGAAAACATTACTTTTTAAAAAAATTTTTTGAGACAGGATCTTGCTCTGTTACCCAGGCTGGAGGTCAGTGGTGTGATCTCGGCTCACTGCAGCCTCACCTCCTGGGCTCAAGCAGTCCTCCCACCTCAGGCTCCCAAGCACCTGGGACTACAGGCCCATGCCACTGCACATGGCTAATTTTTAAAATTGTTTTGGAGATGAAGTCTCCCTATATTGCCCAGGCTGGTCTCAAATCCTGTGCTTGTGAGATTTGCCTGTCTTAGCTTCCCAAAGTGCTGGGATTATAGGCATGAGCCACCAAAACATTTCTCTGTCCTTTTCAGAGGTGTTGTCTGAAATTTTGTGGCCAAATAAATTTGAACTATGCAAAGAAACTAATTCAATAGGTTCTTATGTTTTCAGGACAGGATTCCTCAGTGTGTTTATTATGCTAATGAGCATTATGAATCTCTGCAAGGAGGATATAAGTTACAGTGTTTAACATGATTGATCATTGGTATTTGGAAGAAACTTTCCTTTATGGAGAAGGACTGTTTATAAAAGCCATTCTGGAAATACAGCAAACAGAACGTTATGATACTTTAATTTGTTGACATTGTAGTCACTTTTATGTCAAATTAAAAAGGAGCAGGAAAAAAGTTACAATTCCATTATCTAGAGCCAATTATTGTTGATGTTTTTGTACATTTCCTCTTATACTTTAAAAATACACCTTTTTGTATAGTTGAACTGTTTATGTAAGGTTGTACCCTTACTTAATTCTTGATTTTTAAGTTTTTGAGTTTTCTCATTTGTTCATTTTCTCCTTATGAATATATTTTTGATGACTGAATAATATCAGCTAGACAATTCATTGTCATATTTGCATAAACAGTATTTTATTATTGGGCATGCAATTTTTTTAGTTTTTACTATTGTGTGCTGTGTTGCAATAGCTATTTTTACTCATATGTTCTTAAACATTCCTGACCAGTTTTTTAGAGTCTGTTCTTAGAAAACGAATTATTAGAGCAAAAGGTGTGACCTTTTTTAATGCATTTACACAGAATTACATTGAGGAGTTCCTGAGGAAAATGAACCCAGGAACACTGATAATTGAAACTAACCAGTGTTTCAATATCACTGCTAAATCACTTGCTATCCTATACCTTTTTAAACTTTTTTTTTAAAATTTTACTTTAAGTTGTGGGATACACGTCATGTGCAGAACGTGCAGGTTTGTTACCTAGATATACATGTGCCATGGTGGTTTGCTGCACCTATCAACTTATCATCTAGGTTTTAAGCCCCGCATGCATTTATCCTAATGCTCTCCCTCCCTTTGCCCCCTACTCGCCGACAGGCCCCAGTGTGTGATGTTCCCCTCCTTGTGTCCATATGTTCTCATTGTTCAATTCCCACTTATGAGTGAAAACATGCAGTGTTTGGTTTTCTATTCCTGTGTTAGTTTCCAGCTTCATCCATGTCCCTGCAAAGGACGTGAACTCATTCTTTTTTATGGCTGCATAGTATTCCATTGTGTATATGTGCCACATTTTCTTTATCCAGTCTATCAATGATGGGCATTTGGGTTGGACCCAAGTCTTTGCTATTGTAAATAGTGCTGCAATAAATACACGTTTAAGCCTCCTGAAAAATACACTAAATTGCTTTTCAGTAAATTTGTTTCAATTTCTGTTTGTATGAGTGTAAACGTTAGTATTATTTTACCAGAATGAAACCTGAATTAATATTATGTATTTCCATTCTTGATAATCTAAAACATACTCTTTTATTTGTGTTTCTTCTGAGATTTATTAATCTTTTATATTTTCTCTTTGGGGAGTTTTAAGTTTGCAGCTTATGCTTAGAAATTCCTCCTGTGACTAGGTGTTAATAATTATTTACTTTTTTTTCTGTTGTTTGCTTTGATCTCTTTTCAGCCAACTCAACTCATTATTTGTAAATAGCAGTCATGTGAAGACATTTCCAGATATTTAAGAATTTTAAAAACATACCGTCAACATTCTATTTTGAAAATAATTGCTCAAAGTCATCCTATAGGTAATTGCTGAAAAAAAATTGAGAAGAATGAGGTGTTTATAATATTCAAGGAGTTAGAGTTTTAGAATTAAATGAGGTGAGCAAATAGATTTGGTCTAAATAACTTGATGTTCAAATAACCTTCTATAACTTAATTATAAAACGCTCAAGTATATATGAGCAAAGAATAATTTGGATGGCAGAGATGTAATACCTCATTTATAACACTGTTTAAAAGGTGTTGGCCAAGTGTGGTGGTGCATGCCTGTCATCCCAGCACTTTGGGAGGCCGAGGTGGGTGGATCACCTGAGGTCAGGCATTCAAAACCAGCCTGGCCAGCATGGTGAAACCCTGTCTCTACTGAAAATACAAAAATTAGCCAGGCCTGGTGGCGCATGCCTGTAATCCCAGCTCTTGGGAGGCTGAGGCAGGAGAATCGCTTGAGCCTGGGAGGTGGAGGTTGCAGTGAGCCGAGATCTCACCATTGTACTCCAGCCTGGACAAGAAAAGTGAAACTCTGTCTCAAAAAAACCAAAAATAAATAAATAAAGCTGTCATTTTGGGATTGCAGAGAAGGATTACTAAATAAATGTATACATTATTTTTCAATTGAGTAGTAATTGCATGCATTTACCCACAAATTATATACTTTATAGTTTAGTATCAAGTTTGATTTTTGAGTCAAAGCATTTCTTTTCATGGAATCTCAAGATGTTTTGGAACTTTTTGCCATCGGCAATTATTTAAATGATCACAATGATATAGGATATTCATAACCCACTTTTGGCACCTTGATCTCTTTAGTATCTTCTAGATTGATAGTTACTTCTAAGGGATATGAAAGAGTGCGAAAGTATGGCTGCATTTTTGTTTTGGCTAAACCTGGTCTCTAAATGTAAGGTTTTCATTATACATATTTATCATCTTATCAACCTTTCTTAGCTTTAAACATTTTATAATCATACATAATAACTTTTTGAGTCTCAATACTGTATCATAGCATAGTTTTTAAAATGTCATTTAAGCAACAATTACTAATGTAAATTCAAGTAACATATTGTGTTAGCTGCAAAAATAATGCCACTGAAGAAGCAGTTGAGTGATCGATAAACTCTAAATCAAATAATAAGGTATATCAGGACTGCATGAGCAGAAGAAAACAGTGTTCAAAATTTTATATTAGTAAGTCTAGGATTCAAAAAATTGAATGACATTGAACAAAACAAGTCACTATGATCATGAACCACATAAAACTTTACAAAGCTTCGGCAGTGTCAACTCTGTATATGGAAAGTAATAAATTAAAATGTTTAAGGTAAAGATGATTAGAAATGTAAGTAAAAATTGGTAGAAGCAAAACTGTAGTGTGAAATCTTTCCATAAAATTAATACTGCATAATAGCCTACACACACACATACAAATGTAAAATAATTTTGTACTTAAATAATACAATTAATAATATTAAATTAAATGGTACATAATGAAGATTGTGCTTTGAAATATATTGATATGTATGAAATCATGATTTTTGAGATTCCATGGAACAGTTAAATCAATCACTAATCGGGTGGTATGTAAGTGTAAAAATATAAAAAGTATAGATAATTAATAAACATGTAAGAAAATGTTCAACACTATCAATTATTAGAGAATTGCTAATTAAAACTAAAATGAGATACCACTACACATCATAAAAATGGCTAAAATAGAAAAAGAAATAAAAAACCCTGAACTCAGAAAACCAAGTGCGTCAATGATGCAGACCAACTAAAACACGTATAAATTGCTGGTAGGTATGCAAAATAATACAACCACGTAGAAAATATCTTACAATTTTTTGATAACATTAAACTTATGCTTGCCATTATGACACAAATCTCAGTTCCAGGTATTTACCTAGAGAAATGGAAACTTGGGTTCACACAAAAGCCTGTACATGAATGTTTATAGTGATTGTATTCACAATTCTCCAAAACTGGAAACAACTTAAACATCCTTCAGTGACTGAATAAGCAGTGACACACCCATTGAATTAGACTTCTTGGCAACATTAAAAGGGGAGAACAATTGATAATGCTAAAACATAAACCTAAAATACATCTAGCTAAGTGAAAAATACCAGACCCAAAGGGCTATATATTGTCTAATTTCATTTGTATGAAATTCTAGAATAAGCAAAATTGTAGATATAGGAACAGATTAGTATTTTCCAGGGATTAAAGGTGGGGTGAAAGACTGACTACAAAAGAGCCATGAACAGGTAATGGAACTATTCTGTATCTTGACTGTGGTGGTGATCACCGATTCTGCATTTGTCAAAAGCCATAGAGCTAATGGTAGATTTCACTGGTAAAAGCAAATTACAGAGGCAGATTATGCCGTGTTTACAATCAAGTATTCATAAAATATATAAAAGAGCTATTTAAAATAAACAGCTATATTAAGAGAGGAAATTACATGTTTAAGGAATAACATTTAAAAAATACTTAAAAATTTATCAAAACAGAAAAGTAGCAGCCAAAGAACTGTATGATAAATTAATGTGTTTGGAAGTTTGGTACCAAAAGAAAAATATCAGAATAAATGTATATTAATAAATTAAGCATCTGATTAAACATACTCCATGAAATCCTAAAAGGACTACATGCAGGAGTGAAAGCAAAATGTGCTGAGTTAGAAAACAAAAACAATAGGATTAATTCGTCTAAGGGTTGTTAATTTGCAAGACCAAGTAATCAACAAACTTCTGGTAAACTTAATAAAAATAGAAAAATCCCAAACAAATAAAAAGAGAAATAACATAGTATAAATATTCACTAGCACTTTAATGATTACTACATTAACTCTATGCTAATATCTAATATATTAAAAATCCCCCCCCTTTTTTTTCTTTTGAGAGAGGATCTTGCTCTGTCACCTAGGCTGGAATGCAGTGGCACCATCCTAACTCACTGCAGCTTTGACCATCTGGGCTCAAGTGATGCTTCCACCTCGACCTTCCACACTCTCCCCCAAAATAAATAAATAAAAATAACTAATTGAATAAAAATAAAAACAAATAAATAAAAATTTAAAAAGGAAGTGTTGAAATTACAGGTATGAGCCAGCATGCCCCACGCACCTCATTAAAAATCTTATCGAGATGTCCCAGGAATGAGAAACATAAATAGGTAAACAATATTGGTAGTTGCTGAAAATATGATCAAAAGCTTTTTTCTGTTTTCTAAAGGAGAAGAGGAAATTTGTCATTTTAGGGGGGAGAGAAAAAAAGAAACACATCAAATGCTACATAAATTGGTCCAGACTATTTTAAAAATATGAAAAACTGCATAGTATTTTTTAATAAATTAGCATAACATGCATACAAAAATATAAAAAAGAGAGTCTTTTGCATAGAAATCTTACTTAAAATTATTTGCAAATCAAAATCAAAAATACTGTGGAAAAATCTTAATTAAAATACTTGCAAATTGAAATTGAGTATTTTTAAAAGAGTCATTTGTCTTTATCAATTGATTTTAATTCTAGAAATGAAAGGATGATTTAATTTTAGGGAATCTATCAATTCAATGAAGCATATGAGGTAAAATTAGGAAACTAATCTGAATTTATGGCATACCTAAAATATTTGACATTTAGAGCCAATCATTTCAATACCTTGCTCCTCTATGTGACAAAATTATCTTCAACAATAATTGTGAAATGAGTCTAGTAAAATAAGGCTAAAAAGAAAATACAGTGAAAATTATCTTTATTGAATGATAAATATATATGCATATATACACACATATACATATATGTGTATGAATGCCAATAAAATAAGAAAAAAATACAGTATAAAAAAGAGACATTAGATTAACCCTCTTAAATTGCATTAATTTTATTGAAATGAAAAAATATTGATCAATATCAACATCTTGGTCAATTATATAAGAAATAGTTTTCATTTCCAAGGTTTCTGCAAATTTGTCAATGACTTTATCAAAATGATCTTTATATATTTTGTTTAGTATCAGGATGTCCAGATCTGCTAATCTGTCTTCACTCCTACTTGATAAAATCATAATTTATATAAATCTTATTTTTGAAAGTTTTTTCATGCACACAACATATATAAAAGTAGAAAATGTCTTAAACACAAAGAAATTGGTTAGAAATTCATAGAAACCTTTTTCTCCATCAATTTCAGAAATTATAATGCAGTCTGTCATTGTTTCTTTGGATTTGTTGTGGTTTTCCAGAGTTTTCACATTTGAAAATGTTTGCTAAAATATCCTTACAAAAAATAAAATAAAACAATATTATATTTGGTAAAAAATTCTGAAGTATATAATGGTTTTGAAATTGGTTGAGCTTACTTAGGGTAGTATTTGTGTCTCTAAGTCATGAGGTACTACATATTCCTGCAAGCAAACAGTAGATTTGATATAAACAATGATAGCACAGTGATCGTAAAGAAAAAATATAACCGTACTTCAGTTCTTACTCACCCCATGTGTATCGGGTTTGACTGTATAACCAGCAGTTCTCTACATTAGCTTCCATGGAATACAATGTTTATTAAAGGATAAATAATAAAAATGTGCTAATTGGAAACTTACATACATATTATGAAAATACAGCAGTTGCAACAGCAATTTTTAAAACTTTGCTCAACACAAATTTTTTCTGGGAGGAATATTTTGTCATTGACACTGTTTAGAATTGCTGGAGGCATGGGGATAATAAAAAGCAGAATGACTAATAGTTGGTTGTATTACTGTTTTTAAATCCTCTACAGAAAGTGAATCTTTTTCTTTCCTGAACCCAGAGGGGCTTGCTCTAACCACCTAACCTTGGTACAGCAATGATGTTAATAGGAGATTAATGGCATGCAATAAAACTTGATTCTGTTTCCTATTAAGGAAAGAGAGTCAGAGAGAGAGAGAGAGAGAGAAAGCGGGGGAGGGGGAGGGGGAGAGAGACAGAGAGAGAGCTAGGAATAGAAAGATAATTTACTCATATGATAAATAATATCTATCACAAATTAGCAACAAATTTTATTTTATTGTATTTTATCTTATTTTATTTTATTTTATTTTATTTTATTTTATTTTATTTTATTTTATTTTATTTTATTTTATTTTATTTTATTTTATTTATGTATTTGAGATGTAGTCTTCCTCTGTAACCCAGGCTGGAGTTGCAGTGGTGCGATCTCGGCTCACTGCAATCTCCGCTTCCCAGTTTCAAGTGATTCTCCTGCCTCAGTCTCCTGAGTAGCTGGGACTACAGGCGGGCACCACCATGCCCAGCTAATTTTTGTATTTTTAGTAGAGATGGGGCTTCACCGCGTTAGCCAGGATGGTCTCGATCTCCTGACCTCGTGATCCACCCACCTCGGCCTCCCAAAGTGCTGCAATTACAGGCGTGAGCCTCCGCGCCTGGCCAGCAACAAATATTTTAATAATAAAATTATGTCTAATGAAATTCCAAATTAAGGCAAAATAAACAACAGAAGAATGACAGCAAACCAAACTAGTGTACTGGTTATCACTATCAATAATTAACAGAGGTCTGGAAGTTTGAAATGCTACAAGTTTTAACTGTATACAGTTGATAATATTGCTTTCTTTAGGAATCAACTGAAAACATACTAAAATTAATTGGTATGACTAAGAGAGCAGAAATAAGACTAAAAATAAAAACACAATGGATTTCTTCTATGTAAAGAGCACTCAGAGACTATGATGAAAATATTACATACCAATGACAGTAGAAGTAGAAAAAAACACCAAAATAATAGTGTGAAAAGTTTAATTGGAATTCTTAACAAGAACATGTAAGATTTTCATGACTAAATTTTATATAAATAAAAACTTGTATAAATAAGTTGTGACACAATTTTCTGAATGAGAAAAGAGAGATGAAATATTGTCTTTCTATTTGCATATAGATTTACTATCAATCTGAAAGTCTTAACTGAATCTTTCTTGGATCGTCACAAAAATATACAAAAAAAACTCATCTTAAAATAAAAATCAGCTAAGAACTAGTGGAACAGCAAGTTTAGTAATTTTCCTACCAAATTTTAATGTACATTTTAAAGCCCTACTAAATATTTTAATATTTTATATATTGCTATAATAGAACAAATTGTATATAGCATGCTTCCTGAATTGGATAGATTTTAATATCATGAGAGTAGATAGATATACTAACAGAAATAAATTCATTTTACTAATAAGTGCTTGGCATATAAAAACAATACTTTGGGGGGATAGAATAGGAGGCATGAAAATTTGGGCTAATACAATTTCCTTCTAAATTTACTGAAAAATGAGAAGGATCTTCAACTTTCTTGCAGAGTCATTCACTCAAGATACCTTTGCAATAAAATAAACTTCCCAACATCTGACATGGCCCATACTTAAAAGGATGCTTTTCATACCTTTTAAGGAATCTTTTCTGTGATTTACTAGAGGGAATGTAGATTTTTTTTATTATCAGGTGCTTTCTATGACATCTAATCAGAGTATTAACACTGTGGCCATGACAAGTGTTTAAAATTTAAAAGTACTTTTGTAATACTTAATCCTCTTAAGTTGATTTTTATTTTTACCGAAGTTATACTTGCACATGGCCTAAATCATGCTATAAAGTTTTGTTAAGAAAAACAGAAGTTCACTTTATTTTCCAAGTCCACAGATTCCTTTGCAGTTCAGTGGTTCTACTGCCTATTCCTCTCTCCAGAAATGTTCTAGTAATATTCCCTGGGGTGGAAGCCAGCTTTCCACACTTCTTCCAGAGGTACTACCACCTGCCTCCATGGGAGAACTGGCTCTGGACAACCGCTCTAGTCTTGCTTTGTCTACTGCTCCTGCCTATCTCCCTTAAAAGCATTAGCTTCTCTCCCTTCTCCTGTGACATACATAGCGTATTCCTCACTCCATGACATTGTCATAGGACTGAAAGAAGCCAGGAAGGGAAGTTGTGTACAAGTAAGCTCTGTTTTCTGTTTTAAAGCGCAATCATCCACTGAAAGAAAAAATAGCACAGAGACCTGTCTAGCTGCTTAGAATGGGGAGAAGAAAATTAAGAGAAAAAAAATGATAAATAGCTTTTCTTTTCCTTATTCTATTAAAGTAAAAAAAAAAAAAAAGCAAAACAAAACAAAACAAAACAAAAACAAAAAACCCACAACACTAATATTTTGTGCCACTATGCTCTTTGCTCTAAGGAATATAAAGTAGGATACACAAAACTGCTTTTAAGAAATTCAGTCTGTTAGATCAAAACAGTAACTTTGGTAGTAGCTATCTTTTACCATTCAACTGCTATGCAGTGCAGAAAATGCTAGATGGTATACAAACATTTCATCACTTAAAGCATTCTACATCTTGTAAGGTAAACTGTTTATTATCTCCTGTTTGCAATGAGGAAATTGAGGTTTGGAGAGGCCCACATTTACACAACTAATGAGTTAAGAAGATGGGACTGGAACCTACTTTCTTAATCACTATGCTAAACAGCCTGCAGATACACATTTAGTTGATGCTAAATAAATATTTGATGAAAGAATTTCTAATAAAAGACAGACATGGCTTATGATGAATGGCAGTGCCTTTATCAAATAAGCATTACTGTGAATGCTTTGCCAGAAGAGGAAAGGATTACTGTGAGGAGGCAGAAGGTAGAAAATGTGCACAAAGTAAGGCTTACACTGGATAAAATTTGTGACAGAGGAACTTTGTGGGATAAAGTAATAACTTGAGCAGTGGTGTGAATATATAAGGTATGTATATATCACTGGGGCCCAGCATCCCTGATTAAGGATATTAAATATATCCTAGGTAGGGATCTATCTATCTACCTCTAATCTATCTATCTATCTATATCTATCGATCTATCTATCTATCTATCTATCTATCTATCTATCTATCTACCTACTTACCTAACTACCTATCTATAAATACACACATAAACTTTTCTATCAGGTAAATATTTATGTTCTACTTGACATTTGCCAGGCATGTCTAAGCGATTTATATGTATTAGCTCATATAATCCTCAACAACAAAATTACAATATAAATACTATGATTAATCCCTATTTTACAGATGAATAAAAGCTAAAAGTCAAGTAACTTGGTAAAGGTTGTGCAACTTGTAGATGACACCTGAGATTTGAATCCAGATTTTTCAAGGAAAGGTGATGTATTAGAGATAAACATGAAGTGCTGTTCTTGGTCAAAAACTAAAAAAGTATGGCCCTGATAGACCTTGAAAGATACTATGTATGCAAAGGACTTCAAAATGCTGTTTAAGCACAAGTTTCAGAGGAAACAAATTGATAGGTCCACCAGAAAATGTACTGTAAGTTTAGGTTTTATTAGTAGAATAGATTATCAAGGGTAGGATAGAAATAGTCCTCATCTACATGTTGATCAGAGAAATCTAGGATGATTTTCATTCACTTCTGGTCTCCATAATTTAATAAATATATAGAGAAAGTTTAACATGTTCATAGGAGGTAAATGCAGGGTGTGAGGGTGTTCTAAATTATATATTAGGAATGCTTGAAGGAAATCTTTTAAAAGCTTTTCATCTTACATATAATAAAATTCAAACTCCTCACTCTGTTCTACATATCCCTAAATAATATCTATTTTGGCTAGCCCTTTTACATTTTTCCTAACTCTTCCTGCAGCTCACTCTGCTTTAGTTTGCTCCTTTTGCTCTTCCTTAAATAAGACAGTGTCCTTCCACAGGGCCTTTGCACCTGCCATTCACACTGCCTAAATATTCCTCTCCAATCTATGTGTGTTGCTTACTCTCATGTTAGTAAATTGCCAGTTTTTCAGAGATTTCTTCCTCAATCATCTTATGTAAAATAGCATTCATATTACTCTCTATTCACTTACCCTGGTATATGTGTGCACATGTCTGCATATATGTATGTTCATGTGTAGGTACGCACATACATAAGAAGACCTTTATCAGCACCTGATATTATTTATATATTCAACAAGTCTTAGTTCTTGCTGTTACAGTTTTCTCCGGTAGAATATGAACTCTATAAGGATAGGGACTTTGCCTCTTTTCTTCACTCCTATAGCCCCAGACCACAGCAGTGTGCCTGAAACACAGAAGGGTCACAACAAATATTGATTGAAAGAATAAATGATGGACCATTTAGCTTCAAGAAGAAAAAAATGCAATGAGGCTAATTGTTATCTTCAAATATTTGAATTGCTTTTGCATAGAAGTGTGATTAGACATAATCTAAAATAGAGCTAAATTAATGGTAATCCCATTTTTAATAACAGTCACAGTGGTTCAGAGATGAAGTGTGTTTATTCTCTGTTACTGAATATGTTCAACCAGTGACAGCCTAATTTCTTAGGTAAGATTTAGAAAGGATCATATTTGGACTAAATGAATTGTAAGAGCTGGTCTAATCCTGCAGTCTTTGATTTTATGACTGGAGATAAGGGAAAAATGATTCCTGCTGCATCCTTTGTCCCACCTGATACCTGGCTCATATTTAGAATCATAGCATTTTAGGGCTGACAGAGACTAAAGATCACATAGAGACTGAAGTTGAAAACCAGGAGATGATATTATCTTTCTGCAACAAAACCAACTATGATCATCCACGGACCACAGCATAAACTCCCAACTCCTCAGTCATCAATAAATATTTATTAACCTCTAACTACTTGCTAGGCAGTGTTTTCAACCCTGAGGTTACAGCAGCAAATGAGATAAACAAGAACTTTCTTTTCATTGTGATACCATTTATCATATCGTAGCTAGACTTACATGTATGTGTATAAATGTATGTATATATTGAATATATGAATAATATGAATATATTGAATTATAAGTAGTATATCACTCATCTAAATTTTGTGTGTTATTACTAAATGGAAAAGATAGGGAATCAAGTGTAGTGACTGGGAAACAGTGTTTTCTTTGTTTACAAATTTGCATTCTTTTGGCTTTTGAATGATTATACCAAAGTGACAGCTGTTGGTCAACCAGAAACCAGGAGTCAGCTGAATTTTTGCAGGATATTTATTCATACATTAGGGTGGTCTTCCAGGAAACAGAACAACAAACAGAATATTTTACAGGCAGTGTTATAGAAATATACACAAAGAAGCATTCTGGTTGAAAGTAGAAACTTTTGACCTCACACAGGGAAGTCTAAATGTAACTTAGGCTACACCAGCAGTTTTGACTAGGAAAGTAAATAGAAGTTTTTAAAAAGTTGTTTTTAAAATAATGGCTTAAAAGATTAACTGTACAAATTAAAATCCAATTAATTATCCTTTTAAGGAAAATTAATTGAAGTAGAGTTAAAAGCATCCTTAACAATATTGGTGATCTATATGAAAAAGCTATAGGAGTAAAAGTGATACTATTTTCCCTAGTAGTCCTTTTAAAAATTTTAGAGTGCAATTTTTATTTTTACAATATTGAGACATATCACTGATATTTTGATGGCTAAGATACTCTACAGTAATGGATATTCTACACAGTGGAGAATTGACTACATTTTATAAAATTTCTGACCACCTTTTGGACATTCCTGTAGATGAAAAAATCAAAACCTAGATACTAAACTCACTTAACATAAAAGTAAAAAAAATTATTGCATTTTTATATACATTGATTTTTTTCCATTAATATATTTGTCATTGAAGTCAATGAATAATAGCACTTTTTTTGGCCCAGGAATTTAATAAGCATCATTTTCAGTTTTGATAAATAATACGACTAACGGTAATGCAATTGTATCAGTCTACCTTTAAGGCCGTTGCATTCCTGGTGGTGTAAACCTATGATCACTTCTGTTGTATGCCTACATTACTTTGTAAGATTAATTTTGTATTGATGTTTTCAAGACAGTGAGGGTAAGTAGGACACATTGCATACAAGTTTTGTCTCAGGATAGGAAAAGGACACGTTACAAACAGCATAAAATGAAGTGCTGGGACTGCCCTGGTTGAGAATGACAGGACAAGATGAGAAGTCATGGATATTTATCCTGGGTCTGGCAAAGATGACCACAGGGGCTTTAATGTATTATGGAATGCAATGACTTTGAATTTCAGTTCCACCACTTTCTAAGCTGTGCTAACTTGGGCAAACAAGTCTCTTGGAATATTATATTTTACATCGATAAAATAGGAACTGCAGTGCCTAGTCTATGAGATAATGGAATAGAGGGTATACAATGTTTGGGACTGGTCTGGGCCCCTTGCTGGTTACCCTTGCTGGTTATTTTCCTTTTTTTTTGAAATTTTAGAGCAATAATTTCATATTGAAGCCACTTTTTAACTATAAATATTTGCTTCCCTGAAATGAAAACCATTGAAAAATATAATCTACCTACATATGATTATAAAATATCACCTGAGGCATATACATAAAAATAAAAAGAATAAAAAATTATTAAATATTATATATTTGAATATATAAAACTTGGGTATTACTCTGGTGGATAAAACAATACAAATATCAGATGTTTGCATCTACCAGTAATGAAGATATTCAAATTTAAGAGACATGATGTCAGAACCCATTCCATTCAAGAAATACATCAAAATGAAAGAGCAGACATTCAGGGAGATTTGAGCATATAAATTAGTGTCTGGATAAATAAGAAACTGGGTCTGTTGCACATGAAAGAGGATACTAATTTGTGTGTGAATATGAGTGCAAGTTTAATTGAAGAAGAAGTACATGACAAGAGAAATGGTCTACTAGAGAAGTTGAGAAAATGAGAGACTATTATAGTTTTTCAAATGAGGGTATTAAGTAACGCTACCACGAGCACTTCAGGTTGCCATCTTTTCTAAACTACTTTGGGTGGCATCTCTCTCTAATAATGTAAGTGAGAACCATCCTGAACAACTACCATGTGTCTTCAATAACACCAAATAAAATATTAACCAAATGAAAATTATCAAATCAATATTTATATTTCCCTTTCTATTTTATTTCCTATCTGCATGTAGTATTTGAGTTGTACATTTCAAGACAATGTCTTGGCTCCACTTATGCTTTGCTCTCCAAGTTGAACATTCACTGAATTACTGGTATTTTCATGTACATTCTTGTAAAAACTCTTCATTATTATTAGCAACTGAAGAATGAACAATTTATATTTATGGGAGTTTAGTCTAGTGGGCCATTCAAAGACTGTGTGGGGCCTGAGAAAATAAATTTTTCACTATGAGGGACTCATTAGAAAATAGCACTTGCTCTTCCAGCTAAATTCCAAGTCTCTACATAGTTCCAAACTCTCTCTAGGAGACAGCATTGCTGCCTCCAAGGTTTTCTGTGCCTTAGAAAGAGGAGCGGGAGTAGGAGTAGGATCAGGATGGAGAAGAAATTGGATTTGGTGTTCTTGTTCCCAAATACCTTCCTCTATAAAAGTATGGGAATAAGGAGTTAAGAATACCTGCCTAATTGACCAATATATGTTTTTTCAAGAAGACTGACATGAAGGAATTTGATAAACTTGAGTCCAGGGGGTTCATGGTGTAACCTCCAAATCATAGAAGGGGAGAAGCATCACAACCTCTCTCCCTGTATAAGAGGAACCAATTCTCAATCCACTGTGTTTCCTTCAAAGGCTTCTTTTATGGTGGTTCAACTTCATATTTTAATCAAGGTCCATATGTTGGATATTAAAGTAATTTTAAAGTGTCAGTACAATGTTGCTATCACCCAGAGATCTGCATGGTAAATAAGAAACATCTTAAGGTAGTAGGAGACACTCACCTTAACAGTAAGGGAAGTGTTACATATTCACACAATCCATGGAAATCCCGTCGCCTTGTGGTTATGTCACTACATCAAAGCATCCAGATCATTTTTTTTTTCAAGAGTTGCTCCATAGACCCATTGTAGGTTCCAGGTGAATATGCTGCAGAGAGATTTAGTTCCTTCAGATGTCAAGTAATTTGTATGGTAAAATCATATCTCAGAATAATTCAGAATAAAGTTCCATGTTTATTTTTCATTGTCTCAGCACAACTGATTAGTTATGAAACTGAAATTTCTCGGCAAAAAATTTAAATCTCATTATAAATGTCCATTGAAGTAAGTATGACAGCTCTGTTTCTTATTATGCACATGTGCCATGTAAAGATATTAGCCATAAAATTTGCTGAATGTCCTTTAGGGGACTTCAAATTTTAGTATGTTTCAAATAACTTAAAGAACAGCATTTGTTTATGGTTTTTCATGTGTATAGACAATAATAAATATAACTGATAGTCACGTACATGGTGAATTAAACTAAAGCTATATGATATAAACAAGTTGTCTTTTTGTTTTTGAAATGAACTTAAAATGAATTAAACATGTCAAAGTCAATATTTCAAAATATACATTTTTAGCTAAACATTTAGGTCTTTTGGAAAACATTTTGGTTGGTTCTAAACAACATTATTACTTTTTTTCTAGATAAGTTTTATTTCTTGTATATTTCATTGATATGAAATTATAAGTATTCTTAGAGTTTCAAAACTACTTATGGCAAGAGTTAAACTGTGTATTTACCATATTTTAAAGGTCAAGAAAAAAATTTTCAGAAGATAATGTGATTTATAAAAATTTTAATAAAAAGCATTGGTATTCCTATTATTGAATTCACATTGAATTTTAACAATCAGCTGTAAACTATTTTGGCATCTCAAGTTTGGAAAAGAAAGTAATCTGTTAATTTGTAGAACTCATAAAATCACTCTCGAGAAAAAAATCCATTATAAGAAAGGAAATCACTTCTAAGTTAAATATATAACATTAAAAATAAGTTCACAAATATGCGTAATCTGTTGTAGCTATAAAATTGTATAGCTTTATGATACTATATCTTCCCTACATTGATAGTTTTTGGTTTTAATTTAAAAAGCTTGCTATCTTTAGATTGATGTGTTAGGAAAGAGAATCTGCCAATGTTTTTATTTGATTATCCAAATAAAAATTAGATTAATGAGGCATGATGACAGCAGCACAGTTAAAAGAACAGATAAATCATCAGTGGACCAGCTTCAAACTTTACTTGCTTTTGCTCTTCTGAATATAAAATCTTAGTGGGGGAGGTGGCTTAATCTAGAAGACAGAACAATCAACTCTTAGGCTCATGCTGTGTTAGGATAAATAATATCATACTTTGTTGAAAGGGTGGGTGGAAAGTTTATTAAACTGAAAACAACCCTTCCTGTATTATAAATACAGATTCATATTCAAGCTTCTCCCTAGATCATTCACCTTTAGTGTATATGTTCATAGAGATGTGAATGGAGCTAAGTTTAACTTTTCATGAAAAATCATGACTGATACCTAGTAAAATTTAAGGACAATTTCTCTTTGAAAAAACAAGAATGTCATAAGGTGTATTTTAAAATTATTTAGATAAAACATCTTTTTTTGTTCAAGGCAGGATAATAAAAGTATGAATTTTGAAGTCAGGCAAACCTGCATATAAATCTTGGCTCAGGCACTATTAAAAAGCCTTATTAACTTATTCAGCACAAATTTATTAATACTTTGGGTTAAAGATTGCATTTGATATGATAGTATACCAGAAAGTTTCTCCTATTTCAGATTATTTTTTCCCTTAATCTCAGATTACTCCACCATAAAATTGGAATAATAATAGATCTATAGTTGCTTTTTTTCTATTCCTAAATGAGTGTGCTTATAGAAAAACCGTTTAGTTCTTTAGCGATAAAGGCAGCTTAATCTATATGAAACACAGCCTCAGTGTGTTACATTACAGCAGAAAACAACATAACTATGAATTGGAGGAAAAAAAACTACAATAAGTATGATCAGATGGTTAAGATGGTATGCAAGTATTTGAAAACTGAGATCCCAAATGTCATTATGAAGATGTATTCTTAATCTTAAAGTAGTTTTTATTGACTTCAGAAATGTCTTAATTATCTAGTTTATAAAATGCTTAAATATTTAAAGGAAACTTTAAAAAACTGTATGCCTCTATGAAACAATTTAATGAAATAGCCAGGCTGCTTTAAAAGCTAATTACTTATCAGTAAGTTTATAAATATATATATCCTAACTTATGATATCAGAGAAAAACGTGTTTTGCATGGTGTAATATAGCCATGCAAATTACTCTTATAAAAAAATTAAGCAAACTAGAAAAAATCTTAATGCTTTATTTTATTTACTTTTTTTGCTGTAAAGTTTTCATAAGAATCTGTTTCAATTATAGGGAGATTTAGTGATGTTTATTCTTAGGAGGCTGCATCTGGTGTAAACAAGCAATCAGATTCTTTTCAGTCTCACAGCAAAGATGAAGCAATTAAATGGGTGAATTGAAATAATATTTTACAGTTGATATATGTAATTTTAGCTGAAATATTTAAGAAATATATAAATGTGATTTGCTCTTTTGCCTGTGGTAGATTAATTTTAGACTTATACCTTCAAAGCTAAGAAGTATAACACAACAAAACAAATAATTCCAATGAAATTGTAAAAAAAAAAATAAGGCAACTTTTCTAGGTATCAGACAGCAGACAGTGGAGGATTATAATCTTCAACAGAATGTGTACACACAAAAGAAGACCCCAATTTGCCCAGGTTTTTTGTGTCGGGGCATTTTTTTTTTGAGGGGCCGGCGTAATGCAAGAAGGTGAAACCTCAGCTGAGAGCAGCAGCCAGTGAATTGAGGAGGCAGTGATTGGAGTCTGGGGTTCCTGAGGCAGTTCGAATTTTCTAGGAAAGACACTATAAATAAAGGTGCTATGTGGAGGCACTGAGCTTTCCTTGTAAACCTGGGGGAGTGTTGCATTCTGTATGTGTAGGCTGAGACTCTGCAGGGCCTAGCAGAGAGTAGCTGCTACAGAGGTGACTTGAACAGGCACACCAGAAGCCAAGTCATGTAAACATGGACATTCTTGTCCAATCAGGGTGGAGAGAACTTGCTGACTTCTTGAACATTCGGTTAGGGTCCCAGAAAGGCCACATCTTAGGAGTAAAGATACCTAAGATAGGACCATGCCTTAGAACTAAGAACAAACTGAAATAGATCCGCTCTAAGAAATCACAAAATGAATTTTGACGGGACTAAGAGGATTCACCAGACATTTAGTTGTCTTCCAGAACAAACCTCAACAGACCAGAAAATGAAAACATACAAACTCTCTGCAACATATCATTCATAATGTCCAACTAAATTTTTTAAAAAAGTGTTGTAAAGTCACGATCAATAGCGGTTAATAGAAATCTACTGCAAGATGATACAGATATTTGAATTAGCAGACAAGGATTTGGAAATGCATAAATATGTTTAAGGATAGAAAAATCTCTCTCTCTCTCTCTCTCTCTCTCTGTCTCTCTCTCTCTGTTATGGGCTGAACTTTGTTCTCTCCAAATTCATATGTTGAAGCTGTAACTCCCAGTACTTCAGAATGTGACTATATTTGGAGATAAGGCCATTTAAAATGAGATTAAGTTAACATAAAGCCTTTAGGGTGAAACATAATTCAACTGAGCTAATGTCTTTATAAAAAGAGGACATTTGGATGCACAGAAAGACCCCAGGGGGTGTGTATGCACAGAGAGACAGCCATGTGAAGAGGCAGCAAGAGGGTGACCATCTGCATGCCAAGAAAAGGACTACAAACAAACAAACAAACAAACAAACACCACCACCAGACCTGTGACACCTTGAGTTTGGTCTTGTAGTCTTTAGTACTATGAGGAAATACATTTTTGTGGTTTAAGCTAACCAGTCTGTGGCATTTTGTTGTGGCAGCCTTAGCAAAGTAACACAATATATATGGACTCTGGGCCATTATACTTGAAAACAAATCAATAGAAACAATTTAAACTGAAGAAAAGAGAATCAAAATTTTTTTTGGAGAAAAACATAGCTCCAGTGACCAATGAGATTCTGTTCAGTGTTTTAAAATAACTTTTAAGAAGTTCTAGAAGGAGAGAAGAGAAAATAAATAAGTAGAAAAAAATAACTGAAAATTTGGTGAAAAACATCAACATCAACCTAATGATCTAAAACAGCAGCCCCTAACCTTTGTGGCATCAGGGATTGGTTTTGAGGAAGACAATTTTTCCATGGATGCAGGGTGGGATGGTTTCGCTATGAACCTGTTGTTCCATCTCAGACCATCAGCCATTAGATTCTCATAAGGAACATGCAATGAAGATCCCTTGCATGCACAGTTAAAAATAGGGTTCGCACTCCTATGAGAACCTAATGGCTCTGCTGGTTTGACAGGAGGCAGGGCTCAGGCCATAATGCTTCCTCACCCACTGCTTACCTCCTCTCCTGCTGTGCGGCCTGGTTCCTACAGGCCACCAACCAGTACCCGTCTGGGGCCTGGGGGTTGGAGACCCCTTTTCTAAAAAGCTTAGTGAAGCCTAAGGAGAACTATACTACGAAATGTACAGCTAGTTACATCATCTTTAAGCAGTTTAAAATCACAAAGAAAAATCTTAAATGCAGCCAAAGGAAAAAAGACACATTACATGGAGTAGTAAATCAATGATATAAATGATGGCTCATTTCTCATTTGAAACATTGGAAATCAGATGACAAAGCAATAATACTTTAAAAAGATAAAAATCCATACTTTTGTAGGAAAACATGACTAAAGTAGATAAAGATGTATTTTAAATAAATGAAAGTACAAATATTTCAAAGCAACACAACCTATATGATAAGAAATGCTGGAAGAAAAATGTCAGAGTACCAGAAAAATAGTATCAGTATCATGAAAGAAATCTATACAAAATTTACAGTTAACATTATATTGGAAAGTAAAATACTGAGTGTGTTCCCTCTCAGATAAAGAATCAAGTAAGGTTATCTATGCTCACCATGTCTAATTCAACATTGAATTGGAGGTCTTCACCAGGAAAATAAGTCAGGAGAAATAGAAGGCATAAAGATTTAAAAAGAAGAAATAAAATACTCTTTATTTACTGACAACATAAGTATTTTTAAAGTCCTAAGAAAAACCTACACAATTAATAAAAGAAAAATAGTTAGTGGATTCAGCAAGGTCACAGAATACAAAGTTAATATAAAAAATTGTATTTCTGTATACTGACATAAAACAATTAGAAAATAAAATTAAGAAATATTTACCGTAGTATCAAAATAAATTTAACAAAACGTGTTTAAGATTTCTATATTAAAAACTGTAAAACATAGCTGAAATAAAGAGGCGAACTGTGATTTCATCAAAATAAAAAACTTCTGTTTATAAGACACCATTAAGAAAAGTAAAGTCAGAGCTTCAGACAAAATATTATCAATATACATACAGAACCAAGCACGTGTCTAAAGTATATATTGATTTCTACAAATAAGTAATTATAAGATAAATAACCTAATAGTATACAGACAAAAAATTGAATAGACACTTAGGAGGAGGCAGAGCTCCTGTTATAGGTATATGAATGGCAAAAAAAAGTCTGAAAAGGTATTTAATATCATTATTCACTAGGGAAAAGTAAATTAAAATAACACTGTCTACAATAGCAAAATTTAAAAAGGATAACAGCAACAATATTGGTAAAGAAAATGTACATATAACCTACGGTACACCAATTGTGCTCCTATGTATTAATTAATGTTATTCAAGAGACAATAGACACCTTTGTTCACAGACCAAGCATGGTGGCTCATGCCTATAATTCCAGCACTTTGGGAAGCCAAGGTGGGAGGATGGCTTGAGACCAGGAGTTCAAGACTAGCCTGGGCAACATATTGGGAGCCTGTCTTTACAAAAAATTGAAAAATTAGCCTGGTGGTTGTGAATGCCTGTAGTCCTCCCTACTTGGGAGGCTGAGGTGAGAGGATTGCTTGAGCTCAGGAGGCTGCAGTGAGCTATGATTGTACCACTGTATTCCAGCCTGGGTGACAGAGTGAGATCCTGCCTTGAAATAAATTAATAATAAATGATGAATAAATAAAAAATAAAAACCTTACAAATAAAAGTAAATAAATAAAACCCCTAAATAAATAAAAATGAAATAAGAAATAAAATAAAAATAAATAAGTAGAATATTTATTGGAGATTTATTCATATAGCCCCAAATTTGAAATGACACAATGATTCATCAATAGACTTATGCAATCTAGGTATGTTATGGCATACTCACAAGATGATATAATATTAATACTTAGCATTAAAAAGAAAATGAACATTGATAGACCTGAGAACATGAATGAATCTCCAAAACATTTTCTATGGAGATGCAAATTATATCTTGATTGGGAATTCAGTTAGATAAGTGTATTCGTCTATTCAAACTCATCCAATTATACAATTGTACACTTAAGATCTGTGCATTTCACTATGTCTCAAGAAAGAGCTCTGTTAAAAAACAAATATATGAATTTGAGCAAAACAGAATTAGAATGAAAACACCATGTGGAACATGTTATTTACAGTTTATAATTGTTCTAGATAAGCATGGCAGCAAAAGCATCATGAAAATAAATGATTCTATAGATGTTTCCAAGGGGGAATAATAGGATAGATTTTTTAAATGATAAGGATTTTTTAAATGATATAAATAACCTGGAGAAGTCCAGATGTCAAAAACATCCCCAGGGGTTTGGGATCACATCAAATTAAAAACCTTCTGCACAGCAAGGGAAAAAAATCGACAAAGTGAAGAGACATCACATGGAGTGGGAGAAAATATTTGCAAGCTACCCACCTGGCAAGGGATTAATGGCCAGAATATATAAGGAGCTCAAACAACTCTATAGGAAAAAATCTAATAATTTAATAAAAAAATAGGCAAAGGATTTGGATAGATATTTCTCAAAAGAAGACATACAAATGGCAAACAGGTATATGAAAAGGTGCTCAACATCATTGATCATCAGAGAAGTGCAAATCAAAACTGCAATGAGATATCAGCTCACCCCAGTTAATATGGCTTATATCCAAAAGACAGGCAATAACAAACGCTTGTGAGGGTGTGGAGAAAAGGGAACCCTGGTACACTGTTGCTGGAGATCTAAATTAGTATAACCACTATGGAGAACAGTTTGGAGGTTCCTTGAAAAACTGCAAATTGAGCTATCCAATGATTTGGCAATCCCACTGCTGGGAAAATCAGTATATCAAAGAGATAACTGCACTCCTGTGTTTGCTAAAGCACTGTTTACAATAGCTAAGATTTGGAAGCAGCCTAAGTGTCCATCAACAGATGAATGGATGAAGAAATTGTGAAACATGTACTCAATGGAGTATTATTCAGCCACGAAAAAGAATGAGACCCAGTCGTTTGCAACAATATGGATGAAACTAGGTATCATTAGGTTAAGTAAAATGATCCAGGCACAGAAAGACAAGCAACGCATGTTCTCACATTTGTGGGATCTAATAATCCAAACAATTGAACTCACGGACATAGATAGTAGAAAGATGGTTACCAGAGGCTGGGAAGGGTAGTGGGAGGCTGGCAGGGAGATGGGGATGGTTTGGTTAATGGGTACAAAAAAATAGAAAGAATGAATAAAACCTACTCTTTGGTAGCACAACAGAATGACTATAGTCAATAATAACTTAATTGCACATTTTCAAATAACTGAAAGAGTATAATTGGACTACTTGTAACTCAAAGAATAAATGCTTGATGGGATGGATACACTATTCTTCATGATGTGCTTATTTCACATTACCTGCCAGTATTGAAACATCTCATGTATCCCATAAATATATACACCTACTATGTATCCACAAAACTTCAAAATAAAAAAATTTAAAAAATAAAGGAGTACTTAATGAAACAGATTTAAAAGACTTGGCCGATTTAGCCAAAGTATACCAAAGTAAATATCTATCTGTCTGTCTGTCTGCCTGCCTATCTCTTCTATCTGTCTGTCTATCTATCTATCTATCTATCTATCTATCTATCTATCTATCTAAATTAGTTTTATAAGGATATAAAGAGTCATTTTTTTCTTTCACTGTTTTATTGAAAGCATAAAGTTAAGTCAATCTTCTTAAACATACTGTGTTAATTATCATAATTAGTTAAAGAAAAAATGCTCTGTGGTCGCCCACACCCATAGTTCCAGCTACTCGGGAGACTGAGTGGGAAGGATGGCTTGAGCCCAGGAGGCAGAGGTTGCAGTGAGCAGTGATCGCGCCACTGCACTCCAGCCTAGAAAACAAAAGCAGACTCTTTCTCAGGAAAAAAAAAAAAAAGTTACTTTAAAACTTTTTCTAGTTACATAATTTTCAGCAATTCTTCCCATACTTTCAATACCAAAAAGCACATTTGATAGCACTACTTCTTACAAATTTGAAGAAGTTTGCTTATAATTATTTTATTTTTCTACATATTTTGCCTGATTTAAAATTTTTATATCCCTGTAGTTAACTTTAAGAAGCGTTTTAGATTTTAGTGTGAAACAACATTTGAGATAGATTCAAGGAACTTCCTAACACTGATTCTTTGCACTGGAATAAAAAATCATGAAAGTACAGCTGTGTGAACGTAGAGTTGACAGCACTCTGGAATATGTTAGTTGGCACCAGTCTAAAGGCTGGGAGGGTAAACAAGATAACCTGGGAGGTCTTCCAGTAATGCCTACGTGTGTGTGTGTGTGTGTGTGTGTGTGTGTGTATGTATGTATGTGTTTGTGTGTGTGTTGGTGGGGTGAGGTTAGGCAGTTAAGATCTTTACAGCCCAGATATTGTCAACTGGCAATCTACAAAGTCAGTAGACAAAAATCTCATTCTGACTACTGATTTATCACATAACTTGGCTAACCAAGTTTTGTCAATTTAGATTTCTCATGCTGGACTTCTAGATTTAAACCTCTCTAGAGTAATAGAAAAAGGTTTCTGTTGGTTTGTTTTTACTTTTAAAATATGCTCTCTAGTCTTTGCAAAATAGTTACATACACACGTTATATAATTTGGTTAATATTTGCTACTTAATGCTAACAATTTTGTTGCAAAAATCCAATAATAATCACTTTCAAGCTTAGTCTGAACAGTAGTTATTGATTTTTATATAGTACTTAATAAAACAATGTGTTTTTAGTACTCAATTTATTTCATGAAATACTTTACGCACTCAATAAACATCATCTACAATTAAAATAATTGTTTATCCTGTGATATTTTGTGAGTCTTTTGGATATCTTAATCAACTTTACAAATTTGTTAATTTTTTGATTGGGAAAATTGAGCTAGGTAGCCTACATTTAAATAAACATATAGATGATGTTATGATTTTATTTAATATTTAAGAAAGAAAATACCGTATTGTGTTAAATCAAAATGTATTGAAAACATACAGTGGTATAGATTACATCCCTATTGTTTAGTTCCAAACTAATGCTGTTTAACTTTAAATTCATCTCTTACTTTAGTTTCACATTTAAATTGAAAACTGTTTGTAATTCTTTTCCCCAAATTGTTTCTGACAGAAAATTGTTTTCTTAGTCTCTTGCCACTGAAGCGATTTTCAAGTGTTGCAAATTTGCTCTGTTATCTTTCCCTCTTGAACACAATGTAGGCTATAGTTGGCATTTCAGAAAGGAAAAATGGATTTCTAGAAATTGAACATAATCCAAGCCTCAGACAGAGGGAGAAGGAAAAGTAGGACCATGTACTCCTGAGAAAAGAACGACATAGCTTAGCATTAAACACAACAGTACTGTCTACAACATGCATTGTTAACAATGAAAGCTGCTTTTCATTCACAATTTCAAGCTGAGCAGCTTGTACCTAATAGGTGCTCAGTAAATACGAATAGAGCTAGATTTGCAGTTTGAGTTGATTTGCAAGTTAGTATGTAATGCTAAATGTTAAACAGTATTGCTTAACCAAGTCAAAGTGTTCCTGTACATGTGCATTTGAAATCCAGGAAATAATTTCTGCTCAGTTAGGAAGTTTTGCCCCACCCATGTTACACATTTGCATCTGTTTTTATATGCTTTTGATCCAATCTTGAGTTTTCTTATTTTTTCATTGTTGAGAATTTGGTGGGAAAAATTGGGGACAGGGTCTTGGTTCTCATAAAAGTATTTTTCGATAATATCTTGAAAAATAAGGTAAATATTTTTCTGCTAATGAAGCTGTGTCAAAAGACCAAATAAGAATTGCTATTCACAATGAATTTTTCTCAAACTCACTCCACATATAATTTTTTTTTTTTTTTGAGATGGAGTTTCACTCTTGTTGCTCAGGCTGGAGAGCAATGGCACAACTTCGTCTCACTTCAGCCTCCGCCTCCTGGGTTCAAATGATTCTCCTGCCTCAGTCTCCTGACTAGCTGGGATTATAGGCACCTGCCACCATGCCCAGCTATTTTTTTGTTTTAATTTTTAGTACAGACATGGATTCGCCATGTTAGCCAGGCTGGTCTCGAACTTCTGACCTCAGGTGGTCCACCTGCCTCAACTTCCCAAAGTGCTGGGATTACAGGCGTGAGCCGCTGCACCTGGCCTCCATATGGAATTTTATGTTATTTGTTTGGTATGTAAGCACATATAGAATCTGTTTCTGTCCATTTAAACATGTTATTTTATTTATTTTTATAGTTAAGTCAATGAGGGTTTGTAAATTATGAGTTTTACTTTTTTGGGGGAAAGGATGGCGTGTATTCCCTTGACAGCTAGTATAGTATCTGCCATATGAAAAAGTTTAATAAAATGATAGTTAAATTTTTATAGCCATAATCTAAATGAATGTATATTGGCCTGAAAAGACAAACAAACAAACAAACATGAAAGCAGCTGAGTGCAAGGTTCCCTTTGAGTCAGTTCAGAATCCTCAGAAACAATAAATATGGCCTTCTATGTCAGAGATAAGAGGCAAGGCATGTTACATACATGAATATCTAGTTTTGCTTATCAATCGAATGCAGATAATATTAGTAATATTTACTTTTATTATTGAATTCTTTTCTCAGAATATAACTAGGGGTAATGAAAAGCAGGATTAAAGGAGCGAGGAAAGGAAGTTTCTGTTAGTAAAGTCTACCCTAAAGTGACTTCAAGAGAACAAGACAATTTAAAATTTCAACAAGCAACACATTAATCACAGATGAAAAAATGCTCAATTTAACTAATGCTAGTTCCATGACCTATATTTCATCTAGAATCAAGCCACCTCAGAGGGTAATTAGGTGATTGCTTGCAGGAAGTTACCCTTTGTTCCCCATTTTCCCACCTTCTTTTGTTCCCCAATCGTGTGCCCAAAATGGTGGCTAAATGATAATCATTCAATAGACATGAAAACTGTTTTCCTCTTTTTTCTTTTACTAAATACATATTGTATTAAATGAAATTATAGATTTTTGCATAATATCTCATAACTGTTATTAAAATTTTTATAGTCATCATCATTGTTGTTAGTGGTTCTCTCTGGACATTGTAGGACTTCTGAATATACACCAAAGCTTTATAAATTCATTAGGATTCCATGATTGAACATGGGATATCCTGCATGATTTTGGGTAAGAAGAAAAGAGACACTATATCCTTTAGTTTCTGTGCCACTATTAACATAGTTAACGACACAGACTTTTATCCTTCAGAGATTGCTGTCCTGTTTACATATTGCTTGAATTTACTAGGTAATAAATATTAATGAGCTTTTTTAGCCCTTCATTCTTTCAGATGCATTCAGTTTCTCTTTCAAATGAGTTCACCTAATCCTTTCCATTACCCTTGTCAGCTCTGTTCTGTGTAATGATTATTTACATGGCTTCCTAGAGTTATTTTAAGTTTTGCTGGTTTCCTTCAAAAGCCGAAAAAGAATAAAGCCTGTCATAACTGGAAACATGTAAAGCACAACTTAGGTTTGAGATAATTTTTGTTTTCACTATGTGTTAAAACCAATGTGGCATAGGCTGGTTAGTGATGTTGATATGTTTTCAAAGTCATGCCTTATTTGAGGCTGTGAACACACATCAAGGGGCGAGAAAATGAAGCAGAACTTTAAGTACATTGGCTGTTTCTATACAAGAGCAATTTTTGTTGTACTTAGTTGTGATTGTAGGAATAACACTTGCATTTTGCAGAGTCTAAACATCCTGTACTGTGGTCAATGCCATGCAGATTACTGAAAATGCTCCCTAGTGTTAGATATTCATAATATCTCTGATTTATTTATTTTTTATTTCTTAGAGACAGGATCTTGCTCTGTCGCACAGGCTGGAGTACAGTGGCATGATCATAGCTCACTTTAACCTTGAACTCCTGGGCTCAAGTCATCTTCCTGCTTGAGTCTCTGGAGTATCTAGAAGTACAGGCATGTGCCACCATTCCCCAATAATTTTTTTTTTTAAATTTTTGTAGAGACAGGGTCTTGCTATGTTGCACAAGCTGGTCTCAAACTCCTGCCCTCAAGTGATCCTCCTGCCTTAGTCTCCCAAAGTGCTGGGATTATAGGCATGGACCACTGCACCTGTACTATGACTTATTTTTAAATGAACAAAACCCAAAGGAAAAGTGAGACACAGAATTTTGGAATTTGCATTAACACTGTGACAGAGCAAAAAGATAAAGCTCAAAAAGAAATTCAGTAACCTCCTGGCACGTTTAATAGGAGGCATTGATGTGGTTAGGTACCGATTTGAATGCATGCTCCACAGATTACTATACTTATGAACTTGGATAAGTTAATTTTTCTTCAATTAGATATGTCATGTTTTATCAAATATATTTCACATATAAGTACATGTAAAACCAATTACTATTAAAACAGATGAGAAGCACAAAGCTAGATATTTAAATACAGGTGCTTAGTGGATTCTTTCAGAGGACGAGATAAACACAGCCTCTGAGTAAAATCCTGGCTTAATTTGCCTAACAGTTTTTAAAGACTCTTTTCTGGGGAGGTATTGTCCTGGGGATTTGGGGGATCTGCCAAGTGGCAAGCCCAAGTACAGTCCAGCCAACTGAAACATGGTGAGGGGAGGTGAGCTTTTCTGCAATCTCAGTTTGCAGGCTCATTGTGATCAACAGACAGCTCTCAGGAGTAGGGAAAAAAAGAAAACAAAAATTCACTGGGGAGAAGTGAGTGTTCTCAAATGACCCAAGAGGCAGCATGGCTTTGAGGAGAAAGCAAGAACTTCATGAAGACATGTCAGGAGAGCTACTTGTAGGTACAGTTCAAGTCTTTGCTCACCTAGACTTTGTCAGGTTCAAAAGATGGTACAAATGGTAAATGGGATATTTGTGATGTTAGCCCTTAATATAGCTTTCCAGTACGGACTATTTGCCTCCTATACTTGGAGCACAGCCGTTGTCCTGAAATCTCCCTTCTTAAGCATTATTTTTGTCTCTCTCTGTGTTAGACCTTCTCTCTCCTGTTACCCATGTCTTTGTCTTCTTTCTGGTTTATTTATTTCTTATATGTATGTGATTTGTATTTTGTCTCTGGAAGCCTGTAAAATCTTCTGTTCGCCTCCAGTGTTCTAAATGTTCACAACGATGTGTGTCCACTGAGCTGGGAACACTGGTTTTTAGTCTTGAAATTTTTTGTACTTCAGATAAGTGAATTGAACTATTTCTTTGATGATTTCCTTTTTCTTTTTTTCTTCATCTCTCTTTCCAGAAACTATTATTTGGCTGATTCTGGACATTTTTTTTTTATTTTTTAAAGTCTTCTTTTCTAATTTTCCACTTCTAATTGCTCTCTTTTTTGAGAATTTGCTCAATTCAATCTTTCAAACTGAGATTAACTTTCTGCTTTACTTCCAAGAGATGTTTTAGCATTGACTGTTTCTATTTCTATTTTATAGGATTTGTATTAGTACTTGTTCCATGGATGCAATAATTTCTTTTAGCCCTTAAAGGATAATATAGTAGTTTTTTTTAGTAGGTTCCTCCAAGTTCCTTTCCTTAAAAAAATCAATTTTTACGTTTATATCTCAAGGTGGAGAATTTTCTCAGCTATCTGGTAATAATTGGTTGTCTGTGCTTATTTAATAGTGAGATATTAAAATGCTGATTAGCAACTTAGCATATTGGCGGAACTTGTCAGTATTATTTTCCCTTTAGGATGCTGTTTCTTTGCTATTTTGTGGAAACTTGGTCTTTTCCTCTTGGATTTGTCAGATTTCAAAAAGAGGATTCTCATTCTCTTGCCTAGAAGATATAACCCTAGCTGTCGACATCCTGGCAACCAAGTGGGGAAAGAAGCCGGGAATTTAGCATTCAGGGTGAATATTCTTGTCTAGTTCCTCTGTCTTGAGTATGCTAACACACTCTAACTGTGCCTGGTGTTGCCAGTGAAGAACCCTCTGTTTTCCCTTCTTTAGGAAAAAAAAAGTCTAAACTTCTCATGTAGGAAAGAACAGTCACTCAAAAGCACAGAATGTGAAGAGAAACCTAAGAATCTACCTGCTTTGTAAACTTCTAATACTCAAACTTGCTTATTTTAACCTCAAACTTGTATCTGCTTCACACAATCATTTCTGGAGATAGTAGATATCATCAATTCCTGACCATTTTGGAGAATATGTGACTTAAATTGTTTTAATTCAGCCTTTTCTATTGTAAATTTAGGTTTTATGTAACAGTATATATGAGTTAGTTAGATGGATTACTAAATAACATTAAGAACAAGTCAAACTTAACAGCAAAAGCATCAGAAAACAGATCATCTGATAACTAACATAACATTGGATTGGAGACTCAGGAAATTATTAAATTTGAATCTAAAATAAGATGGTCTAACATAAATCTCAAAAGACTTATTGTTGTTTCCAGGTGTGCATCTTAAGAAACTTGAAGGGTTTGTATATTTGAACTCAAAACCAGATACTGCTCAAAGATGCGTAGCTGAATTTTGCTCTGAGTTTTGTGGTTGACCTGAAATCCCAATACAAAGGAAAAGTCCAAGAGTGTGAAACCATGTCAACCCAAATATGAGACTGTTCATGTGAATACTCTGTGAACTGAGACCACTAAGGATCCCTTGACTCTAATTACAGTGTGGTCTCATTCAATAAAATGTAGGAAGATCATGTGATTTCTTTATTGATTCTGGCACCTGTTAAATCTTTATTAAATACACATATGTTCTGAAGTAACTCTCCAATTATACAATACATCTTTAAATACAATACATTGATTCATATAACTCACCATTTTAATAATGTGCTATAAAGAGATGTTAAGTCATGTATTATGTATTCCAGTTTCTAACTGTAAATGTAAAGACTGGTAAAGTTTAATTTGTAAGGATGATATTAGGGAAACTTATGACATATAATAGCAGTCCTAACAACCAAATGTAAAAGAAACACACAAAACAACCATACTTTTGAAGGGACCAAATGTTTTTAATACCTTAAAAAGAAGCTTAAAAATTATAAATATGTTACCAAAGATTTGGTTATATTACATATACACAGTTTGGTGGAATATTTTTATATGCATAAGAAAAAATCAATGAGAATATAGAAATTATCATATTATGTTCAAAAACATCACATATGGTGTTTCACAATGCGTAATTCATTCTGTGGATTACTTTAATACAATTCTGATAATAACCATAAGATAAATGTTATTTTTTTTGCATGGTTATGTATTTTTTGAATTACCTTTTTTTCTTCCTCAAGAGTAATATATTCATTAAAGAATTATAGAGATTCTATTACACTAGCATATGTTTTTAAGTACCAACACAGGTAGTGTGAAACTGAAAATAAATGTGTGACATTAGGATTCTGTCTAGTTATCACTATTTATTTGAATTTCCTTTGAAGAAGGAAGTAAAAAATATATATATACTATTAGAACTAATATTAATACTATTTTGTGGCATGAGCAGGGCTGTGCCACAGTAGATGGTTGAGGGGTTCTGCTTTTGAATTCACTGGAATGGCAGAGTCTGGATTTAGCCTTCCTTATGAAACAATAAAAAAAAATCTGAAAAAAAACAAGAAAACCAACATATATTCCTATATTTATTTATTATACATGTATATGAATACCTGCTGTGTGCTAGGGATTGAGGTAAGGAAGAGTGTACGGTAGTAAGCAAAACAAAAGTGCTGCTGTTATCAAGCTTACAATCTACCGGGGGAGACATAAAGCAAATAATCACTCCTTAGGAAACAAACGTGGGCCACTTGCAGTTCTTGCCTAAACAGAACAGAACATCAGCTACTCCTATATTAATTTTAGAGTGTATATGTAATATATTCTTATAGTTTTATTCCTAATCTTAGAAACCTGTAAAACTAATGTGTCTCTATTAATTATATATTATTCCATATGATAATCACATTTCTTTGTGATTATACATCCATGTACCAAACTTCACTGATGCAACCCATTTGGCAGAAAAATTCATAGTTTGTCTTTTTGCAAAATGACAGATTGAACCACAAATTGAACTTGAGTGAACTCTATTATATTATACCAATTTAAAATTAAAAGTGGGTGATTTCAGATATTTATTTGTTTGTTCAGCTATAAAAATCCTCATATCCTTTAAACTATACAAACTGTGTCTTAAACCCACTCCATTTCCCCCATAGAGAAATATTGAGCAAATAAAATATACTTGTCAACTTCTTTATTTTTTCAAGTGTTTTTTTCATTGAGTATAATTATTTTTTTCTAAATAAAATGTTCCTAAAATATACCAAGATAAACATTGAATACACTAAAAATGTGATTTTTTAAAAACAAACTTTCTTTATTATGTAAATAAAATATGCAAACTCCAACTATTGATATACTTAGGGTGAGTGGCTTCACTTTGACATCATATGTAAAATGGCATGGAGATTACTTGTAAATTATAATCTAAGGAAGTGAGAATGGATTTCAAGCTAGGCTAAGAGCTGTTAAAGGGGATAATAGACTTTTGATGTCTGTCTTTTCACAGTAGCACAATAGCTAATTCATGTGACTTCTGACCTTTTAGTGTCTTGTAACCAAGTATTGGCATTAATCTACTACTTATCTGTCACCCACCACATTTGATAGTCCCAATCTCTGTTTTCAATTATCAGTCATTAGAGAAGGCACTGAGCAATTTCAGAAGAAAACTCACAAAACCTTTGACCTGTTTTTGTCATGTAACCACAAATATTCACTGTAGATAAACTATCAACTCACTGATTTCAAGATGTAAAGGAAAGTCTTTTGTGTACATAGACTTACTGTAACCTCTATCACCTAAAGGTGGTTAAAAACTGTTTTATTTTACTGATGGAGCAGAAGAATTCACAAGATCATTTAGTGAAATCTGGTGAGATTAGAATGGTTGACCTCTAGCTGCCAGACAATCTGTAAAAGGAACAGATTTTTTCCACTAAAGAAAATGTAAGAGCTAAATATTGACCAAAAGATGGCTATCAGACAGTTATGCCTTTATTTTAAGTTGTTACAGGTAAACACAAAACATTCTCAAATATTTGTACATAGTGTCATTGAAATCTGTTATTTGTGTAGTAAATATACTCATTCATCATTAACCATTTTTCATTATACAGAATGAATCAGTCAAGTACCACCCTTTGTGGGTATTCTAAGCTAATTTTTGACATTTAATATTAACGTTTAACTCAAAAAGATGTGTATTTGCTTCTAACATTCACTTAATAATTTTTCCTTTCTAAAATGCTCATAATAAAAACAATAGTAAACTATGTGTATACTTCGGAATGCATTGTTATCCTCAGTGATAAAAATAACTTAATGACTTTAAGACTTAAAAAAAATTTGTAAGAACCAGTAAATTTGATTACACTGATATTTCTTGGCAATTTGTGAACCTTCAAATATGTGCTACGTGTTCCACCAATATATAAACAAGATGTCAAGTAAATACAACTATTTTTTATCTATCCACTGTTGTAGGAACCTAGCCTGCAGGTTTTTTTTTAACTCCATAATAACAAACATTTTTAAAAAAACCACAATGACATCTAGCTTCTAGAAAATTATATTAAGATACCAAATGATTAATTTACCTCTGCTTCCTAAGAGCACTCAGGTCAGAGGAAAACCCTTCCTCTTAGAATTTTCTACTATATTACTTAACAATCCTAATGAGTCCTTTCTAACAGCCTTTTACTGAGATTTGCTGTGGCATCCATCTCATAATACAAGCTGAAACAAGTCAATACACCCAACTTTGTTCATCTGCAAGTGTGTTCCCAGTGTTCTATTGTCTCCACAACACTGACTTAAGGTAGAGGAAAAAGGAAGAAACTAAATGCATAGGAGGAGAGAGCACGCTAAGAATGAGCATAGGAGCTTGGGAGTAAGGCTAAAGCAGAAACATTGTTCTGGAATGGAATAGGAAAACTTTGCCCTGAGACAGATGTAGCAGTTGTTATTAGTTGAAACTTTCATGCAAAGAATATTAGGAGTAATAAGACCTAGATATTATCTCTGGCTTTGTGATAACTAACTCTGTGACAGTGAGAAAGTTAATATTGTTTATCTGTACCATGAGGGAGATAATGGAAGCTCCACCTTGTTGGATCAAATTAGGGAAGAAACAAAAAATTAAAATTTATTAATTATATTAACTCCTTCATTAATTAATTTATTGCTACAATTGTTTATTTGTTATTAATTTAATTATTAAATATATAATTTTCATACCAATGCTTGGTATGCATAGCTGTTATCATTACAGTATTCTAAATAATCACTGAAAGCTCATTGCTAGGCCTAATTTAAAGAAAACAGGAACACCTTGAGACCAACTTCATTCTAATTTTAGAGCTTTATGTAAGGCTTAATTCTTGTTTCTAAACTATTATATTTTTAAAGTAAACTAATATTCAATCAACAATTAAATGTCTTAATTTTCAAAATTATATGCATTATATTTAAATTGATTTTGAAAATCAATTTGTTTAGTTATAGTAGAATATTACAATTATTTAACTATCTAATAATTCTTTGAGATTTTGCTTCTTTATAAAACTGTATTCATGAAATATTTATGAGTAAGAGGATAATAACTGTAGAAAATTTGAAAGTCAATTGAAATTATCCTTTGAAACAAAACATTCAGGGAGACAATTTTCTTTCATTCAGGTCACATATTACTGTGTATTAACAGGCTCTTAAGACTTCTGGAATCTGGAGTTTGCCACACTCTCTGGAATGGTTATCCATTCATGGAAAACATGTACATATTCTTTCACTGACCAATAAATAAGTCTTTATAGAACTAGGTTTATGTTTTTTGGTGGACTAGTTAGCGAAGGATATCTTGGAAAGTGATGCATCTTGGTAGTCACATGATATCATTGCTTTTTTTTCACTTTTACAATGCAACACAGATTAGTAATAATTCTATGAGTAATCTCTTAATGATTTTTTGCACTCAGCAGCAAACAATGATCTGTATTCTTTCAACAGCTGGCTAGGCTCCTGGGAGAATGCTATCTTTGCCTTACAGCTACTGCTGCTATTTGTGTCTTCCAAGTTACAGCTCTTGTGTGGGAGATTAAGACTGATTGCCCATGAATGCATCTCCTTAAAACTGCAGATAAATCACTACATAGATAAAACTGTAATCCTCTGTTAATTAATTCTACTCTTCAGATAATGTAGACATGAAAATATTTAGCCCAGGACAATTTCATCCAGTTTCTATTAGTGATAAAGTCATTCAGAGAGATATCTGCTTGGGAGGAAAAAAAAAACAACTTCTATCAGTCATTAACTTCTGTTAACTTGTATCTCAACAATAAAAGTCTTCAGTGTGTGTTTTAAACAGAGTTTAACCTTTGCAGAACTTTGACAATTCAGAGCACTTAGGACATAGTTTGGTGCTTATATAAAGGCAATTCTGCTTCTTTTCACTATCAGTCCATTAATCATGGGATGTGAATAATTTGATTCATATTTTACATCTTGTATGCTTTGATGTTACCACTTTTTAAACCAAAATATAATAATAAATTATTTCTCTTCTTCTAGCAGTGCAGTTGAGTTTTCTATTTCTCTAGATAGCTCTGTAATTTCACATAGTTTGGAGTACACACAAAGAAACCTGCTCCCTAGAAGCAGAAGGAAGTGTGTTTACCATCATTGTTGTGTTTGTGATTTGGGTGGTAAAATGCATACGTTTTGCTGAAGTTTTGATGTTTTATTTTCTGTGAGTTTGTGTATGTGTGTGTGGGTATAGGAAAGCAACTTGTTTTAATTTTTTTAGAGAGCGCTGTTGGCAACCATCAGCTCTAATAAATAAACAACCCTATGTTGATGGACTTATTTGAATGGAATAATTTTACATGATAATATTTGGGATGATCTACACCTCCATCCATAAAGTGTATCATTGTAAAGTTTCCTTTTTTCATTTTTATGGTGATATTAAATGGCTTACACCTGGAAATCTTCAAAACGTGTGTGTCATAAATGACAACGAGAGAAGAGTCTGGGATTAGTGAAGTCTATGTATGGCTGTTTGCAAAATGCACCCCCCTCTTGGTCTTGTTAGACAGGTCAGCACATGTAAGAATTTGAACAGGCTGCTGTGGTCTCCTTTTAAATACAATTATTAGAAGCAAATTGATTGACACAAGTGTTTGTTACTAAACACTCTTTCTATTCTCACACGAGAGAAATGTCATTTTTGGTCTGAGATAAGGGATGGTACTAGGAAAAAAAGCATTAACCCCTGATCTCAGTGTGTCTTTACTCTGTGTCCTTCTATCCCCTTTAACAAGTCTGGGTCTGGCTTAAATGAGCCAAACCTTCTGCCTTTTTGTTTGTCTTGTTTTATTTGTTTTTATATGGTAATTAAGAGATGCTTTTTCACCACCAAAGAGGGAATGTGTTTAGGGCTTTTATGGAGTCTTGTGTATCTATATCTGATAAAACAGATTTTACTGGAAATACTGGTAAAGATTCTGGAAATTCATGGTATTTGGTTGATGTAAAATATACATTAAGGAATGAATTAAAAGGGCCAAATACATGAATCTCAAAGCCAATAATAGTATACACTTCTCTGTTTTTTTTTCTTCTCATTTACTTGTGTATCTTTTAACCTTCCCAAGTCATTTACCACTGCAGTAGGTTATAGCATACTGTAATATACAGAAAGACAGAATGCTTAATATTTGCCAAATTTGTCACAATGTGAATAAGACAAAGATCTTTCTTAAAAAGCTGACATTTAAGGAGTGTTAAATGTGTGTGTTTGTTCTTTTTCATCTACTTTGGGAGTTTTGATTTTGGTAGCAGCTCTGGTAAATAAAAGGTTGGGTATGAAGGAATTCTGCCGGTGAATCACAATTATGTCAAAATTAAAAGCTATAATTAAATTTCAACATATGGTTGTAGTGAAAGTATGATGTTACATTAACATATATAGTATATAATACTCAAATTATATAATCATTTGTTTATTCATAAAATATTCCTTAGATAAGAAATGTAATCAATATTAAATAAGTGAATAAAAACACATGTGCTAAGATAAAGATAGGAGGAGGTGTGTTCTAAAAGAATGAACTGAGTCCAGAAAGAATGGCATGTCTTTATTATGGGAGCATCATAAAGGGAAGGGGAAGGGTTCTTTGGAGAGAGGATAACGAAAGCACTGAAACAAGGTCAACTTTCCCAAGAAATAATTAGATTGAAAACATAACAAAACAAAACAATATTCAGAAAAACACACTCCGGCTGTGTTAATGAGGGCTTAGAAATTGAAATCCTGGGATGAAATCTGTTATCTTTCGATTACAAGTTTTGGGCTCTTTGACAAGTTATAAAACTAGTGGACTTAAGTAGGGTCACGGGGATTAAATGAAATATGTACCACACAAATGATACTTAAATAAGTTACCATGGCTTCAGCCAAGGGGGAATGCAGCAGGAGTTGCTGAGTGGAAAGAGATGACTAGATTTTGACCCATTCATGCAATTTTTCATTCAATTAATATTTATTAAAAGATTTCTCTGGATTATGTATTGTGATGTGTTAGATGCTATATACTTTTTGGTGATCAAATTCCTTATTCTGTTCTTCACTTTTTTGTGTACTGCTGAAAGACATTGTTTAAACTAACAATGAACTAGCCTCTAAGTGCAGAACAGTAGGATGTCATTATGTAGGTGGTATAGGTATTGAACGAAGATTTATAATAAACTTTAGGAGACAGACATCTGTTACTATGTAGCTGTCATCACCCAATTTCTTATTCTTAAGTCAGGGATATTAATATTTGCCACCTCCCTAGTGTTACTGTTTGAGGTAACTGAGATTACATTGTTGAATATTTGTGGGCATCATTAGGCTGTAAGTCTTATTCCATTACTCATTCCAATATGTCCCATGGAATTTATTGTTGCAATTATGATTCAAAGCAGTAGGATATAAGGATTTGAATCACCAGACAAGTCTGCAATGCAACTTCGTTCTGTGTGGTATATTTAATATAAAATTTTATTAAACTCTTTGAAAATGAGTCCCCTTAAGGGTTTAAGTTAAATAGCTTGGATTAGAAAACTGAAATTTTATAATAATGGCTGAAATTCTAGCTTTCTACTTTATTACACTAACATCTCACAGGGGATTCCAGAACGGTAGATTACATAACATGAATTCAATACTCATCTGCATTAAGCAGGTGCACACTTTAGGTTGGATCCTAGCAAACTCATGTCTTAGCCTTTATTTTTAGGACTATACTTGTTGCTTTTTGGTTAAAATTTTAAATATACAATTTAATATTAATGAAAAAATGAATAATGGTTGTTATCACTTAGAATTATGAATATTGACCTTCAGAATGGAGAAAATATATTTTCAAATGGCTGGTTGGTGCATATATCATGAAGTATAGTATTTGTCAAGCAGGGTCTGGGACAGTGCCACCTAGGCCAACACATGACAATTTCTGCAGCAAAGCAATAAATATTTATAGAAACTGGGATAAAAAGAGACTTTAAATCACTTCATGTCAGTTAACTTCTGGTTCTTCTGTCAAAAGAGCTTGAAAACAAACTCGTAGTTTTCAGAATGTTTTGGATTTTGGACTTGTAAATACAAGATTTTAGGTCTATGTTAACAAAATAGGACAAAGCCATAGTGTGTTAGCAGACGCAGCATATCCTGACATTTAACAACCATGGATTGGTGACACCAAATGCCTGGGTTCAAAGTTTTTGGTAAGGTATTTATTCCCCATGCTTCCACAGTTGCTTCATTTCTAAAATGAGGATAATAAGAGAACCTACCTTGTAGGCTGTTATGAGGCAGAATATGTTAATATTAATAAGATGATAAAATACTGAGAATATAGTCTGGCATATAAATGCTATTTAGATATGGTCACATGATGTCATCTACTTCATTTAAATTTAGGATAAGAAAATAAGAATACAGTGAGTTAGATTTAGTTCCCTGAAAGCAAAAGTTGTGGCTAGTTTTAGCATTCTTACATGCACATCAGTTACTAGCTACTTAGGTAGCAGGCATTTTCTTCCCCTAGACTTCCACTCTCACACAGCCCAGTCAAATGGACAAAAGGGAGAGGAAGGAGGAGTGTGCAGTCTGCACTATCATGGCAGTCTGCACTATCACCAGAGACAAGATTTAAATTATGGACCAAAATAACATCTTACAAATGGGTTTTTTGTCCTTATTTAGGAAAAATTGATTAATAATCTCTCTGGAAATGGACCTTTCTTAGGACCAAGATAATGATATTTTAAGAGAATAATTTTATGAATCATGTGAGGTGGTGTTACTGTAGTCAGAGAGCCAAAGAGCATCATCCTTGCCAAGATCCACAGGACAAAAATGCTTCCAACTGGGTGCAGTGGGGAACACCTATAGTAGTCCCAGCTACTTGGGAGGCTATGGCAGGAGGATGGCTTGAGTCCAGGGTTTCTGTAAAATAAAATTTAAAAAAATATGCCCCCAAATGTAGCTACATTTTTCTGTATGCCTGCTTTAGATTCTGAGATGGAGGTGAGGATCAGCTTCTTGCTCTCTCCTGAACCACCTTCCACTTTTCTGGGGAAAATAAACCAGAGATTATTATGGAGGATGAAGGCAAAGCATTGTGGGTTCCTTTGTCAGGAGCTTCAAATGTGGCCACCCATCTGGCCTTAGAACATGATGTTCTAGCAGCCTTGTCTCCGCAGCATCATTCCTGATGGTCATTATCATCTTTTCCCTTCCATAATCTTAATGCTTCTAGCTTAGGATCCTAAGTTTCATATATGTATAGCAGTGTTATAAATTTTAATTAATCTTCTAAAGATTTCCAATTTTTGAGCTTTGTGAATCAATTAATACCACTTGTACAATACACTATCTTACACAGCCAGATTATATAATAATATGTCTGATACTTACTGTCCTAAATTCTTCAGCATTTCTTAATATTCCCAAAAGGAACAGTTCTTTGACTTCATTTGTTTGGAAGGTTACTAAAGAGGGAAAATATGTTCCCCTCTCAATTCTGAATAATGACAGAGGTTTTTGAGAGACTTTGTACTGGACCAGGGGTAAGAATTTATAAAAAATGCTTTAAAAGCAAACAAACAAACAAACAAACAAACAAACAAACAACACGGGGCAGAGTAGCTCATGCAAGTAATCCCAGAACTTTGGGATGCCAAATTGGGAGGATTGCTTGAGCCCAGGATTTCGAGACCAGTCTAGGTAACATAGTGAGACCCTGCCCCTACAAAAAATAAAAAAATTGGCTGGGTGTGGTGGTGCATGCCTGTAGTCCTAGCTACTCTAGAGGTTGAGGTGGGAGGATCACTTGAGCCTGGGAGGTCCAGGCGTCAGTGAGCGGTGATCATACCACTGCACTCCAGCTTGGGCAACGGAGTGAGACCTTTCTCAAGAAAAAAAAAATGTTTTTAAGAAAAAGAATATTTTATTTGCTGAAAAGAGAAAAAATTTTCTGGGGAAGACATTTTAGAAACAATCTTTCTTGTAAAAATTAGTTTGCTTTATTTACTTGAACTTTGAAAGGCCATAAACACAGTCCTTGTATACTTGCAACTCAGTCCTCTTTCCCATTTCCCTCCCATGGCTGTGCTGTCTCTCCAGTCATTTCACCTGGAACTCTGGAGGTTACGGTAACATATTCAGAATTTCTGTATAAAATTTTCTATGGTCTGATACTTGATACATAGTAGTAATCATTTTACAGCCTTCACTTTTAAAAACATTTTTGGATAACCTTTCCATTTAGGATCCAGGAATTTGTATAAAACCGCAGAGGTTATATTGCTTTTGAACTAAAGGCTGTTGGTTTGTGGAATTTCCTTTAACTGGAAACACGTTTCAGTTTGTGGTTTTAGGGTTTTTCCAGTTTTATACTATCCTGCTTGTTTGTTTTCTTTCAAAGCTGGAGAATTTATCATTAATTTCCATATTTTATAAAAGACTAACTTTTTTCCCCCTCAACCCCCTTTATTTTTTCAGTTGAAAGAGACAAGGATTTTTCTCACCAGCGAAGGCATTACAAAGAATTTCGATTTGATCTTACCCAAATTCCTCATGGAGAGGCAGTGACAGCAGCTGAATTCCGGATATACAAGGACCGGAGCAACAACCGATTTGAAAATGAAACAATTAAGATTAGCATATATCAAATCATCAAGGAATACACAAATAGGTATAATCTTTTTATTTAACTTATTATCCTGGCAAATATATGTAAAATTTTAGTAAAAGCCATTGATAACTCATGTGATCTATCAAACAAATTATTTTTTTGGGGGCAATGTAGTAACATTTAGAGCCAGGTAGAGATATTGAAAGGTAACCGTAATCGATCTGAAAATTTTCTCCTACATTCCAGAGCTGCTCCCTACTCCTGACACCAATTCGTATACTAAATAGTCTCATGCTTCTAAAAATGTGCTTTCTAGGTCTGTTGTCTCATTTTGTAAAGTTGTCCTTCATCCCAGAAAACTTCCACTTTGTTCTGCCCACATGAAATGTATAATTAAGATAATGAAATTACTTGGTGTTCTGGAAGTTAGAGAAGCACTGCTTTACTTTTCACTGACATGAGTGTAAAAATTGTATGTTCATTTTTATGTGTATTTTGATGTCCTCTGTCTATAAGTTGGTTAATTCGGAATGATACAAAAATGGACAGATAGTCTGAAATACTAAATGCATAAAAACCTCAGTTGATAATGACTGCAAATGAACCATTGAAAATAAGTGTTAAATATCAGTCATTTTCTCTGATATTTAACAAAATGCAGAAATCACTTGGATAACACATTTTTTCAGGTGATGAATCTACCTTTGTCAGACAGCTCAGATCTACCATCTATCTATCTATCTGTCTGTCTGTCTGTCTGTCTGTCTGTCTATCTATCTATCTATCTATCTCTCATGTATCTAAATCTATTTGAAATCCTATATTGAGGTGATATCTCTCTCCCAGTAGCTTTCATTCCTCACATCTAGGTCTTCCTTTTGATGAAATAATATATCCTTTTTTGATTAGAAAAATATTTAAAGATTGCTATCCTGTCTCCTGTAAGGTGCTGTTCTCTCCTTGTTGACAATATTTGCAGTTCTTGATGTTTAGATTTGTCTTGGTCTTCCAGTTTGGCAGAATTTCGCAATAGTGCCTTGCAATACTCAATGAAGAAAAAATTAAAAAGCTTCTGAGGTCATGTCTATTGCTAAAGCCTTCCTGTTAGACTATCCTCTCGGAGATTCACAATGCATATCAGAATATTAAAGTCTTTTTTAAAATTTTTTATTTTAAATCAATTTAATTTTGGTCTTGAATTAAATACAATCTAATTTGGGACATTGTGATGTGCCCAAAGTTTGAGACTAATAGTTTATCTTAAAATAAGGGAAGTTCTTGTTCTGATTCTTTAGAAAAGCAAACAGCAACAGAAAAACAAAACAGTGATTATATTTGAGAGCCAGAAAAACTTTGTAAGGAAATAGAAACTTTTTATATGCGTCTGATATAATAATCAGATCACTTATGTTTGTCATTTTGAGTGGCTTTGCAAATTAGGTACCAAAAGATTAAAAAAAAAAAAGCCAGACACTAATGCTGCTCTATCTCTGGTTTAGAATCCACCCTGTATACATGTCATCTAAAGTCATCCCATGTAGACAACCAGAACCCAAAAGGAGGCTGTGGACAATATATGAATATATGCAGGTCTTCCAGCCTAATGGCACCTCCCGATATTCCTGACATACAAAAGGGCTTTATGTTATCACAGTATGGTTTACTCAGAAGTTAGTCTGGGGGTGCCATTCATCTGAGTTGTTTGGCTTGAATACACAAAGACTTTTGTCTCTACCTTGGCTATTTTAAATAAAGTATTATTATTATCATTGCAACCACAGAAGACCATCAATATGATGGACTCATCAGGGTTTCCATTATGTACATTGTTTTTCTGGTTTTAAGCTATTTCAGCTGCTTAACATTCAATTAGGCTACGCCTTGGCTTCTGGATTGTAGGAGTGTTTGTCATTGTGGACAGTTCTGAGGCAGATTTCTTTTTTATTTTATTTTATTTTATTATTATTATACTTTAAGTTTTAGGGTACATATGCACAATGTGCAGGTTCGTTACATATGTATACATGTGCCATGTTGGTGTGCTGCACCCATTAACTCGTCATTCAGCATTAGGTATATCTCCTAATGCTATCCCTCCCCCCTCCTCCCACCCCACAACAGTCCCCAGTGTGTGATGTTCCCCTTCCTGTGTCCATGTGTTCTCATTGTTCAATTCCCACCTATGAGTGAGAACATGAGGTGTTTGGTTTTTTGTCCTTGCGATAGTTTGCTGGGAATGATGGTTTCTAGCTTCATCTGTGTCCCTGCAAAGGACATGAACTCATCATTTTTTATGGCTGCATAGTATTCTGTGGTGTATATGTGCCATATTTTCTTAATCCAGTCTATCATTGATGGACATTTGGGTTGGCTCCAAGTCTTTGCTATTGTGAATAGTGCTGCAATAAACATACATGTGCATGTGTCTTTATAGCAGCATGATTTATAATCCTTTGGGTATATGCCCAGTAATGGGATGGCTGGGTCAAATGGTATTTCTAGTTCTAGATCCTTGAGGAATCGCCACAGTATCTTCCACAATGGTTGAACTAGTTTACAGTCCCACCAACAGTGTAAAAGTGTTCCTATTTCTCCACATCCTCTCCAGCATCTGTTGTTTCCTGACTTTTTAATGATTGCCATTCTAACTGGTGTGAGATGGTATCTCATTGTGGTTTTGATTTGCATTTCTCTGATGGCCAGTGATGATGAGCGTTTTTTTCATGTGTCTGTTGGCTGCATAAATGTCTTCTTTTGAGAAGTGTCTGTTCATGTCCTTCGCCCACTTGTTGATAGAGTTGTTTGTTTTTTTCTTGTAAATTTGTTTGCGTTCTTTGTAGATTCTGGATATTAAAGTCTTACAAAGGCTTTACAGTGACAACACACACACACACACACACACGTACGTGCACATGCCCTCTCAATTCTATTTTAACTAGTCTTCCTCAAAATTATCTGGCTATGGATTCATTGGGTGTGTAGTACTTATTAATATCCTATGGAATGCTAGTTCAGCAGAACTCACTTTAATACGTACTGACTGATATGCATTGTTATTTTTAACAGCAGTAATTTGAAGGCAGAAAGACCTATATTTGTTTCTCAACTTTAACACTGACTACCTATTTGTCTGCAGATAAGTTACGTTTTTAAAAAATCTCAATCTAATGGTTCCATTTATAAAATTAAGATACTAATATTATTTTCTTATAGGGCCAGGCATATATAGTGAATACTATAATATGTTATTTTTATGTTACATAATAATAATATCTCAAAATTAGTGAGAAGAGTTGAAAATAATATTCTGAATGTTAGTTAATAATATTGCCAAAACTAACAAATTGTTTTATTCATAGTTATCTTTTTCTATGTCTGTTTTCACACTTGGATTATGAGTTTTTTAAAGAAGAGATAAGGATAAGTTATTTATTTTTATCCTCAGCACTACCATTTTCCTCGGTATGATTCAATGCTTTGACATCATTATTACTCAAAATTGGAATACTACTTCCATATACATATCCTAAAATGTTTGAATTATGTTTATTTTTTGTCAGTTATATATATTTTATGTATGTTGAGTTTATAGTTGGTTATTTATATCCTAAGCATTTTTTTCAGGAATGATTGGCATACCAGTTTTCTATCCTCTAGAATATATTTATTAATTGTATTTAATTGCAGAATTTTACATTGATCACAATTAAAATTCCTATCTTTTCTGTATGCCCACTGTTCTGTCTGCTCAGTATATTTCTTAATGTCATCTAATGAAGCTCCCTCTGAGCTTACTTTCACCTTTCTATTTTCTAAGGATGTGAATGGTATAATTTAACACATGACAAAAATGATAAAAATAAAGAACTAAGAGTCTATTAATACTTTATAGTCTATTTCTAAATAAACTAATGCTTATTTTTATTAACAGTCCATTTTGGAATATTTATGGATATTGATGCTTAGTTCACGTGACTTCATAGTTTTGGGAAATTTTAATTATCCTTACAAAAATGAAATGTTTGTTTATCTTGCACCTCTGATATTTTTCTAATTATACCTGATTTAAAAAATATTACTCTTAATGTTTCTGCTACTATAGCTACGTATTGTTTCAGTATTCTTTGGTATAATTTGGCTAAGACTTTATTTTAACATGTGTTTAAATCTACTCTCAGATTTAGGATTTCACTGATATTTTTCCTAATTCCTTTGACTTAATTTGTAAAATCTAAAGTGCATGTATATCTTTACCTGGCATCCTCTTCCACTGCCATTTTAAACTCTGGGATGATATAGATTTGATAGGTTTCTATTTAATTTGCCAAATAGTATTTTTAAAAATTCAATTCAATCTTAATTCAGTTCTACCAAGTTCACATTTTTGAACATCTGCTATTGAGTAGTGTTACTGAATTATGATTGTTACTTTATCTTCTAGGGTTATAGTATATTTATTGTCCTCTGTGATATTTGTTTTTGCTAATGTATTTGGAATGTTTTACTAATTATTTTTTCAATCCTGAAATATTCACAGAGACTCATACTTCGTAATTCAATTCTTTTTTTTTTTTTTTTTTTGAGATGGAGTTTCACTCTTGTTGCCCAAGCTGGAGTGCAATGGCACTATCTCAGCCCACTGCAACCTCTGCCTTCAGGTTTCAAGCGATACTCCTGCCTCAGACTCCTGAGTAGCTGGGACTACAGGCACCCACCACCACACCTGGCTAATTTTTGTATTTTTAGTAGAGAGGGGATTTCACCATGTTGATCAGGCTGGTGGTCTTGAACTCCTGACCTCAGGTGATCCACCCGCCTCAGCCTCCCAAAGTGTTGGGATTACAGGCGTGAGCCACCACGCTTGGCCATATTTCAATTTTATATACTGTTGATCAGGTATGACAATCTCTAGCAAAACACTTTTTTTATTTTAAAATAAGCATTGGTTCATTGACAGAAGTTCATTATTCTGCATTGTAAGAAAATGCAATTCTGTGCCGTGTTATTACCTATAGATGCAGGATTCACTTTCTGTACTCCCCCTTTTCTTCCAAAGAAAGATGTTTAAGGGAAAGAACACATAGAAATAGCGATATGTCTTATAGAATATTTCAGGTTTCTATGAAGGACTTTAAAGTCACCACAGAAAATAATAATATAGTGCCATAAGAGCATAGACTTGAAATTCCCAAATAGGGAAATTTCTATATTTCTTGGAGTCTCAGTTTGCAAATCTGAAAAAATAAAAAACAGATGAAAAAGTATTTCAGATCAAGAAAAATAATTTCAGATGATGTGGGAAGGGCTAATGCATATCCCAATGCAAAGATCATAGTTGATAATAAATACATTCATCAATATATTTTCATATAACTTCATATGAGCATCTATGTTAGTTTACAGAACTATATACATAATGGCAAAAAATTGTTTTTTATTATAATAACAGTAGGTACAGTTTTCTGACACCTACCTTTATGTAAAGATAAAGTAAGTAAAATGTTCTAGGTGTCTTTATTTAATAAATAATTAGTTTTATTACATAATTTAATATATGAAAAATAAATCGGTAGGTTTTGAAGTGTAATAATAAAATAAATGCCACCCAATTTAATAGCAATATCATTGAATCTTTCTGTGAATAATAGCTGAAAACACAAGTTTTAGATAAATAGTCAAACTCTTTAAAATACATTTGAGAAGTATGGGGAAAGGGTAGTGTGGGATGAGAGAGCTCTTATTTATGAATTTATCTTACAGAAACATTGCAGATATAGACAGATGTAGACGGATTCATGTAAAAGTGTTTATCGCTGTATTATTGCTTACAATTCACAAATTGAACATAATTAAACAAGAAAAAAGTTAAGGTATAATTTTTGGAAAAATAGCACAGAGAAAACACATATTACCTTTTTTTTTTTTTTTGAGACGGTGTCTCGCTCTTTCATCCAGGCTGGAGTGCAGTGGCGCAATCTCTGCTCACTGCAAGCTCCGTCTCCCTGGTTCACGCTGTTCTCCTGCCTCAGCCTCCCTAGTAGCTGGGACTACAGGCGCCTGCCACCACGCCTGGCTAATTTTTTGTATTTTTAGTAGAGACGGGGTTTCACCGTTAGCCAGGATGGTTTCAGTCTCCTGACCTCGTGATCCGCCCGCCTCGGCCCCCAAAAGTGCTGGGATTACAGGTGTGAGCCACCGCGCCCGGCCAAATTACATTTTTGAAAACTATTTACTAACACTGAAAAATGCTCAAATAATAATGTTAATTGACCCAAACCAAGAAACATTATTATATACATTATTATACTATTTTAAATAAATTTATATATAAAACAGATTGAAGGAACCCATCAAATATTCATTGCAGGCTGTGGGTAATTTACATTTTAATTCTTCAACACTTTCTGTGTTTTTAAAATTTTTATGATGAACATTATTGGTATAAACAGCAATGTGAATAATTATAGTTGAGAGAAAAAAGGTAATGAAATGATTTTATGCTACACACATCTTTACAAAATAGCATTCCCAACTTCTGCCAGGTATAGAGAGTAAAAAATCAAAACAAAACAAAACAAAAAACACTAGGATTTAAAAATCAGTTGCTCTCATTTTTTCTTAAGCCATGGAAGGTATTTTTTTCTCATAGGAAATGAAGATAAATAGTATCTTTTTTATTTTTCGAAAAAATTTACCACTGCTTTGGAACTTTGACTTTAATTCTCTGAGAATTCTCTGAGAAGAGTAAATATTTTTTGGAAAATAGTTACCACAACTTTGGAACTTTGACTTTAATTCTCTGAGACAAGTATTGCATTAAAAATACTTTATTTACATATCACATGATCACAGTTAAAATGGAATTTCAATTTGAAAAGTAATTTTAAAATCCTATTAATTGTTTTAACTATTGATTATTTGTGGCTTCATATACTTCTTAAAGAACTAAAGTGGAAGTAGAAAAAGGAACTAGTACCTCTGGCTATTTTTAAAGCAGAGTCACCTCTCAAAACTTCTGTGTCAAAGTTGTGGGTTTTATCTACTTCGTATTTTCAGTTAAACTCAGAAACAATTGAAAAGTCAGGGCAGACTGTACTCTTTAATGTAATTTATTTGACAATGCATATATGTTTTCACATATGTAAAGTTTCCTTTCCCTAAGATACTGCCTAGGACTGGCTGGGTAAGGGAGATCTGTACAGTAATTTGGACTGATGTTTTATGGATATGTTTTATATTCAAGACACAGTCTGACCTATTAACCATCTAATCTATGAATTATTTGACAGTGTTATGCAATCAAATTTAAAATATGGTAGATCCATTATGTCACCTCTTTTCTTATTTATTTATCTTAGTGAGACTTATAGCTCTTAAAATTATATATTTTATTCCTACCATTTCTCCCACCTTCCCAATTTATCCCTACTCATATTTAAATGTGTGTAATTTAAAGGAGTGTTCTGATACTTATCCAAATCTATATTTTACTTGGTAAAAAGTTAACACACTTTGCATCATTTCACTTATTTAATCTTTTCATATAAGGCTGACAGCCCCAAATTCTATATAGAAGGCATTGCTCTATAGTCACACCTCATATATCTGGCATTATTGGGAAAGGAGGTTTCCACATGATTGAATTTTCCAGATAATTCAGCTGAGCTTGGAGTGCTTTTGTTGAGCGTCTACCATGTGGCAAGCACAGAGGACATAAGGCCGAGTAAATAGGGCCTCAGAAGCTCATAGCCTGGAGGCCAGGGACTGTGGTGGGGCTGCCACACACAGACTTTAATAACTATAATACAATGTGCTAAGAACGATGATGTAAATATGCACTAAGTGTTGTGGAAATAGAAATGAAGAGAAAGTTAATTTTTTACTTGGAAGGGTAAGGGACCTTAGGGAAAGCCTCTGAGAGGAGTTCACTATTGAGCTGAACTTTTCAAGAAGAGTAGGAAGTTTCCATAGGCAAAACAACAAATGGGGAAAGAATAGGGAGAGAGAGAGAGAAAGAGAGAGAGAGGGAGAAAGAGAGAGGGAAGGAGGGAGAGAGAGAGAGACAGAGAGAGAGAGGGCAGAGGTGTATGCCAGAAGAAATGTTCCTAAGCACTAAAATGTTTAAGTGTATAAAAAAGTTCAAGCGTATAATGAATTAAATTAATACAATAAAATGATCAATGCCAGTGTTACTACTAATAAGAATAGCATCCAGCACTTACACATTTAATGGACACTCACCATGTGTCTGGCGCTGTGCTAAGTGCTTTACTTGAATTAATTTTTTCACAAATATATATATTTATGTATTCCCTAAAGAAAATGTGCTATGTAGAATCAACCTTTTCCTAATGCTCTGCTATGAATATAAATTTCTGTACTCCATTGTGAAAACATTTTAAGCTAGCCTGCTCGATGTCATTAGCCACCTTCAGTACTTGGATATATATAGTTAAGCTGTCATCATTCCAGTTCACAGTCAGCTTCATATTTACATCATCTCCCCCTGCCTCCTTCTTCTCTAAGATTTGTGATTCTTCTGCGGACATACTTCAGAAGGTACTCTGACATTTTCCACTCAGGAAGATTTCCTGGGCTCTTGAGAGCAGGGTGCCAGAACAGGACACTCAGATGGGAGATTATGTTTCTAAAGTGTCTAGAACGGTACACAAGCATAGCTTGCATATCTTCAGTGTGTGGGGATCATGCTCTATTTTAGAGGTTCTTACCTGGGGTGATTTTGGTCCCTAGGAGACATTTAGCAATGTATGGAAACACTTTATTTTGTCATCCACAATTGATAGGGGGCAGGTATGTGTGTGTATTGTTACTAGCATTTAGTGCGTAGATATGCTGGAGTAGTAATGTGGGTAGGAATGCTGCTAAACCTTCTAAAATGGACAGGACAGCTCCTCTGCCTCACAGAGTGCTTTGATCCAAAATGTCCTTGGTACCAAGGTTGAGAAATCTTGCTCTATTTGAAGATTTAAGATATAAACCTAAAGTGGAAATAGTTTGTGCCATAAGCTAATATGTCAGTGAATTTTGCTTTGACCATTTAATATTTTGGATCATAAGACTCATAAGATGAAAGAGCTCTTAGGAGTTTGTACTGGGTACATTGCTCATTCACTGCATGAAAAATGGTTGAACTGTCTGTGTAATAGCCTCATGTCCTTTTTGCTTGTTGAATGAGGGGACCTCCTGGGTGTATACCTGGTAGCACATGTTTAAATTTCTCTGCAGGGGAAAAATGTGAGATGATGTAATGCCAGGAAACCTACTAAATATTAAAAATGTCTTGGCAATTAAAAAAATTCTGCTCAGTGAAAAGTGATTAAATTTTCTTAGTGAGATTCCAACTTTTTTTCATTTCTGCCATGCTTTTCATTCAATTGCATCTAATATTACTATTTTACCAGTTTTCATCTGTACCTTTTAAATGCAGCATGGAATTAGATATTCTGAAAATTAATGGTTAGTAAGATTTATAGAATTGTATAATCCCACATTTATTTTGGGGAAAAAAAGCGATTTACCATTTGAAAACATTGATCAATTTGAATTGAAACCCAATTCAAATTCTAGCCCATATAAGCTAAAAGCTGCTGATGAGGGAAACTTTGAACCTTATAAACTCTAGAATTTACCATTATTAATTTGTAGTCTCTTGAATAATATGATGGTATTTATGACAAATACCCAGAGAGAGATGTATGCTTTCTCCTTGGGTGGCCATCATTATATTTTTATTGGACTTGATAAGCTATTCAAGGAAAAAAGGAGATGGAAGAAAGTGAAATAGTTATAATAATAGAAGCTTTGGGAAAAGTGGAGATGTCGTTGTGGACTACAAGTTTTGTACTTTATGAAAATAAAGTAGTGTGGCATCCTTTCCTCTAAAATTTGTCTGTGTAGCTTCTAGATAATTTCTTAAAGCTTTTCTGGACCAGGTTTAAGTGCTTCATGATTAGATAGTAGAGTGGCTATCCTATTGGTTTCTCCTTTTTGTTTCTCTTTGAATATAAAAAATATGTGGCTATCCTCTTGGTTAAGTATCCTTTTTCTCTCTCTTTCTCTCTCCATATATATATGTATATAATATATGCATGCATACACACATATACATATATTCATGTAATTGAAACCACAACCACAACCAGGGTTAATATTCCTTTTCTTATCTCTTCTTCTTGATTATATAAATGATTTTACTTATTTTTTATAAGTTTTCAACCCATTTTTTTCTCCAGTAGAACTGAGAGGTGGTTTTATTATGGATTATGTATCAAAAATATTCCTAAAGTTAAAGAAGATGAATAAATTTCTATTTCCAAAGTTTCTAAGTACAGGTTGTTAAATAACTTTTACATTTGTAATTGCATAAATCACTTCTGACTATAATGAGTTGGATGCAAGAATAATGCATACAACTCATATACATTTACACACTATACATGTAGTTTGTTAAGAAAGTAGCAATTATAGTAATTTGTATATCATTTTTATTTGTGTATTCTTTTATCCTTGCAATAGATTTTTGAGGTAGAAATTACTTTAATTTTCATTTAGAGAATATTCATTTAATCTTCTTTTAATCTTCATTTAAAGAAGAAGGAAGATAACTTTAGAAAGGTGACTTTAAAGAACATAATGATTTTTTTCTAATATTAAGTAAAGCCTGAGTATAGCAAGTCAGCGTTGAAATTAAGCAGGCACCAACTCCATCTATGATTGTGGTTCCTAGATTCATGAAGGTACATGGATAGTGTGGCTCTTTAAAGTATCTGTGGGGTGGGTCAAGATGGTTGACTAGAAGCAGTAGCGATAGGAGGCTCCCATTGAGAAGAACCACAACAGCATGCAAATCCTACACCAGCAACCGAGGTATCCAGGTTCTGTCATCAGAACTGACTGGGCAGCTGGTGTGACCCATGGAGAGGAAGGAAGAGCAGTGGGGTGCGGTGGCCCACCTGAGGGCCTCATGGGGCAGAGGGGCCACCACCCCCCAGCCAAGGGAGGTGGTGAGTGAGCATGCTATCCAACCTGGGAAAACATGCTTTTTCCATGGAACTGTGCAGCCCACAGATTGGAAGATCCCACGTGTGAGCCCACGCCACCAGTGCCTAGGGTCCCAACCATGGACCTGTGCAGGTTCTCAACAGCCAGTAAGCTAGAATCTGCTTAAGCCTGCTGAGCTCACAGAGGGAGGAGTGACCAGAACCACAGCTGTGGTTGACTGCTGTCAAAGCCATTTGAGGTCCTTGGGGGAGGGTGAGAGCCAACACCGGGACAGATAACTGCCTAATACATTAACCTCCTATGGCAGGAGAAGGGCAGCAGCCATCTCTATAGCTCCAGGCTGTGCTTTTCCTTAGCTGGACCCAGGGAGACTGGATGGCTTGGTCCCAAGAAGTATCCCTCACAGCCAAACACATCAGCTGTGGCATACTGTGGACAGAGTGCCTCTTCAGGCCTGACCTTGACCCATCCCTCCTCACTGGGCAGGGCCTTCCTGCAGGAGCTTCTAAAACTCCAACCAGGTGCTCAGGGACAGAACTCTGATCTCCCTGGACCTGATCCCCTAGTGGGAGGGGTGGTCACAGTCTCCAAAGACCAGCAGACTTAGTCTTTCCTCTGGCTAGTTCTGAGGAAGTCAGGAAGCCCAGAAGAGTGGGTTTCTCCCCCCACTGAAGTACACCTCCTCCATCAAGGAACAGTCAAAGTGCTTTGTTAAACTGGTCCTGCTCCCCATGCCATCCAACTGGGTGAGACCCTCCAACAGGGATCATCAGACACCCTATACAGGAGCGTTCCTACTGGCATCATGTCAGTATATAAACACATGTCAGTACTATAAACACCTCTATTCAAATAAACTATAAAATCTAGAAGAAATGGATAAATTCCTAGACACATACACCCTCCCAAGACTTAACCAGGAAGAATTTGAATCCTTGAATAGACCAATAACAGTTCTGAAATTGAGCCAGTAATAAATAGCCTACCAACCGAAAAAAAACCAGGACCAGATCGATTAACAGCCGGATTCTACCAGAAGTACAAAGAGGAGCTGGTACCATTCCTTTAGCTACTATTTCAAACAATTGAAAAGGGATGAGTCCTTCCTTCCTTTTATGGGGCCAGCATCATCCTGATACCAAAACCTTCCAGAGACACAACGAAGAAAGAAAACTTCAGGCCAATATCCCTAATGAACATCGATGTGAAAATCCTCAATAAAATACTGGCAAACCGATTCCAGCAGCACATCCAAAAGCTTATCCACCACGATCAAGTTGACTTGATCCCTGGGATGCAAGGCTGGTTCAACATATGCAAATCAATAAATGTAATCCATCACATAAACAGAACCAATGACAAAAATCACATGGTCATCCCAATAGATGCAGGCCTTTGATAAAGTTCAACATCCCTTCATGTTAAAAACTCTCAATAAATTAGGTATTGATGAAAAAATCTCAAAATAATAAGAGCTATTTATGACAAACCCACAGCCAATTCATACTGAATGGGCAAAAGCTGGAAGCATTCCCTTTAAAAACCGACACAAGATAAGGATGCCCCCTCTCACCATTCCTATTCAACATAGTATTGGAAGTTCTGGCCAGGGCAATCAGGCAAGAGAAAGAAATAAAGGGTATTCAGATAGGAAGAGAGGAGGTCAAATTGTCTCTGTTTGCAGATGGCATGATTCTACATTTAGAAAACCCCATTGTCTCAGCCCCCAAACTCCTTAAGTTGATAAGCAACTTCCAAAAAGTCTCAGGATACAAAATCAATGTGCAAAAATCACAAGCATTCCTATACACCAATAATAGACAAGCAGAGAGCCAAATCATGAATGAACTCCCATTCACAATTGCTACAAAGAGAATAAAATGCCTAGGAATACAGCTAACAAGGGATGTGAAGGACCTCTTCAAGGAAAACTACAAACTACTACTCAAGGAAATAAGACAGAACACAAACAAATGGAAAAACATTCTATTCTTGTGGATAGGAAGAATCAATATAATGAAAATGGCCATACTGCCCAAAGTAACTTATAGATTCAGTGCTATTCCCATCAAACTACCATTGGCATTCCCCACAGAATTAGAAAAAACTACTTTAAATTTCATATGGAATCAAAAAGGAGTCTGTAGAGCCAAGACATTCCTAAGCAAAAAGAACAAAGCTGGAGGCATCATGCTACCTAACTTCAAACTATACATCAAGGATGCACTAACCAAAACAGCATGGCACTGCTACCAAAACGGACAGATAGACCAATGAAAAAGAACAGAGACCTCAGAAATAACACCACACATCTACAACCATCTGATTGTCAACAAACCAGACAAAAACAAGCAATGGGGAAAGGATTCCCTATTTAATAAATGGTGTTGAGAAAACTGGCTAGCCATATGCAGAAAGCTGAAACTGGACCCCTTTCTTACACCTTATAGAAAAATTAACTCAAGATGGACTGAAGACTTAAATGTAAAGCCCCAAATCATAAAAACCCTAGAAGAAAACCTAGGCAATACCATTCAGGACATAGGCATGGGCAAATACTTTATGATGAAAATGCCAAAAGCAATTGCAACAAAAGCCAAAAGTAATAAATGAGATCTAATTAAACTAAAGAGCTTCTGCACAGCAAAAGAAACTATCATCAGAGTGAACAGACAACCTACAGAAGGGGAGAAAATGTTTGTATTCTACTCATCTGATGAAGGTCTGATACCCAGAATCTACAAGGAACTTAAACAAGTTTACAAGGAAAAAAAAATAACCCCATCAAAAAGTGGGCAAAGGATATGAACAGACACTTCTCAAAAGAAGACATTTATGCGGCCAACAAACATATGAAAAAAAGCTCAACATCACTAATCATTAGAGAAATGCAAATCAAAACCACAGTGAGCTACCATCTCTCACACCAGTCAGAATGGCGATTATTAAAAAGTCAATAAACAATAGATGCTGGTGAGGATGTGGAGAGATAGGAATGCTTTTACACTGTTGGTGGGAATGTAAATTAGTTCAACCACTGTGGAAGACAATGTGCCGATTCCTCAAGGATCTAGAACCAGAAATACCATCTGACCCAGCAATCCCATTACTGGATATATACCCAAGGGAATATAAATCATTCTGCTATAAAGCAAAGACGTGGAACTAACTCAAATGCCCATCAATGATAAACTGGTTAAAGAAAATATGCTACATATACACCATGGAATACTATAAAGCCATAAAAAGGAATGAGATCATGTCCTTTGCAGGGACATGGATGAATCTGGTCAAGGGGAGGGAGAGCATGAGAACAAATAGCTAATCATGTGGGGCTTAAAACTTTGATGACGGGTTGATAGGTGCAGCAAACTACCATGGCACATATATACCTATGTAACAAACCTACAGGTTATGCACTAGTATCCCGGAACCTAAAGTAAAATAATTAAATAAATAAAATCAAGTATCTGTGAGTCTTACAGCTTATTGGCACCTGATACCAATGAGAAATGTTCAATTATATTTTTAAAACAAGCAAACACTTTTGCCATGTGTCTATAATATAGTACTCTTGATAAAAGAGATTTCATCAAAAGATGAATGGGCATCCCATCCAGTGCATATTAGTTTACCCAATGTCTCTTGCTAAGAGGTGATTTCATTTATAATGAAATTTTGCATTTGAACTCTAAGGATAGTGTTGTAGAGAGGTAAATAAGCATTTGCTTATTCCAGAAGATTTTCTGTACTGTACATACATCTCTTCTTACATTGAAATAGTGCAAGAAGTTCTATCTTCCACATACAAACTTAAATGCATCCTATAAGTAGCCTCATGATTATCACATTAAAAATCCCTTTACATGACTGTTTGCACCTATTTCCCCAAACTCCACAGTATTTGTCCTTTCCACATCATAACCATATTCACAGATATAAAACTTTACTTTCAATTCCTTCTCTTTCTCATAGTTAATTCACCCCTCAATGCACTGTAATTTGATTTTCATAACTCCACTCAACTAGTCATCTACCATCAGCCTCCTCTTTACCAGATCTTATACTTTTTCTTTCTTCTTATTCTCCTCAGTATTTGATATTGTTGATCATTCCCTATTTAATATGTGAAATATCCTAATCAGGGGAATATATTAGTTTCCTAGAATTGCCATAACAGATGACTAAAAACTATGATGGCTTAATACAATAGGAAGTTGTTTTCTTACAGTTCTGAAGGCTAGGTTTCCCAAATCAAGGAATTGGTAAGGCCACGCACCCTCCAAAACCTCTAGAGGATGATGCTTCCTTCCCGTTTTCATCTTCTGGTAGCCCTAGAAGTTCCTTGGCTGTGTGAAGATACTGTAATTCCAATCTCCTCTTCCATCTTCATGTGGCTCTCTTCCTTCTGTGTGTCTCTATCTTTGTGTCTCTCCTCTTCTTCTTATAAGGATACTGGTTATATTGAAATATGGCTTACCTCATCTTAACTTGATTACATTTGCAAGCATATTTCCAAATAAGATCACATTCACAAGTATGAGGGACTAGTACTTCAACATATGTTTTTGAAAGACACAATTTAACCCATAACAGGGAGTAAGCTAGATAGTGATTGATAAGAAAAATAAAATTATTGTGAGTCATAAGGAATAAGATATTTATTATAGGGATTTGACTTTCTGCAATCATGGGACCTGGTTAAATAGTTCTTGTAAGGCTGTTGCTTCTCTATCTTGTGATGGGTCTAAAGTTAGCTTCCCATAGGCAGCTGGGAAGAAAAACAGATACAGAATTGGAGAGAAAAAGAAGAACTAGAACTTTTCAGGATATGCTGGAGCCCCAAGGACAAATTAGAAACCATGTCTTTCTCATGCCTTTGGAGTTCCAACTTTAATGATGTGCGTGGCCTGCAGGGGAGATTGGTATGCTTCACCATGAATTCCACAAACTCCTTTGCTTAGGATGTAGAGAAGCTGAAGGAGGTGATCTTGCAGAAGGAATTGTGGGCCAGAATTTGGAGAAGCTGACGGAGCTGTTACTCAATGGAAGCTGAAAGAGCCCAGGTGCTCCCAACAGTAAGGTGAGCTAGCAGATCAGTGACAATGTATGCGAGCAGCAGAAAAGCCTGGCACTTTACCAATTATCCAATCATAAACTTGGGTGCTGCTTCCATTCCACTACCCAACTCCTGTGCAGATTTCTCTGATGGCTAACTTCAAAGCAGCCCCAAACAAATTCCCAAGGGAATTCTGGAATTTGTCATTTCTGTTTAGGTAATATGACAATGTACATAGTCACAACAGTCCATCCTTGTCAATTTGGCACTAATATACATCTTTTATACCCATTCATAACTTCTTCCTGTTTTTTTTTTTGTTTGTTTTGTTTTGTTTGAGGCAGAGCTTCGCTCTTGTCACATAGGCTGGAGTGCAATGGCGTGATCTCAGCTCACTGCAACCTCTGCCTCCTGGGTTTAAGCGATTCTCCTGCCTCAGCCTCCCGAGTAGCTGGGATTACAGGCGCCTGCCCCCCCCACCCCCCCACCCCAGCTAATTTTTGTATTTTTAGTGGAGACGGGGTTTTGCCATGTTAGCCAGGCTGGTCTCGAACTCCTGACCTCGGGTAATCTGCTCACCTTGGCCTCCCAAGTGCTGGGATTACAGGCATGAGCCACCGCACCCGGCACCATTCATAACTTATAAAAAATGTAATAGCAAAGTAATTCTGCCTTTTAATCCATCTTTGGATGTTGTTCATTCCTTTTCTAGCTGAGCCATACTCCCCCTTTGAAGTATTGTAATTTCAATACTGAAATATGTGATTAGCTACTATCAACACTGCTTATACTAGATGGGAGGTAGATGGGGAAGAAAAGGGGAAAAAAAGAATTATTTAATATATATTAGGTAGGTGCAAAAGTACTTGTGGTTTTTGCCATTAAAAGTAATGGCAAAAATACATATATATTTAATACAAAAACATAAATATATTAATTTCAAAATAAGGAATAAATACCATATTACAATACTCATTTCTGCAGCTAGTCACATGGTTGCAGTTGGTATTTATAATTTCCTTCTTTTACTATGCTATCAATTTTCTGTTTATTTTGACAAGCACCATGGCTGGTCACTTTTCCTTATCTAGTAAGGTAAATCAAATATTTATTGTTGAAGTGTCTGGGCCATTAGCGATAATGCCTGCAATGAACTGTGATTTTCCATTTACTTTTGTCATATGACAAGGGAGTACGAAGTGGTGTTCCAGGTGATCTCTTGTACTCTATGCATACTCCTCATTACTCATATTGTGGTAGTAGTAGTCCAATTTCCCTTTGATATTTAGAATCATTGATTCACATGGTATAGTAACCACTTACTGGCTTCTTGATTCACTGGCATGAGGAGTCGAAGTGGCCGGGTAGCTGTTTCAACTTCCAATTTAATAGAACTATTGCCATGGACACTAGAGTTAGCATTGTACCATTGGGAACTAAGAGCTCTGGACCAACATAGCCCAATGTCTTGGGAGTCAGAAGCACAGATTTTGCTAGTTGAATCATAGATAGTGAGTTGAGAGGAACCACTTCCATTTCCACCCCTTGATTTCCAGACCATGAGACATCTGGCTATGAGAGAAACAGTCATCCTTGCTATATTGGTTACTGATTTAGATCATATAAAGCTTCCTTGAAGGATATCAGTTCATTCTTGTAAAATATTGGTACCCAACTTGTGGCATAACTGAGTCTTCAAAAGGCCATCCTTTTGATGGGAAGCATGGGAAGACCGGTGACTTCCGTAAGCATGAGCCCATTTTTTATCAGAAGCGATGCAGTATGGAATTCTATGGATAAGTGAATAAGGCATTCTGGAAGTTCATGTGTGGTAATTTTGGGGAGAAGCATCATGGACAAAGAAGACAGATTCATATCCAGAGCACCCTTTCCAGAGAGAACGAAGTACTGCCCTTCCAGTACTGAAGTAAGTGTTCCAGTATAATTAGCCAAGAGCAAAGTGGAGATTTATCCTCCTGGGAAATGCTTCTGCAAGGATTTATGGTAGAGATTTGACCTTATGCATTCCTAGAGCTAACCAATCTATTTAAGTCTGTTGCTCTGCATCTGAAGCTGGGCTTAAGGTCCACAGGACAGAGTCAGAAAGGAAAGATGCATTGGGGGAAACAAGGACAAAACAGAACCTGTGAAGATAATCTGGAACCCATGAGGACAAAGTGGAACCTACCTCCAAGTCTCCAACTTCAATGATGCAGTTGACTTTCTAGCCGCCAAGTCCTTTCCTTTAGAAGCGGATGCCTTGCCCTAGATTCAGAGGAACTAAATAGGGAGAATTAGTGGGATCTGAAGGAGCTGCATGCTCAACACCAATAAGATGAACCAGCAGATCTCCACAATATGTCTAAGTTGCAATAACACTTGACCACAAGGTAGTCTTCTAAGCATAAATATGGCTACTGCTTCGCTGCCACCTTCTAAATGTTACCCAAATTTCCTTTGCAGCCAACCCTAATCCCAAACGATACACAGTAGTTCCAGCTTAGTTGAATTGATATAGTATAAAACCACCATGGAGTGTGAAAATACGTTAAATTGAAAAAGTGAATAAATGAATTAATAGATAGATGGATTTGTGAAATGACAGCCAAAGTCACTTCTTAGCTGTTTCTACCCAACTTGTTTTAGGCTAGTGGCTCAGATCAACCTTTCAGTGGTCCAGTCCAAATATCAGTGCTTTTCTTCAAGATAAGGAAAGCAATTGAGTTATGGTTTGGGAGTAAAGGGAGCTGATATTTTATAAGAGAAAGTGTTCTGAAAATGGAAAACTGGGTTCTGATCCCCCTATTGGCTAAGTGAACATGGAAAATTATTTGATTTCTCTTTAAATTTCCTTATGAAAAAATAGTTTGGCTAAGTAATTTATATCTCACTCAGTTCTAGTATTCTGTGATTTATTTTGGTCACTTTCAGAGTTAAAATCCCAGACTCATTGATTTCACATCAAACATTCTTGGTCAATTTTTTTTGTCTTATAATGAGAATACTCCATTTATTCAGCTGACTAGAAAAATAGAGGAAGTTAACATTTCCAATACTACATGCCTGGTGTGCTACTAGGCCTGTTCACATCCCTTATATATCGAATTATAAGGAGAACACATTATCATAATATAATCATATCAAATGATATTCCCTTTACTCAAGTAAAAGATCAAACAAATTAGAGCAAGAAGTTGAATGTTTATACACTTGATTTTTTGTATAAGCATAGGTAGATAATGAATACACTTAAAATAGACAAAACTATAATAGTTTGTTAATATTTCGCATACATATTTTAATTCACATGTTGTCTGAAATGATTAATATAGTATTCCTTGTTTCACTCTCAAAACATATATATGATGGCTTTTTCTTCAAACTTGTCTCATGCATCTTTGACATTATGCCTTTATCACTAGAATCACATTTTTAATCATATATCACAGTGTTAATAAGTATATCGTCTTCAGATCCATCTATGTTGTTTGAAAAGTAGCATTTTTGTATATTTGTGTATGATACTGTCATTGGAAATACTATGCTATCGAAAGTGCAGGAATCCACAGGTTGTGTGTGTGTGTATACATGTGTGTTTGTTGTTGTTTTTTAGCATTTATTTAAATGCATAAATGTTATATCCACAATGCAACCTCTAACTCTATTCTTATATAAGGGAAGGGTACTTATATAAGTGCTTTTTAAAAAGGTGATGTTTCACTGTGGGGAGGTCTGTGCAAACCTACCCCAAAGTCCCAGGAATCTGAGAGGCTGAAGAGACAGGCTGACAAAACCAGTTTCCTTGGAAGAAATATTTAATAGGGACTTAGGAACAGAAGCCATGTCTGTATCTCGGGCAGCAGCAAGTTGAGATGGTGGATTCCCACACCATCACCCAGGGAGCAGAGATGGTTCAGAAGGGAGCTGTAGGACAATTGAAGTATGATAACATAAAGGTTGTTTGACCTAAAGGCAGAATTTGCGTAAGTACCTGCTCTTACACAAGGAAGATAGATAAACTGAAAATATTAGAGGGCTTCCCAGAACAGAAGTTAATCAGAAGCCAATAGAGTGGATTAGCTTTCAAGATGGAGTTGCTTTGGCCTCCACAGGTAAACTTCTAAAGACAGTCAATAGTTGAAGTTTTGAAACAACACTCCCAGAAATACTTTCTAAACTTTTTGTGCCTTGTTTTCTCTACCTCCTCCTTCTCCTTTTCTCCTCTTTCTGCTCCTCTCTTTTTCTTCTTCCCCCTTTTTGTAAATACAAAATTAACACTGATAGAGGTTATTTGAAGGTAATGTTCTTCTCTAAATAATACTTTCCCAAAACTCATAGGTCAAAATGAAGCAATTTAGAGACATTTGTATTATGGCAGACCCTATAAAAGATTGCAGATTTAAGTGTAATTTACCTCTTAACCAGATAGATATTCAAAGTATTGCACTTGGTCTTGATCAAACATTTTAAGGCAGGGATTGTCATACCATTTTTAATATACAGGGAAATTGAGGTTGAGGAATTCCTTAATTGTTCAAGATCTGTCTGATCTCCAAATCTTTATAGCACTAGATTGATATTGATAAAAAGATGATAAATATTAATTTCTTAGCTATATAGCTTCTATATTCTCATTCCACCAATTAGCATCTTCGGTTGAGTTATGCTAATGGTAGTAACTTAAATTCTGCTGAATTTTGGTTCCTGCTGTTTAGTCTTTAGTGTAGTGTCCTTCTGGTATTTTAAGATTCTCAAGGTATGTATGCAAAACTCTTTCTTCTTTCACTAAAATAAAAGGCACTCATGCAAGTAAATATACACAAACATACCAATAGCCCATGTATAACTAGACATGTTTAAACTTCTGGTCATGATGAGTCAGACCTGCTCAAATGTATTTGTATTGACAATAAATGTATGTATATATTATATATTACTATTCACCTTTGAGCAGCTAAACTTAATATTCCAAAATATTTCATATCTGATAAGCTTATTTGATACTACAAATCTAACTTTATCTGTTAAACCTGACTCTGTATTTAACAACAGCATGATGACTTTATTAACCATAGAGGAAATTATTATACTGATCTATATCACAATCAAGATGAACAATGAAATTTTACCTGAAAAAGAAAATGCAAATTTTAGTCATTATGATTTCTATTAATATAAATTTACTTTCACATATTTGTTTTTGAAAACCTCTCAGTCTTGATAAGTGCTATGTTGTCAATAAAGACAGACTATTCACATCCAGGAATATTTACATTCCCACCTTAAAAAAACCCGCTTTATTAGTATTATGTATTAGTATTAGTATTATGGGTTGAATTGTGCCCTCTCCCCCGATGTTGAAGTCCTAGCCTCCAGTAACTCAGAATGTGACCTTTTTTGGACATAGGGTCTTTGCAAAGGCAGTTGACCTAAAGTGAGGTCAGTAGAATGAATCCTAACCCAATACGACTGGTGTCCTTATGAAAAGAGGAAATTTAGACACAAAGACATGCATAGGAGAAAAGATGATGAGAAGGGATACAGGGAGAAGACAACAGTCTACAAGCCAAGGAGAGAGCCTGGAACAGATCTTTTCCTCCGGTTTCAGAAAGAACCGACCCTGCTGACACCTTGATTTTGGAATTCTAGCCTCCAGAAATGAGAGAAAATCAATTGCAAACTCTAGTCTGGTATTTTGTTATGACAGCCTTAGAAAACAATCACACGCAGTGGCTCACGCCTGTAATCCCAGCACTTTGGGAGGCCGAGGTGGGTGGATGACGAGGTCAGGAGATCGAGACCATCCTGGCTAGCATGATGAAACCCCGTCTCTACTAAAAATATAAAAAATTAGCCGGGCGTGGTGGCAGGCGCCTGTAGTCCCAGCTACTCGGGAGGCTGAAGCAGGAGAATGGCACGAACCCTGGAGGTGGATCTTGCAGTGAGCTGAGATCGCACCACTGCACTCCAGCCTGGGCGACAGAGCTAGACTCCGTCTCAAAAAAAAAAAAAAAAAAAAGAAAAGAAAATAATCACAAACACCATTCTGAAATATTTGCTTATGCACATTCATGTAAATGGGCTTTTTCTTTGCTACAATGTAGGCTTTAATTTCAAGTATTGTAACTGCACCTTATTTAAAGGATTTATGGAATTATTTTTGCTACAAATAAATATGTTTTTTCTTTATACATGTATTTTCTCTATCGCACTGTTCTTAAATGCATTACTATTTAAAATGTTCTTTTATTGGATATTGTAAGAATTTCTTTTAAAAAGTGAAGCAAAACTGGTGAGGCAGGACAACTTTAACAAGTTTATTTTATACTGTTCATGGGAAATACTTAGGATATTTTACTATTCCCGGTAGTATAAGTGCCATATTTTAGTGGAGAAATTTTATACTTCAAAATAAATCCCCTCTAACATTCTACAGAATGGGGTTGGGGGGGACTTGTTTTTAAGAACCTGCTATGAAAGGGGCCATATGAGTAAAAATTACAGAATTATTACCACTGTGTTTATTACTCATAGTCTTGATTCTCCTCAAGCATATTCTGTTGTCTATAGGTAATGCAGAAGAGCTTCGTATATGAAAGGAGAAAGGAGAAATTAAATAATTTGTCAGTCAAAAGTAAAATAGCTTTGACCATTAATAGAAAACTGTGCACTTATGAAATCAATTAAACTTTCATAACTTTTCAGAGGTGAACTAGAAATATATGGCTCTTTTTAGACCATACCACTTCATCTTCCCAGATTTACTTTCCAATGAATTGCAATTTGCATCACCGAAATTCAGATATTTAGGCCATTCTTGATGCTTTTTCTAAATATATACATCATCATTCTCAGTAAACTATCGCAAGAACAAAGAACCAAACACCGCATATTCTCACTCATAGGTGAGAATTGAACAATGAGAACATATGGGCACAGGAAGGGGAACATCACACTCTGGGGACTGTTGTGGGGTGGGGGGAGGGGGAAGGGATAGCATTGGGAGATATACCTAATGCTAGATGACGAGTTGGTAGGTGCAGCGCACCAGCATGGCACATATATACATATGTAACTAACCTGCACATTGTGCACATGGACCCTAAAACTTAAAGTATAATAATAAAAAAAAAGAAAAAAAATACAAATTCCATAAGAAAAAAATATATATATATACATTTAAACTGGAACTGTCTCCTTCATAGACATGCTGGAAAGTTTTGGGATTTGAACATGGAGAGTTTGGAGAATTTTTTTTTCCTGAAGAGATGGCACAATTTAAAAATAATAGAAAATATCATTGAAATGACTACCAAAAGAAATTTGTTAATTTTGCTTCTGAAAGTTTACCTCCTTGTTCTTTTTTGTTTTTCATGTCTTTATTAATATCATGCCAAGGGATGACATTATGAGCCTTGCAGAATTGATTAGGACATTTTTGCCATATTTCAAATGAAAGCAGACCTGAAATCAGTGTAGCACTCAAGTATTTCCCAAGGTACAGGGTGACTGCTCCTGTTTAAGAAGTGAACAGTGTAAATGAGTTAATTCCAAGATTAAGGTCTCAGAGATATTTACCAAATATCTCAAAACTTTAAGACAATTCTTATTTTCTTGTCTGCTTATTTGGAGGATTTTTCAATTTAGGAGGAAGAGGAAGAATTTAACTGACCTGCTATCACACTGGGACTATAAAGGGTTCTACAAATTCTAGTGAGAACTAAAGGAATCATTTTACTGCTTTGTATGATATGCTTGTTATAAGTCTGCAGTATCTAAAACTGAATCCTATATCAGATGTGAAAAAAGCAAGCGTTTCAATCCTTCCTTTGGTAAACACTATGACTGTAATTGTGAAAAGACAATAAAACATTCATAGTTTGTATTAGGATATTTAGATTATTTCCTTATCATATTACATTTATTTGAATTTCTCTAGATTAATAGAAAAAAATCTAGTTAAGAAACGAAGATGTAGTTTCTAAGATACACATTTTTTAACTTTGTTTTTGTTAAAATGGTTCACTTTTAAATTTGAGTATTTTTCATTAAAAAAGTATGATTTATTAAAAATGTGTTTTCACATTTTGTAAGCCACCCTTAAAGTGACTTCTATGATGTATACAGACAGAAAATGCAGTAAAATAGTATTTAACACAGTATGTTGATATTTAACCTAGTATAATAATATTAAACAATGAATAGCTCTATTGTTTTCTATATAAATAATATGCTCTTAAATAGATTCAATACAATATCAAAGGTCATAAAATGCATAATGGTGTTATTTCTACTCTATCTTGAGGGAGATACAGTGTTTTACAGTTAACCTATTTGAGCCTGAATGTTTTCAATACTAAGGAGCTGTTGTAAAGATTAAATGTCAGAAATAGGTAATTTTAGCTCAGAAACTGCCTGTAGTAAGAGAATAATAAATTATTCATTATAATTCAACAAATGTTTATACATTTATAAATATAATGCTAAAATTAAGATTCAGCAATACAACCATAAACGTTAATAACAGTAACACTGTGCAGATTATTCTAAAATATATAAGTAAGTTCATATTCACAGCCATTACTGTCCCAAGGGGACTTAAGCTTGCAGAAGATATTAACAAAAGTTCTCATAGATTGTGCCACTCAACTCATGGGATTTATCCTTAAACCAGTGGTATTACTCTGTAATACTCTCTTGGTGTTTGGTATCCATAAAATAATTATATAATAAAAATAGAAAAAATATTAGAAAACTCCTTCTAAAACAGATGATTGCATTACATCCTGCCTGTGTTCCATTCATTTGAGAATTCACATTCATCCAAACTGGAACAACTACTTTCATTTGACTCTATTCAGTTTAATCCTTTGTTTTGAGGACTACTTACAGATGGTGGTTACCGGGAACACTGATGACCAGGGATCAAATTAAGAGCACTAAGTCAGTTTATAAAGGCCAATGAAAAGCAGGAAAATGGAAATTACTTTCAGATAGAGATTACTAATTTGTACCAGGTTTGGTTGGGAGCCTAGTAACAAAGGTTTTGTATCTTATTACTCATCACTTGAGTCACTTGTTCCTCTTGTTCTTTAACTAACTGCTGTTATTTTACAAACTGCTTTTGTAATGTTTTCACTTAAGTCTAGGAAATAATGATGTTCATTTAAACCTTTAACTTTTTTTGTTGTTCCTTTTCTTTTTAGGGATGCAGATCTGTTCTTGTTAGACACAAGAAAGGCCCAAGCTTTAGATGTGGGTTGGCTTGTCTTTGATATCACTGTGACCAGCAATCATTGGGTGATTAATCCCCAGAATAATTTGGGCTTACAGCTCTGTGCAGAAACAGGGGATGGTAAGCACTGAATTTTATATATTTTTTTGTGAAGCTTGTTTGACACATTGAGAGTTATCGTTTTTTATGTGATATAACCAATATATGTTTTATATTTATGATGTCCAAGTCAACGCATTCTATAGGGTAGTGCAAAACTATATTAGTTAGTTAATCAATTCAGAACACATTTATCCAATACATTTATTGTCAGGCTCTGGGGTGGGAGGTAAAGAAGACGTAGGTACTGCTACTGTTCTCAAGGAATTTTTAGTCTAGTGTTGAAGACCTGTATATGTAAGTAAGTAGCACTACTCTAATACAACAATACCAAAATAATATAGTTGTGGTGGTTACACAACTATACGATTTGTAAAAATTTATGGAACTGTACATCAAATAAGAATAAATATTACTATATGCAAATTATGTCTTAAAGCTCGACTAAAACAATGATAAATATGTATCAAAAAAGACACTAGGGAAGTAAAGGAGCTACCAATAATACAAAGTGGGAGAGAGGAGATGGGGATGGAATGAGTCACAAAAAACTGCAGAAAAATAATACCAAGTTAGTTCTTTACATATTGCAATGTTTGATCAAAGACTACTGCTCCAGAAGTACTTGTGGAAGGGTCTGTGGGAAATCTTCACTTTTAAGAAGGTCCAGAAGTAATTCTTATGCTCACAAGTATTTACTGGGCACCTACTATATGCCCTAATACTGAAAAATAGTGACACATCAAAGACACCATGGGAAAGCAGAACATACACAGCTAAAGACACCTGGGATGGAGCCAAAAGAGCCACTTGGTGAGATTCTGGAGATATAAAAGTGAGCCAATGCAGATGGCTTTATGAGACTTGCATTTGAGTGATGCACGAGGTAGTAATAACACAATAGTATTAGTGAATGCATATCACAGCACACTGAGGTGTTCAATGGATCTGTGAACATAGGATGGTGACTAGATTTGAGCTATAATCTGAAACACGAAGATGTGATTAGGGGAAGAAGTTGGGGGGCAGGCAATTCAGACACATGGAACAGAATTTGCAGACTGTGGTGATGGTGATACTGGCATATTTGCTCAGAAGGCTCAGGAAGCCAAGGCCAATATATTCAGATCTTTGTTGCCCTTTGATCACTCAAAGTTCAAACACTCTAAACTCAAATCTAGACTTGCAGGTCATTTAAAATTATATTTGTCATGATAGGAGGATAAGACATAATTTAATGGTGTCCTACCTTTAAATACTTAATATTTAATTTTAAATATTTATAAAAAACATCATGGAGATCTACATTGTGCTGTTATTCTCTACCCTAAAAATGTTATCACCAGGGACAGGGAGGATAATTTTTAAAAAGATCATTAATAAGAGAACGTATCTTATTTAAGGTTCACTGCTTCTTGTTGTCACAGAATCAGGCAAGAAAAACATTAGGCCTACAGTCTACCTCCCTCATTTTTCATTGCGGTGTTACACAAAAGCCTTGTTTAATAAACCACAGAGGTAAGTAAAAGCTGTGTCTGTCTTGGACCTTTTTCAAGGAGATTTATTGCTATAAATGCTTAAGACTTCACTATGGCGTTGTTTTACCTGCAGCCAGTTTCATAGCCTATGGATAATACCATTACCGATGCTGTGACTGCAAAGATTGTATATATGGAATGAAGTTCACACACAAATTGAATATATTAAAGGGTTAGTCTAGTGCGTGTTTTATGTGTCTCAAATCTTTTTTTTTTTTTTTTTTTTGAGACGGAGTCTTGCTGTTTGTTGCCCAGGCTGGAGTGCAGTGGCGCAATCTCGGCTCACTGCAAGCTCTGCCTCCCCGATTCAAGCCATTCTCTCGCCTCAGCCTCCCGAGTAGCCGGGACTACAGGCGCCTGCCACCATGCCCGGCTAATTTTTTTGTATTTTTAGTAGAGACGGGGTTTCACCGTGTTAGCCAGGATGGTCTCGATCTCCTGACCTCGTGATCCGCCCGCCTTGGCCTTCCAAAGTGCTGGGATTACAGGCGTGAGCCACCGCGCCCGGCAGGGTCTCAAATCTTGATCTAGAAAAAGAAAGTTCTTACTGAAAGTATTATAGGCAAAGGTTCAGACCTTCCCTATGCTCTCAAATCCAGATTTTTCCATAGCTTTTAATTACAATGTTGAATTTTCATAAACAATTCAAATATTCTGGATTATAGGTTAGAGTACAATTATGGCTTTACGATTATCATTAAAGGATCCTCAGAGTTCAAGCATTATAAATGTAGACTGAGTAAAGCACAAATTTAAATAATCTTCCAAGAATTCTTACAATGTTAAGCTACTGTACATTTATCGTCAGAAATGTGACTGGGAAATTGGCACTGGGGAGGTAAGCCAATCGTTCCTTCCCTGGTATGTGGCCCAAACAAGAAAAATGAAATTAGTGGTATGTGCTTCTCCCACTCTCCTCTTTGGGGATATGCTTGAAATGTCTAACTAAACAAATCAAGAAATCTATGAAATATGATCAGCCTGTTTCCTTTTAATTTCCATCTTCCCTCTTGCTCCACGTGGACTTTCTAAAGTTTCTCTTTTTGTTTTTTCCCCCACTCTTATCTTGTATTGGTTCTCTCTTTTACTATTTCCATAATTTAACTTCTATGTTGTTTTCAATTTATCTTTTTCTCTCTGAGAACTAGTCTATATTTTGACTTTCCCTTTCTCTATGATTAATTTTCTCTTATATTACATGGGTAATTTTACTTTAAATTACTAGTATGTTATTTTTTAGCCTAGAGTAAACTAATGTTTTACTCCTTTAAAAGGTTTCCAAATTCCATATTTGAGAGTTTGGTTTGAAATATACAGCCTTTTGTTGCTTTTCCTTATCTCTTTGATATTGTCTAATTTGAAGAATTTTCAAATGGTTAAACATGCTAGGCTAGCTGGCTTTTTGCTTTTAGGCAGTACTTAAAACAGATTTTAACCAGAGGTGGAAGAGATAGGGCCTTGGGAAAGCAACTGATTCTCTGGGCACCTTAGTTTTATTAACTGCAACTTCATGGAGAATATACATGTGACATTTCCTTATAAATATGAATAACCAGATGCTTCAGCTTATTACAGCTTCACTCATTACCACTGCTTGTGTTCTCAATGTGACATTGCTTCAGAGCAGACAGACCATCTTTTATTTTCAGTAATATATTCCTAACGTTTTCTTCTAAGCAAAAGGAGTTGAAAATCATGAAAGGATGATAGGAAAGTCTGCTTTCAAATTCATTTGTAAACTATTATTCATTTATCCATTTGTCCAACATATAATTATTGAGTATCTGTGCATGCAAGGTAGCGGGTTACAAAAGCATATCACCTAAGAGACAGATATAGGTAGCTAATTTTAGAAATAACAAAGTGCCCTAATACTGAAAAATAGTGATACAACAAAGACACCATAGGAAAGCAGAACATACATGGCTAAAGACACCTGGGATGGAGCCAAAAGAGCCATGGTAGCGGTGGCCTTGAAACTGGGTCAGCAGTTAGATTCGTAAGAAATACAGATGAAGAGGAAGGGAAGTCATGGAAGTATGCGAAGTGATGGTGAGGGCAGGATAATTCATTCCTGGATGAAGAAACAGTAAGTAAATGCACACTATGTCAAAATGGCGTGGTATATTCTGGAAAAATTTAACAGTCCAGGATTGGCTAGAACAACTTTCATGTGTAAAATGTGATTGCAGATGCTATTAGGCAAGTGATCTGTAAACAAATCATGTAAGGAATATGAAATCTAAATTAAATGTAATATTCTCTTGTAGCTTGATCGTCAGCCATAAAAAAGAACTAAACTTACTACTTTAATCAATCACAGTAACACCACTGTGATTACAGGTTTGAATGAATGTCAGTTTCATGAGGTCATGGGACTTGTATCACTGATTCGCACTTGTACCCTCAGTGCGTGGCACAATGCAGGTCGTAGGTATTGAAAATGTCTTGAATGGTAATTGAGTGAGTTTGTAATTAAAAAGGTCTTGTAGTTCACTTGCCACTGAACATGTTCCTCTTAAGAAGACATTCCAAACTGTGAGTTTTGGAATTAGTAACTAAACCAGTTTAATGTAACATAGGAGCAGAATTTTGTAGAGCAAACCACAATACAGAAATTAAATAGTTTAAATCATAAGGAAAGGAGAAAGTCAGTGATGTGTATTATTAAATTTTGTTTAGCCTGCCCCTGTGAAGAAAAAATACCAAAAAGGTCTAAATATATTTTGGGAATCAAAAGGCTGCTGAAATCAAAAGTAGCATTTTGATTCCTCAGAGAGCCTGTGGAAATTATGTCAGTTTATGAAATACTCTTTTTAGAAATTTGACAAATGAACTGCAATGTATTTGGCAAGAGAGTTCAAGAATATTTTATTATTTTTTCATGCTGAATAGATAATTCTCAGAGCTCCATATGTTTGTTTCAGCAAAATAATACAAACATATGAGCAAGCAAATGAAAAAATATATTGCCGCTTCTTAATGGCAAAATTTAGACATTCCAGACAAGATGTTATATCCAATTTTACAAAATTGGTTTTAAAGTTCTCAAGCACTTTCTCATGGTGGTTAATAAACCTCTATGATAAAATAAATTCTATTTTTGTTTTTAATAGCAAATGAGTAGGCTTAAATCTGTCCTAAATTATTGTAAGATTTCTAGTTCCCTACATTATAATGATACATTAATTAACTGACATACTAGGTCTTTATTAACATTGCTAATAAATCTACAGTAATGATTTTTCCTACACACATATGCACATAGTTTATTACACAGATAGCAATTTAATCTAACTTTAAAGACTTGAGTTTTCCCCCCAAACACTATAATTTTCCGTTGTTTGATGCTTTATATAGCTTAAGCCTTCCAAGTAGATTAATTCTTTTTTTCAAACTTGGGTTTATAGAATAATTTAGAGATTGAAAAACAAAGATAGCATTTTGGGGTTCATTAGAATGTCTTTTAAAAAGCCCTATGTTTTCAGACATTTTCGGTTTGGCAATACTCAGAATGAATTTTGCCAGTGACTTTTTTTCTTTCTATTCAAACTTGCTTATACATCAAGAAAAATTCAATCCGTATGTTTCTGATTCATTTGTATTCAAGTCATCAAAATGTCGTTTTGTCAGAGAGTTGTTTAATGTCCAAGAAACATTATAAGGTTATTTTTTAGAAGTAGGACTTAAGAGCCATTTTGAAAACAAAGTCAGCATAATTTTCAACCACATCAAGGTAAAACTTCAGGTTTAAAGTCAGAAAGTTTAAAGTTTCACTAAATTTTGTACCCAAATCAAGAAAAAAAAAAGATTTCAGAGGTATTAAACTGTCAAATTAAATTATATGGTAACTGATACTTAAATGTAAAATAAAGAAACATTGCTTACAGTAACTTAGAATTTAAAGTTTTGATATTTAAATGAGGAGGATAAATGAACAGATAGCTACATTCTGGAAATAAACATTTTAAAAAGAAATCATTAGGAAAATTAGATTAAAATCTGGGCTCTGATAAAATACTTACCATTCTAGCCATTGCATTGCATCAATAAAATGAGTGTGATAGTAATTACCTCACAAGGTATGTGAAGTTGTATTAGATGATAGTAGCTGGCACATGGTAGGGCACAAATAAAGTTCTGTATGATAAATTGGACTAGAGATTGCACAGACTTTTCACTTACATTAGCTCTGGTTATCACTCCTTTAACTTGGGACTAGTTCTTTTATTGTGGAGGTTTTGCAGATGATTTAAATACATTTTAGATAAATTCACAAGTGATAGTCCACAGGGAAAAGGTCAGATTGATGTATATTCTGAAACTTTGAGTTGACAGCAGAGTATATAGGCAGTTATGTTATTAAGCTCATGTTTAATAACATTGATTGATAAAATAATTACTAATAAGAAAGTTTTAACCTGTTTCAATCTAGGGTGTGAAGTCAATAGAAATGAACCCATTTTGTTCTTAGAAAAACAACATATTTTTGGAGATTACTAATTTAATCAATGAAAATAAGGGAAACAAGCTTTTCGTAATGCAATAGGATTATATATGGGGCTAATTTATTAAAGGCTGGCCAACATTAGCATAAAAACTCCTGTTTAAAATGCCTCAGGACAAATTACTAGTATTTGAGTTAATAAACCTATTAGTAAGCGTTAAACAGTAGAATGGATTCTTACAAAGATAATTGAATTACAAGCAGGATTTTAATGTTCATAGAACACAAGATCAAATAAATATTAGTAGTCTTTGATAAAGAGTAGGGTCCAATGGTCCCTAATACATGTTGTGCTGATGTTTATACCAAACCATATAAAATCTCCACCATGTAAATGGTATTTCCCAAAAAATGCTGGGAAAGCTGAGATTTTAGATTTTGAGATTTAGATTTTAGAAAATCAGAGATTTTCTAAAAGTACCAACAGTTTAATCCTCTTTTATTTTCGCCAATATTATTCTGCAAACTTCAAATAAAGTCTTTTGTTATCAGGACAATTATCTTGAAAGTGGGTAATTTTACATTTCATTACCCAGGATGTTGCTGTGTTCTCTCCTTTTCAACCTGTGATAATTTTTGTTGTTGTTGTTCATTCCCAGTAATTGACAACTGTTACAGCTATGTTAACAAAGAACAGGATTCATCTTTTTCTTCAACATTGGGTTGTTTTTCATTCCTACCTGCACAGTAATTTAACATACTGATAACATTTCTTTTCCAAATTAAAATATCCAGTAATATTTCCTAAATGTATTCTGTTAAACTCAGTTTTTCCAAAATTGCCACATCTTTTGAATTGCAGTATATTCCTAATTAGAAACATATATTCCAGTATCTAAAGTCCACATGTGATTATATATTAAACAAAGATATAATTTACAACTGAATATTCTTTTAGGTTTATAAAATTTAAGTGTATTTGTGTGAGAAATGCAGAGTTCTTAATATAATATCTACTTAAATTTAGTAAGTCCTAGAATCTGCTATTTTTAAATGGAAGTATCTGCCTAAGTTTGTTGTGTTATTCTTCGTATCCCTAAGAGAGTGGTTTTTACCTCAGGGAAAGAGCTCCAAATTAAGCCTCTGTGTTGTCAGAGGTTTAATTTATCTGTGTCAAGGGTTAGATGATCTATATGGCTGGGTAATCTGAATATCAGCTGACAGTGCTAATAAGTAGCAGAAGAAATTCAAAGATCAAGGGTGATATTTTTCTTTTTCTCCTGCTGTTTTGACTACAGTTTCTCATTATTATTTATCTAAGTTCAAAAAGTTGAATTATGTCCACTTATCTGAGGATCTTTTAAACATTCTAAGATTTGATAATATTTCCTTCTCTTATCTGAATCTTATCTTTTGAAGTAATTAAGTCATTTTTGTTCATAAAACCATATGGCTCCCCTTTTGCTGAATTTATGGTGATGACAATTGGTTTTAAATAAACAAATGAGAGAGTATCTATATCCAAGAAACTGAAAGAATCACATATCTTGCTGGAGGTTCTGAAAGGAAAAAAGAAGATATACACTTATGATTTGCTCTAGATAAATATTGTTATAAATAAGTAGTTCTTTATGTATTGTCTAATGTTTAAGGATAATTAGCTTTGACTTCTGGATTAATATTTAAGAATAAATTAGGAAGACAGCAGAAGAATAGTTATCTTCCAGTACCTGAAGAAATGAAATTAATAAATAAAATTGAACTTTTTCTCTACAGTCCACAAGTTAAATCAATGTGCATAAAAGGCAAACTGAGGGCTCTTTACAAAAGAAAAAAAAAGCCTGAATAATGGAAGCCAATGGCCTTAGAATTGTTTGTTCTGTGAGGAATAAGCTCTATGTGACTTGAAGAATTCACTATTTAGTTGACTTCTTGTCTAGGAATTATACAGCATAATGTAAATTTTCAGGTAATTTCTACAGTCACTTACAACCTTGCTGCATCATGGAATGGTACGCCAATTGTAATCTTTAAGCATATATTTATACTTTAAGCATTATATTCATGTATAAAAAAACACTATATGTAGAGAGGGTACAGTGAATGGAAATGCATTGTCTTAGAGGAGGCTGGTATTAAACAGTTACATTCAAACCCCAACTTAAGATATGGTATAAAAATAGTGATGGAGAAACTGGTAAAGAGAAGCGAGAAAGTTAGACATGTTTTTCTGTGCGCATGCATGGGTGTGTAGACATGGAATACCCAGGCATATACACATTCTCAAGTAATTGTGTTAGGGATCAAATATAAATTCATAGTTGAAAATCTATAATAAGATTTCTAGAGAGTTCTTTTTACAGCATTTAGCAGGATTGTATTTTCTTTTTAAGTGCCATACTAAATGCTTTAGTATCATAGCAAAACATAAAACTCAATCTAAATTTTTCCATAACATTTTAGAGTGCCTTCTACTTTTATCAAATTTTTTCATCAAATTTCAAAAACATCAAAACATAAATTATCTATGGCCATGTGTTACTTTCTGAAAAAATTTTTTTTTTTTTGCAAGAAATCAAGCCTTGGAGAAATATTTAAAAGATGTGGCTAAGAGAAACAACTATGTTGGTCATTTTAATGTGAATGTTTAGCAAAAGTGTCATTGAGAATTCCTGTACATTTATGGTAAACATGACTAGATTTCTACTGAAAATAAATATGACATAGATTTCCCTTGGGGTCTGAAATCAGTATTTGTTAATTTTCCAAACCCACGTATGCTGTGACCCATGGGTTTTCTAACTCGCGTAATGTCTTAAAGCACATCGGAGAACATAAATCTTCCCTGTATGCTTTAGTTTTTTGTCATTTGCCCACTGCATACAAATGAGCAAAATGTCTTTCATGGCAGGAGTAACTGAACATAAATAACGGATCACTGTTAAATTTCTACTTGGTTCAACCAGAGATCTCGTTAATTCTCTTATTAGCCATATAGAATTTTCATAAAATATACTCCATGTATTTTCAAACATTCTTCTTATCAACTTATTTTCTGTCTATACAAATATCCTCTTTTTTATACGCTGATTTCAGCAATACCTTTTGCCAATATCAATTTGTTCTTTCATGCTAATATTTAGTATTTTTAAATTCTACATAGTTAATCCAGGTTTAACTTTCTAGGTATATTTTTAATTCATTTTCAGTAAGAATTTAAACCATGCATTTCCTGTGATGGACAACTGAAATCAAATAAATAACATTAGTGGAAACTAACATTGCTGAGAGCTTACTCAGTGTTAACCATTTTGCTAAGCTCTTTAAATGAAATATCTACTTCTTCTTAACCCATTTTGTACACGAGTAAATGTAGCTTAAGAATAAATCTGAAAACGATTTGTTTTCAGAGCCACCCTCTTATATGCTGACTCTTACAAATTAAATTAGTCTTTTATAAATTCTGAACTGAAAAATAATTGTATTGTTATAATTTCCAAATAAAACAATGCCATTAAAAATGATTATAAGGGAGAGAATTGAATTTTTGCTGTATCTGTTGGGAATTATTTTTGGGTTTTTATATTTTCTGCCTGGAGTTTAATTGTGATGTGGTCCACAATATGTAACAGTAATTCTGTCACATTTTTTATTTTCTAAATCAACCTTTTCTTTTGTCTCTTTGTGTAATTATAGTTAATTTGATAAATTAATAAATAGGAAAGGAGAAAAAGAAACTTTTCATCTGCTGATGATTCACTTCAACATGAAATTTAGTCAAATTTAATCTTTTTATTTAGAACTTGATAACAAACCCCCTCTTCTTAATTTAGTCTTGTATGATGATTCTTAGGCAGGAAATAATTTCTCTTTATAGTTATTGATTATAGAATATATTCAATAATAAATTGAAAGACTAAATTTTGCTGTTTTATCATGTACATTGTATAAACAATATTTTAAAAATAGTCTTTTTTTCTTTTGAAGACTTGCATCTCTTTGTTATGTCCTCTTAGGATAATTACATAGCAGTAAACATTTTAAAAAGAATAATATCTGAAACATTTGGCATAGTCTAGTTACTAAGAAACGACAGTTCTCTTCTTCAAGTCCCAAAGCAGGTAACATATGTAAGGGGAGAATTGCAGGTTTGATCATACTTAAGAACATCTTACACTGGCAGATCACAATAACTTAATTCGGAAGTCTTAGCTTTTGTTTTAATTTAGTTTATTTATATTTGAATGAGAGCCATATGGTTAACATAGTTTGCTTATCCAAAGTTCAGCATCGCAACTAAAAAACATATATGAAAAAAGGTTTTAAAATTATTGATTTAAAGTAAGCAGTTACAAACAGGAGTTAGTTGTGGTTCACTATCTGGCAAAATATATATTTTACTAATTTTTAAGGTTTCTTTTAATGAAAAGGGGTTCAGAAGTGCTTGGCTACATCTGTATTTCTGTTTTTGATTTTCCCTAATTCAGAACAGTAACTATAGAGCACCAGTCTTACCAAACAAATGCCAAAGTCAGAAATATTTTTTAGTTTTTGTTGTTTGTTATATTTTCTCTTCTAGACTCTAGCTAAACTGATGATCTGTGGGGTAAATATTTTCATGGTAATATCAATTTAGGATCATGAAAAATATAAAATACTACTTATTGTCATCATACACTAGGGTTGACTCTTTCTTTTCTTTTCTTTCTACTTAAGTTTAACTTATTGTTGACATATCTCTCAAAGATATATTGCAAAACTAGCAGTAGTGCTGGTATTTGTATCCTGAGCAGAGAGCACAAGTGAGAAGAAAAGAGAACCTTTAATCCTTATAAGGCATGAGCAACCACAGTGTATCTATACTGCTGAGAGTTAAATTTTGGCATGCGGGTAATAAGATTATAAGAGAGAGAGGAAAACCAAAACAGAAACAAACAAACAAAAAACAAAGGCATCTAACCATCAAATCCAGTAGTATATATTGGAAGTGGCAATCAAAATTTGGATTAGACTAATACTACTTTGACAATTAAATTATATATCCCCACTCCTTAAAAATGTATGCTAATTTCTCTGTAGTGTGACAGTAATTGAATCTAAGTTTCAATTAGAGTGGAATAGGAACTGGGGAAGCCACCTGCCTTCTTATGGCTAATAAGAAGTATTGAGTCTTCATCTTCCTACTTACTTACTAAGGAAAGTCTGATCCTGAACTTAACGAAAGAAGCAGCTATAACATTATTCTTGGAAACTACAATACGTATGCCACTGACAGGCTATTTTTCCTCCATTCTTCTCAAGGTGAAAATATTTATACAGGAACCCAAGATGAAAGTATTCACCAATCTCTAAAAAGTGGACTACTGTGTACTTAGAGGAAAAGCATACTACTTTAGTAGTGTGACAAGGCTGAGTTAAAAATCTGACTCTTTTTTGAGCCTTATTTTAAGAGGATAACAGTTGCTTTGCTGTGAGGAGTAAATAAGATGTATACAAATCAACTGGTAAAATAGTTGTCTTCAGTACATGGCAGCTGTTGCTTCTCTCTTAATTTCAGAAATGTTGAATTGGCTTTTTCAATTCCCAATGTCCCTGATCCTTTCAGACACGCTTCTTATTACTCTCAGGTACCAGTTATGTTTATATGTAGAAGTATTCTTCACGTTATTTTTCTCTGAAGTAACACAACTGATAGAAATATGGAAGTTGTACTTATGCTATGAGGTCAGATGACACTGCTGACCTAGATTGAGCACAAGAAAACACTCTTGGAAACCAGCTATTATTTTGCATGCAAATGGTTCAGGATGCTTTTGTTCTGGAGGCCAGCAAGGAATCATGGTGGTGTAAGATTTCACCTTGTAACTCGTCCCTTATGTGGGGCAGGCTAGATGGCCTTCTGGCCATAGCCAGATACATGAAAAAATGGTGAAGAAAAATTCTGCTTCCTTCTACTCAGAAGAATGCTTTATGATCAGCCTTCATATGTGAAGAAAATAAGCCCCAAATACTAAAACTCCACATTTTTAAATTTACTTTTTATTTATAATTGAAACAATATTGCACATATTTTTGCGGTACAATGTGGTGTTTCAATGCATGTGTACAAAGTGTAATGACCAAATCAAAGTGATTATCATATCCATCATTTTAAACGTTTATTATTTCTTTGTGGTAGCAGCATTCAAAATGTGTTCCTGCAGAAGTAGTTACTATGGCATATTACATTAGGTATCTCAGTATCAGTTCTCTACTGCATATTTTAGAAAATATAGTTCACTTTTTTTTTCACTTTCTTTATTAGGTGCCGAATAATTTATTTTTCTTCTATTTTGCTGGTACTAGACTGATCCAAAGATCCTGGAAGTAGCCTATGATCATTTGATAGGTTCATGTACAAATCAAAAGGGAAGGTCAAATATTTAACAAATAGATTTTCTGTATGATAGGCCGAGGTGGGTGAATCACCTGTGGTCAGGAGTTTGAGACCAGCCTGGTCAACATGGTGAAACCCTGTCTCTACTAAAAAAATACAAAAACTTCACCAGGTGTGGTGGCACATGCCTCTAGTCCTAGCTACTCAGGAGTCTGAAGGAGGAGAATCACTTGAACTTGGGAGGCTGAGGTTGCAGTGAGCCGAAATCACATCACTGCGCTCCAGCCTGGGCGACAGAACGAGACTCCATCTCAAAAAAAAAAAAAAAAAATTTGGAATAATATAGTAGCTGGTAAAAGAGTATCTCCTTTAGATACTCAGTAAGTTTCCCAAGTAACTAAGTTTCAAAGACCACTTTAATTACTATAGGTAAAATGCAGAATACTAAAATTTCACTGCTGTGAAACAAACTAAAATGTGTTTGACATCTAAAAGCTTTTTGTCATTGATGTTGTAACACAAAGAAAGAGTTTTTAAAGTTTTTGGTTGATTTCTGCTGAAATTCTGCTTCCCTATAGTTTTACTAAAATCCCCCAGGCTTCTGAAGGAAAAGATTCTTTCATTTAAGATATGTATAATTTTTATTTTAAAAAGTCACATAATAACTGGAGAAGAAGAAGAAAAATAATTCACTGTTCTCATGATTTTGTGAAAAGAATGTTTCTACTTTCTTAAAATAAATGAGGGCTATAAGACCAACTGCTAACCAATCTTTTTGGGGCATGTGACAGATGATGTCTGTAAAGTTCATAGGACCTCAGGGGAAAGGTGCTATATATAAAGACAAGAGCTATTAAAAAGTAAGTGCTTTTGTGGAGGTAAACTACAATCCCTAGCGTGAGATTCATATTTCTAGCGGCTGAAAATAGGGACCAAGTAAAACACATTTGTTGGGCTTGTCATGCCCGAGACAGCAAGCCCCTCATTTCAGAGTGATGTCCCATGGAAGGAAACTAATCATTTTCCATCACCTCAGTCCTGCCCTCCATGCAATAAAACATTTCAGCATTCTGGACAGCTTCCACAACTGGGCACAAACCTCTGGCCATGCTGCTTTACAGTTCTCAGCTTCTCTGTCCTCAGGCCCTACTTCCTGGACCCTCATGAGCTTGGGTTCTCAAGGGTTTGTGTTTCTCCCCCTGCATGACTTTAGTTATCCTGCCAATGTTTCTGACCAAATATCCCGTTTCTTTTCTAAGCCCCGTCACTTTATCAAACTGTGGGGCACGACAGTATCTTCTGCAAAATTTTTAGAAAGAATGTCAACACTTTAAAAAATCTCTATCCCCTTTAAACTTCTTTATCCCTAACATACCCAAATCATATAGAAAAATGGATTTCTTCTACTGCTATATGTTACCAGGAGTTGTAACCACGTTTCTTTCTTTCTTTCTTTCTTTCTTTCTTTTTTTTTTTTTTTTTAGTAGTGATGGGGTTTCACTGTGTTAACCAGAATGGTCTCGATCTTCTGACCTTGTGATTGGCCCACCTTGGCCTCCCAAAGTGCTGGGATTACAGGCGTGAGCCACCATTCCTGGCCATAAGCACGTTTCTTATCCACAGAAAACTCTCAACTCATAGTTCATATCAGTGTGTCAGGGTACTGCTACTAATAATAGCCCTTCCTGGATTTCATTTTTCCAGTCCGTCTTTTTTTTCCCCTTTACTTATGAGCCACAGAATCCTATGCTTGTTTGTACATATTATTACATTTGTCCCTTCCTTTGATTTTCACACATTACCAATAATATATAATTATCAATATATAATACTGGCAAAGTGGCTTTTTTTTTAGATTACTCTTTTAAATGTCAGTAAAAAGAAGAGAAGAGAAAAGTCCAGCCAAGGTATTGTACGCCAAACCTCATTTGTTAAACAGAACCCCAGAATTACTGTGAAGAATCACTCAAAAATCTTATCCTGTTCTCTACAGTTAAAAGAAAATTTTAATACTTAAAAAATAGTTTAAAATCCCAACTTTTCCTTATTTTTGTTTGAATTTATAAAGCAATGTAAACCATTTGAAAAACAAGAAAGTAATAAGGAGGAACGCTAAATTTCTGTTTGTGATACTTCAAGTCTGTATACTTAACTCTGGCAACAGGTCTGCGCTTTTACAATAAAACTACAAAAGATGCAAATTTTTCATCAAAGTATAACAAAGTTGAAATTTGTAGCTAGATTACAATATACTTAATTTAAGATTATAGTAAATTTAAGTATATATAGAATTTAAGTAGACAAGATTCTATCTTCCTCACATTCCTTAAAATCTCATATAAAAATGATTTATTCTGTATGCTGGGTGGTGAATTCTGTACGTTTTAAATGATCAGTTTCTAAAAAGGGTAGAATTCTAGTATAATTTAGAGTCATATAATCCATAATTTCACAGTACCAGAATCAAAGTTAATCACAGGTTGAAAATAAGTGAAGATCAGATAGATGTGTGGATGGGAGATAATACACTGATTTGACTACTGCTAAGGAGTCCATAACGGATACTGCAAGAGCCATTTTTGAAATGAAGAAAAGATAATTTGTGCACAAGTTCCATCACAGGTGTTTTGGGTTAAGCAGTCAATTACCGTGGGTTTAGAGGAGAAAAAAACGAACTGGAATGTATGCTAACATCTCAAAGTGATATCAACGTTTAGACTCTGATAAATCCTCAAATGAATGTTTTTCAAACTGTGTATCCTAGAGGGAAACTCAATGATCATATTTGGAACCACTTATCCTTATAACATCAACATGTGTCTGAAGAGCTGTTTTATGTCAGAATCTCCTTTAATAACTCTGTTTTGAAAGAAATAAACATTTTGAAAATCATATTTTCCAAAAGGAGTGGTCTGAAATACAAAACCGGTGAGTCTGGGATAGAGCTTTGGTTTGCCAGTCTACCTTCCCTGTGACTATAAATTTGAAATAGTTTCAGTTGTGTTCTTAGGCAAATGTGACCACAATACACTAACCTCAGTACTTATATGAAGTCATTTGGGTTAGAGTAGCAGATCTAGAAGGATTGAATCTCCAGCCCCAATTATGACAAAATTTAGTAGTTCAGCGCTCCAGCCTCATCTACATCCTTCTTGATCTCTTTATGAATAGAATAATAATTTCTTAGAAGATATCAGTCCAATCCTATCTTTGTTCACTGAGTTAATAAAACTGTAAAATAATATACCCATATATTTGCTGCTCAAATTGTTTCTTTATGATTCTGGTACAATAATTTTGAGGAGAAAATAAGATGGACAAGGTATAAATATTTCTTAAAAAACTTTTCACGAGCAAATATTTAATATTTTTGTTTGTTTTTTGTTTTGTTTTGTTTTTGTAAATACAAAAAGACAATATCTATGTCAATAACAAACTCTGGATGCCTACAGTTATAGTCATTACCACTTTCATTTCATAATCCAAGTATTATATGATACCCAAACCTGAAATAATTAGGAATAAACAATGTTTCTTTGGGTCTAACTGCCACCAGCAAGATCACTGAAATGTTGGCACATCCTTCAAGAACCCTTTCAATCTCCTCTCTGCTGTCTCTTCTTCCCTCCCATTTGTGTGTTTAAGCTTGAACAGCTTCCAGCAACCAAGCTTTTTACCTCCTATTACCACCCCATCCATTTAGCAGATCACATCCCTACCCTCTTTCCAGTGTCCACATCAAGACATGGATATCATACAAGGGAATTTTTCTCTTGCAATTGGAGCCACTTTATCCCATTACTGGCATTGTCTCTTGCTTTGCTTTGGTATAGTTATTGATGCACATTAAAACTCCCAGTGTTGTCAGATTGCTGCTCCGCTCAGCTTTGAGCTGGTACTACTCTTTGAAGTCAATGCTGATGACTAATACAGAAGATAATTTCGGAGATCATTCTGTTGCTGCCATCCTGACCCAATGTGGAACTGCTCAGAAGCCATTCTTCTCATATAGAGAGAATCTTTGTTCACCACTTCTGCCAGTCTGTTAACTAAGTTCCAAAGTAGTGCTACCTTGTCTTCCCAGTATTTTAGAGACTTTGGGTAAAAGGGATGTATTAGATTTTCTTTGATTCCCTTTCTTTCTAGGAGTTAAACATGCATCTATTGAAGCTGTGCCAGAAGTAACTCTGAGTTATAGACTTAAAAAAATATCACTGCAGCTCATCTTTTTCTTAAGATGACTTCTTGCCCACAAAATTGCTCAATCTTCTTTAAATATATGCCTGGCGAATCAAATCTATCACTGTTCTAGCTATGCCTGGATGTGTCTGAATCCTAAGGTGACTAAGCTTGGGCTCAAGCTGGTATCCTTACCATACTTTATTTTAATGTTCTTTTTGTTACCTCACCCCCATTTTCATTTCCACTGTATATTCAATGCTTCATCTTTATGTATGTTTTTAAACTAGAAACTACTCTAAAACAAGAATCAGCTTTGAAAATTAAATCCATGTTGATACACACATGTAAAGGTAATGTGTTTCTAAATCAAAATGCTTTAGGTAGGCTTCTTCAGTTATATATTTGCAATATCTAAAACATACTGTATGTTTAATAATATCATTTAAAAAGTTCAAATAAAGTTTTATAAAGAATTTACTTTTTTTTTAATACATACGGTGTAGTCTGGGTTTCTCTCAGTACTTCTACTAAAATAACTATTCAGTCTTTGAAAAGGTTTAGTCAACATAATCAATATAAGTGTATTGTTTCTGAAATACTAGGTCAAATAGTTAATGCATCTATGGTGTAGCTCAAGACCAAGGGTAACTGAGCAAGCATTAACTTGTGGAATCTTAATAGTCACTCCATTGCTGAAGTAAAAAGGAAACCAAGAGGAAACTTAATAATATTAAAAGTTATTTTAAAGGGAGTTCACATTGGTTTGGAGGGTACTTTGCTTCAAATACAATATCCACCTTTGTAAAACCCAAGAAACCCGTATTTGTAACATACACACATCTTTTCAGTTTTTAGAACATAAATCTTCAGATCCGTATTATTTCTCCACAGATAAAAATTAAAATATTGAAAGTCTTTGGAATAATAACAAAAGAAACCCCCTGGCAACCCAAAGGAAACTTGGAACTTCTTGTTAAGTGCTTATTTAACTATAAAAGAGTCAGTGTGTGTTGTAATGAATGGAAAATTGATTTTATTGTATTCCATTTATGAACATCTCTCAGCAACCTATTTCAGTATTAGAAAGATCATACATTAAAAATGATTTCTGCAGTCATCAATGTATACAAGTTAAAATTTAGCTCCTGTTAAATTAACACTTCATTAAAATATCAAAATAAAAGCTTCGTCAAATACTTTTTTATGTTGTACTCCAAGACAGAAAAAAAAAATGAAAAAATTTAAAGAACAGATTGCTAGTTATTCTATTCTATAACAGTTAAGTTTCTCAGTTCTTTTTTTTTTCTTTTGCTAAGCTCTCTGTCACTGGAAACATCTTAAACCAATTTCAAGTGCTACACCTGAATAAACATGTTGTAAAAGTGTTTATGTATTGAAGTGGGTCAGTTCAAGGTATGGTATTTGGCTGGAACTTCTAATTTCTCTTTTTACAGTGAAAGGGCTGCCAGAAGGAGGAAGTCTGAGCTGAATTAATACATTTGTTACAGTGGAAGTAGAATGGAAACTGCTCGGACCACAAATCAAACTGCCTCTTTCATTTATGCCAGTGATAGAGTTTTTCTAAAAAATATAGACTCTGGCATAGAGCCACTGTAAGTTTGCATTTAAAAGAGAAATCTATATGCTTATTTGTTTAAGGTTTACTGCTTTGATTATTTGTAAGTCCCTTCTCTTGTAGAACTCAGTATAGTGGCATTTGTGAGGCAGATGGCCATTTTAATACTTGTAGGAATTGGACAACTTTTCCCAGTAGGTTGTAAGACAACTGTGGAGGATACCTATGCTGTCTAAATTGATGCAGCCTTTTTTTTTTTTTCAACCAATACCTCCACATTTGAAGAACCCCTGTGTCCGTCCCTCTCAACAGCTGCACAACCTTATACGACACGGTCTCATTTTCTGACGGTCTTGTTCTCTGCACAATGGAAGTATACACAAAAGTTTTTATGCTGCCAAAATAAATTTTGTTAAGAGCAAGGGTTTATTTGCTAAAATGCCATTGATGCCATTTTGGGGACTTGCTTTCCTTTCCTTTCTTCTAAGGTGGGTCAGGTTTTATAATGGACTGAGGTTGCTCCACAGTCTTTACTGAATAAATATTTTAAGAAAACATGCACATCTCTCATGGGGCAAGCCAGAGTCAATCATGCACATATTTCAAACCACATTATATGTTACTCTTAAAAGATTGCTAACTTCTGTATCTAGAGTAGCAACTTTGCATAAGATATACATAATTCTTAACCAAATTTACAATTTAAGGTTAAATATCATCTTTGAATGATTTTCATTGAACCAGATATCAATGGTTTTCTTTTTCACATATATATAAAATATAATTTTCAGTGATTATTTTAAATTAGAAGAGCCTAATAAAAACTACTAAAAGAGGATACTATTAATACCTAACTGTAGGGCATTTGTGGAATCCAATTAAATAATGCATGGAAACTACTTAGAAAGATGCCTAGCACAGCAACCACTCCAAAGTGATTTGACATAGTTTTAAGTATTATTATTACTACCCACATGGGAGAGGTACTTTATCAACTTTATCTCTAGGGCACCTTGACTTTTAACTCACTCCTATATTGGTACTTGTTGTGTCCCTTTTCACTGATATATAACCACATCAAAGAACACATAAGGGTCTGAGACACAGGCTAGTTTATAGGCAAATTTGAGTCTTGAAGCTCACTTGGATTGTTTATTCTTCTTTCTGAGAGTCTCCAGGCTTGGTTTGCCTCTTCTGAATTCCTTTCAGTAAACATTTAGGTGTGTCAAAACTCAGAAGGGGAGGAATTCCAAAATTTCTATGTTTATTTCACAATACTTCATATTGATAATTATCAGGTTGGTGCAAAGGTAATTGCAGTTTTTGCCACTACTTTTAATAACTGCGGCTTAAAGCAGACCTCCATCCCCAGACTAGGCTTCCAGAATGACTTGTGAAGAACTTTAAGTGTAGTGCAGCTTAGTAAAGGTTGCTGGGCACTGGCCAGAAGTGAAGGTGGAAAGGCTATCACCACTAATTAACACTTGAAAGGCTTCGAATAGGCTGGAGAAAGTAGAAACACCCTGCCAAGTATTCGGCTTTTATAACTTAAAGGAAAATTACAGGGCATTTAGTGCCGAAGAGCCCATAGCTAATATTTTTTTAAATTGTTATTTAATGTGGACATTTCCAGGCGAATGAGTAGTCAAATCTTCCAATTTATAGTATTCTTGACTTCAAGGTCTGAGAAGCTCTCAGTGAGTGAAAGCAGCTGGAGGGTATTCTGTGGTGGAAGAATGATGCAAGATGTAACACCATAGATGGATAATTGTCTGTAATAGTAAGCCTCAATATTTATAAGAATCTTGGCCTGTAAGGAAGGCATTCTGATAATGTTTTAAAACTTTTCCCCTTTTCAAAGTACCCTCAGAATTCATTCACATCAGGTAATTGTTCTTTCTTTTTCATAAACCAAGTGCTTTTGTATTACGTTCTAGGACGCAGTATCAACGTAAAATCTGCTGGTCTTGTGGGAAGACAGGGACCTCAGTCAAAACAACCATTCATGGTGGCCTTCTTCAAGGCGAGTGAGGTACTTCTTCGATCCGTGAGAGCAGCCAACAAACGAAAAAATCAAAACCGCAATAAATCCAGCTCTCATCAGGACTCCTCCAGAATGTCCAGTGTTGGAGGTAAGAATAAACCCGAGCAGCAGTTATGCACAGAGAGTTATGGGGTCGTATGCTGCAAATCAAGTAGCCACAATAAATTTACCCTCTATGTATACCTTCGGATGGTACATTAAATCTTCCAGTGATGTTTCTAGCATCCCAGAATGTTTCATCAGTGAATCACTCAGTAATTCATTTTAAAATACATATGAGTTGCCTTCATATGTTGAAAGATTCAGTTCAAATTAAAGTCAAGATGACAGTAATAAAATTATGAAATGGCTAATCAACACAATCTAGCCAGAACTGAGCTACATGACTTGCTGAGCTAACTTCCTCAGGGCCTTTCAAAAATGGATGGTCAACCAGGTAAATTAAATGTAAAATCCTTTCTTTCGTACTTAAGTCAATACATGTGAATTATGCTACTCAGTTTTATTTTTCTGAGATTAGCAGGAGAAAGACATAAGAAGACAATGATTAAAATATTTACCTTTTCATTATTTGGAGGACTATTATCTAATTTTCTTCAGGTGTGTCTACACACACACACACACACACACACACACACACAGTCTTTCAACAAAATATTACGAATGCACAATTCATGTCAGTCTTTGCAAATTAATCTGTTAATTATAGAGGGATCAAATTTCAATTGATCAGAAAGCATCTAACTGCCAAAATTTGTAGTGGCTTAATCGTATTATTTATACCAAGAAGTACCTTGTTTAGTCCAGGATGCAAACAGTAAGCTGTTAGATGAAAATGGTGGCTATTTTAGTTCAAAAATTGATTTCATGTATAAAAATAAATTTGAAGGGGGAACTCATCCTGGAACATCTCAATGTAGTATCACATACTTATCTATTTGTCAAATATGCATTCTTCTGTGATAATGGCCAATTTATGCATAGCACTCTGCCAGGCATGATGGATGAACTAATAAGCAAAAGATACATGATTCCTATATATATTATTTTACCAAATTGAAATTCTAACTTCAAACAGTCTTTGTCATTATTCCTAAAATCTTCATTTTTCTCAGGTTACTTGAAAATGACAGGTCATACAGCAGCTATTTATTACTCAAACATGCATGAGTGTTTAGATAAGAAATAGATGACGACCTTTATTTGTTTGTTTTTATTTGCTCAGAGACGCTCCATAAAACTACTAGGTGGAATTCATTGGACTTTTCCTAAAGGGTAGGCACCAGGAGAATCACGTTAGAAGTCCTATTTGTGTGGCAAGCAACAGAAGCAGGAGGGAAGATTTCTGTATGGAATTGCATTATACTGAATTAAATGCTGCTTATAAGGTGATGTTTTAAAATAATTTTCCAACAAAGAAATTTAACCACTTTTAGTAAAGCATGACACTAGTGCCTTATTACAACGCTATTTTTTAAAGATATTCACAAGATATTTAGTTTGGCAAAAAGCTGTAATTACTTAATATGAAAGATGGAGAAAAATAACTTTCTAAGACCTTTTCTTCCTGGTAAATACTAGGCTGTCAAACTTGTATATTTTTCTTTTCATGTAGAATGGTTCTAAGTTTGGTTGAAATGTTTTTAATTTAATGTAGCAGACTGTATTAAGAAAAAGTTTTGCTAAACCTTGAATAGAATAGTAAATAATTTTGGAGGAAATTACAAAGGGAAAAGTATAAGTCACATACTTATTATTTGAGCTCATAATGACTCTGGCAGAGGTGTTCCGGTGACTGAAATCATCAAAGTCCTTTTCCCTATTGGTTAACTCTATTTATCTTCTCTTCCTAACCACAAGAAACAAATGTACGTCTATAAGCAGAGATGAATAAAACACATGGAGCAGAAATCACGTAACTTTTCACCAGTTTCCTAACACCATTTAGAGTACAAAATTATTCTAATATAGACCAATATTTTCTTTTTGAAATTTTGTCATTGGCAACCATTTCTGTGAAATATGTGGTAGATGGTTTTGGAGTGTGTTCATATTTTGATAAGAAGAAGAAAGAAAGTAGCTGGTTTGTGTCTATAAGACTTAACCTTTCAATAGGTAGTAATCAAGCAGTCTGGGAAAATCCTCATAGGATTTGGTCTAAAAGACAAGGCTTTAAGGAAAGGGAATGCTAATATAAACAGAAAATTTGATACTTCAGAGACTTGAAATGCCAGTGAAATTTAAAAATTATCCAAATATAAATAACAAAGTTGTAATAGTAACTAGATTTTACAATAAGATATTGTGCAAAGGCTCTATGGATAAGAAGGGGTGGGATGGGGATGGAGTTAGGGAGGAAAGTTGTATTGCCTGTTTGCCTGATTGCTGGGTTTTTTGCAAAGCATATTATCAAATGTTGAAAATCTCCATTAGTACAGAAGAATTAAAACCCAAGTCATTTCTGCTATCTTTATCACATTTCTTTTCTACTTCAACGATTCTTCCTTCTGACTTCCTGATGTTCTTTTTTTCTTCCATATTCCTGTGGGAGAGCTTAGAACAGAAACCAGCACAGAATAGGAGTCCCCAAAATACTTGTTGAGTAAATTAACGTGCTGACAGCATAGGAAAAACTAACTTCGTTTTTCAAGTAAAGGTATATAGAACCATTACTTCCAGGTTTCCTGCAGAAACTGCCCGGCACTGCTTGTTCCTCTTCAGGTTTTTGGCAAGATGGTTGAACAGACACATTGTGGAAGATATTTCCTGTTTCATGTTGAGGCAGTGCAAAGGGTATTTCTTTGAATTTGTGTATGAGAGGAAAGAAAATGGAGCCAATAGCTAAATTCTAAGCTAGCTATCCTTGAAGATATAAAGGCACTAGGTGGATAAGATTTTTTTAAAAACCTCCAGAACATGATGCTGCTTGAAGGAGTATATTCAGTGTTGAAAAGAATAGAGTACAGGCATACCATGTTTTATTGCATTTTGCTTTATTGTGTTTCAAAGATAATGTGTTTTTTACAAACTGAAGTTTTGTGGCAGTCCTGCATTAAGCAAGTCTATTGGTGACATTTTTTCCAACAGCATTTGTTTACTTGGTTTCTCTGTGTCACATTTTGGTAATTTTTGCAATATTTCAAAATTTTACTGTTATTATTATATTTGTTATGGTTTATGTTATCAGTGATCTTTGATATTTATTGGTAATTGTTTTGTGACACCACAAATTTTACCCATATAAGATGGGAAGTAAATGTTGTGTGTGTTCTGATTGCTCCAACGATCGGTCATTACCCCATCTCTTTCCCTTCTCTTGGGTTCCCTATTCCCTGAGACACAATATTGAAATAAGTTCAGTTAGTACCCGACAATGGCCTAAAAGTGTTCAAATGAAAGGAAGATTTAAACATCTCTCACTTTAAATCAAAAGCTAGTAATGATTACGCTTATTGAGGAAGGTATGTTGAAAGTCCAGATAGATTGAAAGCTAGGCCTCTTGTGCCAAACAAACAGTTGTCAAGTTGTGACTGCAAAGGAAAAGTACTTGAAGAAAATTATAAGTATGACTTCATCAACACAATAATGATAAGAAAGCGAAATCGTTTTCTTGCTGATGTGGAGAACGTTTGAGTGGTCTGGATGGAAGATCAAACCAGCCACAACATTCCTTTATACCAAAGCCTTATTCAGAGCAAAGCCCTGATTCTCCTCAATTCTATGAAGGCTGAGAGAGCTGAGGAAGCTGCAGAAGAAAAGTCTGAAAGTAGCAGATATTGGTTCATGACGTTTAAGGAAAGAAGCTGTCTCCATAGCAAAAAAGTGCAAGGTGAAACAGCAAGTATTGATGAAGAAGCTATAGCAAGTTATCCAGGAGATCTATCTAAGATCACTGATGAAGGTAGCTACACTGAACCACAGATTTTTAATGGAGATTAAGAAGCCTTATTGGAAGATGTTATGTAGGACTTTCATAGCTAGAGAAGAGTCAATGGCTGGCTTCAAATCTTCTGACAATCTGACTCTCTTGTTATGGGCTAATATACCTGGTGAGATTAAATTGAAGACAATGCTCATTTACCATTCTGAAAATCCTTGGACCCCTAAGTATCATGATTAATCTACTCTTCCTGGGCTCTGCAAATGGAAGAACAAAACCTGGATGAACAGTGCATCTGTTGATAGCATGGTTTATTAACTATTTTAGGCAAACTGTTGAGACCTATTGTCCAGAAAAAAGATTCCTTTCAAAATATTAGTGCCCATTGACAATGTACTTGATCACCCAAGAGCTCTGATGGAGATATACGAGTAGACTAATTGTTTTTATCATGCTTGCTAGCACAACATCCATTCTGCTGCCCATGCATGAAAGAGTAGTTTTGACTTCCAAGTTTTATTATTTTAAAGATTTATTTTGTAATTCTACAGCTTCCATAAATAGTGATTCCCCTGAAGGATCTAGGCAACCTTCTGGAAAGGATTCACCATTCTAGATTCCATTTAAGAACACTCATGATTTATGAGGGGTTGAAATATCAACATTAACAAGGGTTTGGAAGAAGTTGATTCCTACCTCCTGGATGACTTTGATGGGTTCAAGACTTCAGTGGAGGAAATCATTGCAGTTGTGGTAGAAATAGCAAGAGAACTTGAATTACAAGCGGAACCTGAATATATGACTGGATTGCTGCAATCTCATAATAAAACTTGAATGAATGAGGAGTTGCTTCTTATGGTTGAGCAAAAAAAGTGGTTTCTGGATATAAAATCTTCCTGGTGAAGATACTGTGAATGCAATTGTAATGACAACAAAGGATTTAGCATTTTAAATAAGTTTATTTACTAGAGTAGAGGCAGGATTTGAGAAGATGGACTCCAATTTTAAAAGAAGACCTTCACAAAGTAAAGTGCTATCAAACAGCCTTGCACACTACACAAAGAATCTTTTGTGAAAGGAAGAGTCAATCAATGTGACAAATTTTATCGTTGTCTTTTAAGAAATTGCCACAGCCACATCAACCTTCAGCAATCACCAACCTGATCAGTCAGCAGGTATCAACATTGAGGCAAGACCCTTTACTAGCAAAAGGATTACAACTTGCTGAAGACTCAGATGATCACTAGCATTTTTTAATCAATAGATTATTTTTAACTAAGGTATGTACATTTTTAAAGATATAATCCAATTACACACTTAATTGACTGTAGTATAATGTAACCATAACTTTTACATGCACTGGGAAACCAAAAAATATTGTGACACTCACTTTATTGTGACGTTCACTTCATTGCAGTGGTCTGGAACTAAATTCACAATATCTCCCCAGTAAATGTCTCTGACATATGCCTGTATGAAGAATCCAAAAGAATTAACAGGGCAAATGGCAAGTCCTGGATCATTACAGAACTGCTAAGAAAGATTGCTATTGTATGCTGGATACTGAGAATCTTCGAAAAATAATCCAATCATGTAGTGGCCCTGCCTACATCCATGGTGATTTCGTAGGGCAAGTCTTTGGTATACAGGTGCTCTTCAACTTAAAATGGGGTTATATCCCAATAAACCCAAATAAAGTTTGCAGTACCATAAGCTCAAATATCATAGCTTAGCCTAGCCTCCCTTACACATGCCCATAACATTTACATTAGCCTACAGCTGGGCAAACTCATCTAAAACAAGGCCTATTTCATAATTAAGTTTTGAATATCTTATGTAATTTATTGGACACTCTACTGAAAGTGAAAAACAGAATGCTTGTGTGGGTACTCATAGTATGATTTCTACTGAATGTGTATTGCTTTCAAACCATCATCAATTTAAAAAATCTTAAGTCAAAGCATTGTAAATCAGATAAAATGCATAGTTACTAAAATTGAAACATTCTATTCTTGTTCTCAAATTTGATAGGCGCTATCTCTTGCCTAATAAATACAATGTAAATTTATGCCTCTTGGAAAAACAGATATTAGTCAAAACAAGAAAATAATTAATTGAAGTTATTTCCATCGAATGTTTTATATTATATAATTAATACACTGTTTTAGTGTTTAGAAATAATAAAATCATAAATAAAGCTAAAGTTCTCCCTTGTTTACCTAATCCATACATAATAGATTACCTTAATATGCTGATATCAACATGGTACAAACCTCTCTCTCATCTCTTTTGAGAGAATGTATTTTTGTTATATGCTTTTAATTACATGAATTATATATTTTACAGGTTTTATAAACAATGTTTAGCCATATGTCAAATAACGTGAGCTAATTCTTTTCAACTGTTGCAGCTTAGTATTGGCATCAGTTTATTTAATCATGTCACTCCAAAAAGACATTTTGCTTTTTTTCCAAGTTGGCACTCTCAAAATAAATGCTGTACTGAAAATCCTGCAATGCTGCACAAGTGAGAATATTTCTAATCCACGTAATTATGACAGTAACTAATATTAAAAGTTGCTATCTGTGCCCTGAATCATGAAAAATTCTGGAAACCCCTCCTGAAACAAGTATGTTGATGCATATAGTATGTCGTTAGCTAGCTCTCTCTATCTATATATTTATCTATCATCTATCCATCACTTAATATCTAATACTGACTTCACTACTTACTAGTTGTATAATCTTGCACAAGATATATTACCTCTCTCTGACTGTTTCCTCATGTATAAAGTGGGAATGTTAATTATACCTGCCTTGCAGAGCAGGATTACAAGAGTTCTGAGGATTAAATGAGTTATTATATATAACTAATTTAAAATAGTGGTACACGGCAAATGCTCATTAAGTGTTGAACATTATAATTGGTTTTATAGAACTGGTACAAAAGGAGTTCAAACTCTTACATCAGAGAAAACCAGAAGTTCACACTCTCTCTTATAAGTACTCATACCTGTGGTCACAGGATTTCTTATCTTTTGAGACTTTAGAAGCAAGAGAAATTTTAGTCTTTAACCTAATTTGGCTAATCTATATTAGCAATTAACTACACACTTTAAAAAAGACTTGCCAATAGACATTAAGGCATTGTGTCTGTTGTTAAATTTCTCTCTAGGAAAAATCCACAGGAAGAATATATCTGGGTATAATTTCTTATAAATAATATTTATTCAATATCAAATAAACTCCCATTATATGCCAGGCACAGCATTATATGCTATATAACTATATGCCATGCACTATATTAACTATATGGCCCAAAATACTACATGAGGGACTTATCTGAGAATAAATAGACATTTTCTAGAATTAACAGACATGGATGAAACCATTTCAGGTTGTAGAAATGAAATGGCTCTACAGTTGTAGAGCCATGGACCATTGTCAAATGGCTGGGGTATGCATGTATTTTTATGTGAGAGGAATGTGGTATCAGCTAGGAAATTATTAAGGGGCCAAATCATAAAGAGTAGGGTATGTGATGATAAGGAGCAGTGATGTCTTCCCATAGGCAATTGGAAAAAGAAGAATCATAACCAGATATGCATTTTAAAAAGTTAATTTTGGCCATGGAGTGCAGAATGGAATGCCAAGGGTGGAGACAGAAAACTCAAATAATGATTAGGGTCTAGTATAATACTCCAAGCAATGAAGATCATAGATTGGAGAGAGAGATGTAAGAACCAAAACACACTGGATAAGGCCAGCAGGGGTTTGAAGAGGGTGGATAACCCAGGACTCTGGAGAGGGGAGTGTTGAGAGTAAGTGGAATGTGTAGGGAAAAGATATAGCTATAAGCCAAATTGTTAGATGTAGGATGAGGCTGACCAAATGCCACAGGAAACAAAGAAAGAAAAAATATAAGATGGAGCCTCCTTGGGGAACATCAACACTGTAAGTACAGGCAGAGGAGAAAAAGAAATTCCATAAAATAAGCCAAAAAAAATCAGAGATGTCAAAGAGGAGCAGGGATAAAGTGTTATTTTAGAAAAGGTTAGCAGAAGAGGACATTGAGGAAGTATGAGGCAACTAAGAGTGCAAAGGGCTTCCAACAGGATACCTAGATTAAATAGTGAAATTGATCAACTAATGAGGCTTTGTGGATCCATTTAATATAGGATCAGAGGGGAAAAATGAAAATCAAGAAGCTTATTAAATTTTCTGGCCTGGACGACTGATGGTCCTATTAACAAAAATAGTGAACATTGAGTGTGAGGTCAGAAGTAGAAATAGTGAGCAGGAGGCGTCAGGGAACTGTCCTTTAGAGGTGTCTAGCAAATTCAGGTTTGTGGATAGATTTTTATATCAAGGAGCTCTAAAGTGACGATGTTAATTACATGATCCACATGGATACTTTGCTGAGCAGAGTTATGCAAACACATTACAGAGTTATTTTGTGGTGTCTTGCGTCACACATTGGTACCTACACAAACACAAAATTGTGTTAATATATCTACAAAATAAACAACAGTACGTATTACTGGCTTGTGTGTAAATGCAAGTGAATAATTCACTGGGTATAGAAAATAATGATTAAGCTAGAACAACAATAGCATTTTAAAGCCCCTTATCTTTGGGTAGGATTGTTATTTATTTTTGGGCTTATCCTGAATTTTTCTACCCCCAAGGTCATATCAAAATCCACATTATGGTAGCACCATTCCTGCTTTTTCAACTCTTGTACCTTCATTCATTTATCATTTTAAATTTTTATAAATAAATTAAGGTCTTCTGATGCTTTAGGTATCAACTTCCTTTTTCCCTCTTTCTCTTTGGGAAATAAGAGTGAAAACACTAACATCTCCTCTTTTGCTTTGAAACAGCAGCATATCATCATATTTAGCTCATTGAAGCTGTTGTCATGGTTAAATGTTAAGTTTTATTTCTGATTTTTCTTTGCTTTTATAGCTATATCTGTGTTTCATCCCTTTAATAAACTAATACTATGTTCTGAAGAAAAAAAATGGTATATGAAGGTTTTTGGCCTGGATTGTCTTTGTCCAGTTCACAGCAAGTCTATCCCATGTTTATTTATTTGTTTTTTTCAGGAGCTAGTATGCAGAACTTTGACAGTCCATGCAGATTTCTGGAATTTGTTTTTATTGATACATAATAATTATACATATTCATGGGGTACATGTGATATTTTGATAGATGTATACAATGTGTAATGATCAAATCAGGGTAATTAAGATATCCATCACATCAAATATTTATCATTTCTTTACATTGGGAACATTCCTAATCTTGTCTTCTAGTTATTTTGAAATGTAGAATTAATTATCGCTAACCATTGTAACCATACTGTGCTATTATCGAACACTACAACTGATTTCTTCTGTAAGTTTTTTAAAAAGCTGTAGTTTTGTGTTCATTAACCAATTGTTCTTCATCCCCTCTTTCTGCTACCATTCCCAGCTTTTGGTAACCACCATTCTACTCTCTACCTATCTTCAGGAGATCTTTTTTTTTTTTTTTAGCTTACACATATGACTAAGAACAGGGGTTATTTGTCTCTCTGTGCCTGGCTTATCTCACTTGACATCTTCCAGTTGTTTCATCCATCTTGCTCTAATTGACTTTTTTTTCTTTTCTTTCTTTCTTTTTTTCTTTTTTTTTTTTTTTTGAGACAGAGTCTTGCTCTGTCGCCCAGGCTGAAGTGAAGTGGCACCATCTCGCTCACTGCAAGCTCCGCCTCCCGGGTTCACGCCGTTCTCCTGCCTCAGCCTCCTGAGTAGCTGGGACTACAGGCGTCCGCCACTACGCCTGGCTAATTTTTCGTATTTTTAGTAGAGACGGGGTTTCACCGTGTTAGCCAGAATGGTGTCGATCTTCTGACCTCGTGATCCGCCCTCCTTGGCCTCCCAAAGTGCTGGGATTACAGGTGTGAGACACCACGCCAGGCCAATTTCATTCTTTTTATGGCTGAATAATAAGCTGTTGTGTATATGTACCACATTTTCTTTATCCATTCATACACTGATGGACACTTATGTTGCTTCTGTATCTTGTGAATAGTGCTGCAATCAATATGGGAGTGCAGATGTATCTTCAACTTATTGATTTCCTTTGTTTTGGATATATACCCAGTGGTGAGATTGCTTGATGATATGGTAGCTCTACTTTTACTTTTGGGAGGAACCTCAAAAAAGAGGTTGTATTAATTTACATTTCCACCAACAGTGTACTAGTGTTCTTCTTATCATATTCAGGAATTTTTGTGTTTTACCAACTTTTACCTCCACGTATTTATTTTGTTTTTCATGATTTTATTCTAAGACAAAAAGAATCAAACTAAAGAAAATCGAACTAAAGATTAAATTTATACAATATCTAGAAATTGACCATAAAGAAATTTGCATAAAGTATTTAGCAATATGTTTACTATTTTGGCATGGGCTTCCTAATATTATTACTATTAAGAGACAAAACAGAGAAATATTATTGATAACACTTGCACTATGGATAAGACATGTTGGTTTACTTTTTCTAGTGTTGATTGTAGAACATTTTAATAATTTTTGCCATGACTCTTCATTTGTAGGCAGGCTCATTAACAGTAGAATTATATCCATTTCATACTAATCTCCTAAAGGCTGCCCATCAGTATTTTAAAAGACATAAATCTAACTTCCTTGCCCTTCCTCCTACGGCTTATTCTGCCAAGCATTTAGAGTAAACCTAACTGCAGGCTTTTCTAGTTTGGGTACAACATTTACTTCACTCACTATCCATTAATTTTTATTTCTGACAGAATAAGCATATGGTCCTAATGCTCTATGAAATCAGACTCTTGGAACCAGATTCTGTTATACATTTCATTGCTTGTTACATTTATGTGATGTTACATTATATACATCACTTAGCCTGCATAAAAAGACATATATATGGAACAGATATATTTTGACTTTAAAGTTTTATTTTCTTTATTTTTTATATACATAGAATTCAAATAATCATATTTGTAGTTTATGGCTTTTCATATAAACATGTATGTGCTATTGGCTACAATGTTGTTATTCATATTTAATATTTTTAATTAAGACAAAGATGAATAGATAAATATTCCCATTATTACCTAATGCAGAGTTTGAAAAAGTAAGGCCTAATAACCAAATTAAGCCTATCATTTGTTTTTGTATGACCTACTAAGAGTGGTCTTTACATTTGAAAATGTTTGCGTGGAAAAGAAGGACAATATTTTGCAGCATGTGGGAATCATATGAAATTCAAATTTTAGTATCCATAGGTAGTTTTACTGGAATATAGCCACACCCATTCATTTACGTATTGTCTACGGTTGCTTTTATACTACAGCAGCAAAATCGAGTAGTTGCAAGGAGACCACTTAGCCCAACATATTTACTATCAGTTTCTTTAAAAAAAAGTTTAAAGAAGTTTAAAAAACTTTTAAAAAGTTTGCTGACCCCTGGTCCAATGCATAGCTAACATTTGTTTTTCCCCGTTTTGTATATCAAGGAGTTTATGAAATCAAACCAATAGTAGAATCAATTATTTCTTTTTCTAAACACGATCGAGGAAATTTAACCATTTCATGTTTAGTGTTAAAGTGTTATTTATCCATTGCCTGAACAAAGTTAGCTGCAAGGGAGATATTTCCCTGAAGAAGAACCAGAATGTAGAGTCTGAAATAAATCCTCTCTCCCCCATTTCCCATTATCTACTTATTTAATCTGTTTTAATGAAGTTAATTGCATAGTAGGAATAAATAACCTAGAAGAAAAATACCTTGATTTCAAAATTTAATCATTAGCTTGTTTTTTAGATTAACATTAAACAAATAATTACTTGAAGTAACCATGAGAAGCAAGGCCCTCTATGATGGGCTCCTTTGATCTCTAACTTGCCTACACTTTCATTAGAGGTTGAGAGTAATTAAACAGGAAGGTGACACTTTAACAAAAACTGTAAAACAAATTATTTTTTAATTTTATTTCTTTAATATTTTATTTTAGAAATAATCAAAGTGGACTAGTTTTTCGAATGTTATTTGTACAAAATGTGAGCAAACCCAACACAAGACAAGAATGAAAAATGTTCCATAAATCTCTGTGTTTCTTCAGTATTTTACTTTATTCCAGATGCAAGATTGAAATTCTACATTTATATTTAATAATTTAAAACAATTATAAAAAGTTATGGGTATTTCAGATTACATTCCAAAATATGTAATGATAGTATTTCACTTGCCTCAAATCACTTATGGAACACTATGAGAAATTTGTCCATTAACTCCTCAGATACTTTTTTGAATGTTTATTTTATGCCAGGCACTGTTCCTGGCACTAGGGATACATCAGTGAGCAAAACAGAGCCAAACGAGATTCTTGCCCCTATGACGCTTATATTTTAGTGGGAGGAAACAGACAAGAAGCCACACATAAATAAATGAGGAAATGACATAGCATTTCTAAAAGTGATAATTGAGATGGAAAAAAATCAGAACAGAGTGAGAGAAATCAGGTGTATCAGGGTGAGAGTTGCAATATTAAAAGGGTAGTGAAGGTCTTGTTGAGATGTTGCTTAAGCAAGGACATGAAGATGCAGGAATTAGCCATGTAGCTATCCAGGGAGAGGGACTAGTGAGAGAAAAGGCTCTAAAGTGGGAGCAAGGTTGACTGTGAGTGAAACAGCAAGGAGGTATGGTGGCTGGAGCAAGGTGAAGGAGAAGAAGTGAGAGTCAGAGGGGTAATAGGATCAAATGAGTCAGAGGGGTAATAAGACCAAAATGTAAAGAGCCTTGTAACCACTCTGAGAATATTTCACTCTTAATGATATGAAGACCATAGAGGGACTGGCAGGGAAGTGATGTAATTAAGTTTACTTGTTAAAAGGTCCACTTGACTAGTTTGCTATAGAGGAGCAAGGGCAGAAGCAGGGAGACTAGCAATGAGGATATTGCAGTAATTCATGCCAGAGATGATGGTGTCTTGGACCAAGACCAATTATGAAGGGCGTGAGAGCAGGTGCATTTTGGACTTATTGAAGATAGTGTGTGAGATTTCCTGACAGATTGGATGTGTAAATGAAAGAAAAAAAAAGAACTATTTTGATTCTTGTTGTTTTGTTTTGGTTTTTATTTTTTAACCCAGGCAACTACCATTAGTCAAGAATGAAGTCTACAGGTGGACAGGATTTTGGGGGATGATTAGAAGCTCAACTTGTGGTATCCTGAGGTTAAGATATTTATTAAAATAAAATCAGCTAAGTAAGATCCCAGTATCTGCCTCATGGAAGATGTTACAAGTTATTGCACAAATATTATATATATATAATCTCTCTCAATATATTAAGTACCCCTAGAGTATGAATGAATTAATGAATAAGTATTCATTGAGCAGATGGTACTCAATGAACGACAGACACCATGCTGTGCCCTGTCAAGTAGATGGCTTAACAGAATCCATGTTAGAGCTTCATCAGGTAAATGGTATTGTCTACATCTCACAGAAGAAGAAACTCAGGACAAGTAACTTGACTGAAGTTCACATGGTTAGTAAGTAGTTCTAACTTTAAGATTGAAACTCATTTTTCCACAACTTCAAATAAAACCCCTTTAAAAAATCTTACCAGTGATCTCACAAAAGAAGTATTAGTATATCTGTAAGCAACCATTTATTCAAAATGTGGTTTTTATCTTCAGATTATAACACAAGTGAGCAAAAACAAGCCTGTAAGAAGCACGAACTCTATGTGAGCTTCCGGGATCTGGGATGGCAGGTAGGAATTTTCAGTCAACTTTGGTGCTTCTTTTCTGAATTATCATAAATCCTTAATAAGTCATAGTCTTTGGCAGTAATTTTCCAATATAATACCCAATGATTTTTGACATGACCATTTAGAATATGGCTTATTCACTTTATTTTCATTTCTCAATTAACCTTTTACCATTGAAACATGATTAGTAGGTATCACAGTCAAACAAAAAAACTACGCTGAATGAGACATAGAACACTAAGATATTTAGGAAGAAAAAAAAGAGTGCCGTTGTTTAAGTATTCCAAACTTTTAATTTTATTGTAAATAGAAGATTTGTTCATATTAGTATAAGTAACTCCACTAAGCCTCTGAGGGTCTCCAACTATTGGAATGTCCCTGTCATGGGGAAGATGACAGACATTTTTTTTTCTTGCACTTAAAAATGTATTGCTATCTTTTGGGTAGCCTTTAGAAACAGGATGAGGAGGAAAATTTCACCAAAGTAATTTTTTAATGGCTCTATGTGGTGACAGTTTAAAATGAAATTTTAAGACTTCTCCTAATATTCTATTAGAATGGATTCTCATATATGAGTTCCTGTATTGAGAAATACTATTAAAATGTAAATATATTCAAAATTCATGATAAACTTTCCACATGAATAACTCAATAATTCCTACATTTGTGCCAAGTTTTATTTCTCTGTGGGAAAAATATCAAGGCAACCATTCATGTACCAATTCTTTAGCTTCCCGAAATTTATCATGTTCAGTTTTTAGGAATTTGCTCCAATTTATTTTTTCTAAAGAGACCATAAAGTTAATGCATGAATGGAAAGAAAAACAGCATGCAGAAAAAATATTAAGGCTTTAGGATGTTGTCAGACTTATAAAACTAAGAATGAGTTCTTAAGAAGTAATGAGAATGATCTCAATTAACTTGATTCTCCTTTTTCTTTCGGGTTCACTTGAACTTTCCAGAGTTCATCATTTCCTGTTTAAACAATATTTAGAATGCTATTTTCTTATAATAGTTTTATTCGTGAATACATGTTTAATACATACTATGAATATCTTACATAACTACCCCTTGGGAGTAATTAGAGAGGACAATTTCTTGTGAAAATATTTATACTTTTGTCCTAAACTTCAGCTTAAAATTAAAGGGTGTGGGGAAGATAATTCCATTAGAATAATTGTTGGACCAAGAATAGAAACCTATTCAGATACAATATATTTCAATAACTTTTAAGATTTTTTAAAAATTTTTACTTTGGTGATATTTTTTCTTGTTGTTTTTTTTTTTTTTTTTTTTTTTTTTTTTTTTTTTTTTTGTGTGTGTGTGTGTGTGTGTATGTGTCAGGACTGGATTATAGCACCAGAAGGATACGCTGCATTTTATTGTGATGGAGAATGTTCTTTTCCACTTAACGCCCATATGAATGCCACCAACCACGCTATAGTTCAGACTCTGGTAAGCTTTGTTTTTGAAGGATTAAGAAAAGCTTAGAATGCAAGCATATTATAAAGTTGTTTTAGAGGAAAGCATCTATTTACAATTTTAATGCATTATTTTATCTTCTCAAACTCATTTGTTTCTTTTTAGAGCTGAAGTAACAACTGTGGGTATAGTCAGGAAACTCGGGCTGGTTTAGAGTAATCCCAGTTACACAATGGAGAAGGATTCAGCTAGGAAAACTGGAGTAATAACATGAAATGGTCATCTTGAACTGTTTGTTCATTACACAGTATGACTAAGCACACAGGTTCCCTGGGGCTGTTTCTAACCTAGCAATTCATTAGTAATCATTGCAAAAACATTGAGTAATAGCTGTACTAAATTTCATCTGAGGGTTTTTAATTATTTAAGAATGTTCTATAACATACTTTGGTATTATAAAAGTTCTTCAATGTAGTATACAAATAGGAAGCTAATTTCTATTTCTTATTGTTCTCCTCCTCCTCCTGTAATCTTTAAAGTAGAAATTATACTTCCTTTTCTTTATTCCTCAATCTCAGAAACTTAGCAGTGATTAAATCTCTAATAATCTAGGCTTATTTTTATGAACAATGTACTGAAGGGTTGACGTGATTAACTGATTGCCTTGTACCTAATGAGCTCATGAAACCTATTGAGAGTCTGATGTACCTCATAGCATCTGGCCTATCGATTTGGCAGAGGAACAATCTCCCTAAGACTAAATGAGAGGCTCCTAGAAAACATACCAGACTATGTGACATAATTTTAAATCAATGTTTGGGCTAATATAAAAATTTTAACTTTTGTATTTAAGAAGAATGGGAGAGAACACATTATTTTAGAATCAAGGCTTGATGGGAGTGGAATTATTTGGTGGACGCCAGTAAGAGAAAAGTAGATAGTAGACAATCTTGTCTTTGTGGGTGAGGTTTATTTATGGAAAAAGAAAGAATTACTCTTAGAATTTGTGAAGATTCGACTCTCCATAAGTTTGCTATTTTCCCCCACAATTAATTTAAAACTTAAAGCTGAATTAAGGAATAAACAATGATATCTGTGAACTGGCAAAAGCAAATACTTGAATGACTTGATATTTACTGGCATCTTTATTGACTTAATAAAATACGACAGAATATCTAGACACCAAAAAGTGCAATCTATAACAACTAGAGCATGAACGTTATCAAAGACTGGAAATAACCTTGGGCTAGAGAGCAACAGAAAGATAAAGCAAATATACATTTTGATAATAAATTATTTATAAGTATTCTTCTTTTTATTGATTCATGACCAGTGAGAATGCCTACTTTAGTGCCATATACAAGGTAAAGAGTAAATTTCTGGGGGGATTTAAAGTCTGATATGACTTCACCTTTGCTATCTGTAAGTATAAGCTCTTCTTTATATGGAATAGTGTTTCCAGGAGTATGGAGTGTAGGTAGGCTTTGCAAGGATGGATGTTTTGCATTCAAACTTCTACCACTAAAAGAATTTTTAAGAAGCTAACTTTTCTCTTTGTATATGAGAATTCATGTTGACATGAAAGCATATCAGATAAAGAAGAATGCTGTTGTTTCATCCTATGAAGAGAACTTCATGATCACTGTCTTTCTGTAAGGTCATAGAATAACTCCTATCAGTTGAAGTAATGCTATTTAATTTCTCAGAAAATTCTTTGCCTCTTTTTATCATCATTTTGATGACTATGAAAGCAGACTTTTGCTTCCTTAGATATGGATCTAATGTATCAAAAATTCCCTCAGGCTAAGCAATGCCTACTTATTGAAAAATACCCTTTGTCAAATACTCCCCCTTCTCTCATTTTTTCTTTTTTAAAATAAATAAATACATATTTTCAGCTCTTATGGCTGTAGTAAAGTATCAAAAAACAAATATAAAAAAAATCTGACACAAACTTTGAACAAGAGTCTGCTCTGTATCTCTACCCTGGGATGTAGGACATAAGTCATTGCAAAACTGGAGCATACACGTGAAGTTTGATTTTTTTTCCCTGGTGTTGTGCACGCTTTATGTTTGTTCTGTGAAGGACATGAAACAAAAAGACGGAGGAAAGCATGTTTGTGACTAATATATTGAGAAACCATTCAAGAACAATCCATTTTTTTTCCGTTAGGCTGCCAAGGCCATTGAAACAGCAGGATTATCAATCATGTATGTGTGGGTTATGGAAGATAAAGCTGATGAAGGACATAAGCAGCATCAGAAATTTGTAGAAACTATCCAACTTTTAGTTTTGTGAGGCCTTAGGAAATTTCAAGTTCATGTCAGATCACCTCATTTTTCCTGCTGTTTCTGTCCACATGCAAGGCCCCTATATCATTTCAGCCAGGACGTTGTACAGCCAAAACTGTAAGAGGCTGTATTTGCTTTTTGTGGATCCCGTAAGACTCATCAGTGGGATTTCCCATAAACTCCTCTGGGGGAAGGGCCAGAATAGGTGGGTGGGAAATGGGGGAACTGTGTTCTGGCTCTTTTCTCAATTATTTCAAATCATAGGCAGACTGCCAGTCTGATCAAAATTATTATCAACCCTTTACTTAAGCATTTCACTTTTCATGTACAGACACCTTTTTAGGCTTTTGGGGAGGTGGATGTTCATTTGTAAAGTCTCTAGGCCCTTTGCTTCTGATTTAGCTTAGCCTGCTTTTTGGCACTTGTCTAGGGGGCAGGCAAGGGAGAAAAAAAGTAAATGGATATTAAACTCCAGCCAATGTGATAAAAAAATTCTATGAAGAGCTGAAATCATTGCTCTAAGGCAAGTATTGGATTATATGTGGATTTTATTTTATTATGATTTTTATGCTTCTTTTACCATGGAAAATTAAGAGTTGGCTTAAAATGTATGATTTATTGCTTAATTTTCCTTTTAAAAGATAATTCTTAGATCCAAATCTTTCTGCAACTATGTGTTTTCATTGATTTGCTCTTGTAACTTCCATATTCCTCATGATATATATAGGAACAGTTATTTCAACTAAAAGCAACAACGTGCTAGTTGCTGTGTTCTTTCCCTAGGAAAACTTCCACTGAATATTCTATAGAGGAAGTTTTCTTTATTTGGTGAGATATTTTTCAAGGTTCAAACACATAATTGAATTGGCTGGGTTGATTCCAGGTGTTAATGCTTAAGAATACATCCTTCAGTCCCCCACCCCAGTCATGGAATAAATGGGAGAAGGGAGATCAGCTTAATGGTGTGCCTGATTATGAGTGATAAAATAATCATACCATTTTAAAACTGCAAAAGAATGTATATTTTATTTCTTAATAAAACAAAACCTTTTTTCTTTCCCAGGTTCATCTGATGTTTCCTGACCACGTACCAAAGCCTTGTTGTGCTCCAACCAAATTAAATGCCATCTCTGTTCTGTACTTTGATGACAGCTCCAATGTCATTTTGAAAAAATATAGAAATATGGTAGTACGCTCATGTGGCTGCCACTAATATTAAATAATATTGATAATAACAAAAAGATCTGTATTAAGGTTTATGGCTGCAATAAAAAGCATACTTTCAGACAAACGGGGAATTTCCTAAAATTAGTCTGGCTCATTTTGACTCTTTTCCTATGTACAATATCATGTATATAGTCATTTTTATTTATTTAAACGTATATATTCTCTTCTGTGGAGGCTTTATCAATAAAATCTATTTCATAGGCCACTACATTATACAATAGATCATCTAGTATAATTTTCAATGGGTTATGCTGAGTCCATTCAATTCCATTTCAACATTTTTTTCTAATACAATTTTACATAATTTTCTGAGATTAGACAGAACTCCTTTGACTGTTTAATATTGTGGAAGGAAATTGAATAATTTAGTTATATTGTGCCAATGAAAACCATGATAGAATATTTATTTAGAAATAAGACTTAAAAAAATAACAACCCAAACAAAAATTCTTGGATAAACACAATTTCTCTTTTAGAGTTCCTGCTTCATTAGATAAAGTGAAATGTTGAACTGGATTTGAATAAATAAACGGTAGGCAGAACATAGAAGCTGAAAGATTGCACAGAATTGTTTTAACTGTTTGCTTTAACAGAAGTGGTGTAACTGTAGGAGCATGTTCCTTTTTGGCTTGTGGATTGTAGATTTTGCAAAGAGCTCAAAGCTTCAGGAGACAGGCTTGAGCCTGTGTCCATAGCTTTCCAAGTTAACACTAATTGTAGTACAACCTTCTTACCTCAAATAAATCATGTCTGCCTATTATCTAGAACACTACTGCTGCAGAATTTTTTTTTCAGATTTAAAAACCTAGTCCAAAATAAAGAAACATTTACATGTGCTCCACTTTCCTCCCCACAGGCAAGAGTCACTGCATGCGTAAAATGTACAAGAGCAGAAGATGCCGAAAGAACCATTTTCTTTAGCTCTCCTTTATAACTGAGTTTGCTGATTGATGTGATGCAAGGGATTTTATTTAGAAGTAAAAGCACTGAAACTAAACTGGAGGAAATTACCAAAAGTCCCAGAATGGCTTTGACAGAATTGCCATTTCTAAAGAACAGCTGAAATTCATTTTTCATATCTTTGAGAGTGAGCTCAATGAAAACCTTATTTTGTAAAGGCATTTTGTAAACCTTCTTCCAAGCACAAATAATTCCAAACAGGAAGGTTCTGTTGTGTGTGTGTGTGTGTGTGTGTCTGTGTGTGCATGTGTGTTCTTCCCTCTAAAATTAATTTATTTTCTCTATCTATTAGAATGCCCTCTAAGGCCTTTCTTTAACACACACTGACTTTTTGAAGAATGATCTTTAGATTGATAACTTGCTATTTATGGTGACTCTGTGGTTAGGCTTATTTACCGTTAATCTAAAGTATTCATAAAGCACCATTTATTAATCATCCTTTTGGATCTTTCAAACCAAACGTATACCAAAAATGTCTTCAAAAATGTTATGGCTTTGTTTGTAATTCGGGTATATTAAAATGTTGTTTTGAAATACAGTTTATCTTAAAGAAAATTTGACAGTAACTATATTAAGGGGTACATTAAGTAATATATTTTTAATTAATGGTGTACCATTGAGAGAATAAGAAATGGAAGTCTATTGTTTTATTCTTTAAATGTGCTGTTTAAATATATTTCCATATTTTAAAATATATTAAACAGATGCTAATTTCTGCTGTTCTTGATTTGGTTCTTTATTTAAAAGGAATACAAAATGTAAGTATATCATAAATTGAGACAATAAGAATATTTATCAAATGTAAACTGTTTGTGGATCACATGATTCTTTATGTTGTTCTTAATTGCCAAAATTGTTTTTTGTGTTGTTAATAATTATCTCACTATTAAATGTGCAAAGCAACAATCCATGAATTAAAGATTTTCTTAATCTGTTCAAACAACAAATTTTAAAAATAGCAAAAAATAATTAGAATGGAGAAATACCTCATTTGTTCTTTTTCATATGAGAAGGGAGGTAATTGGCATCAGTGCTTTTGCATTTTCTAAAATTACATATGTGTAGCATAATACGCACATATACTTGGTCACATTAGTTTCTAATAACTATTACAGTAAACTCTTAGTATCACCTTGGTGATACTCAAGCTCTTACTAGACACCAGAATAATTTGACCTATTTTAACAGGTCTTCATTCAGGTCTTTTTAGTTCGTTAATGATGTACTCACTTTTTTGATTGTTTATTTTTAATTTTTCTGTTTTATACTTGTTTTTACTTTGTAAAGTGGCCATAATCCTTTTTGGAAATAGAAGGGCATAAATCATAAATATTCAAATTCTTTAAAACTAAGGCAAAAATAGTCTACATTAAACTAAAGAAATTAAGAAAACACAGGCAGAAAATCCAAAATTATTTTTTTCTCAACTAAGAACTGTCATTTTATAATCCTAGTATCATCATCATCAAACCCAAGCCAGAGTCTACTGGGTACTTCACAAGCTGGCAGATATCATCTCCCAAGACATTTACAATGAATAATTAGCTTATGTTCCAGTTCCATTCAAGGCAGAAGAAATCCTCATTCCCAAACACAAGTAACCATCTCATAACCATTCAGTCCAGTGCTCAATCTATTATCTAATTTCCATCTCAGATTACCTATTTTTCCTTTCACAATTTTTTTTTTGGTCTGGAATTTTTTAAAGTTAGAAGTGAAGATGCCTTTGCTGATAAAGCATAAAAATTGTTGGTATACAGGTATACATCTGTGTTTTATCAAGTTTCTTTAAGATCATAATTGAAGAGAAAGTACAAAAAGTAACAATCAATGTCAATGCTTATTTAAGTAGAAAATGATGCTATATCCAAGTTAGCAATTTTAAAAAAATAGCAAAGGCTCTGCAAAATTTTAAAAGTCTATTGTGATATTTGTTAAAGGCTGTTTTAAATACAGAGATTTCAAAGACAGGAAAAGTCACATCAGATACAGCCTTTGAAAATTACAAAGAAATTTCAAAAATTAAAAGCATGTATGTTAACTTTTGCATCCTTGTTTCAACTTCACTAAGGCAGCTAGCCTAAAATCAATTCTGGGCCAGGCGTAGTAGCTCACATTTGTAATCCCAGCACTTTGGGAGGCCGAGGGGGTGGATCACCTGAGGTCAGGAGTTTGAGACCAGACTGACCAACATGGTGAAACTCCATCTCTGCTAAAAATACAAAATTAGCTGAATGTGGTGGCACATGCCTGTAATCCCAGCTACTTGGGAAGTTGAGGCAGGAGAATTGCTTGAACCTGGGAGGCAGAGGTTGCAGTGAGTTGAGATCATACCATTGCACTCCAACGTGGGCAACAAGAGCGAAACTCCATCTCAAAAATCAAATCAAATCAAATCAAATCAAATCTGAAGGGTCAAGGTAGGGGATGGGTAGATACAGTAGAGCCTCAACTTCTGTAAATTATAGAGAAGAGAATAAAGTAGATAATACTGCATAAACAGCCTCAAGAATCAGTCTGGAAACAGGACCTAACCCAAGAGTTTAGTGGGATATAAGCAATATATTTTTCAGTTCATTGTGCATAATACTATATAGTGAAATATAGTAGAACTTACTTAAAAAGCTGGACTATATTTATTTTCTTTCAGGTATCTACAGAAAAAGCTGAGTAGGAGAAAAATTCTCAAACCTGAGCATAAGCCCAATAAGATAGCTTAGACTACATATCACTTTCTCCAATACACACACACACACACACACACACACACACACACACACGTGTGTATAGGGGAGAAATGAGTACTGTATTAGTAGCATTTTCTGATTGCTATTAGCCTGGAGCTTTGGTCAATGACCATTCCATGTGGCAAGAACCAAAGCCTTAGGTCTGTGCAGGGCAGGAGCTCAGATCAGAGCTCAGATTTCAGACTAGAAGTCACACTATGTATGGCATCTACACATACACATATACTTGTGTGCAGTTATGGCATAAATGTAAGTTTTAAAAGTCTCTGATCTGATTAGTGAAGCTGAAAAAGCATTTGAGAGAAGCAAACGCGAAATTTATCTTTTGGAACTTGACGTTCAACCTAGGACTCAAGGAAATCCCACTGAAAATATGCCAAGGAATATAAGCTCACATCAAAACAACCAAAGGAACAAACAAACAAAACAAAAACTATCACAATAAATGTACAAACAAGGCACCATAAGAGCTATAAGAAATAAAAAAGGGTAACACCAAACTCATAAGTGTCCTGTTTACTGAATTATTGGATATAGAATATAAGTAAGTATATTTTATGTGATTTTTCAAAAAGAAAGAATAAGAACGTAAGTATAAACATATTTTAAATGAATATATCGAACATCTAAGAAGAAAAATCTTTAAGCTTTATTGGATGTGATAAATAGTGGTTTTGATATCAGGAACAAGAGAAATAGTGAGCTGGCAGACAGATCTGAAGAAACTATCCAGAAGGCAGCATTAAGCCAGATAAAAAGATGGAAAATCTAACAGAGAACTAAAAGTACATGGGGATTAAAGGAGCTCTAACATTCATCTAATCAGTCTTCCAGAAAATTGGGGACAATTTTTGGGCTAACAGTTGGCTCCTCAATCAAACTGTTTTCTCAACTTAAAAGTCAGTCAACTTGTAATTACTGTCTTTAAATTGATAAGGAAAAATAACTGCCATTTAGAATTCTATATCCAGCAAAACTATCTTCAATAATTAGGGCAAATTAAAATGTTTTTGAGACAATAAAACGAAAATTGAAAAAGAATTTATCATTAATAGCAAAGCCACTGCTAATGGCTATACCTCAGGAAGAAAGAAAATAAACTCCAAAAGGAAATATACGCAAAACTGATAAGAAAAAATAGTAAACATGGGGGATAGATTAAAATAAATAGTATTGTCTAAAAACCATGGTTAAAAAAAGCAGAGTAGAGTTAGAATAGTGTTAAAAGAGTTAAGATAGAGTTTAAAATACAGTGAAACTACGGAATGTATGCAAGAAGGTAGGTAACTGAAAATACATGTTTTGCATTTTACTCGATGATGATGATTAAATTTGATTTGGCCTCAGAATTCATGGTAAAGTTTTAAGTGCAAAGATAAAATACCAGAAAAACAATATATATCTTCTAAATCAGGGTCAGCACACTTTTTCTGTAGAGACCTAACAGTAAATATTTTAGGCTTTGTAGTTTTGTTCCAACTACTTTACTCTGCATCTGTAGTGTGAAAGCAACCATAAACAATACCTAAATGAACGAGTGTAGGTCTATTACAATAAAACTTTATTTACAAAGATGTGTTGGATTGGATTTGGGTCCTTGAATTGTAAACTTTTGACCCCTGTTCTAAACCGGTAATTGCAATGTGATAAAATGCAATTATTTCAACAAAATAAAAAAAAGGAGGAAAAGATAAAAGAGACACATTAAAAGGGAGAAATGTTGCATAGAGTAGTATGATAGAAATAAATCTAGGCTGAGTGTGGTGGCTCGCATCTGTAATTCCAGCATTTGGGAGACCAAGGAGAGAGGATTGTTTGGGCTCAGGAGTTCGAGACCAGCCTGGGCAACATAGTGAGACCCCATCTCTACTTAAAAAAAATAAAATCAGCCTGGCATTGTGGCATGTGCCTGTAGTCCTAGATACATGGGAGGCTAAGGTGGGAGAATGATGTGAGCCTAGGAGATGGAGACTGCAATGCACTATGATCATGCCACTCCTCCCTGGGTGACAGAGTAAGACCCTGACTGCCCCCCCGACCACATCCCCCCCCACACACATCCAGATAAACTCATGAAATTTTAAATGTTTAAGTGTATTGAAAAGTCACTTTTACCATATTAGATTTAAAAATAATAACTTCAACCAGTAGCTACATGCTATTTAAAGACCCAAAACCACAGAAAAGTTTAAAGTAAAATGAAGGGAAATATATATCAGGGCAACAATAGTCAACAACAGAAACAAAAACTCTGACTTAATCATATGTATAAAGTGTGTTCACACTTTAACACAAAACAATCATTACTAGAGACAATGAAGATCAACACATATTGATAAGGTTTTCAATCATCATTATTTTAAGCTTAATAAGCTTAAGTGTACCTAATACTATGTTTTAAAAGTGAATAAATTATAAATTGTTAGAACTATAAGGATAAATCAAAAGTGTACAATTTTAGTGAAGGATTTTTAGCAAACTCTATTATTAATTGATAGATTAACAGAAAAAAGATTACTGAGAATACAGCAGATGCCTTATTAACAAATATGACTTAATGGACATATGTAGAACACGGCAGAATATACATTATTTTCAAGCAAATATGACAGGTGTATTAGTCCGTTCTCACGTTGCTATAAGCACATACCCAGGAATGGGTAATTTATAAAGGAAAGAAGTTTAATGGACTCACAGTTCCACATGGCTGGGGAGGCTTCACAATCATGGAGGAAGATGGAGGAGCAAAGACACGTGTCACATAGTGGCTGGTTATTTGACAATTACTTGTTTTAAAGGTGAAAGTCAACAATATTGTACCAAACAATACATCTTGAGGGCAATAAGCCTTTCTAAGGTGTTCTACTTAGAACTTTAGTTTATTTGAGATGGCAAGCATTTCTCCAAGGATGTCATGATAGAAAGAGGAAATATTTGAAAAATCTTGGCTATTGAACATAGGGGTCCAGTGAATCTCATCTCACACTAACCTTCTATTATTGAGGGCTGTTATTAAGTGAAAATAAGTTTAACTACTCTGTATCGCCCAATGCACCTTGAAAACATTTTTTTTATTCACCAGTAACGTCCTTTCTAAGTTTTGCCTGCTGATATTCTATTGATTCCTAGAGACTTTTCTCATTTGTGAATTCCTTCAAAATGACCAAATACACAAAACCATGTGTATTTAATCCCTCTAATAAATAACTATAGCACTCTTATTTTGATACATGCTTCACATCATACCATTATGTCAGTTACTACAGTTATTTGGAAATATTCTCCCTCTACATTGAGAGATAGGGAAATCTTAGCACGTTCATTAATTTATCAATTCCTTAAAAAGTTATCACAAAGATATTCTCAGAGTTGATGCTCAATAAATGATTTAGAAATAACTGGAAAATGGTCTAATTTACTGTTTAATGGGAAACAGATAGCACATCTAAAAGGAACATCATCAAAATTGAGAAAGTGAGGGGACTAATTTCCTTATTTTAAAACCAATAGATCCCAGTATCTTTCACTTTTAGAGTATGCTAATCTAGATAAAACAAGAAACACAATATGAAACCCACAGGATGATTTCGTTTTTCTAAATTATAAGAGGAGAAAAAAGCTTCCAACCAACGTAGAAAGTGTTGCCTAATTCACATAGTGGTGATACAGAATTGGACATAGAGACAAAATGAATGATTTATGTAGATATCCATGAGAAGGGAGTTTCAGGCAAAGATAGCACCAATTGCAGAAGTATGGTTGGCATATTAGAGACACAGCAAGGAGGCCAGTGTGGCCATGCAGAGTGATTGATGGGAAAAGAGGAAGAACATAAGTGTAGGCTGATAGTAGGCAGCCAGGTTGTATAGGATCTTGAAGGCCACTGGAAGGACTTTGAATTTTTACTCAGCGATGCATAGCCATTTGGAGTTTTTGAGCAGAAGAGGCCATGAGTTGTATTTTAAAAGGAATCTGGCCATGTGAGGAGACTACTTGGTGTTACAGTAAAGGCAGAAAGAAAGGAGGGCAGGTTAGAAGACACTGAAATAAGCCAGGCCTAGAGAATAGGGTAACTTGGACTAGTGTGGTAATGGTAGAGGTGATGAGAGGTAATTGGAATCTGGAAATATTTCACAGGCAGAGTTGATAAGGTGAGTTAATGGGGTGTGAGAAGGGAGCGAATGTGTTATTCCATTCTGCATGGCTCTAAAGAAGTACCTGAGACTGGGTGAATTCTAAAGAAAAGAGGTTTATTTGGCTCATGGTTCTTTAGGCTATACAAACATGGCACCATCTGCTTGGCTTATGGTGAGGGCTTGGGAAGCTTTTACTTATGGCAGAAGGCATAAAGGGGACCCAGCGTGTTACATGGCAAGAGAGGGAGCAAGAGAGAGGAGAGAAAGGTCCCAGACCATTTCAAACAACCAGATCTTGCTTGAACTCAGAACCACCTGGAAGACATCATGCCATTCATGAGGCATCTGCCCTCATGACACAAACCACCCCCCCACAGGTTCCACCTCTAACACTGGGGATCACATTTCAACATGAGATTTGGGGGGACAAACATCCAAAGTGAGTTAAGAACTCCTGTTAATAAGGCTCAAGTAACTAGAAAGAAGGAGGAATCATTTATTAGGTTCTGCATAGGACAGAAAGGAATTGTTCCAAGGAGTTGAGACCTTGGTTATGGGCATGTTAATGTTAGAGTGAGATGCCCGGAAAGCAGTTAGAAATGTAAGTCCTGATGTTGCAGGAGACATATGCGTCAGAGATATAAATCTGTAAGTCATCAGCAAGTAATGGCATTTAAAACCATATACTCAGAAAGATTACTACTGTAGGTGCGAAGTACTGGAAGTAAATAAGAACCCTTCTCCAACTTTTTCTACTCAGCTAAATCACACCAGGGTCTACCTCTGGAAAACAGGTATTGAGGTGGAGTCCATCAGCATAGTGCTGGGGATGTTTCTTATGGAATCACATTATCTCTGTTTAATAAGAAGGGTCATTTGGAAATCTCTATATGTTTTTCAGAAAATAAAATCTAGGTACTAGTTACTAAATGTCTTCACTTGCTGAAACTTTTAGATAGTCCAAGGAGCTTTTGGGAAAATGAATACGGCAGTGAGAAAAAAAAAATGAAGCTAAACATCTGGGAACATTTGTATAACATTTCATTGATGTAAATGCTACATGAAGATGAGTTTTTAATGAAAAACAAACAAAAAAAGTAATATGTATTTTTCACCAATACTGTATATGTGGTGAGAAAAAGGAACTTAAATTGTAGCATAAAAGGTTTAGGAGAGACATAAAGAAGGTTTCTCTGATTTAAAATATCACTGAACATTAAAATGGCTCTCCAAGAAAAGGCTTTGAAAAACCCTTTGCAGAAGAGATGTTAATATTTGATCATCCTCATCTCTCACCATTGACAAGATAGTTCTGCCTTACTTTCGATTAAGTTCCTTTATATATTCTTAAGATTTACTTGATTTATACAGCTTCACTTTGTGCTAAAATTACATCTACTTTCTTTTTGTAAACTTGCTATATTTTTTGCATTAAGACCTAGTTATCAAGAAAGTTGGTTTTCCAAGAATAGTTAGTACTAGTCCAGAAGAATTTGTGTCGTGGGGAAACAATGTTATTAATCCAAACACTTCTAGATGTTGTAGTATTAGTGTGATCATTCTGTAAGTGGAATATATTATTGGGTTAAGATATGTTATTATTAGACAAATAATGTATTCTTTGACAATACTAATTTAATAAAATATGTAGAATTTTTGGATGACTTTTTAAAATCTGTGCTGCTTTCTCTTATTTCAACTTTACTAGTTTTAAACATTAGTACCTCAAACTTTGTCTCTAGAGCCTGAAGAAGTCTTCTAAAATGCTTCATATTTTATCTGTTTTATTATTCAAGGTTTCTAACAGCTCTCATAGGAAATGCTACATCCTAAATAATGTTGTAGGAGTTGATTTGAAAGAGCTTATCCTCTTTCATGGCTGTGTGTTAAACTAGAATGAACACATTGAAGAAGTATGTTTTCTTACTTTTTCTTTCAAGCATCTCCTCATAAGGACATAAAGAGTGCCAAACCATCAATTAGAAAGAAAAATACTTTATCTGTTTTAAAATAATTGTTATCAAGCCAGTTATGGCCAAATAATATATAAAACAATGTTCAACTCCACTAACATTTATGAAAAGACAAATAAATACCAAAGTAATGTCACAATACACACTGGATTGGCAAATAATTTTTAAAGAATGTTTTAACATGGTTGAAGAAAATATTATTATGCATTATTATGTTGCTGGTGGGAGTATAAATTGGTAAAATAATTTTGAAAGCCATTAATATAATAATGTTAAGAAGAACATTCACATACCTACCACCTAGGGATTCCTCTCCTAAATTTTTACCTTGGAACACTTCTGGAGATCTGAACCTAGAAATTATGTGAGAAGGTTTATGACAAAACTCTTTATCTTGGAGAATAATAAATACAGGCATGTATGTTATAACTAAAAATACAGATGTCACACAGATATTGATCTGTAGAAAATGGACAAATATATCACATTATATATCAGTGAAAATAAATTAGTCACAATTCTATAGATGAATCCCACAACATAATGTTTTAGAAATAAAGTATATCATAGAAGATTACATATAGTATGATATACTTTTTATAAACTCAAAATAAAGCAAAACTCAATATTTTAGGCACATATGTATGTACATTAAGGGATAGCAAGGGAATGATTTAAAAATTTTAAAATTCATGATGGTTATCCCAAAATTATGGCACAGTATTTAATAGGTGAGGGAGATATTTATAATGCTACTTCTTAGTATAAATGATAGTTAAAAATCTGATCTTATAAATTTTTAAAAATGTATATGCGATTTTTACCTCAGAGGGAGATAATTACACAAAAACACAGCTACAAGAGGCTCGAACAAATTGAGGGTTATTACTGCAACAATCTATCACATTTATTTTTATATATTACTTTGCATATGTGCAATATTCAATAATAAAAGTGCTTAAATTTTTTAAAAATCAAATGATTAACACCTATGAAGTGATATATGTCAAGACCTCAAGATGTTCAATGGAAGAAGGGTTATTCTGGTTGGCGGGATCAAGTCAGGCTCTGTAGCAGAAAAAACAGTAAATATGGGATTAGAAGATATGCAGGCTTAGGGTTTTTGGAAGTCAGAATGCATTGCAATCTAATAGAAAATATAAGGATAAAGCAAAAAAGGGAAAGGAGTAAGGGGGGATTTGTTTATTTATTTATTTATTTTACTAAAACAACAAGGTTTAAATGACAGCAACAGGAAATAATACCCTGTATGTAGGAAAGAGTCAGATAAAACAGGACATGAATAATAGGAGAAAGGGTTTAAAGTTTGGGCGGCAATTAAAATCATTGAAGAATTGTATTTACGAGAATGACACAGAAAAACGTAAGGAAGAATTTTGTTGTACACTTTCAGTTGTCATTTCAGATCAATTTTTTCTCTTCATTATAGACATATAGCTGACCTATTGGAAACTAGCTGCTTACCTGGCAGCTAGTTCTGGTGCCGTAACTAAGTTCTCACTAAAGAATGGCAGAGGAAGTGTTGTGTGCTATATTTTTTTCATTTGGATAAAAAAAGTTGATTGTTTCTGTTTCCCTACCCTCCTACTGAAATGTGGGATATTTCAGTCAGTGGAGAGAGAGAAAGAGAGAAAGCGGGGGGGAGGGAGAGAGAGACAGAGAGAGAGAGAGAGAGACAGAGAAAGAGAAAGAAAGAGAGAAATACATAGAGTGAGAGAGATTTTTTTCTTACTTTGGCTTCTCTTCATTAGGGCATTCGCCATTGTAGCTAATACAAGTAATCAGGCTGCAGTGTGAAAACATATGTGTATAGTAGGGAACCACAAATCTTGGCAAGAATAACAAAAATGATTTATATGGATGTCAATTATTATATATTTGTAAAGGCTGCATGAAAGACTGTTGAGAAAGGTCTTAGGGTAAGTTTACACATTAAAACTAATTAAAAAGCTGAAGTTCACTAACAATGTCACTACCTTAATTCCAGCCTGTAGTGTTTCTCATCACCCTTACTACAGTATGATGACCTCCTAACAAGCATCCACTTTCATTCTTGTCCATGGCAGATCACCCAAGAATTAGTTAAGTTCTGCCACCAGAATAATTTATCCAAAATGTGACTCGGATTATGTCATTCTCTTGCTTAAAATTCTTCAGTTACTTTCTACCACCTATTTAAAAAAAAATCCTAGATTTCTAACATACAAGACTCAGTGTCCTGGAGTGTGTTTTCTCATTTTTAACTGAGAATAATAACAAAAACTACCTGATTGTTCTTGTGAATATTTGTAATAATATTTTCAAATATAGTTCTTGGCACAAAGAGGAAAATTAGTGAATGGTAGCTATAATTCTGATGGCATGAGAATCTTGCGCAAACTCCATTAAAATTTACCATGGAGTATGACTGTAGGAAGCAAGAAGTTATTAAGGCAAACAAATTGGCTAAGAGAGTTCGCTGCATACAAACCAGCCTTGAAGAAAGCCATTTTAATAATAGAATTAATAGTACAATATCTTTGAGATGATTTTTTGAATAACTGATCAAGTTTCCTGAGTTTCTGATATTATCAGGGTATAATGATATTCTGAAGATAAGTCTTTCTGTAGCATCCTGAACATGTTTGCACAACTTTCCTCCTGAATTCCAGACAGTTCAAGTCCATATTAATCAGGCCAGTGAAAAGAACACGGAGATGGTACTTTATTACCTTCAAATGAAGCTACTTGATTCTTGAAAAATATAGATTACTTATTTTAAAGAAACTGAACATTTTCTTAGCCAAACATTGGTTATTTGCTATTTGGTAATGCATGAGATGGGAAGTCAGAAACCCTAATACTGTAAGATTATTCTTGATTCTTCTTAGGATCCTTGTGAAAGTAATAAGCTCATTATAGAAACTCTGGAATTGGAATCTAAACAATTTCAGGGAGGAGAAATTGTTTAGATAATTGTGGATAAACATCTAAATGTGTTCAAAGTAATTGCTAAAACTATTGAGATTTGTTCATCTTCATTGTTTACCTTCTGTCACATTGCATGTATATAGCCTGTAAGGAAGAATGTTTAAAAATGAGGTGATGTAATAAAGCCGAAAATGTAGAAAGAAAGAAATAGTGTAAATACTACCCTAGCTTTAATTAGAGAATGGATGGGAGACAGGAAGCCAGGTAGGAGAATATCCATTCCCAACACACTTTGTTATTCTTTGCTCTTCGGTTATTGCATTCATACTGTTGTGCACTGGTGTCTACTAAGGCCCTCATTAAAAGGTGATGCTCGAATGTTGGCCTGCAGTACCGCACACATTCCTACAAAGAATGAGCCTCAGACATCACATTCTCCTAAAATACTTCCCCAAATAGGCAGATTGAAAGAGGTATTTTCTGAATGAGGCCTTTGTGAATCAAGAGAGGTTTGATTATATTAAAATTAATTGTGAATGTTTGCATAAGATCGTTAAGTGAGAAATGATATTACATGCGTTCAAAAGCAAATAAAAATTAACAGTGGGAAGTATGATGTCTCTTGGGGCCCATAGAGTTAGAAAAGGCAGCCAGAGGTAAAGCTGGAGGAGACTCTTATGTGCTCCAGGGAGGCTTATGGTATACTGTATTAATAGATCCAGTTGTTTATCATTCCCTGCATCTATACCCTTTGCTATTGAACTTTGAAGTTTCTCTCACTAAAAAGGTGAAGTGTGTTTTTCCACTCCTCGCCTTTGTACTGGACCACATGACTTACTTTATCCAATGGAAGTTTGAAGGGTGTCACATGAATAAATCCTTGAAAAACACTTGTATGATTGTGAGTAATAAGTGATTGTTTGTGGATTCTGCTGTGATTTTAGTGGTTGGTTGTTACACAGCCTTATTGTGGCCTTAGCTTACTGTTACAGAGCTATAAACATAAGTTATTATTTTGCTTCATGAGGTTTCTTCTCATTGTCAGTGGTGAAAGACACTGTTTTTCTTTTTTTGTTTTTCTTTTTAATTTTATTAATATTATACTTTAAGTTTTAGGGTACATGTGCACAACGTGCAGGTTGGTTACATATGTATACATGTGCCATGTTGGTGTGCTGCACCCATTAACTCATCATTTAGCATTAGGTATATCTCCTAATGCTATCCCTTCCCCCTCCCCCCACCCCACAACAGTCCCCGGTGTGTGATGTTCCCCTTCCTGTGTCCATTTGTTCTCATTGTTCAATTCCCGCCCATGAGTGAGAACATGAGGTGTTTGGTTTTTTGTCCTTGCAATAGTTTGCTGAGAATGATGGTTTCCAGTTTCATCTATGTCCCTACAAAGGACATGAACTCATCCTTTTTTTATGGCTGCATAGTATTCCATGGTGTATATGTGCCACATTTTCTTAATCCAGTCTATCATTGTTGGACATTTGGGTTGGTTCCAAGTCTTTGCTATTGTGAATAGTGCTGCAATAAACATACATGTGCATGTGTCTTTATAGGAGCATGATTTATAATCCTTTGGGTATATACCCAGTATTGGGATGGCTGGGTCAAATGGTATTTCTAGTTCTAGATCCTTGAGAAATCTCCACACTGACTTCCACAATGGTTGAACTAGTTTACAGTCCCACCAACAGTGTAAGAGTGTTCCTATTTCTCCACATCCTCTCCAGCACCTGTTGTTTCCTGACTTTTTAATGATAGTCATTCTAACTGGTGTGAGATGGTATCTCATTGTGGTTTTGACTTGCATTTCTCTGATGGCCAGTAATGATGAGCATTTTTTCATGTGTTTTTTGGCTGCATAAATGTCTTCTTTTGAGAATTGTCTGTTCATATCCTTCGCCCATTTTTGATGGGGTTGTTTGTTTTTTTCTTGTAAATTTGTTGGAGTTCATTGTAGATTCTGGATATTAGCCCTTTGTCAGATGAGTAGGTTGCAAAAATTTTCTACCATTCTGTAGGTTGCCTGTTCACTCTGATGGTAGTTTCTTTTGCTGTGCAGAAGCTCTTTAGTTTAATTAGATCCCATTTGTCAATTTTGGCTTTTGTTGCCATTGCTTTTGGTGTTTCAGACATGAAGTCCTTGCCCATGCCTATGTCCTGAATGGTATTGCCTAGGTTTTCTTCTAGGGTTTTTATGGTTTTAGGTCTAACATGTAAGTCTTTAATCCATCTTGAATTAATTTTTGTGTAAGGTATAAGAAAGGGATCCAGTTTCAGCGTTCTACATATGGCTAGCCAGTTTTCCCAGCACCAGTTATTCAATAGGGAATCCTTTCCCCATTTCTTGTTTTTCTCAGGTTTGTCAAAGATCAGATAGTTGTAGATGTACCGCATTATTTCTGAGGGCTCTGTTCTGTTACATTGGTTTATAACTCTGTTTTGGTACCAGTACCATGCTGTTTTGTTTACTGTAGCCTTGCAGTATAGTTTGAAGTCAGGTAGTGTGATGCCTCCAGCTTTGTTCTTTTGGCTTAGGATTGACTTGGCAATGCGGGCTCTTTTTTGGTTCCATATGAACTTTAAAGTAGTTTTTTTTTTCCAATTCTGTGAAGAAAGTCATTGGTAGCTTGATGGGGATGGCATTGAATCTATAAATTACCTTGGGCAGTATGGCCATTTTCACAATATTGACTCTTCCTACTCATGAGCATGGAATGTTCTCCCATTTGTTTGTATCCTCTTTTATTTCGATGAGCAGTGGTTTGTAGTTCTCCTTGAAGAGGTCCTTCACGTCCCTTGTAAGTTGGATTCCTAGGTATTTTATTCTCTTTGAAGCAATTGTGAATAGGAGTTCACTCATGATTTGGCTCTCTGTTTGTCTGATATTGGTGTATAGGAATGCTTGTGATTTTTGCACCTTGATTTTGTATCCTGAGACTTTGCTGAAGTTGCTTATCAGCTTAAGGAGATTTTGGGCTGAGACGATGGGGTTTTCTAGATATACAGTCATGTCATCTGCACACAGGAAAAATTTGACTTCCTCTTTTCCTAATTGAATGCCCTTTATTTCCTTCTCCTACCTGATTGCCCTGGCCAGAACTTCCAATACTATGTTGAATAGGAGTAGTGAGAGAGGACATCCCTGCCTTATGCCAGTTTTCAAAGGGAATGCTTCCAGTTTTTGTCCATTCAGTATGATGTTGGCTGTGGGTTTGTCATAGATAGCTCTTATTATTTTGAGATGCGTCCCATCAATACCTAATTTATTGAGAGTTTTTAGCATGAAGGGTTGTTGAATTTTGTCAAAGGCCTTTTCTGCATCTATTGAGATAATCATGTGGTTTTTGTCTTTGGTTCTGTTTATATGCTGGATTACATTTATTGATTTGCATATGTTGAACCAGCCTTGCATCCCAGGGATGAAGCCCACTTGATCATTGTGGATAAGCTTTCTGATGTGTTGCTGGATTCACTTTGCCAGTATTTTATTGAGGATTTTTGCATCAATGTTCATCAAGGATATTGGTCTAAAATTCTCTTTTTTTGTTGTGTCTCTGCCCGGCTTTGGTATCAGGATGATGCTGGCCTCATAAAATGAGTTAGGGAGGATTTCCTCCTTTTCCATTGATTGGAATAGTTGCAGAAGGAATGGTACCAGCTCCTCCTTGTACCTGTGGTAGAATTCGGCTGTGAATCCATCTGGTCCTGGACTTTTTTTGGTTGGTAGGCTATTAATTATTGCCTCAATTTCAGAGCCTGTTATTGGTCTATTCGGAGATTCAACTTCTTCCTGGTTTAGTCTTGGGAGGGTGTATGTGTTGAAGAATGTATCCATTTCTTCTAGATTTTCTAGTTTATTTGCATAGAGGTGTTTATAGTATTCTCTGATAATAGTTTGTATCTCTGTGGGATCAGTGGTGATATCTCCTTTGTCATTTTTTTATTGAGTCTATTTGATTCTTCTCTCTTTTCTTCTTTATTAGTCTTGCTAGCAGTCTATCAATTTTGTTGATCTTTTCAAAAAACCAGCTCCTGGATTCATTGATTTTTTTGAAGGGTTTTTTGTATCTCTATTTCCTTCAGTTCTGCTCTGATCTTAGTTATTTCTTGCCTTCTGCTAGCTTTTGAAGGTGTTTGCTCTTGCTTCTCTAGTTCTTTTAATTGTGATGTTAGGGTGTCAATTTTAGATCTTTCCTGCTTTCTCTTATGGGCATTTACTGCTATACGTTTCCCTCTACACACTGCTTTGAATGTGTCCCAGAGATTCTGGTATGTTGTGTCTTTTTTCTCGTTGGTTTCAAAGAACATCTTTATTTCTGCCTTCATTTTGTTATGTACCCAGCAGTCATTCAGGAGCAGGTTGTTCAGTTTCCATGTAGTTGAGCAGTTTTGAGTGAGTTTCTTAATCCTGAGTTCTAGTTTGATTTCACTGTGGTCTGAGAGACAGTTATAATTTCTGTTCTTTTACATTTGCTGAGGAGAGCTTTAGTTCCAACTATGTGGTAAATTTTGGAATAAGTGTGGTGTGGTGCTGAGAAGAATGTATATTCTGTTGATTTGGGGTGGAGAGTTCTGTAGATGTCTATTAGGTCTTCTTGGTGCAGAGCTGAGTTCAATTCCTGGATATCCTTGTTAACTTTCTGTCTCATTGATCTGCCTAATGTTGACAGTGGGGTGTTAAAGTCTCCCAACATTATTGTGTGGGAGTCTAAGTCTCTTTGTAGGTCTCTAATGACTTGCTTTATGAATCTAGGTTCTCCTGTATTGGGTGCATATACATTTAGGATAGTTAGCTCTTCTTGTTGAATTGATCCCTTTACCATTATGTAACAGCCTTCTTTGTCTCTTTTGATCTTTGTTGGTTTAAAGTCTGTTGAATCAGAGACTAGGATTGCAACCCCTGCCTTTGTTTTTGATTTGCTTGGTAGATCTTCCTCCATCCCTTTATTTTGGGCCTATGTGTGTCTCTGCACGTGAGATGGGTTTCCTGAATACAGCACACTAATAGGTCTTGACTCTTTATCCAATTTGTCTGTCTGTGTCTTTTAAATGGAGCATTTAGCACATTTACATTTAAGGTTAATATTGTTATGTGTGAATTTGATCCTGTCGTTATGATGTTAGCTGGTTATTTTGCTCATTCGTTGATGCAGTTTCTTCCTAACCTTGATGGTCTTTATAATTTGGCATGTTTTTGCAGTGGCTGGTACCAGTTGTTCCTTTCCATGTTTTGTGCTTCCTTCAGGAGCTCTTGTAATGCAGGCCTGGTGGTGACAAAATCTCTCAGCATTTGCTTGTCTGTAAAGGATTTTATTTCTCCTTCACTTATGAAGCTTAGGTTGGCTGGATGTGAAATTCTGGGTTGAAAATTCTTTTCTTTAAGAACGTTGAATATTGGCCCCCACTCTCTTCTGGCTTGTAGAGTTTCTGCTGGGAGACCAGCTGTTAGTCTGATGGGCTTCCCTTTGTGGGTAACCTGACCTTTCTCTTTGGCTACCCTTACCATTTTTTCCTTCATTTCAACTTTGGTGAATCTGACGATTATGTGTCTTGGAGTTGCTCTTCTCGAGGAGTATCTTTGTGGCATTCTCTGTATTTCCTGAATCTGAATGTTGGCCTGCCTTGCTAGATTGGGGAAGTTCTCCTGGGTAATATCCTGCAGGGTGTTTTCCAACTTGGTTCCATTCTCCCCGTCACTTTCAGGTACACCAATCAGACATAGATTTGGTCTTTTCACTAGTCCCTTATTTCTTGGAGGCTTTGTTCATTTCTTTTTATTCTTTTTTTCTCTAAACTTCTCTTCCTGCTTCATTTCATTCATTTCATCTTCCATCACTGATACCCTTTCTTCCGGTTGATCGCATCGGCTACTGATGCTTGTGCATTCATCACGTAGTTCTCATGCTGTGGTTTTCAGCTCCATCAGGTCCTTTAGGGACTTCTCTGCATTGGTTATTCTAGTTAGCCATTCGTCTAATTTTTTTCAAGGTTTTTAACTTCTTTGCCATTGGTTCAAACTTACTACTTTAGCTTGGAGTAGTTTGATCTTCTGAAGCCTTCTTCTCTCAACTCATCAAAGTCATTCTCCATCCATCTTTGTTCTGTTGCTGGTGAGGAGCTGCATTCCTTTGGAGGAGGAGAGGCGCTCTGATTTTTAGAGTTTCCTGTTTTTCTGCTCTGTTTTTTCCCCATCTTTGTGGTTTTATCTACCTTTGGTCTTTGATGATGGTGATGTACAGATGGGTTTTTGGTGTGTATGTCCTTTCTGTTTGTTAGTTTTCCTTCTAACAGTCAGGACCCTCAGCTGCAGGTCTGTTGGAGTTTGCTGGAGGTCCACTCCAGACCCTGTTTGCCTGGGTATCAGCAGTGGTGGCTGCAGAACAGCAGATATTGGTGAACTGCAAATGCTGCTGCCTGATCGTTCCTCTGGAAGTTTTGTCTTAGAGGAGTACCTGGTCGTGTGAGATGTCAGTGTGCCCCTACTGGGGGGTGCCTCCCAGTTAGGCTGCTCAGGGGTCAGGGACCCACTTGAGGAGGCAGTCTGTCTTTTCTCAGATCTCAAGCTGCATGCTGGGAGAACCACTACTTTCTTCAAAGCTGTCAGACAGGGACATTTAAGTCTGCAGAGGTTACTGCTGCCTTTTGTTTGCCTATGCCCTGCCCCCAGAGGTGGAGCCTACAGAGGCAGGCAGGCCTCCTTGAGCTGTGGTGGGCTTCACGCAGTTTAAGCTTCCCGGCTGCTTTGTTTACCTACTCAAGCCTCGGCAATGGCAGGCACCCTTTCCCTAGCCTCTCTGCTGCCTTGAAGTTTGATCTCAGACTGCTCTGCTAGCAATGAGCGAGGCTCTGTGGATGTAGGACCCTCCGAGCCATGTGCGGGATATAATCTCCTGGTGTGCCATTTGTTAAGCCCTTTGGAAAAGCGCAGTATTAGGGTGGGAGTGACCTGATTTTCCAGGTGCCGTCTGTCACCCCTTTCTTTGACTAGGAAAGGGAATTCTCTGACCCCTTGTGCTTCCTGGGTGAGGCAATGCCTCGCCCTGCTTCAATTCATGCACGGTGCACTGCACCCACTGTCCTGCACCCACTGTCCGGCACTCCCCAGTGAGATGAACCTGGTACCCCAGTTGGAAATGCAGAAATCACCTGTATTCTGCATCGCTCACACTGGGAGCTGTAGACTGGAGCTGTTCCTATTCGGCCATCTTGGCTCCACCGACTGACACTTTGTTGATATAAGAAAGGCTCTCAATGTAAATATTACTATGCTCTCATTTCTCAGCAATGTTAGCTCTGGGCAAGCACAGAGATCAATGTATTTTACAGCTTATTTCTAGAATAAATATATGTTTATTTTTCCATAGGAATGAAACTCAAGATCTACTTTTAAGATGACAGTCCATATTACATTTATAATAAAAGAGGAAGAAACTAAAGTTAATTTTGCTGTTCATATCAAGTAAATTTCATTATGGTTGTCAAATCAGAAGTGATTATTATAATATTCTTTAAACCAACAACATTTACTTACAGTTGAAACTACTTTCACATTATCTCTTATTCTTTAATTTTGCAGAAAGTAAATGTATAGTCCTATATCATGTACTTTATCTTCCATGAGTACTTATGGCAATTAAGAACAACTAATGTGTTTCTGTTGAAAGTTCTCAAAATGTCACTTTGGGGGACCTAAAGATTAAATTATTTCCCAAAAATATTTTTAAAATTTCTTTTTAAGTAAATACTTAGTAAAGATCTTGGGGGAAAAAGGAGAGTTTATAATTTAATTACATGGTAGAAAAATCCTGAGACTTAGATATTGTCTCTTACTAGCTAATATATTTTGTTTTATAATTTGTGTACCTGTATACAACTATATATTCATATATACAGATATCTGTTTCTTACCTGTATAGTTGTATTATACAGTTATTTGACTGTTTGTTGGCTGTTTATGTTTTAAGTAACATAAGGTTATTTTTGACATGACTGATTATTTTTTGGGTGAGAGATATAAGATTAAAACTTCATTTACAAACTCAAAACACTTATAACTGGAAATTTTTCTGGAAGAGTATACTATAGTGAAAGAAATCCATTAGGAAAGTATTCACTTGGTGACATCCTTCAAGGGCTGGTCCTGGAAAATATGTAGAATAGAAAGACTATGTCCCTCTTTGTCTGCCCCTAGCCCTCTTGCTAAGATAATAATTTTTTCTTAGAACAGCATACCAATTCAGATTCCTTCCCTCTCAGGTAATTGGAAGTCTCATATTTCTTGCTAGTCCAGTTTAGGAATGTCTGCATGGGTCTCTGAGGCCAGAAATTCCTTTTGTCTCTTCTCTATTATCCTTAAAAAACCAAATACCATGTATCACTAGGTGTCATTCTTGATTGGTTCTGCTCTCAGTATGTTTATGTCTGGGAAGTTGTAAGGGTGAGATCATTAATTCAGTGTTTCATCTTACCTCAAGTAATAGATTTCAGTGTCAATAAAATGAAGACTAAATATGAAGTTACAAACTTCAGATACAAATTGAAACTGATACATTTGATAACAGGAAATTTGGAAACTATTCAGTGGAGAAGAGATTTTGTACAGTTGGGTAATATGGAGATACAAATGGGGTCAGTTACTGGACTTTTCTTGGCCAAGACTTGATCCTGAAGGATTTACTTTCTGTAATATTGAGTTTGAACCCCTAGCTATGTTCTTCCTTATAAAAGTCCAACCAATGGCATTGTGTCTGTAGCTCCATGGCAAAAACAACATTAGCTGCTACAAAAAACAAAACAAAACAAAAAAACCAACAAACTTCTGAAACAGGAGCAGCAATGATAAACTAATAAACTATTGATAATTGGCTAAAAGTTCTGTATGCCACATAAAACCAATGAAAAGTGAGTTAATAAGTGCCATAGGCCTGGCACAATGGCTCATGCCTGTAATCCCAGCACTTTGGGAGGCCTAGGCAGGCAGATCATCTGAGGTCAGGAGTTCGAGTCCAGCTTGGCCAACGTGGTGAAACCCCATCTCTACTAAAAAATACAAAAATTAGCCGGGCATGGTGGCATACGTCTGTAATCCTAGCTACTTGGGAGGCTGAAGCAGGAGAATTGCTTGAACCTGGGAGGCGGAGGTTGCAGTGAGCTGAGATCACGCCACTGCACTCCAGCCTGGGTGACAGAGTGAGACTCCCTGTGAAAACAAAAACAAAAACAAAAACAAAAACAAAAACAAATAAATGCCATAGCAGTTTTTTTTGTTAGCAGAGGAAGAATACTACAAATCCTTAAGAGAAGTATTTCAAAAGCAATAGAGAAAGACCTATAAAATATTGGTCATTGGATTATATTAATCGTTTCAATTAGTCTTGAATGTTGATGAGGATCTTTTAAAAATCATATATTAACATTTTAAAATTTTGACTGAAGTAATTTTGGCTTACGAAAAGGGTCAATCTAGTTGAATCATGATTGCTGTCTTCTAGATTTCAGCAACTAAATTGACAAACCAGAGACATAGAGCCAATTTATCAGCATTCTGTTAGGCTGCTAAAACTTCCATTTTACCACAAAATCTGTGGATACAATTTCAAACCTAGGAAAATTAAGCATAAATATCTTAAAGATTTAAATTTGAGTATCTTCGGGGGAAATTCTTACAAAGAAATATAACTTAATTACTCAATTACCATAAATAGATACAACTTGATTGTGTTATTTAATTATAATATAAGTTAGAATAGTTTCTAGGATAGCAAAATAGTTTTATTTTGTCAATGGAATCTTATTTTCAAACCAACAATTCCAAATCTAAGATTATATAAAGTGTCAATATGAAAATTAAATTTCAAGCTCATTTCTTATACCAATGAGAGTCTTGAATTCTCATTACACAATTGTCTGAATTTTATATTAATATGAGTAAAATGAAAGATAGGTGAAATAATAAACAGCTGGTTAAATGTTTATGTATTTAACTACCACATTGATCTGATTACTTTTTTTATGGTGAAGATGATATGTAATCTAGTTTCTCAAACAAAAACTGAAGGAAACATCTTTGTAAAATCAGGAAGAGTGTGTCGGTAGGAAGAAATCTGTGAGTTAGATTGGGCATTTTGTCGGTCCTAAATTTTCAAGATAACTATTTAATCAACCATAGCACCTGTTGAACCTGCTTATCTCTAATAATCTAATTGCAAGAATTACGTTATTATAAGACTTATAATGAAATCAAAGAACTCAAATAATATATTTAATATCTTATGTTTACAAAGATATATGTATATTTTATATTTAGGTTCTTATAAGTGTCCTACACTATGAGACTATAAGCTATCTGAAGGCAAAGATTGTTTGTGAATACGCACAGTACTATTTTTCTTTATTTCTAGCATCCGGACAGGTGCCAACATTTTATAGACATAATCAAATTATAAACGCATTAGTAGGCAAAAGGATGCATTAGTTAAATAACTTCATTTAGGTTGTTTCATTTATTAGGTTAAGGGCAGAGATTCAGACATCAAAATGGGTGTTATTGGAATTTTGCCTTGAGCTTAATACTTAGTATTTAAATGAGTATCTTTTTTTGTTAACTTTTCAAATCCAGAATTAATTATCCATCTCTTAGCCTTTGATTTTTTAATACCATTTATACTGTTTTCTGGCACCAGACTCACAATAGCCCAGATATTTTCCTCTCTAGGACACTGTATTACTCACGACCTTTGATTATATCTTTAATCAGGTGTCATCACTTCATGGTATAAGCTGTTTGATTCCCACCTTGGAAAAAGACTTTTGCTGCCTTCTACTTCATTTCATTTCTCTGAAGAATGATTTCCCACCCCACATTTTCTTTGTTGTTCATATTTTATGGTGCAAGGAATAGAAATGGATTGTATTTTAGTCAAGATAAAACTCTTTTGGATAGAAAACTGGAAAGTAGGGTTATAGAGAATCAGTTGGTTGCTGGAGATCTAGGCTTGGAAATGGACATTTAGAGATGCATCGCCTCTCTATGATTCTGAATATATAATAGCTGAGTATCTAAAAGGAAGATTAGGTGAAGAGAGGCCTAGCGAATAATGTCACTGCTCATTTCAGAGCTCTGAATCCCTTTTGACAATCGTGTGCTCTCCCAACTTCAGGTGGAGAGCCAGAAATACCTGGGAATTTAACTATAACCAGAAAATATATAGGTGTGTCAGTATTAAAGTCTGAACCCCTTGTCATCAGTGGGACAACTCTGAGGCAGTACTTACACCATAGGACTCTCGTGCGGGATCAGGTCAAAGATGTTCTCCCATGGACTTTGCCTGAGAAGTCCAAAATTAGTTCCTTTGGGCTAAAATCAAAGTGTTGATAGTGCTGGATTCCTTTTGAAGGTTCTCAGAAAGAATCACATCCTTGCCATCCTTGCCTTCCATCTTCTAGAAGCCATATGCTTTCTGTGTTGTGGCTCTTTGCTTCATCTTCAAGGCCAGCAACATAGTATCTTCAACTCTTTCTCAGTCTCTGATACTCCTGCTTCCTTCTTTCACTTTTAAGGGCCCTTGTGATTAAATTTGGGCTACCTGGCTAATCCAGGATTATCTCACTATCTCAAGATCTTTAATTTATTCACAGCTGTAAGGTACATTTTGCCATGTAAGGTAATGTATTTACAAGTTCCAGAGATTAGGACTTGGACGTCTTTTGGTGTGGCAGTTTTCTGCCTTTCAGACTTGGCATTTTTCCTCCTCCTCCCCCATCCTGCTCCCTGTATTCCCATACCATTTCCCTAGGAGCATTTGTCAATAAATCACTTGCAGAAGACATGCTCAAGATGTGCTACCAGGGAACATGATCTAATACAGGGGGGCTAACAATGAAAAAGTGACAAACATCTATGAAAGTTGGGATGTATGATTGATTCAGGGTAGCTTCTGGTTTCCATGTTTATTTCTCCTCTTGCACACTGTTTCATCAAAATGGTTAGGATCAGCATTTTAAAATACAATAATGGTGTTGGGAAACAGAAAAAAGTGCTACCAGTGGACCAGAAAGTTTTAACAAACCCTGGAAACCAAAAAGTAGGTGGAATGGGATTAATGGAGAAAACAGAGCAGAAGAATTCAAGCCAAGATTCCAGAAGTGAGAGCAATCAATCCTGATGGAGCCCATGAGAAATTCTAAACTCAATGACATCAACACAAAGAATAGGAGAGGGTCCTGGGAATCATCATGGAAATTAATTAATTAAACAACTGCTTTATTAATAGCTGGGCCTAGAGAGACCTTTTCCTTTCTCCTCCTCTGGAATATATGCAGATGATATGGCTGACAGCAGTAGTATTTGCCTCCAAGCTAGAACCTAACACTTGTCTGGAGAGGTATTCTAGAATGAGTTTTGGCCTGAGAGAGAAGTAGAGAAGGATGTGGTGGGGTCGGGGGAGGGGGGAGGGATAGCATTGGGAGATATACCTAATGCTAGATGACACATTAGTGGGTGCAGTGCACCAGCATGGCACATGTATACATATGTAACTAACCTGCACAATGTGCACATGTACCCTAAAACTTAGAGTATAATAATAAAAAAAAAAAATTCACACAGCTGTACAAACAAATAATGACTGAAAAAAAAAAAAAAAAAAAGAAATAGCTCCAGACATTTACTTCAGACACCAAGAAAATATCAAGTAAAAGAAGAAAACAAAAATTTCATCTAGTAGTGAAATACAGTAAAATACTTTATCTCCAGAGTAAAACTCTTCTTAATTTGATAATTGAAGGGATCTCTAGCCTACCTGCTCCATACCTAAGCACCCTACAGTGGTATTGATTTGTTGACATGACCCTGCTCTCTAAGAGAAATCAGTGGTTGGCCCTCTCATTTAAAGGAGAAGCTCTTGGGAAAATAGGTAAACACAACCAGAGAGAAAATTCTATGACTCAACTTTGTACATGTTGAGAACTAGGAGCTAAGATCAACACATATTTGGGGGAAGAAAAACCACAAAATAAAAGAAAGAAGAAAATATATCCATCAAATCCAGAGGAATCAAAAGTGATATATGGAATAATGAGAATTTTTCATATTTCTAATAGTTATATTCCAGGGCTTCCCAACGTTGCCACTGTTGACTTTCAGGGCCAGATAATTCTTTTTTACAGGGGGCTGTCCTAGGAATTAATTATTAGCTATTTAGTAGCTTTCGTGGCCTCAACCCACCAGATAACAGTAGCAACCCTCACAATTGTGACGAGCAAAAATGTCTCCAGATGTTGCCAAATATCTTGGGATTGGGGGGAATTCTCTTAAGAAACACAGGGTATTTTTACAGAGATTTGAGATATCAATAAATTAAAAACAACTTGTTCCTAAAAATAAACGATTAGATATCAAGACAAAAATGACAAATATTATCTCCAACAATGAGACAAAACAAATGAATAAACTAAATAATACAATGGGTTAGGCTAAAAAACCAAGCTAGTGATCTACAACATAAACACAAAGAACTCCCCAAATGCAAAGCTAAAGACAGATATTAAAGCATGAGAGAAAGTAAAAGAGAAATGATAGATCTTGGAGATCATTTTATAAAATATCCAGAAGCAGAGAAAAGAGATGGTAGAAATCAATCAAGTATACATATATATATATTTTTCCAAGCTGCCGTAAGACATAGTTCTTCAAATTGAAAGGACTCCCAATTGCCAAAAGGGATAGACTAAGAGATACCTACATCTAAATGCTTTTAGGTGAAAAATTAAAATCTACCGAAAAGAAAAAAATTTCCAACACCCATTAGAGATCAAGAAATAGCTTACATACAAAGAAATTAAGATCAATTAATGACTAATAGAGGACATGAGAAAAAATACAATGTCTTCAATTAAAAACATATTTTAAACTTAAATTTTCATATCAAGCCACTCTATCAAGAAAGCAAGAGTATAAAATAAAAACATTTAAAAGTATATAACCCAGAATATTTCCACTCATTTATTCCTAATAAAAAAGTTACATAAGAAAAGTAAATTCCTTAAGTAATTTAATTTCTAAAAAAATTTACTTAAAAAAAGTAAGGACAGTAAGGAAGAAAAATGGAAAATAAAAAAGGGCCATAAAAAGAGGAAGTCTTCAGGTACAAGAAGAATGATAGCTGATTACAACTATAAAAATATTAGCAGAGAATTTACCAGACCTTTGTGTTTGAGACATTCATTTTTGGGTTTCAGGAACTTAGTGACAAGCATGCATTTCCTCCCCTAGGTACTTAGTCTCATTTCTTTATTCTTTATTACGTTGCATTCATTAATATATAACCATAATAAACTAAATTCTATTTTTATTTTAAAATATTTAAAATCATTCAACAAATTAAAATTGAACTTCTGACAGAATGCTGAGTCAATAAAACTTAAGAATATAAAATACAGCTGTAGCTGTTCCAGTTACCTGTTGCTGACCCAAAGCCTGATAACTTAAAACAACAATAATCATGTTATTGTCTCTCATGTTTCTGGGTTGACCAGGTTCTGCTAGGTGTTCTCAAGCTGGGTCTCTCGTCATTACAGCCAGATGATGATGGGGACAATAATCATCTCCAAAGCTTTCTTGTGAGTCTGGTGCTGGATCTGGCTGTCAGGAGGAACCTCAACTAGGTCTATTGGCTAGAACACCTAAACATAGCCTATACTTGTGATCTGGGTTTCCTCAGAGCATGCTGGCTGTATTCCAAGAATAAGCATCCCCAGAGAACCAGGAGAAAGCTGGTTGTCTTATATGACCTACCCTTGGAAGTCAAGTAGCAACACCTCTACTGTTTTCACAAGTCTGTGAGAGTCAAGGTGAGGGAAAAAACATCCCACATCTTGATGAGTGGAAAGTCAGCATCATGCTGTAAGATGAGAGGTGGGAGATCTTAATGAGGCTATCTTGGAAAATACAATCTGCCACAGTCACCAATATGAAGTATGTGAGTAAGTGGAGAAATGCGGTTTTGGTAAATTTCTCATCTTTTATAGTAGCTAAGCAATAGGTACATTCTACATCAAAATAGAGAAGTAAAAGAATATTTTTGGAAGTCATAAGTCTAGCATTGGAAGATGTAATAATAGGCAAGATTTACCAGTCCTGAAGTTAGAGAATTTGGTAGTGGAGTTATTTTTTAAAAAAGCTCTGTGCCAGTATTACTCTGTAAGAATGTCATATGAACTTTTACTTAGATATATAATAGAATATATTAATAACAAATTATGTGAACTTTTATTAATATAATACAATTTTGTAAAACAAAGCCAAAAAGTATAAGTTCAAGTATTCAACAATTGAGGTTATTTATTTCATCTCAAAAAACATATATTCACTGGGCAGCAACTGATTACATGACATTATATTAAAGTCAAGTCAAGTGATTTTAGGTATAGACAGCTGGAAGTGAAAGTTAACATTTATTTGGCCTAATTTCTGAGTTTTTCAATGGGAGACTATCTAAGAGGAGTTACAAAACAGATGCCTGCTTTGCCAGCTTCACACAATTTTTTTGGTCATAAAACAATTGCAGGCAGAATTCTAAAGATGTCCCCACAAGAGTCCCATCCTGGGTTACTTAATCACACTCTAATGTAGATATTGTTGTTAAGATGGAATTCTGCTTGCTAGTCAGGTGACTTTAAAATAGAGAGATTATCATGGAATATCTGAGTACACCCGAAGCAATCACATCGATATGGTTTGGCTGTGTCCCCACCCAAATCTCATCTTGAATTGTAGCTTCCATAGTTTCTACATATAGTGGGAGGGACCAAGTGGGAGGTAGCTGAATCATGGGAGTGGGTCTGTCCCATGCTGTTCTCATGATAGTGAATAAGTCTCAGAAAATCTGATGGTTTTATAAAAAGGAGTTCTGCTGCACAAGCTCTCTTTCCTGCCACCGTGTAAGACGTGCCTTCCTCTTTCACCTTCTGCCATGATTGTGAGGCCTCCCCAGCCATGTGACACTCTGAGTCCATTAAACCTCTTTTTCTTCATAAATTACCCAGTCTCAACTATGTCTTTATTAGCATCATGAGAACAGACTAATACACACATGAACTCTTAAAAGCAGGAAATGAAAATAGCAGAGCCAGACAGAGATGCAGCAGAAAAGGAAGGCTGGAGACTTGAGGCAGGAGAGGAGACTGAACTGTGAAAAATGGAGGAAGAGGGGCACAAGCCAGAAAATGTGGGCAGCCACTAGTAACTGAGAACAACCGTCAGCCAACAATCAGCAAGACATAAGAACTTCAGTTCTACAACCACAAGGAAATGTATTCTGCCAACAACCTGAATGAATCTGGAAGCAGATTATTTCCTAGAGCCTCCTGGTAAAAGCCTATCCTGCTGGCACTTTGACTGCAGCCTTGTAAAACTCAGAGAAACCAGTTGGGCCAACTTAGACTTCTGATTTATGAACTTAGAGATAAGCATTTTGTGTTGTTTTAAGCCAGAGTTTGTGGTTATTTATTATGGCAACAATAGAAAACTTATACAAATACTAAAACCAAAATCAAGGTCTTCTGACACCTTGTTTTGTTCTCCTTTAAATGGACAAAAGCTAAAAGAGATTGTTTTCTTCTCTCAAATTGTTTATAAGTTAATTTGCTTGGGGAAAAAATGTGCCCTGAAAAGAAAATATCAAAGGCAATCCAAAGTGGCAGTCCTTTATTTGACAGATGTTCTATAGGCCACCCTCAATAAATTTCTTAACACCAGCCTCAGACAATAGTTTGCATATTAGATGACTGTTCAGAAGCCTTCCCTGCTTTGCAGCCATATAATTTTCCCTGCCAGTTTCTATGCCTCTACTTTCTGATATGTTTTCTGGACTCCTGATTTGGACTTATCTCTAAAGCTCACTAAACTCTGTTTCTAGCTCAATTCTTGATTCCTTAAACTTCTCTTATTTCAGTAGCCCCCACATCTTTTGGTAAACACTTGTTCTATCTGCCTATTCTCTGGAATTCACTGAATGACCCACTCCCCTTCCCAATTGTGACTATTTGGCCCAAGCACCAAGTTTGATTAAAACTTCATTTTTAGCAATTATGGCTGACATTCTTAAAAGCAAGAAAAGGCTAGATTATAGAATTAAATTTTAAGTCAATAGAATATTTCTCAGACAAGTTAACATTTTCCTTTGTGAAACTGGCATTTTTTAAACAAGGGTCACACTATATAGACTGCAGGTACTGCAGTATATATGCTTCAGTGCATTCTATTTTGGCATGATTTATAGTCATGTCTACATATTAGTACTGTGACTGTGCATGTAAATGTGTAGAAATGAATGTGTGATTTCAAGTCATCAGTCTTTCAAATTTAAAAATATAAAACTAATTTGTTTGACTTAAGCAAAAATATGTAAATTGTTGAAAATTCACACAATGACAGTGCTGTATATATAGAAATAGGAAGCAGCTATGGATTTTATTGAAAACCAGAGTAAGCGCCATTAATAAATACTTCAAAAAAGCTAACAAACTCAAGTATTAAAATAAACATGCAAGACTCCACTATGTATGGAAAGAACGTTGCATCTTCCAGCTTTTATAAACAACTTCATCCCTTCCTCTCACTACTCATAAGCTTTTCTTTGTTAAATATCCTTCTCAGTTCCAGTCTATATTTATATTAATAATACGTATGTGTTATTAATAACATTTGCACAGGAAAGAGAACTCCATGCAAAGAAGTTTCTAAAAAGCAAAAGTATGTGTTCCAAAAGTCTGTACAAAGTTAGTTTTCTCTTTCTTGTCCCATCTTTCTTTTTTTCTCCTTCTTTTTCTTCTATGACAGAAAATCCCTTAGAGATATTTGGTTCAAGGGTAAAAATTAGCCCAGTACTTTCTCCTAAATCTTGGTGATTTCACAGTCTTTCATATGGTACACGTGTACTGACTTTAGACAATTTAATCATGTAAAAGGGTAGAAAATGTTATGCTTCCTCATTATTAAGATACATTCCCCTTAATTCTGATGCTTCTTTGGAAGAAAGTAGACTTTTATCCTTTGACCTCTTCTCCAAAAGAACACAATAATATATATAGGATATTGAAAATTACTTCCTTCTTTCATTAGTGTTGAAGATTTCTACAAATGTAAAGAGTAAGAGTTTGCAGAATGTATATTAATACACTAGGACTGGATCCCAATCAGCAGTATAAAGAGCTTCAAAGCCTTATGGGTCAGATTCTTGTGTTTTTATGTTTATTCCAGCCCTTTTGCCTTGTAAATCACATGTTTGAGATTGAATAAAACAAGTCATTTTTTTCCATGTGAAAAAACATTCATCAAATAGCATTTTCTGATACTAAAAAAAAAAGCGAAACACTATGCTGGTTTACTATCCACACAGATATTCTAAAACTAATCTTTCAGTGGTATTAACTCATTTTAGTTATATAGGTAACTAATACTTTTTGAAAGAATGAATAAAGATGATCTAAATTTGCAATTTTTTCTTTTCTTTTTTTTTTTTTTTGAGATGGAGTCTCGCTCTGTTGCCCAGGCTGGAGTGCAGTGGCGCGATCTGGGCTCACTTAAAGCTCCGCCTCCGGGGTTCACGCCATTCTCCTGCCTCAGCCTCCTGAGTAGCTGGGACTACAGGTGCCATCCACCACACCCGGCTAATTTTTTTTTTTTTTTTTGTATTTTTAGTAGAGACGGGGTTTCACCGTGTTAGCCAGGATGGTCTTGATCTCCTGACCTCGTGATCTGCCCGACTCAGCCTCCCAAAGTGCTGGGATTACAGGCATGAGCCACCGCGCAGGCCTATATTTGCAATTTTTAGCATTTCAATTGTCTAAAAGATATTTCTTTTAAATAGTCTCTTTTAGTTAATAAAATATGTAATCCTAAGAGTATCTCAAACGTTTAACATGTTCATTACTAAATTCATTTAGAAGCACTCCTACCATGGCAGCTATTTGAAGGAATGAAACTGATATTTAAATGTCAATTTTTATTTTGGAATCAATCTTATCGACTAAAATTACTTTCATATGCTCAATAAAGTCCTTTTGCGAAACTTCAGCAGTAACAATTTATACCATTTAAGAATTTCTTTAAGAAGAATAGACTAAGAATTAAAATCTAAATTTGAAGAATAAAATTGGTGATCAAATTCATAATGCTCTTTGATGCCCAAAATTAATAGATGAGAATGATTTCCTTTTGTGATTGGTGAACTTTCCTCAGAGATATTTAACATCATGGTTTTAAATATGGCAATTCTGATGGCTAACACTATGGAGGGCAGCATAAATTTGTTGTGCTGAATTTATGAGTTCTGTTGATTTAGTTAATTTAAAGCTTAATTTTTTCATTTTCATATGATAGTCATTCTTAGACAAAGTCATATCTTTCTCCTTTAAAAATGTACATGGAATAAAATTTATCTCTCAATTTACAACATATGTTTTTAATATAAACAAAAGACACGGTTCTACATGGATAAATAATTTAACTATTTAGAATTCATTTCCTTTCCTTTAGCTGCAGCATGGCCCCCTGAATAACATAAGTATAATTATAGTTCTCCCCCTTAATTACTTTCTCTGCATGCACATTGAACAATATAAATGTTGAAATGTAGCATTTTTGCATTTCCCAGAGTATTATTACATAGAAAAACCACTTCCACAGGACATTAATGTGTGTTCCAGGAAAAAAAAAAAGAGATTTGCAATATTTATTTGAAAAATACTGAATTAAGAAATTTAAACAGGTTTATTTATGGTAGGAATTCTGACTATTGTGCATTTTTGATTTTCAGAAGGGAAGTGTAATATTTATTACGTACCAAACAAGATTATTTGACAATGGAACTCTTTTACCTAGAGACTATCAAGATAGTACTGTTCTTCTGAATTTTTTTTATGAAACACTGACTTAAGGAATGCTGAAGGTATGCCTATTTTATTTATTCAGAAATAATTCTTGAATCATCTCTTACAAGTTTAAATAAGACAAAGTCTGTCCTCAAATAATTTGCAATTCATAAATGAATTCAAACGCAAATGACAACAACTGGCTACGTACAATTACAATTCATTATGGTAAAAGTAATAAGAATAATTAAAAATCTAATGAAACATACAAGAAGGAGGGAGAAAAGCAAAGAAAAAAAGACTGAATCTGGCTGAGGAAAAGGGGAAAATTCCTCCAGTAGTTGGTGCATCTGCTGACTGACTTTCTTTTTTTTTTTCTTTTTTGACAGAGTCTCAATCTGCTGCCCAGGCTGGAGTGCAGTGGCGCTATCTCAGCAACCTCCGCCTCCCAGCTCCCAGGTTCAAGTGATTCTCCTGCCTCAGCCTCCCGAGCAGCTGGGATCACAGACGTGCATCGCCATGTTCAGCTAATTTTTGTATTTTTAGTAGAGACAGTGTTTCATCATGTTGGCCAGGCTGGTCTCGAACTCCCGACCTCAGGTGATCCACCCACCTCAGCCTCCTAAAGTGCTGGGATTACAGGTGTGAGCCACTGCCGCTGACTTTCAAAGTATTTTCCAGAAGAAATAGGGAAGACATTTCACATGGGGAAATATAAAATGTTTTTGTAATGTTTGGAACTACAAAGGACCTAAAATCATAGTTATACAGTTCATGTATTAGAAATTATTCATCCTTCTGAATCATGTCCTGCTTGTTTAGAAATTCAATCACTCTTATAGTCTATATAACATACTATTTAACTACTGGTACGTTGAATATTGAAAAACCAGAAAACACTTGCAAACTCTATGCAACTCATGCTGAAGAATGAAACAAACTATATTAATATTTAAAACAATTACGTTGCAAAGTTGATACCTGTAAAAGAATACAGATTTGTATGGCAAAGGACTTGGAATTTTAATACATGTTTAATCTGATGGCTAATCTGGTCCTCTGGCCGCATGTCTATGGTGAACGGCAAGAAACCCAAATTTAATATTTCATTTGCCGAAAGATTTTTAGACCATTGGTCTCCAAACTTTTTAGAATCATGCACTCTTATCACTATAGTTTTGTAGCATGAACATACAATATGCATATATTTATTCATATATAAATTACATGCATAAACCACTGGAATGGCAGAAAATTATTGTTCATTATGCATACCCTAAATATACATTTAAAAGGTGAGCTAAACTGTTAGCTTTGAAATACGATTTTGAAATAAATTGATAAAATTGAAATCAGTATTTTTGAAATATAATATTTAAGGAATTTTTAATTTTTCTATTAATGGTAGAAACCATTTTAAATACCAACATTGTAGTAAGTGCAACATAACTAAATTTGCTTCATGAATTTTAGAATATTTGTTTAGTAATGTATGATACACCAATTTAAACATATCTTATGTTTATTTTCTTTTAACTTCATTCAGAGGGAGTATTTTATGATTTTGAGGGTGTTTTTGGCTTTCAAGCTTGGTTTTGCTGCCATTATAACTAGAAAATTCACAATGATACATAGATCAAAAATTTTTGCAATTTGGCTAGAAAATTTTCGTCTTCCTTGATTTCAATTGATTTTTCCTGAATATTCTTTTGAAGTTGTACCATTTTATTTTTATTTTCTATATCCATAGGTTATTGGGGAACAGGTGGTATTGGTTACATGAGTAAATTCTTTAGTGGTGATTTGTGAGATTTTGGTGCACCTATCACCGGGAAGTTGTATTATTTTAATAATGTTAATAAACTTGTTTAAAACCCATTGAAAATTTTCATTTGGAATGTTTGAAAAGTAGTTAACAATACTCTTTTCTCAAATTAATTTTATGTGTACACATAATTTTCATAGGTGAGGCACATTATTTTTTACCACAAATCTTGTAATGATAAAAATTTTCTAAAAGAATTTGAAAAATTCTCTCTTATGTCCTTTTTACAAACACTATTTTTACTTTGAAGGTTACATAAAATGTGTTTCTCACTCCCCATCCCCAAATATGTCTTTGGCAACATATAAATGTTGGTCAGTCATCTTTTGCAGAAAAGGGCAGCACATTTGAAACATTTGTCTTTTTGTAAAAGAAATATCCATAACTCATATTCTTTCCCTCCCTGAGGGCAATAATAATTTTTGTAATTGTAAAATAAGCCACATATGCAAAAGTGAATGAAAATTTACAAGTATAATTTTAAAACAATAAAAAATGTGTATATCCATATGGCCACTACCAAGTTAATAAATAAAACCTTGTACTCTAAAAGCTCCTTATCTATGACTTTACTTGCCCACTTCCAGTGCCTCCTCCTGCAACCAGTTAACCATAATATTGAATTTACTGGCTTTCCTCACAGATTTTATACATACATATATGTAGAAAATCATAAACAGTAGCTTATTTGGCTTTGAACTTTATATAAATAGAATCATACCATATATTTATTCGTGACTTCTTTTGCCCAATAGTACATCTCCATGATTTTAATGTACTGATGCCTATGATTCTCATTAACCCATTTTCACTATCAAATCATACTCCACTGTATAAATACACCACCACTTATTTGTCTATTTCTACTGCTGATGGACTTTAGGATTGTTCAAAAGTATTTTGTTTGGTTGGCCGGATGTTGTTTGTTTTGTTATTATTAACAAGGTTGTTATGAACTTTATTATGCATACCTTTGGGAAAACGTGTAAAAGCTTCTAACACCTAACTCTTGAGAAGTAGGCTTTCTTGGATACATGCTACATGCATGTTCAACCTTACTGTGTGATACATACCATATTCCAAATATGTTGCCCACTTTTTTACTTATGCCAGCAATAGTAAAATGATTCTTGTTGTTTCACGTTCTCATGGGCACATGGTATTGACAAATTGTGGATATGAAAGGGTATTTCATTTTGGTTTTAATTCTCATTTTCCTAATTACTACTAGGATTGGACATCTTTTAAGATTAGAGCCATTTTTGTATCCTACTCTGTTAAATTTCTATTAATTCCTTTTATGTAAAATGGTGGTAGCAGGGTATTTTATGCTTTCTTACTGATCTGTAGAAGTTAAATGTACATTCAGAATATGCCGGTGGCTCACGCCTGTAATCCCAGCACTTTGGGAGGCCGAGGCGGGCGGATCACGAGGTCAGGAGATCGAGACCACGGTGAAACCCCGTCTCTACTAAAAATACAAAAAATTAGCCGGGCGCAGTGGCGGGCGCCTGTAGTCCCAGCTACTCGGGAGGCTGAGGCAGGAGAATGGCGTGAACCCGGGAGGCGGAGCTTGCAGTGAGCGGAGATCGCGCCACAGCACTCCTGCCTGGGCGACAGAACGAGACTCCGTCTCAAAAAAAAAAAAAAAAGAATATGCAATATGAGTTAGAAATATATGTTCTTGAATTGTTGCTTACTTTTATATACTTTTTATGGTATTTTTGATGAGTATACCTTCTTAATTTTTCACATAGTAAAATGTATTATAGTATTTTATGCTTTTTAAAATTCTTTTTTGGGTCAAGTTTTATATTCAACAACTTCTTTAAATATTTTGTCATGCAGTAACTGGTGAATCTATGTGGGATACACAAAATTTTTCATGATCGTTTTCCATTTCATATCAGAGTTATAAAGATTCTGTTACTTATAATAATAAGAGCCCAAAATTCACATAAGCAAACAATGGCGTTCAATCTGTGGCAATATGCTGAAAACAAATGAGTGATCATGTGGCACTCACTCTCCCCAGGACTTACTATAATGCTAGATACAAGGGATATCAGTGTGAATGCATATATTTTATAATGTAAAAAAAAATTTTTTAAATTTGGGTCAAAATATAAATATAGCGTCGGTTTATTCCTGTGCGTTGTTGTGGATGGTCTTCTGCATCCTTTTGGATTCATGCACCTCATTTGGAGACCACCATTCAAGACAAGCTGTCTTAAAACCGAGGCACTCAGACCTTTGGGTCTGGACTTAAGCAGACCCAGAATTTTTAAAGGAATCGGGATCCATATCCTCAACTTCCATCTGTACTAGTGTAAAACTGATCTACCTGGAGAACATAGTTTTCTGTTACTCCTTTCCAGTTACCCCTTTCACTGTTGTCGTTTCTTTACCCAAGTTGTGAAATAAACACATCTCACTCACCCATCCTGATTCTTACTTTTTTAAGGGTAAAAACCCCCCATCCAGGCACAAAACTGAGGGACACTTATTCTTAGGGTAACTAAAAAGATCATTACTCTTATGACTGTATAATAAAACTTTTTGCAATTCACACAACTTGTTTTCATGCAACAAAATTAGAAATAATTTAAATAAGATATAATCTGGTATATTATTTAAAATGTTTTTGGCCGGGCACAGTGGCTCACACTTGTCATCTCAGCACTTTGGGAGGCCAAGGTGGAAGGATCACTTGAGCTCAGGAGTGCAAGATAAGCTGGTCAACAAAGTGAGACTTCATCTCTTAAAAAAAAAAAATAGAAAAATTATCTGCGCTTGATTCCAGCTACATGGGAGGCTGAGGCAGGAGGATTGCTTGAGCCCAGGAGGCCAAGGCTGCGGTGAGTCATAATTGCACCACTGCACTCCAGTCTGGGTGACACATACGTGCACGCACTCATACACACACATATATGTATTTAAGGTAAGTTTTATTGTAACTTTAATATAAAACTTTGAAGGGGTATTAAAAAAATTAAGTGATAAATCCAGAGATAGACTTCTTTTTTTCTATGTAACTATTTATAGGTAACTGAAGTTCATACAATTTATATTCCCAATGTGAAAACTAACTATATAATTTATGTTGAGTCCTGTCTCATTCCAGCGATGGAAATATTCATCTACGTATACACCAACTAATTTTAGAATCACACCAATTTTCACACACACACTTTCAAATACATTTTATTTTTATGTTTAATATATTAAACATATTTATTCAATAATAATCTGAATAACTGAACCTTGAAAAATTTTACAGTTAGAGTTACAGAAAATAATGTTATTTAATTCCAAATATATATATATCCTTTTGTTATAGTTATGACAAGATGTTCCATATGTAACCTATTTAGGTAAGATTATAAAATATGAATAATATTTTTTGGTAGAACTAGATTGGAAGTATAATTTCAAAATAAGTAATGCAAAATTTCTGATTATCTTCTCATATATTTTTAAAATTTATAATGATAGGTACCAAATAGCTATGATATTTACATTTGAATAGTTTTAATTGAACAAATGATTTAACAATTTAGTTTTAAAATGTCAGTATTTGCAAGCTCCAATTATAACCTCCTTTGCAACCAGAAAAACTACTGATAAAAAGATGCTAATTTTATAATATGCAAGGATTTTTTCAAATATTTTATAGGCTATGGAGAAAAAATGCTGCAGCACAATATTTAAGTGAGTCAACAATCTGTGCTAGAAATTGATCAATATTATTAGTGATGGTAGCATAAGGTGTTTAAAAACACCTCTGTTTTTAGGATGCTTATGGTAAATAAGGAACTGAGTTATTGAAATAAAATAAAAAGCTGCCTTAATCAATATTTAATACATCCTTTCTTTTGATTCAAAGAAAATTAGAAATTTTGACTCCATCTCACAAAACTCTACATTTTCCTAGATAAAGAGTTAAATGTTGTTATCAGTGCTCATTAAAGGAAAATGTTTATAATCTTCACTCATCAAAATCCTGGCAACTGTTTTTTTTTTTCCACTATCCTTCCACGATTTCTTTTTAATATCTAAGCTTTTCTTGGATATGCCAATTGACAGTTTTATACTGGTATGTATTTAATTTATTAATTTTTTTTATTCTTCACTAGTTTGACAGATATGTATTATACTAAGCACATTATTTCATCTACTCATCAACTATCCCCAAATATTCTGAAAAATGTACCTCCCAGATCCAATTCCACCTCTATTTCAAAAGGCTTCCTCAAATCTGACAATTTTATAACCTGGTAAATTTTTCCCTGGTTACGGTTGGTTGATACCAAGGAAGAACCAAAACTAAGCTACTTGTACATTAGTCTCATGGATTGATCTAAAGATGAGCCTTATCAAAGTTTATCCATCCTGAGCTCTTCTCTCTGCATTTGGATCCCAGAGAGTATAACCATTCTCTTCATTGTGTGAATCTGTAAGAAGTTAAGCTCTGGATGTATTGGCAGCCATGTTTTCCTTCATGTGGGCCATTGCAGCTAAGGCCTTCCATTGACAGAGAAAAGAAGAATGAAGCAGAGATTAAAGAAACAAAGTTATGATACACGGTAAATATGAATGAACCTTGAATACTTTAGGTTAAGTGAGAAAAGTCAGATACAAATGGCTATATATGATTCCATTTATATGAAATATCCAGAATAGGTAAATCCAAAGAGACAGAAAGTAGATTAGCAGATGCCTAGTGCTGGAGGGAGGGAGAATGGGGAGTGATTGCTAATAGGTATGAAGTTTTTTGGGGAGTGATGAAAGTGTTCTGAAATTATTGGTGATGGTTGCACAAGTTTGAGAATTTGCTAAAAAGTCACTGAATTAAACACTTTAAAAAGGTCAACCTTATGATATATAATTGTATCTCAAGAAAACTCTTATTTTAAAAAAATGAATGGAAGACGTACTGGAGCAGGAGGGAAGAAGAGTGGGAAGTCTGATAAACACGTGGCTTGTTTTAGATGTGCTTACAGCTTAGCTCTCCTCTTATTCACGACAGATCAGGATTGTACCGTAAATTTTTCATAAAATAGAGTTGACTTCCTTTCTTTCCTATGATAGAGTCAGACTCGTATCGCTTTTATTACCTTAGTTTTACATATGAGAAATTGCAGGCTCAGGCAATTTAGTTAACTGGTCTAAAATAAAAGGGAATATATTTCACTTCAGGGGTGTCCAATCTTTTGGCTTTTTTGGGCCACACGGGAAGAAGAATTGTCATGGGCCACACATGAAGTACACTAACACTAACCATTGCTGATGAGCTAAAAAAAAAAAAAAAAATTCAAAATCTCAATGTTTTAAGAAAGTTTACAAATTTGTGTTGGGCCACATTCAAAGATGTCCTGGTTTGCATGTGGCCCACGGGCCATGGCTTGAACAAGTTTGCTCTATATCTTTATTTCAATGTATTTCTACTCTCTTCTATACAATTTAAATCTATAGCAAGCCCACCTTTTTCACCTGTAATATCGCCTATTTTATTTAATTGTTCTTCCCACTTTCCAATGTTGGTTATGCTGTTCTTAGGGTAGGATTTTACCTTCTCATACTTTTTTTTCTGCTTGTGCGTTCATCAGTAATCCTGTATTTACATTCTACTTAAACAGTGCATTTTCTTGGAAACACTTCTTAAAGCACAGATCCACAGCAGGAGCAATTTTATTCAGTAATCAGAATAAAGTTATTGACTTTAGGAAGATAAATTAAAATACTATTTAATGATTCTTTAAAGTGCTATTAATTTCTTTGGGAACTTATTGCTTAGCTTTGAGAATGTCAATCATGAGCTAATTTCAAGTGAGGTAAGGCCTCTGAATGGCGATTTCTCAAGTGAGCAAGAAAGGGGCTCAACTCTGTCAACCAACTAGAATAAAAACAATGGATTTCCTGAAATGCTGCAAATTTATTTAGTCTGTGTCTGTGTAATACCCGAGTAAAATCAGCTCTTTCAAATCATATGATCCAGGAGCCAAACTCAATAAAATGTAAAAATCAGCCCCCAGGGGTGTGAAATCTAACCTGAAATTTCCCTTTTCGTCATGGGTTTAACAATAGCCTAAAGAGATGAGCAGAAAACAGTTTGGCTGGATTATATATTTCTTTTTCAAAACAAGAGGAGTCTGTGATTTTTTAAATGTTAGAATAGGCCTGATTCTATCTATTTTTCTTTCCTATTCGTTAACTTTTATTAAAGAGAGAGTTCTAGCTTTTCCATGCTGTCAATGCTCTTTAGGGGAAAAGATTCAAAATACGCTTAGAAACACCAAATCATCTTTAAAATAAAATTGGTGCTGCTAACCATAGCCTACAAGGCCCAGTGAAAATCAGTGCCTGCCAAATTTTCCTGAGCTAATTTGCTCATTATGCTGGTTTTCTCTTTCTTCCTTGAGTATATCCAGCTCATTCCTATCCAGGACCCTTGCACTTGCTGCTCATTCTGCCTAGACGGTTTTTAATGCTAGGCCTTCCCATGAATGGTTCTTTCATATCATTAAGGCATATCTGAAGACACTAATCTCAGAGAGGTCTTCCAATCCCACCAATCAGGTACCTTATCTAAAACAGGCTGCTGCCACCCTCATCTCTCTCATTGGTCACATGGCTCTGTTTCATTGTCTTTCTAGCATCAATTACAACTTGAAATTAACTTTATTTACTTGTTTAGTGTCTGTTTTATTCTCAGTCGAATTTGAGAGTCCACATCTGATCCTGTAAATCATAGTCTGTCTTGTGAACATGGTATCCCCAATGCCTAGAACATAATACTGGTCTTGTGCCTGGGACTTATTATTCTAAAAAATATTTATTGAATGAAAAAATGAATAATCTTCCTTCAACAAATGACATTTAAAGGTATCAATCATAAATATGAAATTTCACATGAGATAAGGAATTAATGTGATTTATTGTTCCTAAAAATATTAATAACATTGACAGGTAAGAAGTGAAAGAAGAAAAGTAAATTTAACAAAAAGTAACGTGAATTAACATGTTTTAAAATCTATTTTCATTTTTCCATAGTAACAGTCTTTGTTTTCTTCTTGCTTAAACTTTTGGCATGTTCTCTGTATATTATCCTTATCCTAGACCAATTATTGAAAATCTATATTAAAATAATATGTGTGTCTGTGTATGTGCACAGTTTTTAGCCCTCAGTTTCTAATAATACAACTGTTTGATTTGGACAGATGGGAGATTTCCTCTTTGCATGTTGGCCACATTCAGCCCTGATTTGTTATTGTTTAAAATTCTGAGAATGTTTTACACACGTTTACAAAGAAAAACATTTGGCCTCTGATAAACGAATGACAAGCATGATATAAACGCTTGGAGATGATCCTTTCAGATCTGTGCAAAGAGACCTGCACATCTGTCTCCAGCTGTGCAGCTACTCAGAACAGAAATGACTAATCCTGGTTTGGCCAATGCCAGTAATTATTTTTACTGTTGATCTGAAGATCAAAGGTTGTTTCCAGGAAGTAAGAACAGGGCAATGGACTTTACTATCTGAATACAGTGGAGATTTATGCAAGCTATTATTTGGTTCATGGTTATCACATTAACCTGGTGCTAATGCATATGGATGACAGCAGAAATGTAAACAGTCTTGAAGTGATATTAATTATAATTAGTTAAAAGTAAATCAATCTAGTGGTTTTGAATCATCTGTACCCTTTTGTCTAGCCTCACATCCTGACCCTAAATGATAGGAAAATCCACAGCAACTACAGCACACTTTTAAAACACAGTGCGCTGTTCTATGAAGGATTCTATGAATCCTTGGCTATTATTTTAACATTTTGATTAAATCATTCTACACTGAAATTCTTATTCTAAAGGTGAGGTTTTTCATGGGTGAGATTAGTCTAATTCTCCAGGATGTTGTAACAATTTTAAATTAATGCAAAATCTTAAATGTGTAAATTTTCTATATATTTTTTCTTCCTACCCAGGGAAAAAAGAAATCTCAGATCAGGAACCACACTACTCAGAAATGCTGCCCATTCCTATCCCCGCAACAATCCATCCCTGCTTCTTTATCATTTCTGGCATATCTACCCCAAATCCTGCATTCAATAATGTGCTACATTGCTTATTCTAATGAATCCATATTTGAGATAGAGAAGGTATTGGTCTCAAATGCAGATTTAGTTTGGGATCTGCCTGTCAGTGTGTTAATTATGGTTAATTCCATTTATGTGTTAGGCACCAAGCTAGACATTTAGCATACATTATTTCCTCCAGTCCCCACAATTCAAAGTGAATATGCTTATCCTCACAGATAAGTAAATTGAGACCCCTTAAATAATAAGGATGACATTACAGTTTACATTTGCTACAATTCAAAATAAGTCCTTTATATGCTATATAACATGGTCTCTAGTGAGACAAAATGTTGCTTTTAATTTTAAGTTAATATTAACTTCTGTAGTCATTCTAGGTTAGAAAACCTGATTTGTTCTTCCTTGAATCTTTAGTTTTTACTTATTGTGATGTAATTGTTGCTTTGCAAATGGGTAAAATCCATGAAGGGTAGGACTTCTAGAGGTGGCTATATTTTTTCCTGGAGTCATTATAATACATAATTTATTTAAATAAACTTTTGAATGAATTGCATCTTCTCAAAAAGAACCTTTCTAATTTTGAAAAAAATTTTGTTTAGTTTGTATAGTGTCACTCATAGAAAATTGCACCAAACAGGCACTTCATAAATTCAATAAATTTTTATACAACAAATAAAAATACCTGCTGACTTTAAAAATAGACCAAGTAGGTAGAAAGCCATTTGACTTCTTTCACCAAATATTTGTAATTGTTTGTCTGGAACAAGTACATAGAGACACAAGATTTTCTCTATGGTTCATTCTATAATTAATAATTTTTATTCTCTCTTTTAAAGACTTTTCTTTATGAGGGTTTTTTATTTTATTAAGTCCAACGAAATATAAAGTCTTTTGTAAAAGTGTGCAAGTATATTGCTTGAGAAAAGAGAATGTGGGGGTGATGACAATTGGGGATAATTGATTTAGATAGAAATGATGCTGCCATGAGAAAAAACAATGCTTACCACGGAATTCATTTCCTAGTGTAATAATTTATTAGGTAGTGTGAAGCAGATCCCCAAAGCACCTCATCTCCCACAGCACCTTTCTAGACCCAGATCGTATTTCTTTAGACTAGACATTGCAAAAATAAACAAAAAAACCCAGACCCTAATTTGTTTGATTGCCACTTTTGCCTCTTAATTCTGTTTTCCACACTGCAGTCAAATAAGAATCTGGCATATTTGTTCATGTACCTTATTGCATAAAAATCTCTCAGTGACTTCCCGGTGTCCTTAGGATAAAGATTAACTTCATTAAATTGCTGACAAGCCCCTGTGATCTGGTACCTTGATACCTCTCCAGTCTCATCTGCTTCTTCACTTTCTAAAGTTGAGATTATCTGCCTTTTCAATCCATTGCTTTTAGTGATCATTCCTCTGGCCACAGGGCCTTGCACGTATAGTTTCTGCCTGTCTTCCCACCTCAGACAGTTGAATACGTTATAGCCCAAGGCCACTAGGTCATTCCAGGATCTTCCTATGTGCCTCTTCTTTTCTCCTTTGAGAAGAGGGAGTAAAAAAAAAATAGAGAGTGAGTAGGAAGAACATAAAAACTCCTATGACTGCTACAACAGCAACCATTTACTCAGTGTGTATTATCTACTAGGCATTTTATGTGCATTAAAACTTACTTAATCCTTGCAATAACCCTTACATGTAAATGGTTTCAAATGTGAGTAAACAAATCTGATATTGATGCAATAACTTAAACTAGTAATTAGGAAAGTCAGAATTCAAACCTAAGTGTCAAACTTCAAAGGTACTATTCATATAGCTTTTTAAAATATAAGTCAAACAAGGAAAATTATATATGCTTAAATGGCATATCTTGATTTTATGCATCTCCACTTTTTCTTTACTTCATCTGTCAATATAATGAATATTTAAAGAATTTCCCACTGTAAGCAACTGTATTAATGACAACAATTGAAACAGCAGTATAATTCAGTGGTTAAAAGCCGGGACTCTGGAGCCAGACTGCCAGATTAAAAAGCCCCTTTATCATTTATCAGCTCTTTGTCCTTAGGAAAGTTGCCTAACTTCAGTTTCCTAGCTGGAAAATGGGATTAATGATATCCTAATTTTTCTCATAGTGCGAGGATTATACAGTGCAAGTAAATAGGTACGTAGTCATTAACACAGAATAGGAAGTAAGTGTTTTAAACTATTGAGAGCCTAGTGAGTGTTTTAAACTTATTGAGAGCCTATGGTATGTATGGACTGTGTTAGAAATTTTGCATATTCTATAAATTGTTACATTTAATCTTGATCCAATTTTTCCATCTTCTACTAGCTCTATGACTGGCAAAATCTCCTATAGGTTTTCCACTCCAAATGAAACAAAACAACAGAAAACAAACAAAAATTGGTAGCACTGTTTTTTTTTAATCAAATTTTCAGGTATTAAAATAGTTGACTTTTTTCATTATCTAATTTTTAAAATGACATATATTTTCAAGGTAGATAAAAATCTAAAAGTTTTAATATCATGGGCTTGCAGACCCGGAAGAGACATCAGACCAAGATCAGTGATGGTGCCAGGCAATTGAAAAACTGCTGTCAAATAATTGCCAGAATTTCTCTCCAGAAATGTGTTACGTACTTTTCAAATGGATAGCCCACTATTATCTTCACACTCTATATAATAAAATTTATTTCAAACTTTCTGGACCAATGTTTACCTACACACATGAAAAAGATGTACAGTTAAGTTTTAGGGCATCTAAAAGATACTATCTCATTTTTTAATTAAAAAGGAAGGAATCTACCCACTTAAGGATATCCTGAAGCCTGTGTGCACACAGGAGTTTAAGTTGAATACTTCTTAAAGAAAGGCACTTGTACCTGGGATAAAGCATAAAGGCACAGTTCAAAATAAGCAATAGCAAAGCATCCTTAGAATGGGCCGTTATAAAAACTAATGTTTCATACCTTGGCATCAATTTAAAGCTAATTTCAAAGGATACTAGAACCATCCTTAAGAAATCTTACCAATTAGCATATAAGTGAACTGACCATCATATGATGATTGTGTGTGTTTGTGTAATTAAGAAGTGAGCTTGACAAGGATCTACAAGATTCTAGACAATAAAAGTACACTTGTGTGTCTTTGTATCTCTGACTTCCTGTTTCATCTTAACTGAACTTAACAGTGCATGTGTTTCCACATATTCCTCACCCTCTAGTAGAAGTCCATAAACCCTGGGAGCTCTTTCTCACTTGTTTCCCCCATTTGGACATCTCTCCACTTTCTTGGCCTGCCTTTACCTCATTCCTTTAACTGGCTTCATTAAAATACTTCTTGCTTACTTAATGGGTAGAAGACAAGGATCCTACCCTTAAGAAACACAGGACTTTCAAAATAAGAAGCATGAGTTTGGCTCTGTCATTGCTGTTGAACAGAACTGTAGTATATGAGGTTCTACATTAGGGCAACACTGTAGGAATATGGAACGGTCCAGTGGAATGAGTCATGAATGTAGACCTATATCTAAATTTCAGAAAGGTCTTGCCACAAGTACTTTAACCATGACAATTTTTAAAGGAATTAATGTATGTTTCTTCTCTCTAAAAAGAAGATGGGCAATTCACAACTGTGATTTTTTCCAACTCCTTTGAACATAGTAGTGAATGACCTTTTCAATGCTTTGCGTTTTGTGGTAAAACTTCATAAATTCTATAAAAAACACAGTAAACAGACCTTTAAAATAACTTGGAAAAAGTTTAGAGAAAAATTCCTTTCTATTACTATGTTTATAACATGAAAAACCTTGTCTTTTCTGTGAACTTTTTACTACCATATTACTCAGGTAACCATTTCAAAGCTTTAAAGCTATAATACACACTTATTTAGAATTTCTCAAAGAGATTCCAAAAAAAGTATGTTTTCCAGCCAATTTAAATGATAGGTCCAAAATTGTGTTTAATTTAGAAATATTTGTATTTTGAGGGAGAGAAAAAATGTTTTCAACTATGTTTATGTTGAATGCCAGCTCCTCATATATCACCAACTGTGGATAAGACAAAGTTAAGTTTATTGCTCACTGTAGTGTGGGAGAACACCACTTGAACAGAGCTTTGGGAATGTCTCAGACTAGGAAGCGCAAGATTGAATTTTATTGAGATTCTGAAACTTGGTTAAAGAAAGCAATGGAGGGAATGGGGCAGGAAGAAGGGGTTGTAGGAGGAAGCTTGATTAGCTTTGGGAAATTCTTATGACATAAGAGGCTATAATTGGTACAAGCAGCAATGCCAAGATTTTTAGGCAAGGGGTTCAAAGAATCTTGTTAGGTTAACTGTCTGTTTATGTCTTCTATTGAAAAGTTGATAAGTCTTTTCAAAAGTTCCTGTAGTAAACAAGAAAGACAATTCCATAAAGACCACTGAAGCCAGGTTAATGTAGACATTAAGATATACAGGAATAGGTTTCTTTTTTCATTTGTCAAATAACATAATTAAAAACATACTTAAAGATTACTGGTCAGGCGTGGTGGCTCATGCCTGTAATCCCAGCACTTTGGGAGGCCAAGACGGGCAGATCATGAGATCAGGAGTTCGAGACCAGCCTGACCAACATGGTGAAACCCCCTTTCTACTAAAAATACAAAAAATTAGCTGGGCTTGGTGGTGAGTGCCTGTAATCCCAGGTACTCAGGAGGCTGAGGCAGGAGAATCACTTGAACCTTGGAGGTAGAGGTTGCAGTGAGCTGAGATTGCACCATTGCACTCCAGCCAAGGCGACAGGGAGAGACTTTGTCTCAAAAAAAAAAAAAAAAAAAAAAAAACTTAGAGATTACTATAAATGTTTCCTCCAAATAAGTGAAATTTTTATTGGAACTTTATATATGCCCATAGAGAACACATATTTACCAAATTAGTTTGGTAAATAAAATAATCATTATACATGAATATTTGTGGTTACAGACTTGCTAGAGTCATAAAAGAAAAATATAGCACTTATTTTCTTATCTTTTTAAAATATATTTAAAAGCTAAAAAGCCTTCTTATTCAGGAACACATTGAAAATATTTGAAATAATAAAAACAAAGTAACACTGTTAAATTGAATTTTATTTACTTATGTAGAAATAAATTGCTCAGAAATGTGTTATGAACACACTTAAAAAATATTTAGTTTAAAAAACAAGAGATTATTTAATAGATCGAAAAGCTTAGTAATTCACCAGGAATAAAATATTGTTTAAATGAATAGAAAATATTAGGTCACTATTAAAAGACTTTTGAATTTATTGGGGCTAACCAAGGTCAAGTGCTGTAATAAAAAAAGACTGAGAATTTTGAAAGTAGTGTTTATGATTACTTCTAAAATAAATGGTCTTTGAGATTCATATTTTCTCAGTAAGAATGCCTACTGTCTTCTAATATAATTTCACAAGGTTACTTAGGTTTATGAATACTACAAGAAATAACTTAAAAGTTAGAAGTTTAGGATAAAGTATTAAAATCAGGATGGAATTGCAGAGAAAGGAATATAACAAGAGCAAGAGAGACAGATAATAGATAAGTTGAACAAGAAAATAATTTAAATGTTCTAGCTTTAGAAAGAGGCTTTCATAAAGAATAAGTGCCATCTACCCAAAGACAGCATTTTTTAATGAAAATATTTCTGGGTTAAATGATCAATCCTAAGCATTCTTAAATCATTAGCTTCACTATTATAAAGACAGTTTTCCCCACCACTATACAGAGGCTGAAAGAGCCTAATGTGGAAGCTGATCAAGTAGTATGAAATACTTGAAATGTATCTAACATAATTTATATCTTTTTGTTAAGCATTGCCCTCTTCAGAAACTGCCCTTTAAAACATAAAAAATCTCAAAAGAGCCCTTGGTAAGAATGGGATCATAGAACAGAAGGGATTCTGAAGCTGTGAAGTGCTATGAAAAGGACCTTAAGGGTTACGAGAAGACATTTCATTTGCCTTGAAGTTTTGCCTAGGATCTCTCCTGCTTGTAGGCATGAGGTGTCAGGACTTATGTGAGTCCAGTTGGATGTTACACGTTATAAGTTTTATGCCTACTGAGCAGGAGAAGGTCATCTATCCATGTATATCTTGGGTTTAAAAAACAAAAGCCAATGTCTACTAAAATATTACTGATTTATTGTTTCTAAATTGAAAATATGAAATTAAACAGTTCAGAATTCATTTTTGGATTAGAAAAACTATGGACATCTCCAGGCTAAAGAACGTTTTAGTACTTTTAGGAAGTAACACATTTTTATAATGGATATGTTCAGAGCTTCATAGCTTTTAACTTGTGTAATAACAAACAGTTGTGATGGTTTGCTACTAATTCAATAGTTGAAATGGAAAACAGAAGAAAAATAGCTCAAATTCCGAAGTTTGGGTGTTTTAGTTTGTAAAATGGCCTAACAACATGTAGGTATGAAACCAGTGTTCTCATTATGACTTATGTGGAAATGAAGGTTTTCAAGGAACCAATTTTACTCATTATCAAGAGCACAGTTTTACAGTGATTTTCATCAACCATCTAATCATTTTGTTCCTTTCACTACCTGAGATTTACATATAGCAGATATAATTGTAGTACTTTGTTTTCTAGCAGTTTTATGCTTAGACCTTTTAACATAATAGCACTTCTTTTTCTTTTGAAATCAGTGAGATCTCTCTACTGTGTCTTGCAAGACAAAGATGATGTGTTATGTGGACTTAACTCCTTTGTGCTGTTTCAGTTCTTTGCAAAGCTTCCTCTTTGCCACAAAATCAGCTTAAAATACTTTCAGTGCTGCTTTATGCATATGTGATTCAAGAAATAAAGAAATAGAGATTGAATCCTTTTTATTTTACACATTTGAAGATTCAAGGATAAGCATATTTTTAGCTTTTTTTTTTACATTCTTAGTCTTAACGCTTTAGGAAATGAAAAAGAAACTTGCTTTGGCATTCTGCATGGTGTAATTTGGATCCTTGGTTTTCTGGCTTCAGTTTGCATGCTAAGGATTTGGTATAGTGAGGGAGGCTGAGACCATTATAAATAGACTCCTGGATTCTGTAATACTGGGAGCATTCTGTTCATAATGCAAGAAAGCTTAAAAACATTGCTTTCATTATAATTGGAGCTGCTATAACAATCCTGCAGACATACTGTTTATGTCTGGATTTATTTTACCCAATATTTCTTTGTAAAAGCCTTACATTTTTATTTTGTAGATGGCTGAAAAAATTGGTTAGATGAAGTCAAGATGCACTGATGCCAGAAAATTGTGTAAGTAATGAAATATGATGACTTAAAAAGTAGTTTTTTTTCCGACATCATCCAGGCTTACCACTTACACTATTCACAACCATTGGATACTTGCCATTTTCCTTTTTGCAGTAGGAAGAACTGGCCCACAAGTTTCCTCTTTATGTTTTTATGTGGGTAGAAAAGGAAACCCTCTGGAAATGTTGCTTCAGCAAAGGTTACTGTAACTTATATGCAATAGATCTCAATACTCGTAGATAGAAGAGCTTACTTTGTTTTGTGGCTTGATTTATTTTAACTGAATTGAGCAGATAATCGAATAGCACATGGACAGACTCAGTAAGAAGTTCAGTCACTCCTTATGTGTTTCTTAAATATAATACTTCAACATAATACTTTCCCATTATTGCTGACTTAATATTCTACACTGCTCAGTATCTACATATGTTCTAAAACCAATTCTCTGACAACTAGATGCCTTTTAATTCAATTTAATTCTGACACTAACTACCTAGAGTTAGCACAGGCCTTACAAGTTTGTACAAACAGTTGTGAAGACAAGACTACACTCACTTCGGATATCAACTGCAAATCTCAGGGCCACAGGCGCACCTGACTGACCAGTTATAAAATCAAGAGTTCTCACCACTCCTTTCAGATTTGATAATTTGCTAGAATGACTCAGAATTCACCAAAATCACTGTATTTACAATTACTGTTTTGTTATGAATGATACATATCAGGAACAGTCAAATGGAAGAGGCATATAGGCAAGGTCTGAGATTGGGGTGGGGTAGGGGCACAGAGCTTCCATGCGCTTCTGTAGAATCTGGCCTATTGCCCTCCTAGCAAATCAATGTGCTCACCAACCCAAAAGCTGCACTGAATCTCAGGTTCAGAGTTTTTATTGGGGTTTCATTATATAGACATAATTTATTAAATCATTGGCCATGTGATTGAGCTCAAATTCTAGTACCCCTGGTTCTTGCCAGAGACTGAGCTGTTCCCAAGTTTCAGTCCTCTAGTCACAATCATATGGTGGGTGTTTTCAGTGACCAACTCCCATTCAGAATCTGCGTAAGGTCCCATAATGAGTCACCTAATTAACCTAACAAATACTCTGACTCAGAAAATTTCCACTCAGGAAATTCCAAGTTTTTTGAAGCTCTAAGACAGAAATGGATAACAAGGAGTAGAAATCTTTTATTATATCACACATATATAAATTTAACTGGAGTTATTTAATTGATAATCTTTAAGATAATGGAGACCAATTTTTTCTCAAGTGCTAATTTTTTTTTTTTACAGAGAATAATAGTGTTATAGTCTGTTAGAGGTATTGTGGTTTGAATTATGATAATAGAAGATTTGAATATAAACTTGATAACCAAAAATACAATGTTTTAATGTCATAAAAGTTTTTGAAGAATGGTTGTTACTAAAGTATGTTTATTATGTTTAACATAACTTTTCATTTCTTATGAAGAAGCTAAATACATATGGATTAATGAAAAATAATAACTTCCTCTTTTCATGTTATTACTCTCCAGTTTTCAGATTTTTATTCTATTGTATGACAGATACTGGGTATAAGTATTTACAGAATAAAATTTGGAATAAGCAAAAAAGAATACTGGGTGTCTCCAATGAAAAACTGCATTACTTACAATCTCCTCCCCTGGCTTATCTGATTCTAATTCTGCGGGGCTCTGTGCCCTTCACTCTCTTGGAGTTATTTTACAACTCCTTAAATTGCACTTACTAGTGACCCAAAATAATTTTTCTCTATAGACATGCAAATAAATTCTGTCAAGTAGAGACTTCCCTGCTCCACTATGTAATAAGTCAGTTTCGTGTCTATTTGCAAATTCGTTTTAATATTCCTTATCCATAAATGTGTCTGTTCTTTGACTTCTCCTTTGAGCAGTTTAACGCTTGCTCACTTATTTCATTAATAATGAATTACGTAAGATATCTTACAGATGCTAATTTTTTATCTGTATGAGAGTAATGATTTTACCTTTTTTGGGAAAGTCATCCTTAAACAAAAATTATTAAGAGATTGATTACAGGATCTGAAAGAAAGAGGGGAGAAAAGAAAATAAATAACTGTTGTTAGTTTAGTTAGCTTCAAATGGACCAGCTAGTCAAACCTCTTCAGAAAATCTGTGTTTAGCCATATAATAAATACTTTGTATTAGTTCAGTCATTCATCAATTAATGCTTTATAAATGTTATTTATAATAATTATTTGCCTAATTAACTAAATGTTTAAGTGTTTATAGATTTAACATAAGATGTAGGTAAGAAATACATTTGTATTGAAGAGTGCCTTACAGAAACAAAAATACTTTATATGACTATCCTGTTAAATACCAGCCAAAACATATTTTTAGGGAATTTTTTGAAAATAATCTGTGTACTGATAATTCTAAAATTTATATCTGTAGCTCACTTTTCAAACCCTAATTTCAGAACCCAAGGTTTCTAGCCTAAGCACCTAGAGAATGAAACTGGAATAACTAAGATAAATAAGGCTGCAGATAGAGAAGGACTAGGGATGAACATCAGGATTTTGGTTAGGCAGAGTGATTTTGACATGTTTAGTATACATCTAGGTGGAGAGTTTATTCAGATAATCAGATATATGAGGTTATAGCTCAATAGAAAAGTCTCTGTAAAAAGATATCTTGGGAACTGCTATCATTTACATGATATCTAAAGCCAGGAGACTGGATGAGACCATGCAGGGAGTCAGTGTAGTTGGAGATGAGAAAACAAAAAATGAACTCTTGGATTCTGTACATTAAGAGTCTGGGGACATGAGGCAAAACTAGCAAAGAAAACTGAGAAGGAAAAGCCAGTAAGTTAGGAGATAAAGGGAGAGATTATGCTATCCTGGAAGCCAAGTGAGAAAGTGTATCAAGGCCAAAGTGCTGATGGTCTGTGAAGATGAAATAGAATGGACAACCGAATTTACCTAGGTGGAGATCATTATTGTCCTTAATAGGAAAATGAGTCACAGCAAATACACCATTGGAGTGTGTTAAAAAGAGAAAGGGTGGGTGTGCATGGTGGTTTGTTCATACCTGTAATCTCCGCACTTTGGGAGGACAAGGCAGGTGGATCACTTGAGGCCAAGAGTTCAAGACCAGCCTGGCCAATATGGTGAAATCCTGTCTCTATTAAAATGATAGATAGACAGATGATAGATGATAGACAGATAGATAGATAGATAGATAGATAGATAGATAGATAGAGAAAGGGTAGAGAGAAAAGTGAAGGCAACATCTTTTTATTGATCTTGCTTTTGCCTTTGCCTCCTGAAGACTTCCTGGCGACAGAAGTTCTAGCGATCCAATTAAAATGTAAATCAGGTGTTGTTACTGTCTACTATAAACTCTTCAGGGCTTTCCCATCTTTTTCAGGGTATAAGCTAAAAATCTGTGTCTGGCTCCTGCATGATCTTTCTGACCTTATCTCCCATTCTTCTCTCTCTAGTTCTCCTATCTCTAGCTATCCAAGCCTCATGTCTAAAGCCTCGTGTTTCAGGGGCTTTGTTCTTATTTTACCTTTTAGGTGAAATGCCCTTTCTCCTTATATCCACAGCCCTCTCTCTTCCCCCAGATATCACTTCAGCGAGGCTTTTCTGGCGATTCCATTGAAAAATCACACATCCTTCACTTATGTTCCATGCCGATACTCCATTTTTGGACTTACTAGTACTATTACTAGCTGACATTTTATACATTTATCTTGTTTATTGTTTGCCTCCCTCTCCATTAAGTTAGATCCATATGGGCAGGAATTAAATTTATTTTGTATCCTGGTGTATTTCCTGTACTTAAAACACTACTTGGCACTCAGAGTGCATGCAATAAATATTTTTTGAGCCAGCAAATGAGAGAGGTGCCATGCAGTTCCGTGCAAAATAAACTAAACCTCTGTTAAAGTGAACAACGGGCCGGGTGCAGTGGCTCACGCCTGTAATCCCAGCACTTTGGGAGGCTGAGGTGGGCAGATCACAAGGTCAGGAGATCAAGACCATCCTGGCTAACACGGCAAAACTCTGTCTCTACTAAAAATACAAGAAATTAGCCGGGCGCTGTCGTGGGCGCCTATAGGCCCAGCTACTCAGGAGGCTGAGGCAGGAGAATAGCATGAACCCAGGAGGCGTAGATTGCAGTGAGCTGAGATCACGCCACTGCACTCCAGCCTGAGTGACAGAGCGAGACTCTGTCTGGAAAAAAAAAAAAAAAAAAAAAAAGAACTGGTGGATACATTCACCTATGGTCGTGTTTTGAACCCCTGCCTATACGGCTGGCTGGCCCTGGGATGATATCTCTATGCTACAGTTCTTTTAACTGCCACAGCAGCCAGTAAGATTTTGATACATTCAGTCCCTTTTAGGGATCTCTTATAAGAAAATGGGTAAAAATTGGACAAAGATATATGTGCCAAGAATTCACTGTTATGTAATTTGTAATAGTGATTATATTAATCTTGTCTACCACTCTTTGATTCAAGTGATAGAAACCCAGTTGAAATCTACATAAGGAAAAACAGAAAACAAAAAAGTGGGAGCAACATATTTGTATATTCAATAAAATCATAGGAAAGATAATAGGGAACTGTTTATGCATGACTAGATTCAGAAACCCAAATGATGTCAAGACTTCCTTTTCCTAACTTTGTTATCTCACCTCTCCTTCTACTTGACTGCTCTCAGGCTGTAGCTGGGTGTTCACATACGGTCTTGGGCATGAATACTACTCAAATTATTTTCCTAATTTTTATTTAATTTTCTTTTTGTGTAGAGATGAGGTTTTGTTATGTTTGAGACCAGCTTGAAAGTATTTTTTAAGTCATCCAGCATCCAGATAAAAGGACAACTGAGTTTGTTTTCCAGGCTTTATGCATGCTACTGTACACACACGTAACACCCTGAACACAGCACAGGAACACATAATTATTCAGGGAACAATATCTGTGTGCATTTTGTAGCCTGCTTTTGTTACCTAGTACGTTCTAAATAATTTTTTGGTTATTAAATTTTATTTGAAAATGATATTCAAAGATTGCCCAATATTTCATTCTATCATTAATCATTTCCTGTAAGATGTTTCAACTTTAAGATATTTCCAATGTTTCACTAATATAATGTGAAATAAATGCTGAAATAAAAATCAGAAGCATATTTCTTATTGTGTCCTAGAAAAAATTCCTAGATACAGAATTAGTGAGTCAAAGGCTATGCACATTTTTAGATTCTTAAAAATAATTGCCAAAGTGACTTTGAGAAAGTTGTTCTGATTTACCCTTTACACCAGCATTGTACAAGAGTGATTTTATAACTATAAATCTGCTAACATTGGATACTACAGTTTGCAAATATTGTTGCCAGTTTGACAGATGCTTTAATTTGCTTGGATAGTTCTTCATATATTTATTATTAATTTGTATTTCTATTCTGAGAATTGCCTAAGCCTGTATTTCCCAATTTTATTGGGATGTTTTTCATTTCCTTATTGATTTGAAAAAGATATTTGGTACATTTATTAGCCCTTTATTGTATATGCTGCAAATTTTTGTATTTGTTTTGATATATAACTCCAGATTCATATGTAGTCAAATTATCAATTACCATAGTCACCAACATCTATTGTCATATTTAGATATTATTATAACTGCAGTACCTGTATAAATCTAATTTTGATCATGCCTCCTTTCCACTTTCCAGCTTACACTGCAATTCTAGTAATGCTTCCCTATTCATCGGCCCCACTACATTTTGCTCTTCTCTGTCTCCTTCAAGTCTTGATCTCTCCCTTAACCCAGCAAAGACGCCATCAAAACAATAACTCCTTAGACTGAGACTCTCTTAACCGTGCTATTCTACCTTTAGCTAGTTTAGCAAAAACCCAACCCTGCTTGGATTCAACTCTATACTGTTTGCCCCAGAATCAATGGAGGAAAAATGCAGCTATGTTCGCTAGTTTCTCAATAAATTAATGATCACCATCCTCAAATGGGTCTTCTTTCTGAAGTCACATTACATTTCCTTAAAGTGTGAACAATTCCCCTTCAAACTATTCTTCTTTGCTCTTCCTTGACAATTACTTTATTCCAATAAAATTTGCCTCTCTTTCTGTATCATAACTGTATCTAAACGGACAATGAGCAGGGGCCAGATCAGACCTGTGACTGCAGCAGAAACCAGCATGGATTCAGAAGCTAACTTGTGGCCATAAGGCTCACTTCTCCACCATGTTGAGATGGCTCAAACCCCTCAGTCCTTCTATAGATTCAGACAAAAACTAGAGAAAAGCAAGGATGGGAGTGTTGGAAAGATTGTCTTTCCCCACAAAGAGTAAGAAAAAGTATACAAAATAGAAGATACTATTTCCCCTTTGTTACACAGGTTAAATCAGGTTTTTTTTCTACTCTTCAATTTAAGTTGGTAGAGGCAACTTTTATTACACTTTGAATCATAATAAATTTTTAAACATGCAAAATAAATTCCTAATTAGAGTTGAGTACTAACCTTCTTATTTGATCTGAAAAATGTTAATATAAATGGGTAAATAAAATGATAGAGGTTCCAATTTGCAAGGAATAAGGTGAAGAAATTCCACTAGTACTTTCAATTAGTCAGCTAGAGAATATTTCTGAAGAAATACTTGAATTCTGGAGTAAAAACCTTATGTCTGTAATAGTAAATTTTAGGATATTTATTGCTATATTAATAAAAATATCTATTATACATATTCTTTAATATCCTTAATGAATAGCCTCTTCCAGAAGTCCATATGACCTACCAACCATGACTAATTAGGAGTAAAACAGACATAAAATCTTCTGTAACAATAAATATGAAAGACAAGCAGGGATGCAATATTAGGAGGTAAGTTTAACATATATTTTTAATATAATATTTTTAAAAGCATACCCATTTGAGCCTCAGAACACTTTTTTGGTGAAAACAATTTCAAATATGCTCATCTTTCTACAGCATTTTTGGCAAGATTCCATAAATTTTCTTTCTAGTTATTTATTAATCACAGCAACATGTATGAAATTCTTAACAGGTCAACACATTCTTGTTAGGTTGATTTAGGATGCACTTGAACTTTTACAATTTAAAACTTGATCCCAATCATTGCTACATATCATGAGAATAATCTAGCCTATGTACAGTGATAAAGTCTTTTTTGTCTTTATAGAACTTTTATACTTCTTTTACTGATTTATTTCTTCTCCACATCAGTCCACTGAAACTGGCAAAATATCGTCATGTTTCTAATTAGAAAACAGAGAGAGAGAAGTGTGAATTTTGCTTAAGGTCAATCCGAATAATTAATCACCTGCTTCCCTCTCCTTTCTTCAAGGAAATACTAGGAGGAGAGAGGAGGCTATTTCATTTATCTCCTGAGTTGTGTATTGTGAAAACATACCTCAGTCTCTGGGCCTTCCATGGTGCTAACAGCTTCATTATGGAAAAACTTTCACTTTATTACTGGTCGCAGCCTCAAGTTTCCAGACCCAATTTTCTAAAAAGATATTTCTGTCCTACAGGAGAAGCAGCAATGAATATTTTGTGGGGCATAGCACATTCAGTCTGCTACCTTGTCTCGTTCCTCAAACCACCACCATTCAAAGTGGTATGATTTTATAAAACTTTTCTCAAAGTTTGGTACTAATTATAGCGAATTGAAAATTTCATTGTTAAATTGTGCTTCCCCGTACACCCATGGGTCTATTTTGGGGAACACCCGGTTTTTTTTTCTTTTTTGGAGATGGAATCTTGCTCTGTCGCCCAGGCTGGAGTGCAGTGGCGCGATCTCGGCTCACTGCAACCTCCGCCTCCCGGGTTCAAGCGATTCTCCTGCTTCAGCGTCCTGAGTAGCTGGGACTAAAGGCACCTGCCACCACGCCTGGCTAACTTTTTGTATTTTTAGTAGAGACAGAAAAACACGGGGTTTCACCGTGTTAGCCAGGATGGGCCCCATCTCCTGACCTCGTGATCCGCCCGCCTCCGCCTCCCACAGTGCTGGATTTACAAGCCTAAGCCACCGCACCTGGCCTGGGAACACTCATTTTTTAAAGTCAGATTTCTCCATTGTCAACCAAGTACTACCTGCCCGACTCTACCTAATCTTGCTTTTCTTCTAATCTGTACTGTGCAAATATTCACCACCTTTTAGGACACCTCACCTTGCACAGGATCGATTTGCCCCAGGATTCAACATCCTCTCACCATCAGACCTTAATCTAGAGATGAATGACTCCAGGTCTTAAGAACCCAAGTCTTTCTGAATGGTGCTGGGCACATAAGGCTGTGTCTTCCTAATTCTTAGCAAGAGACTTGAACATAATTCTGATGCCATTGACATTTTTTCATCAGTGTGGTTTTTTATATTATTTATTCCTCCCATAGTCCAGATAATAGCAGTAGACCCCCACAGCATTCCCCTTTTCTGAAGGTAAATATTAAAACAGTATAATTTAATATTATAGTGGAGAAAGAATTATCTTTCCGTTTCATAAATTTTAAAAGTGTTGCCTTCACAATAGAGGCCTATCAACCTTGAAAAATGAGTGATGATATTTATAATGTATTTTTAAATTTTTTTCTAAAATTATTCAGTTAATAAACATTAGTCACCAATTATCTACAGGCACTATGTTCTAAAGGTGAAAACCTTGGTTAGACAGCCCTTCTCATATACCCCCATAGCCTCCTATACTTTTCAAGTACACATCACAGGATCCTATATTGTAATTGCCTGTTTACTTGCTTGAGTTGTTCACCAGATTATATGCATCATGAGGGTGAGGATTGGTAGCTTCTATTTTCCCTCTTATCTCTAGCATTTAGCACAGTGCTCATAACCAAGCAGTTTAGTATATAACTCAAGATGAATGAATTACAAATCTCAAACAAGATCACTGACATTTTAGATAGAGAAATAAACATCCATGTAACCGGTTAAAAATTCTATGGTTGGGTAATATGTTGAGAGGTTATTTTGTGGTTCATCTTTGTTGCCACAGAGACAGCAAAATATAGCAGGTACATTTGCCTTCTTAAAGGAGCTCAAAAGTATAGATCTGTGTTCAGAATTCTAGGTGCCGTTTTAGTGGATTGGAAAATAGGAACTCCTATGTATTTCTGGGAATGTCTTGATAATAATCCCTATGCAGATTGTATCATAGAAGATGAAGTCCATTGGGAAACTCACTCTAGGAACTGAGTAAGTAAAAATACTTAAGCCAAACCTGAGTCCCTCCCTCCCAGGGTTAAAGAGGAATAGCTCTGTACTGTGCCTATGGAGCCTGGACACTCAGCCATGGTTAGAGAGCTTGAGACTTTTTTATTTTGCATGGATGGAGAGAGCCATTTGAATGAGCCTGAGGGCCTGGGCATTCTCAACGAAGGCAAGATGACCCTTGTCTACCCAGCCTAAATACCTACAAATCCTTAGTGACTACAGCAGTTCTCTAATAATGGCTTTTATTGGGATCTCCTGACATTGAGAGCTTGGAATCAAATTTAATGTGCTGCAAAATATTCTCGAGTAACCAACTTTATTAACTACAAGTGAAATGATTTAGGAGAGGTCAGAGAACAATTATTTTTCCAGGGGCCTTAGTTTTGGAGGAAGGGATATGTAACTTAGCAGAAATCCTTAAGCTTCGATTAGAAATAGGAGGAGAAAAGAGCATTTGAGGGTGAGGGAAGAGTATAAGTAAAAATAGAGAGGTTAAAAAAAGTATGTTGAAAGAAAAACATTTAGTTTGGTGCTGCTAAAGCGGTGGTTACTGGTATTTGTTGGGCCTGAGAACCATCTGGAATGTTTCCATAGATAGTATGTATATCAGGCTCCTAAATGGGACAGTCTGAATAAGCATGCCTGGAATGGAACTCTATGATGTAGATCTTGAAGAAGTTTTGCAGGTGTGTCTGCATTCAAAAAGGTGAAAAACATAAGGATAGAAGGTTAAATTAGCAGAAAAGAATAAGACGTCAGTCAAAATCCAGATAAAATTGGATTTTCAAGACTGTTGAACAATCTGCTCAAAAGTTAGGACTTTGAATGAAGAAAGTTTCATCTTTCTGTTTATTTTATGGATATGTATCATTTTCGTGTTTTATATTGTCACTCATCTTTAACACTTAGAACCACCCCCACTTCCTTCCTTTCTTCCTTCCTTTATTTCTTAACAAACACATATCGAATACCTATTATATGTTAGACAAAGGTTTAAGGATGTGGATATAAAAATGTGATTTATGATTTCAAGATTTCTTAGTGTGATTCTCTTAATACTTTACTAGACTCTGTAAAAATTATGTCATGGTTAACAATTTAGAATTTATAACAACTGGTTACTTGTATAGGAAAGTTTAACCTATTTCCAAGAGAAAACAATATTTTCCCACAAAGACATTGAACATTTTTACCTCTGAAAGCAAAATTTTGCCTTTCAAAGACATCTAAAGAAGGAAAATACTAACCTCATTACATTATAAGATCTTTGTTATGAAATTCTAAATGAACCTTCTAAATACTTTGTACCTTGGCTGGCCTTTCTAATTTAAATATTTACTATACATGATGAGTATCTTAAGAAATTTCACACTTAAAAGGCTCTTAAAGAGTAGTGGTTTAAATAGTTTTTGACAGTGACTTGTTTTACATAACTTGAAATATTCAATATGTGTGTGGGTGCATGTATTATGCACTTACAGACAGAATTACACTTACAAATGACTTTGGCTTCAGATTCAGACCTCAGAAAATGACTTAATTCCATAACCTGACACTTTCCACTGCTATAGGTTAATCTTCTATAAACTCATTTTGAAATGATATGTTATGGTTATCCCAAAACTCCTTAAAGTAGACATATCTCAAAAGTCTGAAATGTTAATCATGAGAACTAAAAGAACTCATTTTTCCCCAAAAGAAAATTTGATCTGTCGCCAAAGCCAAATAAATATTTTCTATAAAATGCTGAAATAATGTATGGAAAAATCTGTGAAACTAAAACCTCCATACAATCTAAGTTAAATGCCCATATTTATTTATATAAGGAGAGTGACCCTCAGTGTATAGAAGATACCTCTTTTTGTGACTGTGGGTTTTTTTTTTTTTTTTTTTTTTAAATGAAGGCAACACTGCATGGCCTGCATTCTACTTAATTAAAAGCTATAGTGGGCCTTCCCAGATGTTAAAGGGGCCTGAGCTGAATAAAGTGTTGACATCAGATGAATGGGCGAGGCCACCTGCTAGCTCCACTCTTGGCTTTGTGGATGATTTGCATTCCTGTGGCCTGTTGCTCGGCATGACCACTCTCAGCACTTCACAGCACCATGGCCTGTTTAATATCATGGATGCCTTCCAGTCATGAAGTCTCTCTTCTATATTAACATCAGCACACAATAGCAAGGGGCCCATTCCATGATTTCTTTGCTCAGAGTATGATGTTTTTACTTAATTTAGACCACATAAAAGAAAAGGAAATGCTTTTCTACAGGCTGGATTAAGATAAAATAAACTTCTCCTTGCCTAAAATCATTAACAGATCAATTGTTCTTTCATGAAGACAATGCTCCTTATTTTAATTGGCAAATAGTATAAATTAGATTAAAAATATAACTTGACCTTAGTAAGCACAGAATGTTTCAATTTTATTTCTTTGTTCGTCAATTTAAGATAAGTCACTCAAGAGTGTTTAGATTAGACTGTAAAGGCTGGGATGGTAATAGTCTATAAACCTAGGAAATTCCATGTTTCATAGAGGAGAAATAGTAGGCTGCAACAGAAGTGAAAGGGATAAATCATAACATTACAATCTAGAGTATATTAAGAACAAAAAGAGAAAGAAAGGTATTATGGGAGGCACTTGCAAACAATTGATTTTAAATTATTTTTTCACCCAATTTAATGTTCAATTATTTTAATTTTGGTGAAGTATACAAATATAAAGTGTACATAAAATGTACCATTTTAACCATTTTTACATGTACAGAAAGTCATTTTGTACAAAGTGGTCAATTCATCAGAAGGACATAACAATCCTAAAGTTTATGTTCCTAATAGCAGAGTTTCAGAATACATAAAGCAACAACTAGAAGTACAATGAGTAAGAGACAAATTTATAATTGCAACTGGAGATTTTAATATCCCTCACTCAATAATTGACAGAGACAATAGGCAGAAAATCAGCACAGACATAGAAAACTGAATAACAACAACCAACTTGACTTAATTAACATTTCTAGAACATTTTATCTAATAACATAATACACGTTATTTTATATGAGCATGAAATACTTACTAAGATAAATCATGAGATAGATTTGGTATGTGAAACAACTCTCAATGAATACAGAATCATTAAGGGAATACACAATGTATTCTCTAACCATGGTGGAACTAAATTAGCAATAAATAGTAGAAATTAATCTATAAAATCCCCAAGTATGAGGAAATTAAGAGACTCCTAAATAACTGATGTGTCAAAAAATACATAGAAGAGCATTTATTTATTTATTTTTTAAGATATGGGATCTTGTTGCATTGCCCAGGCTGGAATTGGAACTCCCAAGCTCAAAGTATTCTCTGGGCTCAGCCTCCCAAGTATCTGGGACTACATGTGTGTGCCACCACACTGGGGTCAGAAATTATTTTTAACTGAAAAAAAAATAGCAAATATAAACACAAAATAGCAACATTCCTGGGATACTGAAAAAGCACTACAAAGAGGAAAATTGACTGCACTAAAGAGTTCAAATCAATGATTTCAGTTTCCACCTTAAGAAACAAACATGCACAAAAAATAAGAAAATAATGACACAGTCAACATTAATGAAAGAGAAAACAAAATGAAGACAGTAAACCAATGAAACCCAAAACTGTCTCTTTGAAAATATTTTTAAAACTTAAAAACTTTTTGCCAGACTAATCTGAAAAAAGATGGAAATTGAGAAGACACACATTACCAATATCTGGAATGGAAAGATGGCCCACTAGAGATCCTACAGGTATTGAAACAACAGTTAAGAGAACATTGTAAACAACTGTATGATAATAGATTAGTCAAATTAAATAAAATAGACACTTTTATTTTTTTGAAACAGAGTTTCGCTTTTGCGGCCTAGGCTGGAGTGCAGTCGTGTGATCTCGGCTCACCGCAACTTCTGGCTCCCGGGTTCCAGGGATTCTCCTGCCTCAGCCTCCAGAGTAGCTCCATGCCTGGGATTACAGGCATGCACCACCATGCCCAGCTAATTTTGTATTTTTAGTAGAGACAGGGTTTCTCCATGTTGGTCAGGCTGGTCTCAAACTCCCGACCTCAGGTGATCCACCCACCTCGGCCTCCCAAAGTGCTGGGATTACAGGCATCAGCCACCGTGCCCGGCCGAAATAGACACTTGTTTGAATAACACAAACTGCCAAAGTGTATTCAAGAAAAAATAGCCTGAATGGTACTATGTGTATAAATTAAAATTGTAGTAAAAAAATGTTTCTACAAGAAAACTTCAAGTTCAGATACCTTCAGAGGTGAGTTCTACTAAACATTTAAGGATAAAATAATACTAATTCTACACAGATTTTTTTAGATTCATAGTACATTCGATAAGACTAGTGTTGCATTAATATCAAAACCAAACAAAAACAGTTAAAGAAAGCAAAATTACAGACCACTCTTCCTCATAATCATAGAATCTCAAATTCTGAACAAAATTTTAGAAACTGAATAAAATAGATAGAAGGATAATGCATTTTCAGCCAAAGATATTTTATACCAGGAATGAAAGTTTGGTTTAACATTGCAAAAAATCAATATAATTCACCATATTAGTAAGTAAAAAAAGAAAAACCATATGATCATCTCAATAGATTCATCAAAAGTATTTGACAAAAATCAAGCTTCCATTCCTGATTTTAAAACAAATTTTAAAACCTCTCAGTGAAATAAGAAAAAAAGGAAAACATCTTAAAAGTGACAAAAGGGACCAACAAATATCTGGAAAGTTAACATTATACTTAATAGTGTTAAATACTTTCCCATCAAGATCAAGAACAAGACATGTATGTCAGATCTCACTACTTCTGTTCAACATTATACTAAAGATGGGAGCCAGTACCATGAGGCAAAAAGACATTGGAAGTAAAATTATATGTATTTAAGATAACATGTTCATCTACACAGAATATTCACAAAAATCCACCAAAAAATTACCAGAACTATTAAGGTATTTCATCAATATTACAGCATACAAGATCAATATGCAAAATTCAAGCATAGTTCTATTACTAATGAACAAAGGGATGTTGAAATTAAAAGTAAACCATACATTGAAAATATTAGTGCTAGGGACAAATCTGACAAAAGATGTGCAAAACCTTTAAACTGAAAACTACAAAACATTACTGAGAGACATTTTAAAAATATAAATGAGGAGATACCCCTTGGAAGAGTCAATATTGTTAATATTGTTAATTCTTTCCAAATTGATATATTCTAAAATTTGTATGGACATACAAATGAGAAAAATAACCAAAACAACTTCAAAAACGATTTTAAAAGTCCAAGAATTCATATTTGGTAATTTCAAAAAGTATAAAGTTATAGTAACCAAGACATGATACTGTTATCAAGATATTTTTATTTCAAAAAGAATTTGAAGTCAAACAATTAAGAATTCAGAAACAGATCCACCTAGGTATTGACAACTAATTTTTGACAATGCAAAGGAAATTCAGAGAACAATGACAGCCTTTTCAACAAATGGTGGGGGAACAACTGAATATCCATTTCAAAAAATTCGTTCATTACATTATAAATGAAACACCTAAAATTAGAAAAAAACCTTTATGAGACAAAAATATTTGTGACCTTGGGTTAAGCAAATATTTCTTAGATATGACACCAACAGTATGATACATAAAAGAAAAATATTGACAAATTGTACTTTTTAAAAATCTTTATTTATTTATTTATTTATTATTATTATACTTTAAGTTTTAGGGTACATGTGCACAATGTGCAGGTTAGTTACATATGTATACATGTGCCATGCTGGTGCGCTGCACCCACTAACTCACCATCTAGCATTACGTATATCTACCAATGCTATCCCTCCCCCCTTCCCCCACACCACAACAGTCCCCAGAGTGTGATGTTCCCCTTCCTGTGTCCATGTGTTCTCATTGTTCAATTCCCACCTATGAGTGAGAACGTGCAGTGTTTGGTTTTTTGTTCTTGCAATAGTTTACTGAGAATGATGATTTCCAATTTCATCCATGTCCCTACAAAGGACATGAACTCATCTTTTTTTATGGCTGCATAGTATTCCATGGTGTATATGTGCCACATTTTCTTAATCCAGTCTATCATTGTTGGACATTTAGGTTGGTTCCAAGTCTTTGCTATTGTGAGTAATGCCACAATAAACATACGTGTGCATGTGTCTTTATAGCAGCATGATTTATAGTCCTTTGGGTATATACCCTGTACTGGCATGGCTGGGTCAAATGGTATTTCTAGTTCTAGATCCCTGAGGAATCGCCACACTGACTTCCACAATGGTTGAACTAGTTTACAATCCCACCAACAGTGTAAAAGTGTTCCTATTTCTCCACATCCTCTCCAGCACCTGTTGTTTCCTGACTTTTTAGTGATTGCCATTCTAACTGGTGTGAGATGGTATCTCATTGTGGTTTTGATTTGCATTTCTCTGATGGTCAGTTATGGTGAGCAATTTTTCATGTGTTTTTTGGCGCATAAATGTCTTCTTTTGAGAAGTGTCTTTTCATATCCTTCGCCCATTTTTGATGGGGTTGTTTGTTTTTTTCTTGTAAATTTGTTTGAGTTCATTGTAGATTCTGGATATTAGCCCTTTGTCAGATGAGTAGGTTGCAAAAATTTTCTCCAATTTTGTAGGTTGCCTGTTCACTCTGATGGTAGTTTCTTTTGCTGTGCAGAAGCTCTTTAGTTTAATTAGATCCCATTTGTCAATTTTGGCTTTTGTTGCCATTGCTTTTGGTGTTTTAGACATGAAGTCCTTGCCCATGCCTATGTCTTGAATGGTAATGCCTAGGTTTTCTTCTAGGGTTTTTATGGTTTCAGGTCTAACATGTAAGTCTTTAATCCATCTTGAATTGATTTTTGTATAAGGTGTAAGGAAGGGATCCAGTTTCAGCTTTCTACATATGGCTAGCCAGTTTTCCCAGCACCATTTATTAAATAGGGAATCCTTTCCCCATTGCTTGTTTTTGTCAGGTTTGTCAAAGATCAGATAGTTGTAGATAAGCGGCGTGATTTCTGAGGGCTCTGTTCTGTTCCATTGATCTATATCTCTGTTTTGGTACCAGTACCATGCTGTTTTGGTTACTATTGCCTTGTAGTATAGTTTGAAGTCAGGTAGTGTGATTCCTCCAGCTTTGTTCTTTTGGCTTAGGATTGACTTGGGGATGTGGGCCCTTTTTTGGTTCCATATGAACTTTAAAGTAGTTTTTTCCAATTCTGTGAAGGAAGTCATTGGTAGCTTAATGGGGATGGCATTGAATCTGTAAATTACCTTGGACAGTATGGCCATTTTCACGATATTGATTCTTCCTACCCATGAGCATGGAATGTTCTTCCATTTGTTTGTATCCTCTTTTATTTCCTTCAGAAGTGGTTTGTAGTTCTCCTTGAAGAGGTCCTTCACGTCCCTTGTAAGTGGGATTCCTAGGTATTTTATTCTCTTTGAAGCAATTGTGAATGGGAGTTCACTCATGATTTGGCTCTCTGTTTGTCTGTTGTTGGTGTATAAGAATGCTTGTGATTTTTGTACACTGATTTTGTATCCTGAGACTTTGCTGAAGTTGCTTATCAGCTTAAGGAGATTTTGGGCTGAGACAATGGGGTTTTCTAGATATACAATCATGTCGTCTACAAACAGGGACAATTTGACTTCCTGTTTTCCTAATTGAATACCCTTTATTTCCTTCTCCTGCCTAATTGCCCTGGCCAGAACTTCCAACACTATGTTGAATAGGAGTGGTGAGAGAGGGCATCCCTGTCTTGTGCCAGTTTTCAAAGGGAATGCTTCCAGTTTTTGCCCATTCAGTATGATGTTGGTTGTGGGTTTGTCATAGATAGCTCTTATTATTTTGAAATACGTCCCATCAATACCTAATTTATTTATAGTTTTTAGCATGAAGGGTTGTTGAATTTTGTCAAAGGCCTTTTCTGCATCTACTGAGATAATCATGTGGTTTTTGTCTTTGGTTCTGTTTATATGCTGGATTACATTTATTGATTTGCGTATATTGAACCAGCCTTGCATCCCAGGGATGAAGCCCACTTGATCATGGTGGATAAGCTTTTTGATGTGCTGCTGGATTCGGTTTGCCAGTATTTTATTGAGGATTTTTGCATCAATGTTCATCAAGGATATTAGTCTAAAATTCTCTTTTTTGGTTGTGTCTCTGCCTGGCTTTGGTATCAGGATGATGCTGGCCTCATAAAATGAGTTAGGGAGGATTCCCTCCTTTTCTATTGATTGGAATAGTTTCAGAAGGAATGGTACCCGCTCCACCTTCTACCTCTGGTAGAATTCGGCTGTGAATCCATCTGGTCCTGGACTCCTTTTGGTTGGTAAGCTATTGATTATTGCCACAATTTCAGCTCCTGTTATTGGTCTATTCAGAGATTCAACATCTTCCTGGTTTAGTCTTGGGAGAGTGTATGTGTCGAGGAATTTACCCATTTCTTCTAGATTTTCTAGTTTATTTGCGTAGAGGTGTTTGTAGTATTCTCTGATAGTAGTTTGTATTTCTGTGGGAACGGTGGTGATATCCCCTATATCATTTTTTATTGCATCTATTTGATTCTTCTCTCTTTTTTTCTTTATTAGTCTTGCTAGCGGTCTATCAATTTTGTTGATCTTTTCAGAAAACCAGCTCCTGGATTCATTAATTTTTTGAAGGGTTTTTTGTGTCTCTATTTCCTTCAGTTCTGCTCTGTTTTTCATTATTTCTTGTCTTCTGCTAGCTTTTGAATGTGTTTGCTCTCGCTTTTCTAGTTCTTTTAATTGTGATGTTAGGGTGTCAATTTTGGATCTTTCCTGCTTTCTCTTGTGGGCATTTAGTGCTATAAATTTCTATCTACACACTGCTTTGAATGCATCCCTTAGATTCTGGTATGTTGCGTCTTTGTTCTCATTGGTTTCAAAGAACATCTTTATTTCTGCCTTCATTTCGTTATGTACCCAGTAGTCATTCAGGAGCAGGTTGTTCAGTTTCCATATAGCTGAGCGGTTTTGAGTGAGTTTCTTAATCCTGAGTTCTAGTTTGATTGCACTGTGGTCTGAGAGATAGTTTGTTACAATTCCTGTTCTTTTACATTTGCTGAGGAGAGCTTTACTTCCAAGTATGTGGTCAATTTTGGAATAGGTGTGGTGTGGTGCTGAAAAAAATGTATATTCTGTTGATTTGGGGTGGAGAGTTCTGTAGATGTCTATTAGGTCCACTTGGTGCAGAGCTGAGTTCAATTCCTGGGTATCCTTGTTGACTTTCTGTCTCATTGATCTGTCTAATGTTGACAGTGGGGTGTTAAAGTCTCCCATTATTAATGTGTGGGAGTCTAAGTCTCTTTGTAGGTCACTCAGGACTTGCTTTATGAATCTGGGTGCTCCTGTATTGGGTGCATCTATATTTAGGATAGTTAGCTCTTCTTGTTGAATTGATCCCTTTACCATTATGTAATGGCCTTCTTTGTCTCTTTTGATCTTTGTTGGTTTAAAGTCTGTTTAATCAGAGACTAGGATTGCAACCCCTGCCTTTTTTTGTTTTCCATTTGCTCGGTAGATCTTCCTCCATCCTTTTATTTTGAGCCTATGTGTGTTTCTGCACGTGAGATGGGTTTCCTGAATAGAGCACACTGATGGGTCTTGACTGTTTATCCAATTTGCCAGTCTGTGTCTTTTAATTGGAGCATTTAGCCCATTTACTTTTAAAGTTAATATTGTTATGTGTGAATTTGATCCTGTCATTATGATGTTAGCTGGTTATTTTGCTCGTTAGTTGATGCAGTTGCTTCCTAGTCTCGATGGTCTTTACAATTTGGCATGATTTTGCAGCTGCTGGTACCGGTTGTTCCTTTCCATGTTTAGCGCTTCCTTCAGGAGCTCTTTTAGGGCAGGCCTGGTGGTGACAAAATCTCTCAGCATTTGCTTGTCTGTAAAGTATTTTATTTCTCCTTCACTTATGAAGCTTAGTTTGGCTGGATATGAATTTCTGGGTTGAAAATTCTTTTCTTTAAGAATGTTGAATATTGGCCCCCACTCTCTTCTGGCTTGTAGAGTTTCTGCTGAGAGATCCGCTGTTAGTCTGATGGGCTTCCCTTTGAGGGTAACCCGACCTTTCTCTCTGGCTGCCCTTAACATTTTTTTCTTCATTTCAACTTTGGTGAATCTGACAGTTATGTGTCTTGGAGTTGCTCTTCTCAAGGACTATCTTTGTGGCATTCTCTGTATTTCCTGAATTTGAATGTTGGCCTGCCTTGCTAGATTGGGGAAGTTCTCCTGCATAATATCCTGCAGATTGTTTTCCAACTTGGTTCCATTCTCCCCGTCACTTTCAGGTACACCAATCAGACGTAGATTTGGTCTTTTCACATAGACCCATATTTCTTGGAGGCTTTGCTCGTTACTTTTTATTCTCTTTTCTCTAAATTTCCCTTCTCGCTTCATTTCATTAATTTCATCTTCCATCGCTGATACCCTTTCTTCCAGTTGATCGCATTGGCTCCTGAGGCTTCTGCATTCTTCACGTAGTTCTCGAGCCTTGGTTTTCAGCTCCATCAGCTCCTTTAAGCACTTCTCTGTATTGGTTATTCTAGTTATATATTCTTCTAAATTTTTTTCAAAGTTTTCAACTTCTTTGCCTTTGGTTTGAATGTCCTTCCATAGCTCGGCGTAATTTGATCATCTGAAGCCTTCTTCTCTCAGCTCGTCAAAGTCATTCTCCGTCCAGCTTTGTTCTGTTGCTGGTGAGGAATTGCGTTCCTTTGGAGGAGGAGAGGCGCTCTGCTTTTTAGAGTTTCCAGTTTTTCTGCTCTGGTTTTTCCCCATCTTTGTGGTTTTATCTACTTTTGGTCTTTGATGATGGTGATGTACAGATGGGTTTTTGGTGTGGGTGTCCTTTCTGTTTGTTAGTTTTCCTTTTAACAGACAGGACCTTCAGCTGCAGGTCTGTTGGAGTACCGGGCCATGTGAGGTGTCAGTCTACCCCTGCTGGGGGGTGCCTCCCAGTTAGGCTGCTTGGGGGTCAGGGTTCAGGGACCCACTTGAGGAGCAGTATGCCCATTCTCAGATCTCCAGCTGAGTGCTGGGAGAACCACTGCTCTCTTCAAAGCTGTCAGACAGGGACATTTAAGTCTGCAGAGGTTACTGCTGTCTTTTTTTTTGTCTGTGCCCTGCCTCCAGAGGTGGAGTCTACAGAGGCAGGCAGGCCTCCTTGAGCTGTGGTGGGCTCCACCCAGTTCGAGCTTCCCGGCTGCTTTGTTTACCTAAGCAAGCCTGGGCAATGGCAGGCACCCCTCCCCCAACCTTGCTGCCGCCTTGCAGTTTGATCTCAGACTGCTGTGCTAGCAATCAGTGAGACTCCTTGGGCGTAGGACCTTCTGAGCCAGGTGCGGGATATAATCTCCTGGTGTGCTGTTTTTTAAGCCAGTCGGAAAAGCGCAGTATTCGGGTGGGAGTGACCCGATTTTCCAGGTGCCATCTGTCACCCCTTTCTTTGACTAGGAAAGGGAACTCCCTGACCCCTTGCGCTTCCAGAGTGAGGCAATGCCTCGCCCTGCTTTGGTTCGCGCACGGTGCGTGTACCCACTGACCTGCACCCACTGTCTGGCACTCCCTAGTGAGATGAACCCGGTACCTCAGATGGAAATGCAGAAATCACCCATCTTCTGCGTCATTGCCGCTGGGAGCTGTAGACCGGAGCTGTTCCTATTTGGCCCTCTTGGCTCCTCCCCCCTACTTTTTAAAAATCTTAAACGCTTTTCCTTTTCTAGAGATACTGTTAAGTTAGGAGAATAAAATGACTACTCAGTTAAGCTACCATTCAAGATTGAGTGTAAAGTAGAGACATATTTAGAGAAAGTAAAAATTTAAGTGGTTACCATTCCCAGACCATCACTGAGAATGACCAAAGCAATACTTCGAGGAAGGAAATTGCACCTAAAATGAAGCAATAGAAGGAAGCAAGAAGTAACAAGTTGTAAACGTAAAAGAAACATTGACTATGTAAATTAAAAATAATCATCTGAGTGTATATAGAAAGTAAATATAAAATATTAAATAATAGCAACTGGGTTAGGATATACAGTTAATGCTTTTTAAAGTTATATTAGTCTATTTTCATACTGCTATGAAGAAATACCCGAAACTGCGTAATTTATAAAGAAAAAGTTTAATAGACTCACAGTTTCACATGGCTGGGGAGGCCTCAAAATCATGGTGGAAGGTGAAGGAGGAGAAAAGGCTCATCCTACGTGGCAGGGGGGAAGACAGTATATGCAGGGAAACTGCCCTTTATAAAACCGTCAGATCTCTTGAGAGTTATTCACTGCCACAAGAACAGCACAGGAAAAACCCATCTCCATGATTCAATTACCTCCCACCGGGTCCCTCCCACCACAGGTGGGGATTATGGGAGCTGTAATTCAAGATAAGATTTGTGTGAGGACACAGCCAAACCATATCAAATATATTCAGTAGCAGAAAAAATATATTAATCATTATTAGGTTTTGTTAATTTAGAAACTGATATTTTTTTGAAGCAGTTACTGAAGGAATAGAAATATAATGTACAATAAATAAAAGATGAAAAGGAACTTAAAAATTTGATTCAATAAAAGACAGAAAAGAAAAATTGGCAAAAAAAAGTTGTAGAAATAGTTTCCATATTTATCAATTGCAAAAAATGTTAATAGGTCAAGGGTATATGTCAAAAGATACTTTCTCAAGAAAATAGTGTGTTGAGATATACATTGAAAAAATTGAATTAATTGTTGATACTAGTTGAAGTTGGGTGATAGATAAATGAAAGTTTGTTATAAAATTTGCTTTATTTCCCAAAATAAAAATTTTTTAAATTTGAGTTTTCTCATTGTAATATTTTGCCATTAACTTCTAAAGTGTGAAAACAGAAAGTAGATTGGCTTATAAAAAATCATGTTATATTCCTTTTACAGAAGACACCTCCAGAAGTCACTTTACAGATTGTTTGAAGGTAAGAGAAAGAAAAATACTAACCAAAGGAAAATGGCTGTGGCAAAATTAATCTTTGACAGATTATAAATTTAAAAAATGTGTAAAGCAGCAGTCCCCAAACCTTTTGGCACCAGGGGCTGGTTTCTGTGGAAGATAGTTTTTCTGTGGATGAAGTCGGGGGTATGGTTTTGGGATGAAACTGTTCCACCTCAGATCATCAGGCATTAGATTCTCATAAGGAGTGTACAACCTAGATCCCTCAGATGTGCAGTTCACAACTGGGTTCTTGCTCCTAAGAGAATCTAATGCAGCTGCTGATCTAAGGAGGCAGAGCTTAGGTGGTAATGCTTGCTCACAGGCCGCTCACCTCCTGCTCTGCAGCCGGATTCCTGTACTTGTTTGTGGCTTGGGGGTTGGGTTGGGGACCAAAGGTTTAAAGGCAATGACTACTTAATGATTAACAAGAAATTCAATAGAAAAATAAATTTTATTAAGAATAAATTACTTTAAATATCTATTAATAAGTTACTTTTTGTTTGCAATATCTTTACTTAAAAGAAAATAAAATTATTGCAAAGATGAAAAAAGGCTTGGTCTGCATTTTGTGATCGAAACAACATAACAGTAACAGGTAATTTGATCATTTCCTTCATCTTCATGGCAATTTGAATATTTACTGAACACCTAAAGCATGAGCCCATAGTGCAGAAATCTAGAATATGTGGAGAGGTAAATTAAAAACAAACTTAAAGATAACAGTCCAGCTGGGCGAGGTGGCTCACTGCTGTAATCCAGCACATTGGGAGGCTGAGGTGGGCAGATCACAAGGTCAGGAGTTCGAGACCAGCCTGGCCAACATGATGAAACCCCGTCTCTACTAAAAATACCAAAAAAAAAAAAAAAAATAGCTAGGCGTGGCATGCGCCTGTAACCCCAGCTACTCCGGAGGCAGAGGGAGTAGAATCGCTTAAACCCAGGATGTGGAGGTTGCAGTGAGCCAAGATCGCGACACTGCACTCCAGCCTGGGCGGCAGAACAAGACTCCGTCTCAAAAAAAAAAACAAAAAAAACAAAAAAACAGAAAACTAAGTCTAAATAGATGATGATAGGTTTTCTTAGGCATTTGGAGGATACAGACCTTATTTTAGTGGGGCATACAATAATCAGGGGTTCAAAAGGGAGGGTACAGAGTGCCAGTTTGCTAATGTTCACTGTTTCTGTTATTTGAAGAGACTCTAGTGGGGTGAGAAGCAATTTGATGAACTGATGGTGAAAAGCTGGGCAGCAAGACAGATCTGGCTTATATTCTAAATGTGTTGTACAGTAGCTCTGTCACCTTAGACATGCTACTTAACCTCACTGACCTATAGTTTCCTCTTACATAAAATGGGGATGATGTTTCTGCTTTATAGAGCTATTGTGGACACTAAGTGCACTCACACACCCACACAAAGAAGGTGTTTAGCAGAGTCTGATAGTAAAGCTGCAATATTGTACTAGACAAAAAGAAGCTAAGGTAGAGAGGTGAACATTTATCCAAGAACTGCTAAACTGTAAAATAAAGTTTCGTTCTTGTTCTTGTTAATTATTTGAAATCATTTTTAGGCAATTATTCTTATCCTGAGCTCTTTGTGGTAGTTAAAAGTTTTTAAAATCTGAATTTTTAAACATAAATGATTAGTTAAATACATTATGACATAACAATGCAGTGGAATAATTTGTAACTTCTCTAAACCTCACTTTATATAAAAAATAATGGGAATATTATCTACTCCTCAAAGTTGTTGTGAGGATTATATGAGGTTATATAAGAATAGCGTTTAGCTCAATGCCTGGGACAAAGCGAGCCTCCATTCTGTAAATTCATGTATATGTGCATAGAAATATATTTGGAAGTATATAAAACTGTGCAGATTATGGTTGATTTTTATGAACAGCTTCATAAGTTTTTTAATACCATTCTTGTATTTGCTATTTTTCTTATATGTGTGATAGGGTCACAATTTTATTTTATTTTACATTTTTGTAATTCCAACAACAGTAACTGAATGGAGTCAACAAACCAAATAATAGAATTTTAACATTTGCTATTTGGAAGGATTATCCTTTTCAAACCCTCCTTCCTCTGTCTTCCACAATTTTTTTCATCTCATTGTACCTCCTCTAATAATATGTTAACATTTTAAAAAGTCAAAAATTTTTCATTTGATTTTATTTCCATTAAGTTCATATTCTATGATTCTTGCATGGAACACACATACTGGTTTAGAAACTAACTTAATATGACTAATATAGTTAGGGAAAGGCAATAATATTTGAAAGAAATAAAATAGAAAAACATCAAACAAGTATAAAACCCTTCAAAACCAACAAAAATTTTAAACAAAAGGTCAAATGAAGATTGTTGATTTCTGTGAAAATCCTGCAAATGTGGTGTCCCATGATAAGACATCTAAAAATATTGGAATTGGATTGGTGTGGGCTTCAGCATGAGGTGATAAAATACAGATTCAAGTGGACAAAAAGGGGAAGATTGTGGACATGAGGTTTAAAACATCTGGCTGCAGTTCTGCAGTTGCCTCCAGCCCGTTAGCCACTGACCGGGTGAAAAAGAATATGATAGAGGAAGCCTATACCCTCAAAAACACAGACATCACCAAGGAGCCCTGCCTTCCTCCTGTGAAACTGCCTGCTCCATGCTGGCTGAGGATGCAACTAAGGCCACTTGGCTGGTTACAAACTAAAATAAGGACCCGAGAAAGGAGAGGTGGAGAAGAAATGTGCCCTCCGAGAAGCCTTAAGCCGGCCACACCAGCTGTTTGCCCACCTGCTGTGCAGTCACCTTAGGTGTTCAGAAGCTGCTCACACTGCACAAAACACCTGTGAGATACACACAATATTTGTTCTTCATATCGTGACTCTAATGCAAGCAAAATACAAAGTTTAATTGTTCTGAAAACTGTGGTTTCTTTCAATCCACTTTTATTGCCTTAACTCAGTGAATGTGTATTTTGAATTGTGCGTATGGCCTCAGAACTGAAATTGATCATGAATTCTCAAATGTTAATATTCTCTTAAGTGCATTAATATCTAATTTTACCTGAATTGATTTGGGGGGAAATTACCAGTAGAATGCCTTCATCTGATTATTTGATGGGATCAATTGTTGTACATAAAACAAACCTGCATATATATACACATATATACACACACATATATGTGTGTGTATATATATATGTGTGTGTGTATCTGAATATATATATATATATATATATATTATAATAAAAGAATGAAAGACTCCCCCCAAAAATCAAAAGATTATAAAACTTCTCAGAGATGCTTCAAAGTAACTAGCTTTTTGTGGCAGGGGTACGTAGGGGAGTGACTATTTTTATTCATTTCTTACCAAATAATCATTTTGATCAAAAGCTCATTTAGTTTTTTCTAAATTTCTTTCAACCCAATTGTAAGTCCTTATTTTGTAGTTGGAGAAAATAAGACAATACTTAAAGGACTTGTGTCACAGAGTAAATTAGAACCCACGCTTAATTCTAAATCTTGAATGTTGTGCTAGTAAATGTGTTGTTTTCTAAAGAGGTAGAAAGCACTGAAGGTTTTATTGGACAGGAGAGTAACATCAGAAATATGATATTTGGCAAAATTACTTTGGGCAGTGTGGTAAATGGACTGAAAGGGACAGAGTTAATTGAGCTGAAAACCAGTATTGACGAGCAAAGAGAGCAAAGACTCATTCTGTGGTTTACTTTATGTGTGAGGCCTTAGTCTCACGTTTGGTTTAAGGTGACAGGACTTTTCCCCTGGAAAAGTTGTTTTCATACCCAAGGGCTTTCTCAGAGATATTAAGAAGGTTCCCAGCATCATTACACACAGGCAAAGTCAGAGGTAAGATATTCTCTTTCTCATTTATCTGTTTCACATATTCACATATTGAATATAGAGAGGCATGAGAGGTTTCACATGAAAAACAAGACATCTGTTGTTAAAACTCATTTTTAAAAAATCATATTTTTATAGAGCTCCAGTGTGCAGATAGACAGCTTTAAATTCTATAATTTCATCATCTTTGTTTGAGAATTCTATTATGAAATAATCTGTTATAGCACAAACTGTTACAGCACAGTTTCTTTATGGCATAAGTCACATTGATAATATCTGCTTACAATGGGGATCTTATTATTTGAGAATTAGAAACACAATTAGGGAAAATATTAACCTCTTCATAACAATCCGTTGTGGGACAGGAAGAAAGCTGTTATGAAGACCTTCAGTTTAGCTAATATGGATTGCCTGGAGCAGTGCTACTCAGCGTGTGGTCCGTGGATCTGCTGCGTCTCCTAGCAGCCCAGACCTCCTAAATCAGAGCTTGCATGTTAAAAACATTCCCACATAATCGCAGGCCCATTACAATATGATAAGTTACTGCTCTAGAGTACACCATGGACATGAGTCCAGTGAGTCTGATTCATAGACAAGCACTGACCAAGTTAATGTTAACAAGAGTAAGTATACTCAACAAAATACCAATAATATTTAATAATGCTTATATGTCGGGAATCTGTCTGTGCCCTTTCATTTCTCCTTACTCCTCCACCTCTCACTTCCATTTGTTTTCTAACTGGTTAAAAAAGATAATTCTGTTAAAATTCTCTTACAACCTTGTTTCTTTCCTTGGTCTATGCCAAATGATAGTAACAAACTGGAAAGTCAGTGGGATTATTGTTTTTCTGAATAATGTAAAACTAGTTTTTTTGTTTGTTTGTTTTTGTTTTTAACTAACTGCTGAGCTAATGCAGTGACATCACAAAGAAAAACAGTCCCCTTCTCTCGATGGTTCCTCTTTTTTCTTGCTCAATATCAGTGAGCTTATCAGACTTCGTAGGCATTGTACTTGACAGCTTAGGTGCAATTTTACTATTACATCACTTCCAGTCATTACACATAGGTTGGCCCCCTTAAGACCATAAAGCAGGCTTACTAGTAGCTTATTGTTTATTCATTCCCTGTATTTCATTTTATTTCTTGATTATATTTTATTTAAATAATGTTCATGGAAACTAAAGTTTGTGCTAATGATCTTTCCCTGCCCTTAGTAAACTAGAAAATCTGTGTAGCTGTATCTCTGATAAAGGATTTGGAGGAGAAAGGCAAAGATAGACCTGAATGATCTTTCCAGATATTGGAAGTGCCAAGCATTTTTATTCCTACTTAATATGACCTCACCCATAGCTCTGGTTCTCAAAATGCCAGCCATAAGAGCCAACACCCTGACCTAGAGTGGTTAATAATTTTTCATACATGGTAGCTTCCTGACTATTAACAATCTCATAGTTAATTTCAGCATGGTATTATGAGAAGAGTCTGGAGGCTAGAGTATGTTCATGAATCTAGTTTGTACAATGACACAGTCTCACTGAATGCCTGGGGTTAGGTAATCAACATCAACCTCATCCATTATTGTCAGACACTAATAGTAAGTTCTTACACGTTACAGATAGACATTGAGGCAGCCAAGATGCATAAAATACAATGTCTTCCATAGTTACTTTATTGGATAAATGTGAAAATTAGGTGAAATAAATAAGAATGGCTTTTGAAGCAAAGGTTACTGTGATATTATCACTTATAGGTTGTGTTTTATTTCACACTCTTAATGAACTGTAAAATTGAGCCACAAGTAGACTGGATTAAGTTATTTAGCAAAATAAGCACCTCCCTGTGTAGTCATTTGATAACAGGTATCACCCTAATGTAGGAATTATAATATTCTCTGACAAATTAAAGACACACAGACTGTAACTGAAGAATTACTTTAGTGCAATCCCCAAACCAAGGAATCTTAAAAAGAAATTTGTTCCAAAATACTAACCCATATGTATAAAGCAGTTTTTAACATCATAAGAAAAACAAACTTGGATGTTAAAAGTGTAAATTGTAATGAAGTAAATTTCTCCTCACAATTTGTCTCAGGCTTTAAAGATTATTATGTAGGAAATATTTTGTGTATGTGTCGGGGGGGTTGTTTCTGTTTTGTTTTGAGATAGGGTCTCGCTCTGTCACCAAGGCTCACTGCAGCCTCGAACTCCTGGGCTCAAGCAGTCTTCCCACCTCAGCTTCCCGAGTAGTGGGACCACAGGTGTGCAGCGTCATGCCTGGCTAATTGTTTTGTAGAGTCGGAGTCTCACCATATTGCCCAAGCTGGTCTCAAATTCCTGAGCTCAAGTGATCCTCCTGCCTTGGCCTCCCAAAGTGCTAGGATTACAAGCGTGAGCCACTGTGCCCAGCCGGAAGTATTTTGTAAAGTCATATTTTTAAACTGTCCTGTTATCTGGGCTTGAAAAAGCCTAGAAATAACAATTATGTGACATTTGCTAACACTCAGAGTATATCTACCACAATAGCACCCCTTTCCACAACTATAACTATGTGCTAGTTGCTGTTGCATCCAAGTATACGAAGTAATAAATAGGCCCCAAGTGCCAAGCAAATGCAAAAGCAAGTAAAGTATTTTTCCCCGCATGCGGGAACCATCTCTTATGAACTTAACTTCAGTCAAGATAGACAGTTTGAACTGTTTCTACACTGCATTTATTAAGACACTCTTTTTATTCTTAAAACCAAGCTATTACATGGGTTCTTTTATGGAAACTGTGGACAATCAAAAGATTTGCAAATTGAAGAGTTTTATTGCAGTGTTTGTTTCAAGCATTCTTGAAAGAAAGTGTATGAAGATTATTACAACTTTGGAGATTTCAGATACTGTAAAAAATATGCTCAGCATGGGATGCTATGCTGTCCCTCCACTGCCATTATTAAGTGTAGGCAAATGTGTAATAAGTGGGAGGAATGCTTGGTAAAGGGCCATGGAGAAGGGGTGAGGAAAAGGGAAAAATTTAGGCCATACTGTTGCTGTCATTACTTCCTCAATGCAAGGCCATTTAATGAACTTAGCATCCACAGGTTTTTATAAGGCAATATAGTGTTAAAATTTTGGAAGACGTTGGTCTGAATATTGACCTGTTTTGGTATGCCATTTCTCATAAGATGGTAGAGGGAGGAAGAGAAATGAAGGAAAATTTGCTATACTTGTCTCTAGTGTCAGTAGTTTATGGTAGCTGAGACATACAGCCCCTTGTTTTTTTTGTTTATCTTTGTTTGTTTTTATATTTGTACATTAAGCATAAGAGTGTTTGTTCTGTGATGTGCAGGATTTTACTTTAATGGTTATTAAAAGTTTGAAAATGAGTGGTGTTTGGTATTAACCAGCTGTGGCCTTGAGTGATGAAATTCTAAAAATATGTAGTGTGCTTTCTCAAAAAGCATATGCCTTAACTATTTGGAAATAATCAAACACATAAGGCCAATCTTCAGGCAAAATTGGCTGTAGGTGGCCAGATAAGCATCCAATTCTTGATTTCAAGCATTGCAGCTCAGAGCTTTGATATGTAAATGGGAAATGATTGTATTACTAACAATTCTAAAATGAGTAATAAAAAACATTCCTATTTTATTTTGTGTTATAATAAGAATTAGCACACACACACAAACACAAAGAACGATGTAATTAAAGTTACAGTATTAAAATGAACAATAACATCAAACATTCACATTTTATTTTGCATTCAGATGGAATAAAAATAAGCACACACACACAAAGAGTGATGTCATTAAGGTTACATGGATTGAAGGAATTTTAAGGGTTTCAAAGAGTAGCGCATGACAGAAGAGAGAAGCAGTGATCATCACCATAAGTGTTTCCAGACTAAATTCACTTATTACTTGTTATTTTACATTGTTGGTCTCTCAAATGCCTTAGGAACCTGGAACCTAGAATTCCAATAATCACAGTAAGATATCTAGGCATTACATCCTTTAGAAAAGAATCAATCATTGACATTTCAGTCAGTTTGAATATGGCCACTGACACCTGAGAAGACATAATTTATTCCAAAAATGGAAAACATTTTATTGTTACTGGCAGTGTTAATATAATACATATAATAGTAATTTTAGTGTGGTATATGCATGTTTGAATAGTACTTCTTATGTTCAAGGCTAATGTTCAGTAACAAGCCAATTAGGTGAAACACCACTCAGAAAAGATAAGAATAGATTGGATAAAATATGTGTGTGTTCTCTAGTATTTTTTCTTTTGCCTGTATACAAAGATAAAATTTACTATCGAAACTTCTGGTGAATAGGATTTTCAGCACATCCTGTGCAACTTCCAGTGATTGCATTCTACCTTATGCCCATGTTTACATGGAACTTTTGATTTAATTCCTTTGATCAAAAATATTTATTTACAATGTTATTGGATGATGCAACAAAATACTTCTTAGGCACAAGTAAATGTTTTTCTTTCCTTCTTCCAGCATGTATCAGTATGACTGGATTTTTGTCTTTTATGAAATTGTTTAAATAATATTTTCAAACATTAAACTCATAGATTTCTTCATTTCTTTCCACTTCCAAAAGAACATGGGATCATTATGCCAACTCAGCAGATGTCTAATTTAAATTTCTCTTGCCTTAATTGAAGCCTGTCTCCTCTTCCTTTTGGTTTGCTGGAAAAAGAGAACAGCTGTTGGACATCATGCTCTTACAATAAGTCTGTCTTTAACGTTTTGTTTTTCAGTTCCTCTAAAAGCCCTAAGCCCTGAATTTTTCCTCACAGGTCCTATTACCCTTGCTAACTTTGTTGGATGCAATCCTATAGTAACATTATCATTGTCCCTCATTTGTAGAGCCCCAAATTAGGAAGCGTAGACTCATAAAGACAGAAATTTCAGCAAAAGTATGGTTATCTAGCTCATTTGCATAACCTTGTAGGTAGTTATGATAATAACATGGAGGAAAGGTAAATTTACTGATTGCTTGTGATCTTTAATTGCTTTTCACAATTTAGTGCTTTTGCATTGCATATTTTAAAGTTAGTTGTTCTCATTACCAATGACCTAAATTAAATTGAACATTTTTCAAATTTTTTTTTCTTTTTTTTTTTAAGACACGGATTCTTGCTTTGTTGCCCATGGCTATCCACAGGCATGATCATATCACATATAACCTTGAATCCCATGCTCAGCAAATCATTTATTCTACTTTAAATTAGGTATCTCTTTTGTAAATAAAGGCCAGAATGAGTCATAAAACTAACTTACTTTTCCTTTATATAACTTGACACCATATTCTATTGATTCCCTGAAGTCCTGTGGGAGTCAGGAATATAAAAAGATAATGGCATCTAGAGAATAATTTGATAATGGTAACATGTATCAACATCATTTTCAACTAGAAACATTACGACATGCTACTACTTTGGAAGCAATCCCTTTTGTCCTTCTTTACTCTCAGCCTACCAATTATCCATCTTATTCCATTTGCATTCATTGATATCAACACAATTTTGTATAGTACAATAGTTAAGATAACAAGTTTTAGTTTACTTCTGGCATTTTTTAAATCTCTCTGATGTCTTTGAAAGTTCTGAATGTTCTTAAGCCTAAGTCTCTCAATCTATAAAATAGTAAACAACAAAACTGACCATAACATTAGGGTCAAAACAAAATGGACCATTTAACATCATATTAAATATGATAATATATTTGAAATACTTTGTAAAGTATCTGACACACAATGAGCAGGAAAAGTATTAATACTAGTGTTGCAATTATATTATTTTTATTATTATCATCATCCCTTAAGGGGCATCACTACCAAAATAGTTTGCTATTATGCATTATTTGTATCTAATTTGCAGCAAATTATTAATCTTAGCAATATTTTAACGTGACTGCTTTTAATCCCATCTTGTTTTTATTTGCTTGTTTAATTCTGTTAACGGTGTTTGCTATTTTCTCCAAAGCATGTTCGTTCGCCCTTGTGTAGGTTTAAAACTTTATTCCCAACTTGTTTTTACATTTTATTTTATGTCATGTTGCATCAGTTATCTTTATGTAAATAGTTTGGGTCTTTATTTCATTTTTTTGTAATATTGGTAATCATTGGACACAGGGAGAGCATGATCACCATATAAAATACATAGTACAGGCTCAGTAACGCTTGCAAGCCGAGGCTGATAAGTGCACATGGCTTTTTACACTGTGCTTACTTTGCTTCTAGACAATACCAATAGGCTAAGTATAGCTGGATTCTCCACTAAGAGAGAAACCAGTTTCCTGCCTCCTTGCATATTTATACAGGAGCTATGAGGAGACACACCTCACCTACAGAGTTGGAAATCTCTGAGTTTTCAAATTAGGTTTAAAATCTTGCTGTTATGAGAAATGGTTTATATTTGGACACTGATTCCATAGGAAGGTTGCATAGGTATCAGCTGAAGGCCTCTGCTAAGGGACTTCTTTTTATTTCTCCTTAGAAAGAGCTATAAGGAGTATCCAGTATATAAACTGAGTTGTTAATAATGACTGTCAAATGGGAAAATTAGAAATCTTAGTCCTGACATACTTAAGAAAAAATTCCAATATTAGTGTGCCTAAAGGTTTTCCATGTGAATGCGTAACATGCACTTAACTTGTGATCAGTTTTTATAGCTAAATCAACCATTTTACTTCACACATGCAGAAGTGCTGATTACTAATAACACACAATGGAAAACTCAAGTGGAATATAGTCTCTTATCAAGAGTAGATTCTATATATTATTATAGTATTTTGCAATTACATATAATAGTAGTTTTAGTGTGGTATATGCATGTTTGAATAGTACTTCTTATGTTCAAGGCTAATGTTCAGTAACAAGCCAGTTAGGTGAAAGTGATTTGCAAAGTATTCCAATTTGCTTTTGTTGCTCTTTCTGTGTTATTACATACCCTCGAACTGGAAACAAACAGGATTCTTCCTGTCTTCAAGGAAAGAGAATGCTGTTCAATTTGATTATATTATATTTGATTATTTTAAAGGAAAATAGTATAGGTTAGGAAAGCAGGTTAGATATAGCTATAAACGGTGAAGGATTTGATGTCATAAAAAGAGATTAAAAGTGTATTCTTTAAACTAAGAGAATTTGAGCTTAATAAATAAATTTTCATTTTATAAAACTTAAATTCACAAAATTAATTTTTATTTATTCTAGAAGATACAGATGACATAAAATTTGCAGACAACATTTTAAGCAATCAGTAATTTTAAAGGGTAATAAAGTAGATTAGTTTATTTCTTTTGGCTGTCTTTTCTGTAAATGTATTTTTAAATATAATTGAAACTATACAGATTAAAAAATTAAGATCAGTTATTGATATTTGAAAAAATAATGCATTCTCAAGAATTAAAATTTAAAAGGTACAAAAGGATAGACACTGAAAATCTTCCTCTGTCCCCTGGTTCCCTGTTCCTCTTCCCAGAGGTAATCAATATTATTAGTTTATGCACCCTTCTGGGCTAATCAGGAGCATATGAACACACAAATACATATCCACTAAAAACACATACCCTGTAGGCTAGCATATTCTTCACTTTCTTTTGTATTATATCTTTTTCAACCAACAATGTATCTAAAAATTATATTGTGTAATATTCATAATATGTTTCATTACACTATGTTTTGTAATTATTTAAGCAATACCCTAATAATGGACTATATCAACCAGAAGAAGAAGATACGGCTGCTGTAAAAAAAAGAATCCCCAAATTTCAGCAGCTTATACAATAAAAGTTGAATTTTCATCCATGCTGCATGTCCATTGTTGGTTTCCCAGGTACCTAACTCCACGTAGTTCTTTCTCAATGGATCAAGCTGATAGAACCTCCAACATTTAAATATGAATAAATGAAAAATCTCAAGTTTAAGTTTTTATATGTCTTTGCTGGTTTTCTACCAGTTGTACCTACTACTAGGAGAGGAGTGAGGAGTGTTGAAGTCTCCAACTAAAATTTCATATTGTCCTTTCAGTTCTGTTAGTTTCGCTTCATGTAAAAAGTCTTGTTAGAGGTTGTAATAGTTTTTTATTTTTTCAGAGTAAAAAATTATCACAACCTCAATGGCTTTAAATGACTTCCATTTATTACCTCACGTTTCTGTAAGTCAGACGTCCAGGTGGATTCTATTGGGTCCCAAAGAGCAATGGCATATAAAGTCCTTTTCATGCTTCAAATCTCTCCAACTAATCCCACCAGTCAGAGAAAACTTTCAGCTTTAAACTCAACACAATTGAAACATTCCTTTTACCAAGAAACGTAACATATTCATGGGAGTGGTATTTCATCCTATTCACTGCTTCAGCCCATACTCAAAGGAAGGCAGATTATACAAAGGCAAAAGGTCAAGGATCATTCTTCGAATTTCACTTATTAGAAGTGAATACACATTTAAAATGGACCCTTTTATCATTGCGTAATTTTCCTTTTTATTCCTGGTAATTTTCTTTTCTCTAAGGCCTATATTGCCTGGTATTAATATAGCTACTATAGCTTTCTTTGATTTCCTTTACTTTTAATCTGTCCTTATCATTATATTTGAAGTGAGTTTGGTTGGGTCATGCTTTGTATTCACTCATAATCTCTGTTGCAATTTGTTTGTTTAGATTATTTACATATAATGCAATTATTGATGTTGCAATTATATACAATGCAATTATTTGTTTATTAGCAAGTGATTTTATTATTTACTTTCTGTTGGTTCCTACTTTTTTTATATGTTTCCCCTTTTCTGCCTTCCATTTGTAATTTTCATAATGTATCTTTTTACAATGTTTTATAGTGGTTGCCCAAGGATTATAAATCCATACTAAACTATTAACAGTCTATTAAGAATTTGTATTTTACCACTTCAGTAGGAATATGGAAACATAACTATATAAATTCCTTTACATTCCCCCTTTATGATGTAGGTATCTTATTCATTACATCTACATATATTGACAATCCTAACAATGTTATGTTCTTTGCTTTCAAGCATCGAATATATTTAATAGACCTCAAATGGAATAAAAATGTAACATAACTCAGATGTTTACCATTTTGTTGTTACTTGTTTATTCATGGTATTTTCTTCTGGTATAATTTCTGTTTTGTCTGAAGTACTTTTTTTTAACAATTCTTTATTAAATAGCAGGCCTGCTGGCATTGAATTATCTTAGTTTTCCTTCATCTGAGAATATCTTTATTTCTCTTTCATTATGGAAGGATATTTTTTTTGGAGATAGAATTCTGGAATGACAGTTCTCTTTCCAGGCTGAAGAAAAATATTTTGTGACACCTGTCTGACCTCCATGGCTTATAATAAGAACTCCATAGTCATTCACATATTTCTGCTCCTATAGGGTCATGTGTCTTTTTGAGTGTGTGACCATTTTCAAGAATTTTTCTTTGTATATAGTCTTCAGTATTGTCATTATGATGAATCTGAATGTGAATTTCTTAGGATTGATTCTATTTGTAATTTAACTTCCTAAATCTGTGGTCATATGTTTTCCACCAAATTTAGAACATTTTTAGCTGTTACTTTTTCACATTTTTAAACCTCTAGAGTCTGTTCTCTCCCGGGACTTCAACAACATCATTGTTAAATATTTGCTGTTGCTCCACATTTCCTTGAGGCTCTGTTCATTTTTTAAAAATCTTTCTTCTACCTTTTAAGATTAGACAATTTCTATTGATCTACCTTCAAGTGTTTTGGCTCTTTCCTCTGTCGTTTTCATTCTGCTTTTTAATCTATCCAGTGAGCCTTTAATTTGGGTTATTGAATTTTTCATTTCAAAAACTTCCATTTGATTCTTCTTTGCCTCTTTTATTTATTTGCTGATACTTTGTAGCTTAATATTTGTTTCAAGACTTCGTGATGGCTTTTTTGAACATTCTTATAATAGGTATTTTAAAGCCTTTTTCATCTGTGTTATCTTGTTATTGGTGTCTATTGATTGTATTTTACCATGTAATTTTAGATTATTTTTTTCTTCATAATCCAAGTAATTTTGGATTACATACTGGGCATTTTGAATATTGTGGGGCTGAGTCTTGTTTAAATCTCATGGAGAAAGTTGATGTTTTTTAGTTCAGCAGGCAATTGACTGGTTTGGCTCAGACTACATGTATCAACCCAGCTTTTGTAAGCTGTTTCCAAAGTCAGTTTAATTGCCAAAGTTGTTGCAGTGTTATTCAAATTTGTTTCATGTGTACATCATTCACTGTTCCATGTGGGACCTGGAAGGAAATTGATCCATTTATTCAGTTGGCGAAACTTTTGTATGCTACTAATGATAGATCCAGGCATGTTCAGGTTGACAGTGACTCCAGGAATTAATAAAACATTTCTTTTTTTTTTTTTTTAATTCCTCCTTCTCTACTGTTTTCTTGGAACTTTCTGGTTTCCACAGGCTCTAGTTGTTGGTACTTTGGCCAGAAATTGTCCACTTCTATTACTGTGCGAAGTCTGAGGCCATGTGGTAGGAGGACAGGGAGAAGAGGAAAAAAGAAATGGGTTAGTCCTCACCCTTTTGAAGACACAGCTCTACCAAGTGGAAAGGAAGGTTTCCCTCCCTGGAGTTGTATACCCTACTGATTCCTGTTGCTGGCCACTACTGGTGCTGCTGCTGTGGTACCAGTGAATTGCCTGGGGGATAAGTCATGAGCGAATACAGGAAAAATGAAAGAAAAATAACCACTTGGCTGATTTCCTCTACTTTCTCTGAGATCTGGCAGTTTCCTTCCCTGTTCCCTGAGCCAGGCTTCTCTTAAAGCTCGCTCTTTAACACAATGTTCACTTCCGGGTTTTTGGCTGCCTTGAGTTCAGGTCAAGGATATTAAAGGAAAAAAATGTAAACTCACCACAGGCTTAGTGGTGATTAGAATTCTGGTATCTTTTCTTTATCCACATATTGCTATTTCCTTTTCAGACTCCTCATAGTCCAGTACATTCAATCTGCCTAGGTTTTATAGTTACGTAAAGTGAGAGAGATGGGATGGGATGTGATGTGTTTACTTTATTTTACCCAGAACCAGAGCCCCTAACTTACAGTTCTTAAACATAAGCAATAGAAGCTGACTCTGGCTGATAAAGAAGAAAAGCTTTTAAAAGGTTATTGGGTAATTTACAGAAGTTTTGAGAGTGTTAAGAACTAGCCGGAAGGCTATATTTTAGGGACAATTCTGTTAACCCTGTCACAGATCCTGCTGGATCAGGGAACACCTGCTACAAGAACAAAGTTGGCATTTGCCAGAAACTCAGCTTTCTCACAACAGCCATGCTGTCAGCAGTGATTCCATCTCCAAAGCCAGAACTCAAACATCCATTTTAGCCCGAAATGCCTTCTTGCTCAAGTCACTCACATCTAAATGAAAGTGTCTCATAGGTGAGTTTAATTTGTACAATCCAAGTCATGTACTTATATTTTTAACAGTGACAGTGTGCCATAGAAGTGAATTCTCTGGGCTCTACTTCATGGAGGAAAATTCCCCAAGCATAGTCAGGGCATTCAAAAGGTATTGGGCAACCAAGAAACATAAAAAACATAAAACAACTTAAAAATCAAAAAATAAAAAAAAAAGTCTGTTGCATTTAGTGTATATTGTATAAGAAATGCCGGTCCTGATTTATTTACTAACAATATGTGATCTATTATGCTAGGAAAAGCATTCATCTGTTCATATTCCTAGAAAGTTTAGTAAAATTAACAGGTATTTTACGTGTTTTGATTGTGGCATTGAACATTGGTAGATAAGGAAAATATTTTATAGATAATGTTCTCTCCAGTTGTGCTTAGAATTTATAATGTTATATATGTTTCCTTTTTATGATTCTGTGCTATAAACAAATCACCACCACCACCAACAAAGCACAAACTGGCTTCTTTCCCTCTGAAGTATTTATGTCTTAATGTGTAGAGTACAGAACACAGACTCTGATGTGAAAAAGCCTCCTTTGTACCGTTTCTTGTCACTTATTAGCTGAGTAGGCTTGGATAAATTACTTAGCTTCTCTGCATCCAGGATTCTTATCTTTGAAATGAGGGTGATAATATCCGTTCCAATCCTATAGAATTACTGAGAGGATTAAATGAGGTAAATGTAAACCCTGGTACATAGTACACACTTGGTAACTTCAGCTATGCTTAGTATTATTAATTTTTAATATGTCAATAAAATAGAGTCATTTATTTTTGCCCTCTAAGATAATCAAAAGTATCTTCAATGTTGAGTAGAATGAAAATTACTTGTTACAACCAATGAATATTTTGTGATTTGTGATGCACTCTTTGCAAGTGATTCATAAATTAAAGGGCTTCTCAATGCTAAATATTGTCCACCTTCTTGTATGTGGTGGACTTAGAAGGTAATTAGAATCTGGAATATCTCTACTGGAAACCCACTTATGCTTCTTTTCAAACACAAGATACAATGCTCTTCAAAGTTAAGAAGGCCGGGCAAAGGTCAATGGAAACTCATGAGTTTTACAACCTAGTCTGTTTAAGAACATGATGTGCAGGAGCCCAAACTTTTGAAAAAAAAAAATAAAAGATTGTGAGTGTTTCCTGGCTTCTATGTATAATGTTGTAAAAGAGACTCAGTTGCGATGTCTTTTGGTACTCTCCTCCCATGTCTGGTTAAGGGATGTTCCATGCAGTTTTGGCAGATGATGTGTCCAAAAATTTTGAAAAATTTAACTGGTGCAGCTTTCTAAACTGGCTGCTACCCATGCAGTAGGATTTGTTTCCTTTTGGTATAAATCAAACATTTAAGATGATAGCTCAGAGAAAATAATTTGAGATTTATTGCTTTGGAAAGAATATCTGTGTGAGTCCTCCATGCTCCATTAGCTAGAAAATATTAGAGTAAAATAAATGAGTCCCGCTATGAATCTATGATAATTTGTGGCCTGGTCTCTCATAATAAAAAAATAAAAACTCTAATCTTTACAAGGCTTTAACATGTAATATTAGATGCAATAACATGTAATTTTTTTTTCTTTGACATGGCAAGGGGTGGGAAAGAAAATATAACTGCTTTTGCTTAAGGACTTTGCCTACCCTGACTTTAACTCGGGCACTTCACAAAGTACAGTAACTGATTTCTGAAACTTTGAGTGGATAAGAATGTGGTTTTCCTTGAAGAGGGTTAACTGATTACTGAGTACCCTGTGGGTTAATTCTTGAAATGGGAAACTGTTTCTGGCATACAGTCCTGTTTAGTTAATGCTGTTTCTAGGCCCTATTTATAAAATTATTTGCATGGCTGGATCATGCTGGTTCCATTACTTTTTTAGCATACAATTGGGACTTTCTTGTCCACGCTTGATTCAGAACCAAAAAAAAGAGGGTTTATAGAAGTACATTCCTGTAGGGGAAAAGCTTGTGAGCTGAAAAGTTATGAGCGTAGGGATTCCTTTCCTCTGCCTCTCTCTGTTACTTCATTCTCAGAAGCTTATGTTCTAGTCAAGGGAACCATAGTTTCTCATATGGTTATTGTGAGACAATATGTGGCCCTTCCTGTAGGTTTCAGTTGTATAACTAATAATTTATCAATTTGCCCAACTTTATAGTAGGTATATCATTTTATCTTTATTATATAACATAACTTAGAGTTCAGAAAAATAAACGTTTCAATGAAATGTTTCATCTACTTATCTTGAGAAATTTTAGAACAGGCTGTATTGAGGACTTTTAGCAATAATTTAAATAATTCCTCATGTAACCAATTCAGTTAACATAAAGGTATTTTGTACCATAGCAGAGATTTGAGACAGATGACTTTGCAGTAATGTTTTAATTCCAGTTAAAAGCCCAAGAGAATTTTCCAACAAGGATAAAAAGAAAGGCTTTGGCTGGCCTTGGATGAAGAAACAATTTCAACAGCTGGACAGTTGTGGGGTGGGGAAGGAGGCAGGTAATGTACTTAGTGAAACAACCAAGAGAGGGAGTACCACTTGTTTCAGCATTGGAATCTCTTCCTAGTCTTATATTCCTCAATCAACTATAATCCTACTAACATAAAAGAACAGCCTAATTATGAAAATGTGTGCACTTAAATTACCTTGTGGCTGCCCTGATGAATGAAAACTTATAGATGACTCAACAAGGGAGTGTATTCCTACTTTACAGCCACACCCTTATTTGGGATAAAATCATGTTACATAACTTGATTATCTATTATATTTTTCAGAATCTACTTTAAAATACACTTGTCTGCCTCTAAAAATCAAACCAATAACAACAAAAAGTTTGCCCCTGAAGATAATTTCAAAATTTTCTTGCATTATCGAGATACATATCTATCCTGTTAACACAGACATGTAAAAATATGTAGGTTGTAGGCAAATTCTAAGCAGGGAGGGGAAATGATTCCTATTCCCTAGTAATTGTACTCTTGCATAAACTCCTCCTCCTTGAGTATGTGCTGAACCTGTTGACTCACTTCTAATAAATTGTACAGGGTAGAAGTGATAGTATACTGCTTCTGAGTTTGGTTCATAAAGAGACCATGAATTTTCCTGGTCTCTCCCTTTCTGTCTCTTTCTCTCTCTCCCCACCTCACTCTCACTCTATCTCTGATCCCTCATTCTAGGAAAGGCCAGCTGCCATGTAGTGAGGATTTGCCATATGTGTGAAGAGGCCAAAGGAGCAAAGGACTGAGGGCTGCCAACAATTGTGTGAGTGAGATTGGAAGTGTATCCTTTAGCCCTAGCAAAGTTTTGAGATGACTGCAGCCTGACTAACAAATTGAATGTATCTCATGAGAGACCTTGAGCCAAAGGCATTCAGCTAAGCCTTGTCCAGATTCCTGACCCACGGAAATTGTTAAATAATAAATGTTTATTGTTTTAAGGCCCTAAGTGTTGAGAAAGTTGGCTACAAAGTAATAGATAGCTAAATCAAAATACTTAAATTTGACAGTTTAAAAATACAAATAGGATTTTACTTTATACTTTAATAACATTTTTACTAAGGCACACATATATATTATTAATCTCTGTATATATATGAAAATTGTACAGGGTAGAATTTCGTAGCCAGTCAAACTAAGCTTCCTCAACAAAGGAGAACTAAGATCTTTTTCAGATCAGCAAATGCTGAGGCAGTTTATTACTACCAGACCTGCCTTACAAGTGATCTTGCAAAGAGCACTAAATATGGAAAGACCATTACCAGCCAATACAGAAACATACTTAAATACACAGAACACTGACACTATGAAGCATTCACACAAACAAGCTGGCATAGTAACCAGTTAATAAAACAATGACAAAACCAAATCCATACATATCAATACTAACCTTGAATGTGAATGGGCTAAATGCCCCATCTAAAAGGCACAGAATGACAGGCTGCATAAAAACGCAAGACCCAACGGTATGCTGTCTTCAAGAGACCCATCTCACATGCAATGACACACATAAGCTCAAAATAAAGAAATAAAGAATAATCTACCAAGCAAATGGAAATTAGAAAAAATGCAGAGATTGCAGTTGTAATTTAAGATAAATCAGACTTTAAACAAACAAAGATCAAAACAGAGAAAGAAGGGCATTACATAATGGTAAAGGGTTCAATTCAACAAGAAACTAACTCTCCTAAATATATATGCACCCAACACAGGAGCACCTAGATTCATTAAGCAAGTTCTTAGAGCTCTACAAAGAGACTTAGACTCCCACACAATAATAGTGGGAGACATCAATACTCCACTGACAGTAGTAGATCTCACTGAGGCAGAAAATTAACAAAAATATTCAGGACCTGAACCCAACATTGAACCAAATGGATCTGATAGACCTCTCCAGAGCTCTCCACCTAAAACAATAGAATATGCATTCTTCTGATCACCACATGGCACCTACTCTAAAATCAACCACACATTGAAAGTAAAACAATCCTCAGCAAATGCAAAAGAACTGTAATTGTACCAAACACCACAGAGCGATAAAAACAGAAATCAATACTAAAAGAAATTGCTCAAAACCATGCAATTACATGGAAATTAAACAATGTGCTCCTGATTGACTTTTGGGTAAATAATGGAATTAAGGTAGAAATTAAGAAGGCCTTTGAAACTAATGAGAACAAAGATAAAACATACCAGAATCTCTGGGTCACAGCTAAATCAGTGTTAAGAGGGAAATTTATAGCACTATATACACATATCAAAAAGTTAGAAATATCTCAAATCAACAACCTAACATTGCAACTGCAAAAACTAGAGAAGCAAAAGAAAATCAACCCCAAAACTAGCAGAGAACAAAAATAACCAAAATCAGAGCGGAACTGAAGGAGATTGAGAAACAAAGAAAAAAAATCATTAAAATGATTAATGAGTTCAGGAGTATGTTTTTTTTTAATTAATAAGATAGGTCACTAGTTAGATTAATAAAAAAGAAAACAGGGAAGAGGCAAACAAACACAATAAGAAACAACAAAGAGTTTGTTACCACTGCCTTCACAGAAATACAACTATCAGAGATTACTGTGAACACCTCTATGCACACAAACTAGAAAACCTAGAAGAGATATATAAACTCATGGACACATACCCCTTCCCAAGATTGAACAGAAAAAAATTGATTACCTGAATAGAGCAATAATTAGCTCTGAAATTTAATCAGTAATAAATAGCCTACCAAAAACAACAACAACAAAACCCAGGGTCAGATGGATTCACAGCCAAATTCTACCAGATGTACAAAGAAAAGCTGGTACCTTTCCTACTGAAACTATTGCAAAAAAAACTGAGGAGGAGGGACTCCTCCCTAACTCATTCTATGAGGCCATCATCATCCTGATACCAAAACCTGGCAGTGACACAACACAAGAAAATTTCAAGCCAATATCCTTGATGAACATCGATGCAAAAAATTTCAACCAAAATTCTTGCAAACCAAATTCAGCAGCATGTCAAAAAGCTACTCCACCATGATCAAATAGGCTTTATCCCTGGGATGCAAGGTTAGTTCAACATACACAAATCAATAAATGTGATCCCTCACATACTAAAACTAAAAACAAGAAACACATGATAATCTCAAGAGACTTAGAAAAGACTTTCAGTGAAATTCGACAGCCCTCTTGTTAAAAACTCTTGGTAAACTAGCATTGAAGGATTATACCTTAAAATAATGAGCCATCAATGAAAAAACCACAACCAATATCAAACTGAATGGGCAAAAGCTGGAAGAATTCCCACTTAAAATCAGGACAAGACAAGGATGCCCTCTCTTAGTACACCTATTTAGCATAATATTGGGAATCCTAGCCAGAGCAATCAGTTAAGAAAAAGAAATGAGGGCATCCAAAGGGGAAGGAAGGAAGCCAAACTATCCCTGTTTGGAGACAACATGATTCTATATCTGGAAAACTTCGTGATCTCAACCCCAAAGCTCCTTCAGCTGATAAACAACTTCAGCAAAGTTTCAGGATAGAAAATCAACATACGAAAATCATTAGCATTTTTATACACCAACCACAGCCAAGAGACATTCACAATTGCCACAAAAAGAATATACCTACGAATGCAGCTAATCAGGGAGGTGAAAGAGCTCTACAAGGAGAACTACAAACCACTGCTCAAAGAAATCAGAGATTACATAAACAAATGAAAAAACAATTCATGCTCATGAATAGAAAGAATCAATATCACTAAAATGGCAATACTGCCTAAAGCAATTTACAGATTCAATGCTATTCCTATCAAACCACCAGTGATATTCTTCACAGAACTAGAAAAAAAAACTTTTTAAAAATTTATATGAAACCAAAAAGAGTCCAAATAGCCAAGGCAATCCTAAGCAAAAAGAATAAGGCTGGAGGCATCACACTACATGACTTTAAACTATACTACAGGGCTACAGTAACCAAAAGAGCATGGTACTGATACAAAAACAGATACACATACCAATGAAACAGAATAGAGAGCCCAGAAATAAGTCCACACACCTACAATCATCTGATCTTCAACAAAGCTGACAGAAACAAGCACTGGGGAAAGAACTCATTCAATGAATGGTGCTGGGATACTTGTCTAGCCATAGGCAGAAGACTGAAACTGTACCCCTTCTTTACACCACATACAAAATAAACTCAAGATGGATTGAAGACTTAAATGTAAAACCCAAAACTATAAAAACTCTGAAAGACAACCTAGGCAACAGACTTCTGGAAATAGGAACTGGCAACAATTTCATGATGAAGATGCCAAAAGCAATCACAAAAAAAGCAAAAATTAACAAATAGGATCCAATTAAACTTAAGAGAATTTGCACAGCAAAAGAAACTACCAACAGAGTGAATAGACAACCTATAGAGTGAGCAAAAATATTTGCAAACTATGCATCTGACTAAGGTTTACTATCCAGCATTTATAGGGAACTTAAACAAATATACAAGAAAAAACAAACAACCCCATTAAAAAGTGGGCAAAAGATATAAACAGACCCTTTTCAAAAGAAGACATACATGTGGTCAACAAGCAAATGGAAAACAGCTCAATATTACTGATCATTAGGGAAAATCAAAACCGCAATGAGATACTATCTCACACCAGTCAGAATGACTATTATTAAGAGTCAAAAAATAACAGATGCTGGCAAGGTTAAGAAGAAAAGTGAATGCTTATAATCCATTGGCGGTAGTGTAAATTAGTTCAATCGTTGTGGAAAGCGATGTGGCAATTCCTCAAAGAGCTAAAAACAGAACTTTTTAAAATTTTCCTGCCCAATCCCATTACAGGTTATATACCCAAAGGAATATAAATCATTCTACCACAAGGACACATGTATGTGTTTGTTCATTGCAACACTATTCACAATAGCAGAGACATGGAATCAACCTAAATGTCCATCAATGAAAGATTGAATAAAGGAAATGTGGTACATATACACTATGGAATACTTCACAGCCATAAAAAATAATGAGATCATGCCTTTTGCAGGTACATGGATGGAGCTGGAGGCCATCATTCTTAGCAACTAACACAGGAACAGAAAACCAAATACGGCATGTTTTCATTTATAAGTGGGAGCTAAATTATGAGAACACACAGAAACAAAGAGGGGAAAAATAGACACCAGGGCTAATTGCGAGTGGAAGGTGGGAGGAGGGAGAAGAACAGAAAAAACAATTATTGGGTACTAGGCTTAGTACCCGGGTGACAAAATAATCTGCACAAAAAAACCCTGTGACATGAGTTTACTTGTATAACAAACCTGCATATGTACCCATGAAAGTAAAATAAAAGTTAAATATAATGATTGTACCTGGCTTTTTCTTGTCTTTCTGAAACCATAGACAGAGTCTGGAACACACTAAATATTATTCAGTAATGCAGGGGTATGAGGTGCATAAATTAGATAGTTCAGCTCACAAACCAATTATTGAGTTGACTCCCTCCCTAATTTGAAGACAATCTAGCCAGGATAAAAGCACTGAAGGAGGCATTTATTTTAGTAGTATCCCACTGGACACCTCTATCTCATTGGACTTCCACTCTGTGGAAGTAGTGAATTCAATGAATCCCAAACTTCTGTAGTTTTCTGACATGTATTCAGAGCATGATATGTCCAAAATACAAGAAGATTTAGAACTGATCTTGCAGCTACATTATAGACTGACATTTCAAGGGGGAAATACTTTGGTAACTTTATGTTTAGAGGATATTATAGTGTAATTTACCTCTCAGTTGTATTCAGGAAGGAATAACCTAGTGCTGAATACAGCATAAAGTGAAGAACAAAGATACATGTCTGTAGAACTTCAGGATAGATAGAAATAAATGAACACATCAAAAAACATGAGAATTTTAAACATATAATTAAGCCAGTCAGTGAAAAATTATACTTCACATACGTCTCTTGAACAGTAAAAGGAAAAGTATGATAGATATGAGAAGTCTGGAAAAATCACCCTCTTCTAATTGCATTTCCTTCCTTCAGTTGCATGACAACTAGCAATTAACCAATTATGCCAGTTATTTTCTTTTGACATTTATTTTGACATTTAAGACACATGTTTCTGATTCTATCTCTGCAGGGCAATTTGCCCTTCAGAGAGACAAAGAGCGAGAAGTGGGAAATAAATTTTAATTTTCAGCCCAGAGAATCTTTGAGACTATACCCAATGAAGTTATAAATGATTTTAGTTAGGGCCCGTGTTATATATTCTACTGAATTATTCATCCAACAAAAATTATTGCTCTTTCCTGCTATAATTTTCTGGGGTTTTTTGCTTGTGTTCTCTCTCTCAGGGAATGACATCTCTATCCACTCAATTGCATAAGCTGGAAACCTAGGAGTAACCCTTGACCTTTCTCCCTCTCTTGTTACCTGTATCCACCCATATACGATATGGTATTTCTCATAAATATCCATTACATGTGTCCCCTTCTCTTCATATTGTGCTAACATTATGCTAAATCAACTATTGACCTCTACTTAGACTGCTAACTTGGCCTCTTAATTTGTCTACACATATAGACTCTGCCCCCTCTTTCAGTTCATTCTCCACACAGAAGTCAGAATGATCTTTACAAATTTCTTAGAGGATCCTCTGATGCCCCAGTCTGGGTCGCTGTGCTTTGATATTCTATCCTAGAATATGCTTGCTTCTTTATAGTACCTACAAAGTTTATAATTATACTTTGCTTAGTGAGTTGTTGGTTCAAATCTCTCTTCTTCATAGAATTATTCAACTCTACGAAAATACAGAACATGTCTATTTTTACTTATCATTTATTATCAGAACATATCCCAATACCTAACAAAAGTATTTGTTGAATAAAGAAATGATTTAGCTATATACCATGTTACACAATCCCTATGGTAGATTATTGAAATAAAGAGGTTTTATATATTTTTGTTGTCATTGTTGTTGGTTTCCCTATATTCATTAACCTTCTTTAGATATATACATAATACAGTAACACTTCTCAGATCTCGGTCCATGGGGTTTGCAGAGGAATGACTCTAATTCTGTGCCCAAGTTGACAGAAGCCCAAGCCCCACAACGCATTCCCATCTCACTCCCAGTGGTGTTTGCACTGGGTTGGGGGTGGAGGATGTTGTTTCAGGTTTGGACACATTATTCAATTTAGGATCAGAGATGATATTTTTGTTGGGAGTATTAGCAAAAGACAGCAACAATTTTATGTAGAATTTAACCTAAGACGTTGAAACAGAATTTGCCTGGGGTTCTACTTGGAAGTGAGAATGGGCTGTCAAGGTGGAAGGCAGACAAAAAGAGAAGATTAAGTCCAGATGGCATTTTGATCCATAAATTTGTCATCTATTCTCAAGTCTTGTCAAATCAACCTTTTGTCCTCAGCTCAGTAAATGGGAGCTCAAGAATTTTAGAATTTTTATTGATTCCCCTCTTGTCACAAATCCTACACTTTTTTTTTAAATTTTTATTTAAGTTCAAGGTATAAGTGCAGGCTTGTTAAATAAGTAAACTTGTGTCATGGGGGTTTGTTGTACAGATTATTTCATCACCCAGGTATTAAGCCTAGTACCCATTAGTTATTTTTCCTGATCCTCCCCCCTCCTTCCACCTTCCACTCTCCAAAAAGCCCCAGTGTGTTTTGTTCCCCCTATGTGTCCATGTGTTCTCATGTTTTGGTTCCCACTTATAAATTAGAACATGTAGTATCTGGTTTTCTGTTCCTGTATTAGTTTGCTAAGGATAATGGTATCCAGCTCCACCCATGTTTCTGCAAATGATATGATCTTGTTCTTTTTTATGGCTGCATAGTATTCCATGGTGTATATGTACCAAATTTCCTTTATCCAATCTATCACTGATGGGCATTTAGGTTGATTCCATATTTTGCTATTGTGAATAGTGCTACAATGAACATGACTTCAAACTATACTATAGAGCTACAGTAACCAAAATAGCATGGTACTGGTACAAAAACAGACACATAGACCAATGGAACAAAATAGAGAATTCAGAAGCAAAACCACACACTCTGTGATCTTCGACAAACCTGACAAAAACAAGCAATGGAGAAAGGATTCCCTATTCAGTAAATCGTACTGGGCTAACAGGCTAGCCATATGTGGAAGATTGAAACTGGACCCCTTCCTTATATAATATACAAAAAATAACTCAAGATAGATTAAATGTAAAACTCAAAACTATATAAACCCTAGAAGACAACCTAGGCAATACCACTCAGGACATAGGCATGGGCAAAGTTTTCATCATGAAAACACCAAAAGCAACTGCAACAAAAGCAAAAATTGACAAAATGGGATCTCTTTAAACTAAAGCGCTTCTGCACAGCAAAAGAAACTATGAACAGAGTAAAAAGACAACCTACAGAATGGGAGAAAAGTTTTGCAAACTATGCATCTGACAAAGGTATAATATCCAGCATCTGTAAGGAACTTAAACAAATTTATAGAAAAAAAACAACAAAACCCCCATAAAAAAGTGGGCAAAGTACATCCTACACTTCTGTATTTAATTCATCAGCAAATTCTGTGGTCTTTTCTTTCAAAATATATTCAGAATCTGACCACTTCTCACCACTGCCACAAGTAATACAGTGTCAAAGTAGCCATTTTTCTTTACCCAGATTTTTGCAATAAAAATTTAACTGGTCTCCCTTCATCAACATTCACTCATTGCCCTCTAGTCCTTGTCTCAACACAGAAACCTCAGCAATCTTTGAAATCATATTGTGTTATTACTATGTTCAGAAACTTTCAATGGATAAACTGCTTGCTTTAGGTGAAAAAAAGAAACCTTCGATAGTTTAACACAACAATAGTTTATTTCTTAGTGCATCATAATTCAGTGGGCATTATTTACTGTGGTGTTTCAGAATCCCAGTTTCCTTCTTTGTTGTGGCTCCACTACCCTACAGAGACTCCGAGTCTTCCACTGGGTCTCCTGGATCTGGCTGGCAGATGGATGAAAAGAGAGATATCAAGGAGTGGAGGGACGTACACAAGGTGTTTAAGTGGCCAGGCCTGTTAATGGTGCTTATAATTTTCACCTGGTAAGTTAGTTATATGCCCCACATAACTGCATGGGAGCTGAGGAATATGGCTTAGCTGTGTGATCAGGAAGAAAAATAAAAAGATAGATATTGATGAACACTTTGTCTTCTCACAATTGTTTCCTATAATTCTTAGAGTGCAGTCTAAAATTTTCACCATAATCCATAAATTCAGACCTGGAGAAACTTAGGGTTAGGTTAGGAGGAGGGTATGGTAAAACATGACATCTAGATTTCTGACTTGTGAAATGAATTAGGTAATGATGTTATTCAGTGAGGTAGGAGGGACATCTTTGGAAATAAAACTTTTTGAATATATTAAAGTTGAGATTCCAATGAGATATTGAAAAAAATTCCCGATAGGAAGTTGGGTTTCTAAATCATGAGTTCAGTAGAGAAATCTTGGATAGATATATTATTTTGGAATTATCAGTATGTGCATAGGAAAGGAAATCAAGAGAATATATGAGATTACCTTGGGAGATTAAGAAGAAATGATCTCTAGAAATGAACTCAGCAAATATCAAGGGATGACCAATGTGTAACTAGGAGAACATTAAAATAGGAATTAAATTAGGAGGGGATAATGTATAGGAGTAGATGTTTCTGATAAGAAGAAATTGTTAAAAATTTCAAATGTTCTCACATAATGAGGTCATCTAAGATAACAATTAAAAGCAATTCAATAATTTAGCAAAGATAAGCTGTAGAAAACTTTGCCAAGACCATAGTATAAAGAAGTGTTGGTAAGTATGAAGGTGGTTGACAGATTTAGTGAGTTGAGGAACAAATGGGGTAATTAAGTGGAGAAAGAGTCCATACATATTTCATTCAATATGTTAGGGTGGTATTTGTAAGGAAACTTGAGTTGGAGGCAGGATATCTATCTATCTATCTATCTATCTATCTATCTATCTATCTACCAATATAACTACCTACCTATCCAACTATCTCTCTATCATCTATTTATCATTGTAAAGAAACACTGCAACATATTTAAACGTTGATGGGAAGAATCCAGTAGAAATATAAATTAAAAAGAGAGGACACAGAGCCATAGTATGCATGACAGGATTTACCTTAAAATAAGGAGTTCTGTATAATTGTAACAGGAGGGGGATGGAGGTTGGGGGAAATAATACATACGTATTAAGGTAAGTGAATAGGTTTGGTGAGTAAATTGATGTAATTTTTCACTGGTAGATTATATTTTCTCTAGTAAGTAGAAGGAAAGTCTATCGACTAAAATGAAATAAGTAGAAAGATCAGAGATGTGATAAAAGTAGAGTAGGTTGAAAATACATTGTAGGGGATTGGGAAAATAGCTTATCTGGGAAACAGAGAAATACAAATGAGAAGAACTGAGGACTCAATTTATGCTGAAGAAAAAACATTTATAATATGGCTAATCTATGTAGTTTAAAATTTTCTCCAACAGTGCTCGGTGCCTGCATGTGTAGGTGCAAGAGAAATTCACCATTTGAAACATGGGATTCAAATTGGGATTTTTCAATGGAATTCATTGGGATTTTTAGAATGAATCATTGCAAGACCACAGAACCTCATTTAAGGTTATGAGGAGGAGAGTTGATTACATGATTTAACTACAGAGTCTAAGGTGAATATTATAAAAAATGAATCCTGGAAAGGGTTGACAGAGAAGAAGAAATTTGATAATGTGATATGTGCAAGCTGAAGGATGAGGAGTTGTGATGACCAATATAATGTTTCAATATAATATTTCAGAGATGAGCTATCCTGCTGTTTTCCAGGTACCCATTTGGACAGTAAGTGCTTGATCAGGAAGTGCTGATCAAGCACTTACTGGAAGTCAAACAACTGATAAGCTATGCTATTGAATATATCATCTTCAATGGTGTTGAAATCACCTAGGAGATGGCAGAACTTTTAATTGCCAGGAAGATAGTAGTCCATGCTAAAGTCTTCAAGGAACCAGAGTTAGTCGATAGATGACATTATGGTGGATATATGCTCATAAGCAACTTATTCTGTTGTGCAAAATATAATGTTCTTCATTTTCAGAAATAACTTCAAATTTTGACTTCAAGTCCTTATTGAGTCAATAACAGAAAGTTTAATCTAATGATAAATTATATAATACATATTTATATAATATATAATTTTTATAAGATAAACACAGTTAAATTTGTGAGTGTTCAAAAATTTCATTATAAATTCAGTCAAATTCAGTCAGTTCAGTGTCCTCCTCTTTCCCTTTCATAGGATTATATATTGTTTAGTATCTGGGGAAGACATTTTTAGTTCACAATTATCAGTACTTTCTTAGGTAGGCTTTCGCTGAAAGGTAGGATTAGGTGGTTGGCCTTATGTTGTTGGCATTTACACTCCTTAGCTGATACTCAAATGATGATCCCAAGCTGATAATTAGATGATGATCCCAGTCTTGCCATGCTCACCATTAAATACTGCCCTCTTTCCTACCATCAGAAATCTCCGTGGGTGCTCCATCTCAATGTCAAACTCAACATAATTATTTTGGGATATGAAACTTCTCAAGACTTTCTTCAAACTGTTTTTAAGTCCCCAGGGAATGGGAGGGTTAATACAGGTCTTCTCTTTACTTAGATGGACTGTGCCTCATTTGTAATCAGGTACTTTGGTGCTATGCTGGAAGTGGAACTTCTCTACGGGGTCAGCTCTTCCCAAGGCGCTTCCCAGAACACACACTGGGAAGTGTTGTTCTGCTCTGGGTTCCCATTGACCTGGTCCAGGGTTCCTATTGGTAATACCTTAAGGGCTCTGCCTGTGGCTGAGATGGGAAGCAAGGTACCTTCTTAGGGATTCTCAAAAATTAATTCTATTGCTCATCTTTTTAAAGTTTTTTATTTCCTCAAACTGGATTGACTTTGTCTATTTTAGATATCATACATTTTTCCTAGTCCTGGTTTATGATATAAATTCTACCTACAGGGTAGTTTGAAGTTTTCATTATTATTTGAAAGCATGTCTTTTGGTAATAAAAAATGTATTTTTTCTCTAAGATCTGCCTCTTGAAAATCCAAACTGTTTTGTATTTCAATTTTTTTCCTGTTCTAGGTTTCATACAATCGACTTTAAAATTTAAGTGATTTCTTAAAATTGTTTCATTTCTGTGTTTGCTCTTGTCCTGGAGTGTTGAAGACCTTTGTCTCACAGGAAGATTACTGGATACAACAAGAAAAATACTGGGGAAGAACTTTTTTTTTGTTAGTAGCTAAGAATTTTTTTCTTGCCATAAAAGAAACAAAGAAGCTGAATGCTATGAACTTTTGGAAAGCCGGTTTTTTGTTTCTTTAATATGGCAATGAAAAGATAATGATATAATATGGAATTTAGAAATCAAGTTGGATATGGATTTCATTATTTCCCTATAAACATGAGTTCTTCCTTCACAAACACCATTTTGGGAAAGAATGATGACTTCAGAATCAAGCCATAATTATTTAAAGCAACTAGGTAAAGAGATAAGGAATGTGCTAGTTGTTTATTCAGGTGAGCTAATAATAACAACACATTTGCATACAGATAAATTAGAAGCTATTTAAGACATATGTGTTAAAATTTGTAACAATCCAAGATCCGCTCTTAATTTGACAATTTTTTCATGGATATTTTCTTGTTTTTATGATACTTAAGAGAATTTCTAGAAAGAAAGACAAAGGCAGCCCTTGTTTTCCCAAGTAGACAAGATTTACAGAAAAGATTGATTTGCATGTGACTTGTGAAGGCCATGAAATTTCCCTGGCCGTGAGCTGTATGAGTTTCAAGTTCTGTGAAACAGGAACAATGTTAGACAAACTGCAGAACATGGACATCACTGACAAGTCTAATTATCTGAAAAACCACTTGCAGAACCACAGAATCATTCAGGAGTTCCTCAGCACAGACACAGATACCTGTTTTCTATCTCATGGAGAACATTCTATTCTCTATTCTCATAGCAGTTTATTCTCTTAGGGTTTATTTTTTTCCTTAAAATGACTGCATAATGAACTAAAGTGTCTAAATTTTATGTAAATGCAGAGTTTTCAGTATCTAGACATTACACATTCAAAATCAGTTTTTATTTACCTACAGATGTCTACCAGATTTTTAAAGAGTGTTGATATTGATGTACTAATAGTGGTATGACAACATTGAAGTCCTCTTGGCTAAAAAAAAAGATTTTATAAGAGATAGATGGAAGAAAGTCACAAAAATGAATATCTTGTTAGAAGCATAAGAAATCCAGCTGATCAAAAATTCATTCAGGGGATGGAGTAAAATGGCAGAATAAAAGCACACATCACTTATCTCCCCTCCCCGTGACCACGGAACTCCAAATTTTGACAACTGTCTGCACATAGAAAAGGACTAAGAACGAAAAAATCAGGCGAAAAATCACAGTACGTGGTTTTAACTTCATATCACTAAGAGTCATTGAGGAGGGCAGGAGAGACAGCCTTGAATCAACAATACCACCCCTCCTTCATCCTCCCTGCAGCCACGTGACCCAAAGAGAGAATCTGTGCACTTTGGGAAGGGAGAGTGGAGTGACTCAGAGACTTTACATTGAATTCAGTGCTGCTCTCTCACAACAGAGAATAGAGCTCTGCTAGGCTAAGCCAGCACCTGTACATGGAGGCAACATTTAGACCAGCCCTAGTCAGAAGGGCATCACCTATCCCAGTAGTGGTAACTTGGGTTTCTTGGCAAGCCTTGCCGCCATGGGTTGAAGTGCTCTGGGGTCCTAGGTAAACTTAAAGGACAGTCTAGGTCACAAGGACTACAATTCCTAGGCAGCTCCTAGTCCCAGGTTGGGCTTAGAGCCAGTGAACTAGGGTGGCACATGACCTAGGGAGAAACCAACTGGCACAGCTAAGGAAATGCTTGTGCCATTCCCCCGCCAACCCCAGGCAGCGCAGCTCTTAGCAAGGAAAGTTGCTCCTTCCTTCTGCTTAAGAAGAGGATAATGAAGAATAAAGAGGACTTTGTCTTGTATCTTAGATACCAGCTCAGTGACAGTAGGATAAGGCATAGGGCAGAGTTGTGAGGCCCCATTCTGGTCCCTAGCTTATAGGTAACATTTCTAGACACAGGCTTGGCCAAAAGGGAAACCCACTGCCTTAAAGAAAGAAACCCTGTGGCCACCACTACTGGAGCTGCACTTCGTCTAACATGAAGCTGATGTAGTTTTGGCAAGATTTATCACGTTCTGACTACAGAGCTGAGTTCTGAATTACCGCCAGTGAAACTGAGGGAGTATGCTGCAGGAACTAGGCTCTTACACATGCTGGCTTTAGGGGAGACCCAGCACATTTGCAGGTGTGGTGGCTACAGTGAAAGACTCTTTCTATTTGAGAAAAGCAGAGTGAAAAGTAAAGGTGACTTTGCCTTGCACCCTAGGTTCCAACTTGGCCACAGCAGGATAGACCAACAAGCAGGCTCTTAGGGTCCCCAAGTCCAGGCTGAAGCTCTTGGACAGCATTTCTGGGCCTACCCTGGGCCAGTTGGGAGCCTACTTCCCTTAAGTGTGAGTCTCAGGCCTGGCAGTATTCACCAAAAGCTGACAGAAGAGCCTTTGGGCTTTAAGTAAAAATTCGTGGTGGCCTGGCAGAACACCCTGTGGACAGATTGTGGTGGAAGCCATAGGGAGAGGCTCCTCTGCCTATGGAAATGGGAGGGAAGAGCAAGGAAAACTTTGTATAGTGGTTTGAGTGCCAGCTTAACAACAGTAGAATAGAACATCAGATAAATTGCCAAGATTGTTTTCTCTAATCCTTGGCTTCCAGACTACATCTCTGGACATACCCGGGGGATAGGGGAACTTGCCATGCTGAAGGGAAAGACCTTGACAAGGCAAGGTAACTTGGTGCTGGCCAGCTTCATGTTAGACGAAGTGCACCTCCAGTACTGGTGGCCACAAGGTTGCTTGCATCATCACATCCTGAGTTCCAGTGGCTCAGCACAAACAGAGAGAGAGAGGGACTCCATATATTTTGGAGGAAGTAAGGGAAAAGAAAAAGAGTCTCTGCCTAGTAATTCAGAGAATTATTCCAGATCTTACCCAAGACAACCAACCACAGTGTTAGGCTTGGGGACCAAGTCCCTTCGAACACCTGGAAAGCCTTCCCAAGAAAGACAGGCACAAACAAGCCCAGACTATGAAGACTATGTGATAAGTACCTAACCCTTCAATGCCCAAACACTGAAGAACATTTATAAGCATCAACATTATCCAGGGAAACGTGACCTCAAAAAATGAACTAAATAAGGCACCAGGAATCATCCTGGAGAAATATATACATATGTGTGTGTGTGTGTATATATATATATATATATATATATATATATATATATATATATATGTATATGTGTGTGTATATATATATATATATATAACCTTTCAGACAGAGAATTCAAAATAGCTGCTTTGAGGAAACTCAAATAAATTCAAGGTAACACAGAGAAGGAATTCAGAATTATATCAGATAAATTTAACAAAGAGATTGAAGTAATTAAAAACAATCAAGCAGAAATTCTAAAGTAGAAAGATGCAACTGACAGGCTGAAAAATTCATCAGTATCTCTGAAGAGCAGAATTGTTCAAGCAAAAGAAAGAATTAGTGAGCTTGAAGAGAGGTTACCTGAAAATACATAGTCAGAGGAGATTAAAAAGAAAAGAATAAAAACAAATGAAGCATACCAAGAAGATCTAGAAAATAGTCTCAGAAGGGCAAATTGAAGAGGTTTTGGCCTTAAAGAGGAGGTAGAGAGAGATAGGGGTAGAAAGTTTATTCAAACGGATAATATCAGACAACTTTCCAGGCCTTGAGAAAGGTATCAACATTCAAGTACAAGAAGATTATAGAACAGCCAGAAGATTTAACCCAAAGGAGACTACCTCAAGGCATTTAATAATCAAATTCCTGACGGCCAAGAATGATAAAGAAAGGATCCTAACAGCAGCAAGAAAAAAGAAAGAAATAATATATAAAGGAGCAGCAGACTTCAGGGGAACTCTAACAGGACGGGAGAGAGTGGCATGTCATATTTAAAGTGGAGAAAGGAAAAAAAAAAAAAACCTTTTACCCTATATATGAGTATTTGTGATGCAAATGTCCTTTAAGCATGAAGAAGAAATAAAGACCTTCTGAGATGAACAAAAGCTCAGGAATTCATTAACACCAGATCTGTCCTACAAGAAATGCTAAGGGAAATTCTTCAATCTGAAAGAAAAGAATGTTAATGAGTGAGACGAAATCATCTGAAGGTACAAAACTCACTGGTAATAGTAAGCACACAGAAAAACACAGAATATCATAACACTGTAATTGTGGTGTGTAAACTTCTCTTGACTTAAGTAGAAGGACTAAATGATGAACCAATAAAAAATAATAACTACAGCAACTATTCAAGTCATGTATAGTACAATAAGACATGAAGAGAAACTTTTTGATGTGTTGCTGGATTCGGTTTGCCAGTATTTTATTGAGGATTTTTGCATCAATGTTCATCAAGGATATTGGTCTAAAATTCTCTTTTTTGGTTGTGTCTCTGCCCGGCTTTGGTATCAGAATGATGCTGGCCTCATAAAATGAGTTAGGGAGGATTCCCTCTTTTTCTATTGATTGGAATAGTTTCAGAAGGAATGGTACCAGTTCCTCCTTGTACCTCTGGTAGAATTCGGCTGTGAATCCATCTGGTCCTGGACTCTTTTTGGTTGGTAAACTATTGATTATTGCCACAATTTCAGAGCCTGTTATTGGTCTATTCAGAGATTCAACTTCTTCCTGGTTTAGTCTTGGGAGAGTGTATGTGTCGAGGAATGTATCCATTTCTTCTAGATTTTCTAGTTTATTTGCGTAGAGGTGTTTGTAGTATTCTCTGATGGTAGTTTGTATTTATGTGGGATTGGTGGTGATATCCCCTTTATCATTTTTTATTGTGTCTATTTGATTCTTCTCTCTTTTTTTCTTTATTAGTCTTGCTAGCGGTCTATCAATTTTGTTGATCCTTTCAAAAAACCAGCTCCTGGATTCATTGATTTTTTGAAGGGTTTTTTGTGTCTCTATTTCCTTAAGTTCTGCTCTGATTTTAGTTATTTCTTGCCTTCTGCTAGCTTTTGAATGTGTTTGCTCTTGCTTTTCTAGTTCTTTTAATTGTGATGTACTGGGTATATACCCAAATGAGTATAAATCATGCTGCTATAAAGACACATGCACACGTATGTTTATTGCGGCACTATTCACAATAGCAAAGACTTGGAACCAACCCAAATGTCCAACAATGATAGACTGGATTAAGAAAATGTGGCCCATATACACCATGGAATACTATGCAGCCATAAAAAATGATGAGTTCATATCCTTTGTAGGGACATGGATGAAATTGGAAACCATCATTCTCAGTAAACTATCGCAAGAACAAAAAACCAAACACCGCATATTCTCACTCATAGGTGGGAATTGAACAATGAGATCACTTGGACACAGGAAGGGGAATATCACACTCTGGGGACTGTGGTGGGGTCGGGGGAGGGGGGAGGGATAGCATTGGGAGATATACCTAATGCTAGATGACACATTAGTGGGTGCAGCGCACCAGCATGGCACATGTATACATATGTAACTAACCTGCACAATGTGCACATGTACCCTAAAACTTAGAGTATAATAAAAAAAAAAAATAAAATAAAATAAAAAAAAAAAAAGGAAAAAAAAAAGACATGAAGAGAAACTACAAAAAGTTAAAATGGGGGAATAAAATTAAAGTGTAGAATTTTTATTAGTTTCCTTTTTGCGTGTTTGTTTGTTTATGCAGTCAGTGTTATCAGTTTAAAATAATGGGTAATAAGACAGTGTTTGCAAGCCTCATGGTAACTCAAATAAAAAAAACATACAATTGATAAGAAAATCTAAAAAGCAATAAATTAAAGCATACCACCAGAGAAAATTATCTTCACTAAAAGGAAGAGAGAAAAGAAGGAAGAGAAGACTGTAAAACAACCAGAAAGCAAATAATAAAATTGTAAGAGTAAGTCCCTACTTATCAATAATAACATTGAATTTAAATGGACTAAACTCTTCAGTCAAGACATAGAGTGCCTGAATGGATGTAAAATAAGACCCAATGATCTGTTACCTACAAGAAACACACTTCACCTATAGAGATACAGATAGACTGAAAATAGGGATAAAAAAAGACATTCTGTGCAAATGGAAACCAAAAAGGGCAGGATTAAGTATAGTTATGCCTCACAAAATAGATTTCAAGAAAAAAACTTTAAAAAAAGAGAAGGTCATTATATAATGATAAAGTTCATAATTTAATGATAGTCTCAATTCTGCAAGAGAATACATTGATTGTAAGTATATATGAACCCAACACTAGAGAACCCAGATATATAAAGCAAATATTACTAGAGATAAAAAGAGACATAGACCCCACTACAAGAATAGCTGGAGACTGCAGCACCCTACTTTCAGCATTGAATAGATCTTCCAGACAGAAAATCAACAAGGAAATATCATACTTAATCTACACTACAGAACAAATGGAACTAATGAATATTATCAGAACATTTCATCCAATAGATGTAGAATACACAAGTTTCTCCTCAGCACATGGATCATTTTCAAGAATATGTTAGATCACAAAACAAGTCTTAAAAGATTCAAAAAAATGAAATAATATCAAGTATCTTCTCCAACCAGAATGGAATAAATCTACAAATCAATAACAAGAAGAATTTTTGCAGCTATACAAACACATGGAAATTAAACAATATAATCCTCAATGACCAGTGGGCCAATGAAGAAAGTAAGAAGGAAATTGAAAAATTTCTTGAAACAAATTATGATGGAAACACAAAATGCCTAAACCTATGGGATGGAGCAAAAGCAGTACTAAGAGGGAAATTTATAGTTGTAAGCACTTGCATCAAAAAAGAAGAAAAATGTCCACTAAAGAAGAACCTAATATGCATCCTGAAGAGCTAGAAAAACAAGAGCAAACGAAACCCAAAATTAGGAGAACAAAAGAAATAATAAAGATCAGACAATAAATAAATAAATTTGAAATTAAGAAAACAATATAAAAGATTAATGAAATAAAAAGTTTGTTGAAAAGATAAATGAAATTGACAAAACTTTAGCCAGAGTAACTAAGAAAGAAAAAAGAAGACCCAAATAAATAAAATTTGAGATGAAAAAGGAGCCATTACACCTAATACTGCAGAAATCAAAAAGATCATTAGTGGCTACTGTGAGTAACTATATGCCAATAAGTTGGAATATCTAGAAGAAATTAGTAAGTTCCTAGACACATATAACCTACCAAGATTTAACCATAAATAAATCCAATACCTGAACAGACCAGTAACAAATAATGAGATCAAAGCTGTAATAAAAAATCTTCCAGTAAAGAAAAGTCCAGAAACTGATGGCTTTGCTGCTGATTTCTATCAAACATTTAAAGAAGAACTAATGCCAATTGTACTCAAATTATTCCAAATCATAGAAGAAGAGAGAATACTTTCAAACTCATTTTATATGAGGCCAGTACTACCTTGATACCAAAACCAGACAAAGATACATTAAAAAAAACTACAAACCAATATCTCTCTAAATATTGATGCAAAAATCCTAAACAAAATACTGGCAAACTGAGTTCAACAGCATACTAAAAAGATCTTTTTCATTACCAAATGGGATTTATCCCAAGGATGCAAGGATGGTTCAATATATGCAAATCAATCAACGGAATCATCATACCAATAGAATGAGGGGCAAAAACCATACAATCATTTCAATTCATTCTGAAAAGGCATTTGATAAAGTTCAATATCCCTTCCTGTTAAAACTTCTCAGAAAATGGATATGGAAGGAACATACCTCAGCATAGTAAAAGGCATATTTGACAGACCCACAGCTAGTATTATACTGAATGAGAAAAAACTGAAAGCCTTTCCTCTAAGATCTGGAATGTGACAAGGATGCCCACTTTCACCACTGTTATTGAACTTAGTACTTGGAAGTCTTAGCTAGAGCAATCAGACAAGAGAAAGAAGTAAAGGCATCCAAATTGGAAAGGAAGAAGTCAAATTATCCTCAATTGCAGGTGGTATTCTCTTATATTTGGAAAAACCTAAAGTCTTTACCAAAAAAATACCAGAACTGATAAACAAATTCAGTAAAGTTTCAGGATAACAAGTCAACATAAAAAAATCAGTGGCATTTCTATATGCCAATGGTGATCAATGTGAAAAAGAAGTAAAAAAAAATCTCATTTACAATAGTCACAAATACAATTAAATACCAAGGAATTAACTTAAAAAAAGAAGTAAAAGTTCTCTACAACAACAGTGTTCTATGAAACACTGATGAAAGAAATTGAGAGGATAACAAAAAATGGAAAGATATTCCATGTTCATGGGTTTGAAGAATTAATATTGTTAAAATGTCCATACTAGCAAACAAATCAAAAGATTCAGTGCAATCCCTATCAAAATACCAATGACATTCTTCAGAGATATATGAAAACCAATGTTAAAACATATGTGGAGTCACAGGAGACCCAGAATAGCCAACTATGCTATGAGCAAAAAGAACAAAACTGGAGGAATCAAATTACCTGACTTCAACTAATACTACAGAGTTATAGTAATCAAAACAGCATGGTACTGGCATAAAAACAGACACATAGGCCAATAGAACAGAATAGAAAACCCAGAAACCAATCCACAAAGCTACAGTGAACTCACACTTGAAAAAGGTGCCAAGAACATACATTGGGGAAAACATAGCCTCTTCGATAAACAATGATGGAAAAACTGGATATCGATGAGCAGAAGAATAAAACTTGGTTTGTATCTCTTGCCTTATACAAAAATCAAATCAAAATAGATTAAAGACATAAATCTGAAACCTCAAACTATGAAACTGCTACAAGAAAACATTGGGGAATTTCCCCAGGACGTTAGTCTGAGCAAAAATTTCTTGAATAATAACCCACAAGCACAGGCAATCAAGGCAAACATGGACAAACAGGACCATATTAAGGTAAAAAGCTTCTGGACAGCAAAGCAAACAGTCAACAAAGTGAAAAGACAACCCACATTACAGGAGAAAATATTTCCAAACTACCTATCTGACAAGGGATTAATAACCATAATATATAAGGGGCTCAAACAACTTTATAGGAAAAAATCTAACAACTGTTTGACAAAAGGTTTGAATAGATATTTCTCAAAAGAAGACATACAAATGGCAAAGAGACATATGAAAAAGTGCTCAACATCACTGATCTTCAGAGAAATGCAATTCAAAACTACAATGAGTAATCATCTCACCCCACTTAAAATGGCTTATATCCAAGAGACAGGCAGTAGTAAGCCCTGGTGAGGATGTGGAGAAAAGGGAACCAGAGTAAACTGGTGGGAGGAATGTAAATTAGTACAATCACTATGGAGAACAGTTTGGAAGTTCCTCAAAAAACTAAAAATAAAGCTACCATATGATCCAGCAGTCTCACTGCTGGGTATATACTCAAATGAAAGGAAATCAGTATATTGAAGAGATGTCTGCACTCTCCTGTTTGTTGTAGCACTGTTCACAGTAACCAAGATTTGAGAGAAACCTAAGTGTCATTCAGCTATAAGAAAGAGGCAGATTCTGTCATTTGCAACCATGTTGATGGAACTGGAGGTCATTATTTTAAGTGAAATAAGCCAGGCACAGAAAGACAAACATTGCATGTTCTCACTTATTTGGGGGATCTAAAAATAAAAACACTTGAATTTTGGAAACAGAAAGATAGTCACCACAGGTTGGGAATGGTAGTATGTGGTGGGGAGTGGGGGAAGGTGAGGATGGTCAATGGGTACAAAAAAACTAGAAAGAAAAAATAATATGTAGTATTTGATAGCACAACAAGGGGACTATAATCAATAATAATTTAATGAATAGGAAGAATCAGTATCATTAAAATGGCCACACTGCCCAAAGCAATTTACAAATTCAATGCTATGTCTATCAAAATACCAATGACATTACTCACAGAACTAGAAAACAACTAGAAAGCAATGCAAATCAAACCCCCAATGAGATACTATCTATACCAGTCAGAATAGCTATTATTGAACAGTCAAAAAATAACATGTTGACAAGGTTGCGGAGAAAAGGGGACACTTACACACTATTGGTGGAAGTGTAAATTAGTTCAATCATTGTGGAAAGCAGTGTGGCAATTCATCAAAGAGCTAAAAACAGTATTACCATTCACCCCAGCAATCCCTTTACTGGGTATATACCTAACAAAATATAAATCATTCTTTCATAAAGATACATGTACGTGTATGTTCATTGCTATATTATTCACAATAGTAAAGAAATGGAAACAACCTAACTGCCCATCAATGATAGGTTGGATAAAGAAAATGTGGTACATATACACCATGGAATAATATGCAGCCATAAAGAAGAATAAGATCATGTTCTTTGCAGGAACGTGGATGGAGCTGGAGGCCATTATCCTTAGCAAACTAATGCAGAAATGGAAAATCAAATGTTGCATATTCTCACTTATAAGTGGGTGCTAAATGATGAGTACATATTAACACAAAGAGGGGAACAATAGACAGTGAGGCCTACTTGAGGGTGGAAGGTGATGGGGGAAAAGGTCAGAAAAAATAATTATTGGATACTAAGCTTAGTACTTAGTTCCTGGGTGACAAAACAATCTGTACAACAAAACCCCGTGACACAAGTTTACCTCTACAACAAGCCTGCACATGTACCCCTGAACGTAAAGTAGAAGTTTTAAAAAACAAAACAACTAAAAGGTATAATTGGATTGTTTGTAACACAAAGGATAAATGCTTGAGGGGGATGACTAACCAATTTCCCATGATGTGATTATTAAGCATTGCATGCTGGTTTCAAATATTTTATGTATCTCATAAATATATATGCCTATACATACCCATAAATTTTTTTTAAAAGCAGCCATAAAAAATTCATTCAGATTGACTCATAATTTTATATTATTGTTAATCAGTCCATTAAAAGAGCTATATCTTTTTCTAATTCTGATTAAGTGCGGCATTATTCACAATAGCAAAGACTTAGAACCAACCCAAATGTCCAACAATGATAGACTGGATTAAGAAAATGTGGCACATATACACCATGGAATACTATGCAGCCATAAAAAATGATGAGTTCGTGTCCTTTGTAGGGACATGGATGAAATTGGAAATCATCATTCTCAGTAAACTATCGCAAGAACAAAAAACCAAACACCGCATATTCTCACTCATAGGTGGGAATTGAACAATGAGATCACATGGACACAGGAAGGGGAATATCACACTCTGGGGACTGTGGTGGGGTGGGGGGAGGGGGGAGGGATAGCATTGGGAGATATACCTAATGCTAGATGACGAGTTAGTGGGTGCAGTGCACCAGCATGGCACATGTATACATATGTAACTAACCTGCACAATGTGCACATGTACCCTAAAACTTAAAGTATAATAAAAAATAAATAAATAAATAAATAAATAAATAAATAAATAAAAATAAAAAAAAATTAAAAAAAAAGAAAATTATGAGGGAATGTGAAATACCTTTATAAATTTAAAATTACAAGGATTGTTTTAGCCATCAAAACAGAAATACAATTGCTAGGAAACAGATTTGATTTTCTTCCCTTTTACAAAACGATATTTTTGCATTTGATGTTTTCTAGTTATAGAATACGTATTTATTATAATGGCTGAAATAATTGGAAGATATACAAAAATAAATTTATTCATTTCCCTACTCTCTATTCCAGTTGTGTTTTCCCTACTGTTTTCCTACTCCCTTCTTCCAATTCTGTTTTCCTAGGGTAACTACAGAGTATATCCTTGTACTTATTTCTCCTTGATCAGAAAAGCATATCTATTTGTGCATGTGTGTGAATACACACACACACACAGGCACACACACACGTATATAACATTTTTATCATTTGTTGTTATTTATAGATATTGTCTTTAATATACCTATTACTATGCAACTTGCTTTTTCACTTAGTAAATGGGCCCACCTTTTTGGTCAGTAGATCAAATTTTAACCTGTTGCTGCTCTAATTCATTAATGCATATAAATAGAAAATTAATTATATATAAGAAATTATACAACACATGCTAGCTTTAAAAATTATTCATTCTTTTTCCTTATTATTTGCTTCCCCTCTCCTTCCTGTCTTTTATAATAGCTCATAATATATACAATTATAAATACATAGTTTTTGTTACTGTTTTTTTTTACCAAAAATTTATCTGGTTTCCTATTTATCATATTTGTATGTTTTAATAATTGCTCAGTAATATCTTGTGAAAATCTCTCCAAATAAAGTGATATTACTCTAATTTATTTCTTAATGGCTTTATATTTTGATTTAGACATTTTTTGATTCTTTCACCCACTCTTTCATCAATGTGAATTTATTAGTTATTAAGTTTTGATTTATACACAAAATATAAGGATATAGTGGACATCTTTGAACATATGAAAACTGTGTCTTTCCAAAAATATTTTTAAGTCAATCGTGGGTTTGGAGAATTCCATTCAAACAACAGAAAGATAAACTTTAGTTCATAGAAGTAAAATTTTAAAATATTACACTAAATAGTATATATAATACATAAAATACAAATTTTGTAATATAATATATGTCACAAATATATATGATATAATACAAATAAGGATGTGATAATGTTTTAAAGAATAATGTAGCATGTGCCTACAATGGTGATACAATATCACTAATGCATTTGAAGGGCTTTCTCTTTTCTCAAATATCACTCTCTCCTTTCTTTCTTACACCTCATTATAGTGCTAGTGATAACACAATCTTGAATGTGAGGTTTTACATTTTTATGTTTTTATTAATTTAAATTAATTAACTAATTAATTAATATATTTCTTTATACAGCACAAGTTGTATAGCTTAATAAAAGAATGATGCTGTATGTACTCCTCTATGTCTTCTTTTTTGTATATATTATATTTATGTGATTCATTCTTGTAGTAGGCAAGCGTCTAGTTATTGTCATTAGCTTTTAGTTTTGGGCATAATTTTCAATGAATAAATGAAATTCATTTACTTGTTATCCTGTTAATGCACATTTAGTTTGTTTGTTATTTGTATGTATTGAGAAGTTAAATTACTGGAGTATTGCATGAACATCTTCAACTTTTGGAGACACTGCCAAATTCCTCCTCCCATTATTTCTCCTCCTCTTATCTCCCACCTGCCCCTCCTCCTCTTCTTATCCACTTTCTCTTCTTCTTTCCCTTTTTCTTAATCTTTCTTTCCTTCTTTCTTTTTGAGATGGAGTTTCATTCTTGTTGCCCAGGTTGGGGTGCAATGGCATGGTCTGGGCTCACTGCAACCTCCGCCTCCCGAGTTCAAGCTATTCTCCTGCCTCAGCCTCCCAGGTAGCTGGGATTACAGGCACATGCCACCACGCCTGGCTAATTTTTTTTTTCTAGTAGAGAGGGGGTTTCACCATGTTGGCCAGGCTGGTCTTGAACTCCTGACCTCAGGTGATCTGCCCGCCTCAGCCTCCTAAAGTGTTGGGATTACAGGTGTGAGCCACTGTGCCTGGCCCACGTTTCTCTTTTTCTTTTCTTTCTCCTTCATAATTTTCATTGTCATTATCCTTCTTTTCCCTAGTTTATGCAACTAGTGAAGGAAAACTAGAATAAAACTGAGAGTAGAGAACATTTATGTGATTATTAGGAGATTATAACCTTAAAACACTTAAACAAATTAGAGTGTATGGTGCTTATGTGTGGAGAGCAGCAACTTAAGTTCTAGTTCCAGCACTGCCTGTCTTTATGATATGCTCTTTCATAGACTATTCATCTCTATTTCCTTATCAATAAACAAAAATAAATATGCCTGTCTTCTCCAGTGGAATTTTAGCTCCAGAAAGACAAGAAATATGAGTATTTGGTTCAGAAACATGGTGTTTGGAAAGCATTTCCTGTGTCTAGAATAGTGCTGCCATCTAGTAGACGTTCAATAAATATTCACAGAATAAAGAATTTATGAAATAACTATTTTAGCAAGGTGTTGGTACATAATAAGTGCTCACTAAATGTTTGCTAATAAGGTACTGTCCTGCTAGTAGCAGCAAAAATGTTATCAGTAATGGTAGTGGTTATGCTGTTTTTGTTATTAGGAATAATAATAGTAGCTAACATTTATTGAGATGGCACTATATGTCAGTCACATGAATTACTTAATTTAATAGTTCAACATTTCTTTGCAGCAAGTATAAATACCATCATTTCATGAATAAGAAAACTAAAGCAAATAAAGTTTAAACAATTATTACTAATTATAACTAGAGTTTATAGAATGATACCATAGTAACTAAATAATTAGTCTGTTTATCTGTCAGATGTGTAAATATTGTCATTTTCCTGTGTTTGCCTGGGCTGCTGCTAGGACACATAGATTTAAATTTGCAAGTTATTCTTAGCAATATTTAGAACCATATGGTATAAATTTAGTGTTTATTATACTCTTGGCTTTATTCTCCTGTTTCCATTTTTTATTTATCTTAATTCCCTAAACTATTTAATTTATCTCTTTTACTGTATATATTTTTTAAAGCTACCTAAAACAAAACAAGGTTAGGAACATATGAAAACAGATTTCTTCACTTGGCATATCTCCTGTCATTTGACTAAGAATCCTGTGGATTAGGCAGCCTTATCTACATTATATAAATGAGTAAATGAAGTTTTCAAGAAGACAACATGACTTTCAAAACATAACAAAGTCTGAAAATAAAAGAATCCAGGACTCATTTCAGACTGAAAGTATTTTTTGTTTTGTTTTTGTTTTTTAGGTTTGCCTCTAAACTAGCTAGCTTCTGTCTAAACTAAGCTTTTGTCATTTGAGGTAGTTTTGGAAGCTGCATATTAAACTCTTTCTTAAAATAGATGTGTCTAAATAACTTTTTATTTCCATTTTTTTTTTTTTTTTGAGACTGAGTTTCGCTCTTGTTGCCCAGGCTGGAGTGCAATGGCACCATCTCAGCTCACTGCAACCTATGCCTCCAGGGTTCAAGGGATTCTCCTGCCTCAGCCTCCCTAGTAGCTGGGATTACAAGCGCCCGCCACCACACCCAGCTAATTTTTTGTATTTTTAGTAGAGACGGGGTTTCACTATGTTGGCCAGGCTAGTCTCGAACTCCTGACCTCAGGAGATCCACCCACCTCAGCCTCCCAAAGTGCTGGGATTACACCACGCCCAGCTATAACTTTTTATTTCTAATATCACCTTGTCCCCATCCTATTCTGCCAGTTTGGTTTATTATCACAATTGCAATGGAGACTTAATTTTATCATTTATTATAGCATCAAATTCTAGGGTCACAGCTATTTAGATCATGTTCAAAGTGAGTTTTGTAGTTTCAACATTTGACAGTAATATGGATAATACAAATTATGTTTTGGGCATCCATTGTGGATCTTCTCTTACATATTTTCTTAGTGCCCTTCCTCTTGGATTTACAAAGCCACTGTTGTGACAATGATTTAGTCTTCATTCTCTAATGAATAATTCCATTAAATATGCTGTACATACATGTATCTATGATATCAATTTAATGCTGATGGGAAACACACACACACAGACACACACAGACACATACACACACACACACACACACACACATATCAAATTATAGAAGGAAGACCAGGGGAATGTATATAATTTTGATGTTCATGCTGAGCATTCACTATTCTAGGAAGAATACAGGAGGCCTATGACTAGATATGATCTCTACTCAGAAGAGTGTATTAAATGAAATTAAGAGAGACCATTGTTTTGGATTGAGCTTATACACCAGGCCCTAACAAATCAAGCCAAGTCAAAAGGGAGTTGCTGATGTTAAATGCCACATAATCGAACTGAAACATTAAGAAAGCAAATAAATCCCAAAACAGACCAATTTTTCGTGAACATGAGATTCTAGTCTACCACAGCATAATATGTTATTCCCCTCAGCTTTAATTATTATAAAAAGTAACCCGAAGTAACCTGATGTTCACCAATGTTGGTTTTTGTTTTTGTTTTCTATATTCTGCTTCCTTATCACCACTTTACAAACCCTATAATCTACCATTGCTCAGAGGGAGCTCTCATTTTGTTCTGTAGAATGGAGACTGTGCCGATTTATGAATCTCAAATAAAAGCTCGTCAAGTCTATAGCTATACTGTTGTTATTTTCTCTTTGACAGATGTATGCTAGTTCCTTGGCTGAAACATCTTAAATGGTAATAAGGTATTTCGAAAATAGAAGGAATTCCTTGAATATGTATATCAAAAATAATGCTCCATTTGTTTTTATTTTTTAGCTGGCTCTTTAAAAAGGCAATCTTCAAATGTATTGTGTGGAGGAAGTAATTTTATTATCACACTTATTTAGACTTTGGAGGGACAACTAACTCAAGGTTTTAAAAGGTTATATCACTGCAGGAAGCCCTTTGTACCGTCCTATACTCCAGGTGGGTCTGTCAGAAGTGAATAATGATACCAGGAACTCTCTCTTCAATCTACCTTTTTCACAGAGCTTGTTTCATTTTATTAAATTTGTTAAACAGTTCATCACTTTGACCCTAAACTTTTTTCTTTATTATTATATAGATTTAAAAGTGATACCATTTTGCCTGTAATTGCAATGAGAAAAATGCATGGGGGACCTGGTGTGAATGCAAGATGCCTCCTTTGTTTGCACTCTCCAGAGGCATATTACTCATATGTTAGTTTAACACATGCCCACAGGCAACAGCTCATTGCTTAGAGTTAAGAAATATGAATCCTTACACTAAGCCATAAGTTATTTAGCTTACCAGCAATTGAATTTAAAAGATTTAGGTTGTGAGTCCAGCTGTAACACTGGAAACAAAGCATGTATAGTAATAAGGACATATGGAAATTTGAGTGAGTTGCCACTGGTATAGCCAGGAAACTTAGACCCTTTGTTCTTAGTGAGAACAAGTTACTGTACATTTTACTCATTTTTCATATTAACCTTCAAAGTTCTGTTGATGTTCCATCTTGATCTTTACCTGAATGTTTACATATACCCTCCATAATACTTGCAGGATATTTTGAACACATCAGCATTCAAAATATGCTTTAAAATGTTGGCTTTTTTTCTAGTTTAAAATGTTTTTAATCATTCCTTAATTATATTCCCTTTTGAGGTGGTCTCTACTTTATTAATATGTGTGTAGGACTGGGTTCTGTGTGATGTCCTAGGTCATATTATTAATCACTTGTGAAAATGAAACAAGTACCCTAAAATCTAGTGCTATACTTGATCATGAGACTGATATTTTCAGTGTTTCAGAGTGGAAACACCAGAGGTTCATTATGCTGCTGGAGGACTTCCAGCTACTTCTTATTAGGCTAATATCTGGGTCAGAGGGTGGGCGATGCTGGAAGACAAGACTGGGTTCCCAGAGCAGCTTCTGTGTTCAACTCTCATGGCCGCTACCAAGTGCCCAGAACTTTAACTCTACTTCTCTGGTCACATTTTTTATTCAATGTCACTATTCTTTGTGTTCAGCAATGGCCAGCATCAATAGGGCTGGAACAATGAATTTTTCTTTTATGCCCTCTGTCCTACCACTTGAGCTCTCTTTACTCTTTCTTTCTTGTCCCATTCTCATAGTGCTGTCATAAAGGAGAAATCCTGCTGAAGGTGCCTGGCAGATTATTCAATATAATGCAGCACCTTCTCCACAAACTTAAGCGAAAGCAAAAATCAACTATCAGTAAGAATGGCATCTAAATGATGACTAGCTTGCACCTTGGACAGACAGTATATAGTCTTTATTAATTTGTAAGCTAATCTGTTCAACTACAGAATATTAAATATAATACATATGAAACTTAATCCCTTGTTTGTAGGTGGTATATTCCATTAAAATAAAAGAATTTTTTTTTTTATCTAGAATTCTTGGCTTGGCCCTCAAAACAGTCAGGTCTTGGCCATAACTAATTTTTGACAGTCCCTAGTTCTGCAATGTTTCATACTAAGGGTTAGGGCTTGACCCGATGGATGTTTCTCTTAGTGATATAAGTGTGTATAATTCAAAGCTAAGTTTCAGTTGTCTATTTACCCTACCATTAGATATGGACAGAGAGATAAGCTTTACTTTAAATAAGTTCCATATATACTTGATTTTTTCTATTTTTGTTGTCATGGGCATATGATTTTTTTTTTCTGTAAGTTACTCAGAGCTCTTGAGAATGACATGAAAAACATCTATACGAATCAGGTCATTTTGTCTGTCCAGACAATATAGTTCTAAGTGTTTTGTCTAAGTCACTTTATTTTCAGTTTATAGGCACATCCAACTGTCCTTTAGGGAGATTTTGAGTTTTTATATTCAGGGATTTATTTACTTGAAAAATCAAGATGAGTGTGCCTTAACCAATAATAAGCTGTCTCAGTTGCTTTTAGAGTATTTAGAAATCCTTTTCTTTAAATTTCTTTTATAGAGTACGATTTTCCATCCTCACATTAAGCAGTGTTGATTTTATTCACAAAAGGCCCAATTAAATAGTGAGCAAAGGAAGTAAAACATCTTCTAGAGACTAAAATTCTCTTCTGAGGGATCTTCTATTTCCAAGATTTGAATAACGGACCAAATATGGGTGAATAATTTACTCAGTGTGCCACAAGGGTTCTTATTGTTTCAATCAAGTAAAGTTCTAAGAATTTGGGAAACATATTAACAGACTGATCTATGTGGGAAAGATATTTGATGTGTACATATTCATTATCATGGACATCTCAACTGCAGGAATGTTGGGAAGAAACATTTTAGTCATTTTAGAAATGTCATTTATCACTTCTGGTTACCAGGTTAAGATCTTTCAAGTCTTTTCTCCAATTCCTCTTTGTCTTAAATTCCTGCTGGGTTCACAGTAGTCGCCTTGAAGAAAGAGTGCTAAAGTCAAGTAGCAAAAGCTTACTCAGGGATTCTGAGGTTTAAGACATATAGTGTGCATGCTTTTTCAGATCTTTCTTTCCTGTTCATTTCTTATTACTCTTGCTGGATGTTGTGGCTGAGCAGATGTTTTAGCAAGCATTCCTCCCCATGCCCCTCCACACACATTTTCAGCAAAGACCTAAATCTATCAATTTTATTAATATCTGTCATCTGGCTAATGACCTCCCTGCTCTCCACTGCTGGTTGACACTTTGAATCAAGAACACCATTTTGCATTGTATTAACTTTACATATTAATATTGCTTTCTATCACTGAGGATGAGGCTTGCATTATTAAAAAAAAAAGTTTGCCTTCCTTCAGTTAAAAAAAAAGTGATGTCAAATTATAGACCATAAAAATAGAAGGATTGAAAGTAATATGATATAAGAATACAAAATTTATTTGAATGAAATATTTGCAAATATAAGTAAAATGCGTTTATATTTGCAAATTTATTCAGAAGAATGTTTCGGATACTTGAGGAATTTGACTTAAAAACAATTTTTCGGCACTTTTGCCTCTACTTTCTCATATCTATTCTTTAGTTGTGGCAACATATCATTTAAGTATTTTTTAGACTTGTACATGCCTCTTCATTTCCCATTGCCCACAGTTTAACGTCACTACAGAGCTTCCTGATGATTATTCCTGCTGTGAAATTTTAATCTTTTTAGCCTGTTCTGCTCATCAACGTTGGTTTACTGTTTCTAAAACACTATTTGCTTATATCATTTTACCTTGCTAGAAAACCAACAGTGATTCCCTGATGTCTGAATTTCCCAAATTAACATTAACGTTTATTTGTTTGCTTTTGCATAAAATGGTTATGCAGAAAATTTTTTTCTGACCTTATTTTCCATTTTTTCATATGTCTACCTTCTGCTTGAATTAGATTGTTTTTTTTATTATTCCATGAGCACACTATTCTCATTTCAATGTTTAATCCTATGTTATGCTAATTTATCTATATGAAATTCTCTCTCTGCCTATTTCTCCTGAGGCTACTCTATACTTCCCTTTTCCATGAACAACTAATAACTAGCCCAACCATATTTGACTACCCCTTCTTCTGATTCCTGTAACTAAAGGGCATGCTTGACCATGCATTAACCATAGGTATTCTCTTATTTATATTACCAGTTTTGACCTTCTTCAAGAACACAAAAGTTCATGTAAGTTCCCTTGTAATTTTGTGAAACGTAAATTTGAATGACATATGCCTTGAGGCTGGTGTGGGCTAGTGAGTCACTTGCTAGTGAGTGAATTGGCCAGCACTGTACTTCTCTGCTTATATTCACATTTACAGTCATTTTTAAAGTAATACAATTTTTATCCCATGTAAAAAATAACATCTGCTGTACATGTAAATTCTTGCCAATCTGGAGGGTCAAACAGAACTCAAGACAGTTCTCTCAGAGATGTCAAGAGTCTATATGCAGCTTTATGTGGTTTCCTCATTGCTTCATGTATAGGTCTAGTATCCCCAGCCAGTCAATAAAATTCACAGGAGAATCAACTATACACTGAAATTTTCTATCATCCAAATCTAGCAGATTCCAAGGAAGAATATGATTATGCTTTTACTAAACCAAAATGTATTGCTTACTTACCAGGCATGGTAACCTTTAATGCAAATATTTTACTCAACTTCAGGAGCTCAAATCCATTATGATATAACAGGTGCTATAATATAGGTATATACAAAATTCACTTTTCTCTCAATTGATATAATAAGTAGGCCCCTAAAAATATGAATACTTCAAAAATATTAAACTGATGTAAGTTGTATTATAAAAATCTGAAACAGAACAGATCTGTTCTAGTAAGTTGAATCAAAATACAAGGCTTGCTATTTTTTGATATTTTATAGATGAGTAATACATTCTGACCTAATGATAAACTGCCAATCATGAATTATATATATAACTTTATATGAAACATATTTATAATGATTATTAATTATAAGAAATTATCTATATAATATATATTAAAATATGTTCATTCAATTAGATGCCATGACCAAAGCAGATTATTTTAGCTTATTATGAGTAGCTGTATTATTCTCCATTTCCTCTCCTTATAAGAATCCTTAGATGTAATTGAGTACAAGTTTCTTTATTATGTTTTAAATTGTCAATATTATTGTATGCTTTTACTAAGGTGAAATGTGAGGCAAGTAAAAATGGTTCTGCAGCTGTTTTATTTTTAAGTACAAATTATAACCTACATCTTGGCTCAAATGTTGTTAGCATTTCACTGGTTCTTCATCTAGGTGTCTCCTTAAAGTATTAACTAATCCATTTCACTCATGACTTCACTTAAAAATTTTAAAAACAAAGCAAAACAAACAAACAAAAAAACCTTAATACTTTGCAAACACAGGAGTTCATAGAAACTAATTTCAGAAAAACTTTCCAGAAAAATGACAAAATAGGTAAGGCCCATAGAATACCCTTCCTTAAAGTGCTGTGCCTTTTACCTTTACTGCTCTGCAGGGTTTTGAGACTACATTATCAGAGTCAGACCTACCTGACATCCAAGGGGGAAGAGTATAAACTTTATTAAATCAAACTTTGTATATCTTTTAAAATGTGTTCATTAATTTGTCATGTTGTATTTAGAATACATATATCAATTCCACAGTAAATTGTGGAGAAGGTGCCCAGTAACGGTACAGAGAAATTATATAATTAATTGATTACATAGTAATCAATGAATTATTGCATTGTTAAATTTCTAAGACAATTGTTCTAGAAACAGTGCGCTCTAGTTCTAGTTTAGGATCACGAGGCTTAATGAAAAATGCAAATATTGCTGGGAGTCGTAGACACCAAAGCAGGGCACTGTCTTTTCCTGGGACTGCATTGTTTCTGAAAGCCTGTCTCAGCGTCCTGACGCTGGCAGACAACCATGGTCTTGGTGTCTTTTTGGCATTATTTTTCATTCTGGGGAAAATGTTCCTGGGTTATAATGATACAAATAATTCCTTATAGAAGATGGCTGAACAGAATATTCAAGTTATTGCCTACCACCCACCCTTCAGGAACACCAAATTGAACAACTATGCATATAAAAAAAAGTCTTCATAAAGAATGAGGAACGCCTAAAAATTTAGAAAATAGTCTCAAAAGGGCAAATCGAAGAGTTATTGGCCTTAAAGAGAAGGTGGAAAGAAATCAGCATAGAAAGTTTATTCAAAGACATAATAACCGAGAACTTTCCAAACTTAGAGCTATTAATATTAGAGAGAGGTATTAATATTCAAGTACAAGAACTTAGAGAGAGGTATTAATGATTCAAGTACGAGAAGATTATGGAACACCAAGCAGATTTAAACCAAAGAAGATGACTTCCAGACATTTAATAATCAAACTCTCAAAGGTCAAGGATAAGGAAAGGATTCTAAAAACAGCAAGAGAAAAGAAAGTAGTAACATATAAAGAAGCTCTGATTTAGTCTGTTCTCATGCTGCTGATAAAAAAATACCCGAGACTGGGCAATTTACAAAAGAAAGAGGTTTAATGGACTTGCAGTTCTACATGGCTGGGGAGGCCTCACAATCATAGCAGAAGGCAAGGAGGAGCAAGTCATGTCTCACATGGAGCGGGGCAGGCAAAGAGAGCTTGTGTAGGAGAGTCCCCCTTATAAAACCATCAGATCTCTTGAGACTTACTCACTGTCAGGAGAGTAGTGAATAAGCATGGAAAGACCTGCCCCCATGATTCAGTTACCTCCACCAGGTCCCTCCCACAATACATGGGAATTTACATGTCCCCACATTTGAGTGGGGACAGAGCCAAATTATATCATTTCACCCCTGGCCCCTCCCAAATCTCATGTCCTCACATTTTAAAACCAATCATGCCTTCCAAACAGTCCCCCAAAATCTTAACTCATTTCAGCATTTACATGTCAGTCCACAGTCTGAAGTCTCATCTGAGACAAGGTAAATCCCTTCTGCCTATGAGCCTGTAAAGTCAAAAGCAAGTTAGTTACTTCCTAGATACAATAGGGGTATGGGCATTGGGTAAATATAACCATTCTAAATGGGAGAAATAGGCCAAAACAAAGGGGCCACCCACCCCATTCTTGTCCAAAATCCAGGAGGGCAGTCAAATCTTAAAGTTCCAAAAATGATCTCCTTTGATCCATGTCTCATATCCAGGTCACACTGATGCAAGAGGTAGGCTCCCACAGCCTTAGGCAGCTCCACCCCTGTGGGTTTGCAGGGTATACTCCTCCTTCTAGATGCTTTCACAGGCTGGCGAGAGTGTCTGCAGCTTTTCCAGGTGCATGGTGCAAGTTGTCTGTGGATCTGCCATTCTGTGGTCTGGGGGACAGTTGCCTTCTTCTCACAGCTCCACTATGTGGTGCCCCAATAGGGACACTGTGTGGGGACTCTGACCCACATTTCCTTCCACACTGCCCTAGCAGAGTTTCTCCATGAGAGCCCCACTCCTGCAGTAAACTTCTGCCTGTACATCCAGGCATTTCCATACATCCTCTGAAAACTAAGCAGAGGCTCCCAAACTCCAATTCTTGATGTCTGTGCACTCACAGGCTCAACATCATGTGGAAGCAGCCAAGGCTTGAGGCTTGGATCCTCTGAAGACATGGCCTGAGCTCTATGTTGGTCCCTTTCAGCCATGTCTAGAGTGGCTGGGATGCAGGGCACTAAATCCCTAGGTTGCTCACAGCACAGGAACCCTGGGCCTGGCCCAAGAAACCACTTTTTCTTCCTAGGCCTCCAAGCCTGTGATGGGAGGGTCTGCTGTGAAGACCTCTGAAATGCCCTGGAGATATTTTCCCCATTGTCTTGGAGATTAACATTCGGCTCTTTGTTACTTAGGCAAATTTATGCAGCCAGCTTGGATTTCTCCTCAGAAAATGAAATGCTCTTTTCTATTGCATTGTCAGGCTGCAAATGTTCTGAACTTTTATGCTCTGCTTCCCTTATAAAGCTGAATGCCTTTAACAGCACCCAGGTCATCTCTTGAATGCTTTGCTGCTTAGAAATTTCTTCTGCCAGATATACTAAATCATCTCTCTCAAGTTCAAAGTTCACAAATCTTTAGGGCAGGGGCAAAATGCTGCCAGTCTCTTTGCTAGAACATAACAAGAGTCACCTTTGCTTCAGTTCCCAACAAGTTTCTTATCTCCATCTGAGACCACCTCTGCCTGGACTTTACTGTCCATATCGCTATCAGCATTTTGGCCAAAGCCATTCAACAAGTTGCTAGGAAGTTTCAAACTTTCCCACATTTTCCTATCTTCTTCTGAGCCCTCCAAACTGTTCCAACCCCTGCCTGTTACCCAGTTCCAAAGTCGCTTCCACGTTTTTAGGTATTTACAGCAGTGTCCCACTATACTGATACCAATTTACTGTATTAGTCTGTTTTCACACTGCTCATAAATACATACCTGAGACTGAACAATTTACAAAAGAAAGAGGTTTAATGGACTTACAGTTCCACATGACTGAGGAGGCCACACAATCATGGTGAAAGACAAAGAGGAACAAGTCAAGTCTTACTTGGATGGCAGCAGGCAAAGGAAGTTTGTGCATGGAAACTCCTTCTTATAAAACCATCAGGTTTCATGAGACTTATTCACTATCATGAGAACAGCATGGGAAAGACCTGCCCCTGTGATTCAATTACCTCCCACTGGGTTCCTCCCACAACACGTGGGAATTCAAGATGAGATTTGGGTGGGGACACTGCCAAATGATATCAGGCTCCAATACATCTGGTATCAGACTTTTCAGTGGAAACCTTGCAGGCCAGGAGAGAGTGACGTAACATATTTAAAGGGCTGAAAGAGGCCGAGGTGGGCAGATCACCTGAGATCAGGTGTTCAAGACCAGCCTGGCTAACATGGCAAAACCCCATCTCTACTAAAAAATACAAAAATTAGCCAGGTGTGGTGATGCGTGCCTGTAATCTCAGCTACTCAGGAGGCTGAGGCAGGGAGAATTGTTTGAACCCAGGAGACTGAGGTTGCAGTGAGCCCAAGTTGTGCCACTGCGCTCCAGCCTAGGTGACAGAGCAAGACTCTGTCTCAAAAAAATAAATAAATTAAATTAAATAAAAAATAAGAACAATAAAGTGCTGAAAGAGAAAAAAATGTTATCCTACTGTTTAGTCAGGGTTCTCTTATAGGGACAGAACTGATAGGATATACTATATATATATATTATATATATAGTATATATACTATATATATATTATATATATAGTATATATACTATATATATTTATTTTATATATTATATATAGTATATATACTATATATATAATATACTATATATATACACTATATATATTATACTATATATATATAAAATATACTATATATATATTATATATATAGTATATAACTATATATATAATATATATAGTATATATACTATATATATATTATATATATAGTATATATACTATATATATAGTATATATATTATATATATATAGTATATATACTATATATATATATATATAAGGGAGTTTATTAAGTATTAACTTACATGATCACAAGGTCCCACAATAAGCTGTCTGCAATCTGAGGAGCAAGGAGAGCCAGTACAAGTCCCAAAACTGAAGAACCTGGAGTCCAATGTTCAAGGGCAGGAAGCATCCAGCACAAGAGAAAGATGTAGGCTGGGAGGCTAGACCTGTGTCTCCTTTTCTGGATTTTCTGCCTGCTTTATATTCCCTGGAGGCTGATTAGATTGTGCCCACAAGATTAAGGGTGGATCTGCCTTCCTCAGCCCACTGACTCAAATGTTAATCTCTTTTGGCAACACCCACGCAGACACACCCAGGATTAATACTTTGTATCCTTCAATCCAATGAAGTTGACACTCGGTATTAACCATCACAAGTCCACCCCTTGTCAATGTGAACCCATACACATCTCCTGAGATCATACATAATCTTAAAATGAAGACAATAATGAGGTTATAATTACGCCTAATGTAATACAACTATCCTCCGTACAACCAGAAGTGCACCAATCCCCAAACCAAATACTATTACATAAGTCAACCATACTTAAATGCTGACAAGAAGTCAATAAATCTTATGTCACATAATAAAGGAAAAAAGAAATAAAATGGAGATATTTTCTTAATACAAGTGTATACATGCACAAAAATGTTTTCAACAAAAGAAGGAGGAAATACTCATGACAGTTACAATCTTCATTTCTACAGCTGGTCACGTGGTCATAGCTGGTATTGATGACTACCTTCTTCTACTACCCCTTCTGTATTCCCTTTGCCTTCAGCAAGCACCTCAGTGGTTGTATTTTTTTTTTTTTTTTTTTTTTTTTCTGGTGGAGTGACCCAAACCTTCATTCCTGAAGGGTCTGGGTCATTTGTAGTCTTGACTGGATTGGGCTGTTGTAGTTTCCCATTGACCTTAATCACAGGGCATAGTAATACTAAGAGACACTCTAATGAATCTCCTGTATTCCATACATACTCTTCCTTACCTACATTGAGTAGTGAACTGATTTCATCTTGATAGTCCAGGTCAATCACCCCAGCCAACACTGTGACTCCTTTCTTAGCCTCTTGACTGAAAGGTAGGAGGAGCCCAAAGTGTCCAGGTGGCAATCTTAACTTCCACTTTAGTGGAATCATTGTTGTGTCTCCTCATGGCAATGTTCCTGTCTCTGGAACTTAGGCCAGCAGAACATAATGTCGCAGGAACAGGAAGCAAAAATCTTGCTAGTGGATCACTACGGGTGATGGTGAGTGGTGCCACTTCTACTTCCACCCCTTGATTCCCGGACCCATGAATCCTGTCTATGGGATAAACAGAACCATATATTGGATGCTGAATCAGAGCATACATGGCCTTCTGGAGAACTTTGCCCCAGCCCTGTAAAGTATTGTCACCTAGTTGGCATTATAATTGCGACTTCAAAAAGCCATTCCACAGTTCTATCAATCCAGCTACTTCAGGATAACGGGGAACATGGTAACATCAGTGAATTCCATGAGCATAAGCCCACTGCTGCACTTTAGCCATAAAGTGAGTGCGCTGGTCAGAGGCAATGCTGTGTGGAATACCATGACAGCGGATAAGGCATTCTGTGATCTACTGATGGTAGTCTTGGCAGAAGCATTGTGTGCAGGATAGGGAAACCCATATCTGGAGTGTCTATTCCTGTGAGGACAAACCACTGCCCTTTCCATGATGGAAGAGGTCCAATATAATCAACACGCCATCAGGTAGCTGGCTGATCACCCCAAGGAATGGTGTCATATCAAAGGCTCAGTGTTGGTCTCTGCTGCTGGCAAATTAGGCACTCAGCAGTGGCCATAGCCAGGTCAGTGTTGGTGAGTGGAAGCCCACATTACTGAGTGCATGCATAACCTCCATCCCTGCACCATGACGACTTTGTTCATGGGTCCATGGAGCAATGGCAGAGGTGGCTGGGGAAAGAGGCTGAGTGGTGTCCACAGAACGGGTCATCCTATCTACTTGATTATTAAACTCTTCCTTCGCTAATGTCACCCGCTGGTGAGCACTCACATGAGATACAATTATCTTCACAGTTTTTGACCACTCATCCACATACCTCTTCCCCAAATTTCTTTGTCACCAATTTTCCAATCATGGTTCTTCCAAGTCCCAAACCATCCAGCCAAACCATTGGCTTACAGCCCATGAATCAGTATATAATTGCAAATCTGACTATTTCTCCTTCCATGCACATTGCACAATCAGGTTCACTGCTCAAAGTTCGGCCCACTGGGAAGATTTCCCTTCATTGCTGTCCTTCAGGGATGTCCTAGAAAGGGGCTGTAGTGCTGCAGCTGTCCATTTTCGGGTGGTGCCTGAATATTGTGCAGAACCATCTGTGAACCAGGCTCTAGTCTTCTCTTCCTCTGTCAACTGATCATAAGGAACTCCCCATGAGGCCATTGGTGCAGGCTGGGGTAGAGAAGGCAGGGTGGCAAAAGTGGAGACCATGGGCATTTGAGCCACTTCCTCATGTAACTTACTTTTGCCTTCAGGACCTTCTCGAGTCCGGTCACTTATACACCACTTCCATTCGATGATGGAATGCTGCTGTGCACAACCCACTTCATGGCTAGATGGTTCTGAAAGCACCCAGTTCATGATAGGCAATTCAGGTGGCATGGTGACTTGACCCATAGTCAAACATCCAGTTTCCACAAAAGCCCATTAACAGGCCAGGAGCTATCTCTCAAAAGGAGAGTAGTTATCTGCAGAAGACGGCTGGGCCTTGTTCCAAAATCCTAGAGGCCTCCACGGCGATTCACCTATTGGAACCTGCCAAAGGCTCCAAACAGCATCCCTATCTGCCACTGACACCTCAAGCACCATTCGATCTGCTGGGTCATGTGGCTCAAGTGGCAGAGCAGCTTTCACAACAGCCTGGACCTGTTGCAAAGCCTTCTCCTGTTCTGGACCACATTAAAAATTGGCAGCCTTTCAGGTCACTCAATAAATGGGCTGGAAAAACACATCCAAATCAGGAAGGTGTTGCCTTCAAGATCCAAATAAGCCCACTAGGCATTGTGTCTCTTTCTTGGTTGTAGGAGGGGCCAAATGCAGTAACTTATCCTTCATCTTAGTAAGACTATCTCAACAGGCCCCACACCACTGGACCCCTAGAAATTTGACTGAGGTAGAAAGTCCCTGAATTTTAGTTAGATTTATTTCCCATCCCCTGGCATGCAAATATCTCACCAATAAGTCCAGTGTGTTTGCTACTTCTTGCTCACTGGATCCAATCTGCATAATATCATCCATGGAATGGACCAATGTGATATCTTGCAGGAGTGAAAAGGGATCAAGGTCCCTCTGAATAAGATTAGGACAAAAAGCCAAAGAGATGATATACCCCTGTGGTAGGACAGTAAAGGTATATTGCTGGCCTTGCCAGCTGAAGTCAAATTGCTTTTGGTGGGCCTTATGGACAGGAATGGAGGAAAAGATATTTGTCAAGTCAATGGCTGCATGCAATGTACCAGGAGATGTGTTAATTTGCTCAAGCAATGAAACCACATCTAGTACAGCAGCTGCAATTGGAGTCACCACTTGGTTAAACTCATGATAATCCAGTGCCATTCTCCAAGATCTATCTGTCTTCTGAATAGGTCAAATGGGAGAGTTGAATGGGGATATGGTGGGAATCACCACTCCTGGATCTTTCAAGTCCTTGAAGGTGGCACTAATTTGCACAATTCCTATAGGGATGCAATATTGCTTTCAATTTCTACTTTTCTAGGTAGAGGCATGGGTAAGCATGCACTGGGGAAAAGGAAATGATCAGACATTTCGGAGACTACTGGACACTGGCTCTGAACTGATGTTGATTACAGTGGATCCAAAACGTCATTGTGGTCCTCCAGGTAAAGTAGGGGCTAATGGAGGTCAGGTAATTAATAAAGTTTTAGCTCAGGTCTGACTTACAGTCGGTCCCTGGACTCATCCTGTTGTCATTTCCCAAGTGCCAGAATGCATAATTGGCATAGGCATAGACATACTTAGCAGCTGGCAGAATTCCCTGACTGGTAGAGTGAGGGCTATGATGGTGGGAAAGGCCAAATGGTGAGTGTATATACATATGCACATATATACACACATATATGTACACACATATATATCATATGCATATATATGTAATATATATTATATGTGTATATGTATATATGTATTATATATAATATGTTTGTGTATATATATTATTTGTGTATATATGTATATATGTATATATCTCTCTTCGGCTCTAATAGTATTTGCTCTGTATATCTGGGTGCTCCATTGTGGTGTGTGTATATATATGTGTATGTATATAAACACATGAACATCAAACATTATGCTCTTGCAAGACTGATGTCAATGAAGAAGTTAAGAAAGAAATTTTAAAATTTCTTGAAAGAAATGAAAATGGAAATACACCACACGAAAATCTATTGGATACAGCAAAAGTGGTACCAAGAGGAGAGTTTAGAGCAATAAGTGCCTACATCAAAAAGTAGAAAAACTTCAAATAAACAACCTAACAATATATCTTAAAGAACTGAAAAAGTAAGAGCAAATCAAACCCCAAATTAGAAAAGGAAAAGAAATAACAATGATCAGAGCAGAAATAAATGAAATTGAAGTGAAGAAAATGAAAAAAATCACCAAAATTAAAAGTTTTTTTGGGAAAAGATAAAGAAAACTGACAAATTTTAGTTGAGCCAGGCTAAGAAAAAAATGGAGGAATCAAACAAAGTCAGAGATGAGAAAGGATATATTATAACTGATAGAAATTCAAAGAATCATTGAGACTATTATGAGCAACTATATACCAATAAATTGGAAATCCTAGAAGAAGTATACAAATTCCTAGACATATACAACCTACCAAGATTGAACCAGGAAGAAATCCAAAACCTGAATGAACTGATATCAAGTAATGAGATCAAAGCCATAATAAAAAGTCTCCCAGCAAAGAAAAGCCCAGGACCCAATGCCTTCACTGCTGAATATTATTAAACATATAAAGAACTAACACCTCTCCTACTGAAACTATGCTACAAAAAACAGGGGAAGAGAAAAGATATTTCCAAACTCACTCTGTGAGGCAAATATTACCCTGATATTAAGGCCAGACCAAAACAAAACAAAAAAAGAAAATTACAGTTCAATTTATCTGATGAACGTTGATGTAAAAATCCTCAACAAAACAGTAGCAAACTAAATTTAAGAACACATTAAAAAGACCACTCATCATGACTTAATGGGATTCATTCCTGGGATGCAAAGATGGTTCAACATGCACAAATCAATCAATGTGATACATGAATGAAGGACAAAAACTATATGATCATCTCAACTGATACTAAAACAGCATTCGATAAAATTCAACATACTTCATAATAAAAACCATCAAAAAACTGGGTTTAGAAGGAACATACCTCAACATAATAAACGCCATATATGACAGACTGACAGCTAGTATAATATTGAATGAGTAAAAACTGAAAAGCCTTTCCTCTAAGATCTGGAACACAGCGAGGATGCCAACTTTCACCAATTATTCAACATAGTACTAGAAATTTTGGCTAGAGTCATCAGAAAAGAGAAAGAAATAAAGGGCATCCAAATTGGAAAGGAAGACTTCAAATTATCCTTGTTTGTAGATGACATCATTGTATATTTGGAAAAAACAATGACTCTACCAAAAACATATTAGAACTCATAAACAAATTCAGTAAAGTAAGATACAAAGTCAATATACAAAAATCAGTAGCATTTCTATATGCTAACAATGAACAATCTGAAAAAGAAATCAAGAAGGTAATACCACTTTAATAGATACAAATAAAATTAAATACCTAGGAATAAAATTAACCAAAGAAGAGAAAGTTCTCTATAATGAAAACTCAACTGATGTTAAAAAAGCATTTGATAAAATTTAACACACTTCATGATAAAACCTGTCAAAAAACTGGGTCTAGAAGGAACATACCTCAACAAAATAAAAGTCATGTATAACAGACAGACAGCTAGTATATCTTGAAAGGGTAAAAGATGAAAGCCTGTCCTCTAAGACCTGGAATATAACGATGATGGACTGGTGTGAGGGGAATGGTTTTGGGATGATTAAAGAACAGTACATTTATTGTGTACTTTATTTCTGTTATTATTATACTGTAATATGTAATGAAATAATTATGTAACTCACCATAATGTAGAAACAGTCGGAGCACTGAGCTTGTTTTCCTGCAACTAGATGGTCCCATCTGGAGGTGATGGGAGACAATGACAGATCATCAGGCATTAGAGTCTCATAAGGAGCACGCAACCTAGATTGCTCACATGGGCAGGTCACAGTAGGGTTCATGGTACTATGAGAATCTAATGCTGCTGCTGATCTGACAGGAGTTGGAGCTCAGGCGGTAATGTGAGCAATGGGGAGCAGCTATAAATACAGATGAATCTTTGCTCACTCACCCACCACTCACCACCCGTTGTGTTGCCCAGTTTCTAACAGGCCATGGCTCCCATCCATAGCCCAGGGTTTGGGGAGCCCCTACTATAAAACAGTCATGCAAGAAACTGAAAAGAATACCAAAAATGAAAACACTTTCATGTTAAAGTATTGGAATAATCAATGTTGTTAAAATGTCCATAATACCCAAGGCCATCTACAGATTCAGTGCAATCTCTATCAAAAGACCAATGACATTCTTTCACAGAAATAGAAAACAAATTCTTAAATTTATATGGAACCACAGAAGACCCAGAATAGCAAAAGCCATCCTGAGCAAAAAGAATAAAACTGGAAGAATCACATTACCTGAGTTCAAATTATACTGCAGAGTTCTAGTAACCAAAACAGCATGGTAGTGGCATAAAAACAGACCTATAGACCAATGGAAAAGCACATGGAACACAGAGATAAACTTACACATCTATAGTGAATTCATTTTCAGCAAAGGTATCAAGAACAAACATTGGAGAAAGGACAGCTTCATCAATAAATGGTGCTGGGAAAGCTGGACAACCATATGGAGAAGAATAAAACTAGACTTCTTTATACATATAAAAATCAAATCAAAACAAAACAAAAATCAAATCAAAATGGATTAAAAATTTAAATCTGAGACCTGAAATCATAAAACTACTAAAAGAAAACATTGGAGAAACTTTCCAGTACATTAGTCTGGGCAAATTGTGTGTGTGTGTGTGTGTCTGTGTGTCTGTGTGTGTGTGTGTGTGTAACACCCCAAAAGCACAGGAAATCAAAATAAAAATGGACAAATGGGATATTTTAAGTTAAAATGCTTCTATAAGCAAAGAAAATCATAATAATCCAAGTAAAAATGTACAAAAGGCTCAAATAGGCATTTCTCAAAAGAAGATATAAAAGGTAAACATATACGAAGAAGTGCTCAACATTATTGATTATCAGAGAAATGAAAATGAAAGCTACAAAGAAATATAATCTCATCCCAGTTAAAATGGCTTCTATCCAAAAGACAGGAAATAATAAATGCTGGCAAATATATGGAGAAAAGGGAACCCTGGTACACTGTTGGTGGGAATGTAAATTAGTACAGCCACTGTGGAGAAGAGTATGGAGGTTCCTCAAAAAACTAAAAGTAGAACCACCATATGATCCAGCAATTCCACTGATAGGTATATTGCCAAAAGAGAAAAAAATATCAGTGTATCAAACATGGGAATATCTGTACTCCTATGTTTACTGCAGCACTATTCACAATGCTCAAGATTTGGAAGCAACCTAAGTGTCCATCAACAAATGAATGGATAATAAAAAAAGGAGGTACTTATACACAATGGAGTACTCTCAGAAAAAAGAATAAGATCCCGTTGTTTACAACAACATGGATGGAAATGGAAGTCATTATGTTAAGCGATATAAGCCAGGCACAGAAAGACAAACCTCACATGTTCTTAATATTTGTGGGAACTAAAAATTTAGGCAATTGAACTCATGGAGATAGAGAGTAGAATGGAGGCTGGGATGGGTAGTGGAGCGGGGGCGGTGTGGGCATGGTTAATGTGTACCTAAATATAGTTAAATAGAATGAGTAAGATCTACTATTTGATAGCACAACAGAGTGACTGGAGATAACAATAATTTATAGTTCATTTAAAAATGACTTAAAGAGTATAATTGGAATGTTTATAATAGAAAGAAGTGATAAATGCTTGGGATAAGTACCCTATTTTCCCTGATGTGATTATTATACATAGTACGCCTGTATCAAAATATCTCACATACCCCATAAATATATACACCTACCACATACCCATAACAATTAATTTTTTTTGGAAAATAAGTATTTATTAACTTCTTGGTTTGTTGAAGAACCAAATAAATATAATTGACTAATTTTAAATATAAGTAGTCAACAGAACCCCCCTCCCATGTGCCACTATTGTTATTTCATTATGAATTTGAAATATGCGAAAAGGCATTAGAATCAGTAGTCTTATTAACTCTGCAGAAACAGTTTATGGTAAAAACAAAATCGTATTTAGATGCCATTTTATGAGGAATGTGAATTTAATGCTTTTACAGCCTGATTTTTTTATATAATTTTTTTTCACTACAATTTCACATGTATTCAACTTCGTAACACATGAGTGCACAGACCAAACATGAAAGTTCTTTTTCATGCCCCTGCACATGTTCCAAATTCATCCATCTGATAGCCTACCAACTTCATCTTCTTTTTGATCCCTATCTTTGACCTCTCCCTCTTCCCACCCCAGTTTTGCCTGCTTGCTCTGGAGGCCTGCTGACAATTTCTACCATCCAGGGATGGGTCCATTGTTTCCTGAAATCCGTGTTTTTCCTCCTTTTGTTTTTTCTTGTGTTTGGAGCAAACACCTCCTTTAGTAACTTCCTAAGAAAAGTTGCATGAACAGTAAACACTTTAAAATCTCACATGCCTGAAAATGTCATTAGTCTCCTCTCACACTTGATAACTAAGTTCACTAGGTGTAAAATTTTAGTTGAGAATCATTTCCTTTTAGAATGTTTAAGGTGTTTAGCTTTTGGTTCTTTTTAACTTTCAATGATTTTTAGCTTTTAAATTTCAGTAAAATCTCTTAGTTAACAAAATTGCTAATAATGTAACTAAAAAGTTACTTTTAACAATCTTATAACATACTTACTGCAGATACTTTGCATATAGACTCTTTCTTTTCTTTTCCTCTTCTCTCTGTAAGCTCTTAAGATATTGTCTTTGTTTCTAGAATTCTAAGTTTACAAATCATAGTACCTGTGTTGGCCTTTTTAAAACTGTTGTGCTGTAATATGGAAATTCATGTTCCTAACTTCTAAAAATACATTGAATTATTTTTTTGATAATTTCTTCTCTATTTGTTCTCTCTGACATGTTTATTATTCATATCCAAATACATTCTCAAAATTTATTTTCTCTTTTTTCTTTCTTACTAGAAGTCCACTAGAGAATAATTTTATTAATGATTTGCTCTATAGGCCACCATTTGTTCAAAAGGTCACTTTTTTTTTTTACTTTTTTTGGTGAACTACAACATACATACAGAAGAGTAAATAAAATATAAATGTACAATTAACAGCTAATTATAATACAAATGCCCACATAATATCTCCCAGGTCAAGCAATAGAACATTACCAGACCCCAGACGTTTCCAGTATGTCTCTTACCAATTATAACATCCTCCCTTCCCATTATCCTGATTTTTATTATAATTACTTCCTTGTTTTACACTATATTATAGTTTCATCACCTATGCATGCATTCCTAAAAATCATGATTTCACTTGACTAAATTTTGGTCTTTATATAAATGCAATCATACTACATGCATTATTTCGAACTTGCTTCATGTGTATATTATAGTTATAAAAATCCACGTTCCTTATAACTATGTTTTTTTATTGCTGTGTAATGTTCCATTGTATGAACATAGCATAATTTATTTATCCATTCTACCTATGATGGATATTTGGGTTGGTTCACACATTGAACAATTATGAGCCATCCTGCTGTGGACCTACTTGTACATATATTCTTGGGCATATGTGCATTTGTTTCCCTAGGGCATGGAGCTCTCTAGAAGGGGAATTGCAAGGATGCACAGAGGGTATATATCATCACCTTTACCAGATAATTCACTTTCCAAAGTGGTGGTACCAGTTTACAATTCCACCAGCAGCGGATGAAAATGTCGTTGCTCTACATTCTCGCCAACCAACGGTGTTTAATAAGACTTCTGAATTTCAGATTTGATTTTTGTAAAAGCTTCCACCTTAACTTTTAATAAAACACAATTATGAAGCTTAGTATGATATCTTCAGTGTATGCCCTCTCCTCACAACCTAGCAGAGCTGGCAACTCCATTAATACTGCTGCCCCCTGCTGTACAAGTGACAAAGTGGTCTATAGGTTGGTTTCATTTAGCATGGTTCCCAACCTCTTCACAGTCTAACTCCTTCTTCTGTGCATATGCTTCACTTTGTCCATGTCTCTTTTAGCATGCGGTTTCCAAGACTATAAATATTGTCTTCCCAAATGAGCTGGTGGGTGTGGAGAATCAGGCTTAATGAGAAGTTATTCTCAAACATCACAAAGATATGTCCAGGTGCAGGCTACTTGCCAAGAAAACAAGCAAGACAGGACATCATGAGTGCAAGATGAGTGTGGTCTAAGTCCTTAACTATTAAGAAACTTTAGGGTTTTTTTTGTGACAGGATGATTTGTGCAGCAAACCACCATGGCACACATTTACCTGTGTAACAAATATGCACATCCTGCACACATACCCGTGAAAGTAAAAGTTGGAAAGAAAAATTTTTAAAAATCTTATCCTTTTTTCTCTTTGTCTTATTATTTTTATCTGGCAGATTTTTTGAATTGTATCTTCCAAACTTCTACCTAGTTTTTCATTTATGCAGTCACATTTTAAATTTCCAATAGATCTTTTTTTGTTCTTGAAGTCTCCATTTTTATAATCTAATTTTTTTGTTATATAGCAAAATCTCTCTCACCTCTCTAAAGACATAACTAAGTTTCATAATGTTTTATTCTTCTTTCTTTACTGATATTTTTTACTTCTAGTTTGTTTAATTTTTTAAATTGTTTTGTTCTCAGTCATATTATTGTTTTTCTCATATATGAGTTAAGACTGTACTTGACTTTAATTTTCTAGTTAATAATTAGATTCTGTAAGGTCAGTGGGAAATTTTATGTTCAATATTCGATCTCATTACATGGTAGGCATTACAGTAGATTGGTCAGTTGGTTTATCAGTTCATTGTTGCCGTATCACAACTCAACTTCAAAATGACTAGCTTAAAACAGTATCCATTTATTCAGCTCATGATGGTTCAGGTGGAGTCTGAACTGGCCCAGCTGATCTCTCTGGATTAGCTCATGCTTCTGTGATCAACTGTCATGTTGGCTGGTAGCTGGATGATACAGGTTCTTAAGTGTGGTTGTTGGCAGGTTGTTAGCTAATGAATCTTTGTTTTTCTCCTCTCCTTGTCCAGCAGGTTAGATTGGACTTGTTTACATGATGGCCTTAGGATTCCAAGAGATCAAGAGATCAAGTCCCAGTAGGCAAGGGTTTATGAAGCATCAATTTTGTATCATGTTTGTGAATGTTCTTTGGCCAAAGCAAATCCCATAGCAAACATAGATTCAAAGGCTGGGGAAATTGTTCCCAAGTCTTAATGGGAAGATCTTCAATGTTACACTGCAAGATGCAAGGAGAAGAAGACTATATGGCTATTTTTATAATCTACTGCAGAATGGCTCCCGGCTGTTGCTTTACTGGGTATTTTCAAATGTCATATTATATAAATATTTTCTCTTAAGAAATTTTACCCAGGAATAAAATTTTAAGGGAATGTAAGTGTGGCTACAACTGTTTCAAGTGGGGGATAGGGCAGGGTCTTTTCAGTCATTATGCCAACTTTCTATTAAACTTTCTGTATTCATTTTGGTACTCTACACTCATCTTTGCCTATTGACATAAATCAAGAGACCCTCTAGCTTAACTTTCCCAAAGAATAAGCTTTCAGTCTTCTGTTAGTTGGTAGAGAGGAAGTTGTCTCATTATGTAGACAGCAGATAAAGCCTTAAACAAATGCACCTATGATGTTTGTAGCTGTAGTTAACAATGAAGTGGCTTTAAGGCAGGGCCTACCAGATACTATTATTCAGAAATAGTCTATAGGTAAATCTTTTCATGATGTACAAATTTCAAATGCTATATATTTTATTTATCAAACATTTAAATTAATATGTTGTAAGCCAAAGACATTTCACAAAAGTCTTACCAACCGTCCTAATTACATTGGATTAGGTGATTGAGCTGGGAACTCTTCATATAATAACTTCTTTCAAGCCTTTCCCTTTACACTCCACCTGCAAGTACATTTTATAGAGGCACAAGGTGCCTGCAAATCTTTGAGCCTTGAAATCTTCTGCAGTATTTTCCCAACTGCTAGCTTGAGATTCACCTTTGTCTTTTCTGCTGGGGCAGTTATTCCTCATGTGTACGCTTTCTAGATTTCAACATTTTGTTGCTATCATTTCCTTTCTTTTTTTTCCTATGATTTTTGGGTTTTTAATCATAGCATAATTTTTATAGGAGTGAGTGGTGGAAGTAGACATGCTTCCCTCTTTTTTCTTTTTCTTTTTACTTTTATAAACAATGCTAAAATTATCATTCATTTATGTATAATCTGGTGTTAGAAAAAGTCTATGCTGTTTACACTAAATGCCAATCCAAATAAAATGTGTATTTGGTAAATGGCAACAAAATACAGTTTATAATTACTATTTCTATTTATAAATTAATTCATGAGACAAGAGCTAATATATATTTCATATAACTTTTTTTTAAAGAGATGGGGTCTTGTTATACTGCTCACGCTGCTTTCAAACTCTTGGCCTCAAAATCCTCCCTCCCTGGCCTCCCAAAGTGCTATGAGGCTCTGCACCCAGCCTTACATATAAGATTTAATAGAAAAAGTGACCATATGTCAGAATATTGTTGCTGTTGCTTAGACCGAATGACAGATTTTTATTGTAAGAATTCTTGAAGTTTTATAACTTTAAGATTAAATGCTAGAAAGTTATACACTAAGTAACCTATAAAAGTTGAAAATAATAAAACCTAAACTTCCTATAGATCAAAATGGGCTAACAGAACAAAAATATAAGTGTTACAGATATCTTGACATCTTAAATTAATGAAGAAAAAGTAACTTTGGCAGAATTTTAATAAACGGAAGAAATTATTTATGTGCATGTGATTAGAATTAATTCATACTATGAAAATATATAATTTCGGTGTTCTTAGCTTGGGCCGCTATAACTAAATACCATAGACTCAGTGACTTAAACAATAGACATTTATTTCTCATAGTTCTGGAGGCTGGGACATCTCAGATTAAGATGCTGGAAGATTCAGTGTTTGGTGAGGGCCTTCTTCCTGATTTGCAGACCGTGCTTCTTATTATATCCTTAACTGGCAGAGAGAAGAAGAAAGATGTCTCTAAGTTCTTCTTATTAGGTCACTAATACCATCATTAGGGCTCCACTCTCATGAACTAAATATCTCCTACAGATCTAATCTTCACATTTCATTACATGGAGGGTTAAGGCTTCAACATATGAATCCTTGGAGAGACAGAATTCAGTCCACATCCTATGGTCATTTTTAATGCAATTTATTTGTATAAGACATCTGCATATTTCCACATGAATTTACATATATCTAATCAAATAGAAAAATCATATGAAGGAAATGTGGATATTTTAGAAAAAATGACATTAAAATTATATCAATATTTTTCAATACTTGCTATTGTTCAGAATATAATATTAGTTTTATTCATTAAAACAGAAGTATTAGTGCTTTTTCTTTTTTAAAATTTTATTTTACTTTAAGTTCTGGGATACATGTGTAGAATGTGAAGGTTTGTTCCATAGGTAAAGGTATGCCATGGTGGTTTGCTACATCTATCAACACATCACCTTGGTATTAAGTCCTGCATGCATTAACTATTTGACCCAATACTCTCCCTCCCCTTGTCCCACTGGCAGGCCCTGGTGTGTGTTGTTACCTTCCCTGTATCCATGGGTTGTCATTGTTTGGTTCCCACTTATGAGTGAGAAAATGCAGTGTTTGGTTTTCTGTGCCTCTGTTAGTTTGCTGAAAAATGTTATCTTCCAGCTAAATCCATGTCCCTGCAAAGGACATGATCTTATTCCTTTTTATGGCTGCATAATATTCCATTTTCTTTATCCAGTCTATCATTGATGGGCCTTTGAGTTGGTTCCATGTCTTTGCTATTGAGAATAGTGCTGCAATAAACATACGTGTGCATGTATCTTTATAATAGAATGATTTATATTCCTTTGGGTATATAGCCAGTAATGGGATTGCTGGGTCATATGGTATTTCTCGTTCTAGATCCTTGAGGAATCGCCACACTGTCTTCCACAATGGTTGAACTAATTTACATTCCTACCAACAATGTAAAAACGCTCCGATTTCTCCACAGCCTCACAAGCATCTGTTGTTTCTTGACTTTGTAATAATCACCATTCTGACTGGTGTGAGATGGTATCTCATTGTGGTTTCAATTTGCATTTCTCTAATGATAAGTGATGTTGACCTTTTTTCATATGTCTATTGGCTGCATAAATGTCTTCTTTTGAGAACTGTCTGTTCATGTCCTTTGCCCACTTTTTGATGGAGTTTTTTTTCTTGTGAATTTGTTTATGTTTCTTGTAAATTCTGGATGTTATACCTTTGTTAGATGGGTAGACTGTAAAAATGTTCTCCCATTCTCTAGGTTGCCTATTCAATTGGATGGTAGTTTCTTTTGCTGTGCAGAAGCTCTTTAGTTTAATTAGATCCCACTTGTCAATTTTAGCTTTTGTTACATATGCTTTTTGTGATTTTATCATAAAATCTTTGCCCATGCCTATGACCCTGAATGGTATTGCATAGATTTTCTTCTGGAGCTTTTATGATTTTGGGTTTTACATTTAAGTCTTTAATCCATCTTGAGTTAATTTTTATAAGGTGTAAGGAAGGGGTCCCTTTTCAGTTTTCTGCATATGGCTAGCCAGTTTTCCCAGTACCATGTATTAAATAGGGAATCCTTTCCCCATTGCTTGTTTTTGTCAGGTTTGTCAAAGATCAGATAGTTGTACATGTGTGGTCTTATTTCTGAGGTCTCTATTCTGTTCCATTGGTCTATGTGTCTGTTTTGGTACCAGTACCATGCTGTTTTGGTTACTGTAGCTTTGTAGTGTAGTTTGAAGTCAGGTAGTGTGATGCCTCCAGCTTTGTTCCTTTTGCTTAGGATTGTCTTTTCTATACAGGTTCTTTTCTGGTTCCACATGGATTTTAAAGTAGGTTTTTTTTCTAATTCTGTGAAGAATGTAAATGGCAGTTTGATAGAAATAGCATTGAATCTATAAATTACTTTGGACAGTATGGCCATTTTCATGTTATTGATTCTTCCTATCCACAAGGATATAATGTTTTTCCATTTGTTTTTGTCCTCTCTTATTTCCTTGAGCAGTGGTTTGTAGTTTTCCTTGAAAAGGCCCTTGGCATCCCTTGTTAGCTGTATCTAGGTATTTTATTATCTTTGTAACAATTATGAATGGGAGTTCATTCATGATTTGGCTCTGTGCCTGCCTGTTGTTGGTGTATAGGAATTCTTGTGATTTTTGTACATTGATTTCTTATCCTGAGACTTTGCTGAAGTTGCTTATCATCTTAAGGAGCTTTTTGGCCTGAGACGATGGGGTATTCTAGATAAAGTCATCTACAAACAAGGACAATTTTACTTCCTCTCTTCCTATTTGAATACCCTTTATTTCTTTCTCTGGCCTGATTGCCCTGGCCAGGACTTCCAATACTATGTTGAATAGGAGTGGTGAGAGGGGGCATCCTTTTCTTGTGCTGGTTTTCAAAAGGAATTCTTTCAGATTTTGCCCATTCAGTATGATATTGGTTGTGGGTTTGTCTTAAATAGCTCTTATGAGTTTGAGATATGTTCAATCATACCTAGTTTATTGAGAGTTTTTAACATAAAGAGATGTTGCATTTTATCAAAGGCCTTTTTTGCATCTATTGAGATAAGCATGTGGTTTTTGTCATTTTTAAGTGACAGATTATGTTTATTGATTTGTGTATGTTGAACCTGCCTTGCATCCAGGAGTTAAGCTGAGTATATCATGGTGGATAAGCTTTTTGAGGTACTCTTGGATTTGGTTTGCCAGTATTTTATTGATGATTTTGCATCAGTGTTCACCAGGGATATTGGCCTGATGCTTTCTTTTTTTGTTGTGTCTCTTTCAGGTTTTGGTATCAGGATAACGCTGGCCTCATAAAATGAGTTAGGGAGGAGTCCTTCCTTTTCAATTGTTTGGAATAGTTTCAGAAGGAATAGTACCAGCTCCTTTTTTTACCTCTGGTAGAATTTGGCTGTGATTCAGTCTGGTCCTTTTAGTTGTGATGTTAGGGTGTCTATTTGAGATCTTTCTAGCTTTCTAATGTGAACATTCAGTGCTATAAATTTTCCTCTTAACACTGTTCTAACTGCATTCCAGAGATTCTGGTATGTTGCATCTTTGTTCTCATTGTTTTCAAAGAACTTCTTGATTTGTGCCTTAATTTCATTATATACACAGGAGTCATTCAAAAGCAGGTTGTTCAATTTCCTTGTAGTTTTATGGTTTTGAGTGAGTTTCTTAATCTTGAGTTTTAGTTTGATCACACTGTGGTCTGAGAGACTGTTTGTTATTATTTCAATTATTTGGCACTTGCTGAGGAGTGTTTTACTTCCAATTATGTGATAGATTTTTGAGTAAATGCCATGTGAAAAAGATTTTCTTTCTCCTTCACTTATGAAGCTTAGTTTGGTGGGATATGAAATTCTGGGTTGAAAAATTCTTTTTTTTAAGAGTGTTGAATATTGGTCCCCACTCTCTTCTGGCTTGTAGAGTTTCTGCTGAGAGATCCACTGTTAATCTGATGGGCTTCCCTTTGTAGGTGAATAGGCCTTTCTCTTTGGCTGCCCTTAAAATGTTTTCCTTCATTTCAATCTTGGATAATCTGATGATTATGTGTCTTAGTGTTGATCTGCTCATAGAGTATCTTACTTGCGTCCTCTGGATTTCCTGAATTTGAATGTTGTCCTTTCTTGCTAGGTTGGGGAAGTTCTCCTGAATGATATCCTGAAGTGTGTTTTCTATCTTGGTTCCATTCTCCTCATCTCTTTCAAGTGCTCCATTCAGTCATAGGTTCAGTCTTTTTACATAGTCCCGTAGTTCTCAAAGGCTTTGTTCATTCCTTTTCATTCTTTTTTCTCTAATCTTGTCTGCCTGCCTTATTTCAGCAAGATAGTCTTCAAGCTCTGATATTCTTTCTTCTGCTTGATCAATTTAGCTATTGATATTTATATATGTTTCATGAAATTCTCGTGCTGTGTATTTCACCTCCATCAGGTCATTTATGTTCCTCTCTAAAGTGGTTATTCTAGATAACACCTCCTATAACCTTTTATCGTGGTACTTAGATCCTTTGCATTGGGTTAGGACATGCTCCTTTACCTAAGCAAAGTTTGTTATTACTCACCTTCTGAAGCCTACTTCTGTCAATTCATCTAGCTTATCCTCCATCCAGTTCTGTACCCTAGCTGGAGAGGCATTGCGATCATTTGGAGGACAAGAGGCATTCTGACATTTTGGGTTTTCAGCATTTTTTCATTGATTATTTCTCATCTTCATGAGTTTGTCTAGTTTTGATCTTTGAGGCTGCTGATCCTTGGATGAGCCTTTTGTGAAGACTTTTTTTGGTTGATGCTGTTGTTGCTTTCTGTTTGTTTGTTTTTCTTTCAATAGTCAGGTCTCTCTTCTGTAGGGTTTGCTGGGGGTTCACTTCGGGCCCTGTTCATCTGGGTCACTCTTGCACCTGCACCTAGAGATGTCACTTAAGGAGGCTAGAGAACAGCAAAGACAGGTGCTTCCTCCTTCCCCTGGGATCTCTGACCTCAAGGGGCACCGACATGATGCCAGTAGGAATGCTCCTGTATAAGGTGTTGGGCAGCCCCTGTTGGGGGTTCTCATGCAGTTGGAGAGCATGGGAACAAGGACCCATTTAATGAAGCATTTTGGCTGTCCCTTGGTGGACGAGTTGTGCTGCCCTGGGGGGAAACCCACTTGTCAGGGTTGCCCAGCTTCCTCAGAGCTTGCAGGAGGAAAGACTAAGTCTGCTGGTCCATGGAGGCTATGGTTACCCCTTCTCCTAGGAGCTCAGGCCCAGGGAGATCAGAGTTCTGTCCCTGAGCCCTTCGCTGGAGTTGTTGGAGTTCCTGCTTCCCACCCAGTGAGAAGGAATGGGTCAGGGTCTGGCCTAAAAGGCTGTGTGGCCATGGGGTGCCACAGCCAGTGTGCTGTGCTGTGGGAGAATACCTCTTTGGACCAAGCTATCCAGTTTCCCCGGCTCCAGCAGAGGAAAAGTGCATCCTTGAGATACAGTGATGGCTGCTGCCCTTTCCCCTGGGAATTTAGTGTCTTAGGAAGCTAACATTCACAGTGATGGCTGCCACCCCTCCCCCAGGGAGCTCAGTTGACTTAGCAGGCAGCAGCAGTGGTGATGGCTGCCCCTCCCTCAGGGAGCCCTGTTGTTTTAGGTAGATTCCAGCTGAGAGGAGGCTGAGAATCTGCAAGGCTCTGTGATTGGGACGCAAGGCCCCGGTGGCGTGGGCTCACCAATGGGATCTTTCGATCCGTGGGTTGCACAGTTCTAAGGAAAAAGCATGGTTTCCCTGGCTGGGTACCACTCTCACTCACCAGCTCCCTTGGCTGGGGGTAGGGCCTCCCCTGCCCTGTGTGGCTCACGCACCACCTTGCTCTTCTCTCCTCTCCGTGGGTCACACTAACCATCTAATCAGTCCTGATGACAGAACCTGGATACCTTGGTTGCTGGTGCAGGATTCGCACACTGCTTTGGTTCTCCTTGGTGAGTGTCTCCCATCACGCTGCTGCTAGTTGGCCATCTTGGCTTCGCCCAGTATTCGTGCTTTTCAATGTGCTTAAATGCAACTTTAAGAATTGTTGTTCAAGTAGATTTATAATGCCCTAGGTTTTACACAGTTTTATTTTTAGAAATTATTTTAGGTGAGACTGGAAAATAGTTCTTTTTTCTTAATTTTCATACACACATTGAATTAAGAGGATAAGAAAGGAGGAGTTATCATAATGAGTCAGGCTTTTTTTCTTTATTTTGCTGCTATTTTTAACTGGCCTTCTTGGCTGCCCTAAAATTAATTTTGGGGGAATCCGATTAGCCTGTTTTTTTTCCCTAAATTCTTTTTAATTCTCAGGAACTTTAACTGAAAAATGCCTGATTCTCTAACCGAGAAACATAAACTTTATTTCAGTCTGGACCAGGGCAAGGGCGAAACTAAACATCCACAAATCTCTCTGGAGTCACTGACTTATTCATCCTGTAAACTCAGAATTTGTCTCTGGCAGAGTCAAGTGCAAGAGTGTTGACTTTCTTTAAAGACGATATATGTAACTGTATAAGTAACAGTGTCCCCATGGAGTACATATTAAAGGACACATCATGAGACTTTTGAAGGAAGATCAGAAAAAGTAGTAGCAGTAGGTTCTAGTTGGCTAAGGAAGCAGTGTAGAGTGGGATAAACTATATAAGAAGTGAGAATGCCAAGATGTATATCCTAGATGTTTACTAATATAAGAGGCAAATTAATGTGTATTAAGGAGAGAGAAAATGGTCTTGGTCTAGCAGAAAAGAGGACTGGAATTAGCTGCATTAAAAGAGCAGAAGTATTTATTTTTTTTCATGTGAGATTAGAATGAGAGAAGAATCAAAGGGTTTTAGTGTGTTTTGTTTCTTTCATCTTATAGATGTGTCATCTGAGCAACTGAAAGGATGACTTGTTCTTCAACTCACAAATATTTAGTGGCACAGGTGGAACCAGGTTTCAAAGAACCTTGTCTCTTCTAGTCTGGATTCTAGGAGAAGTAGATTTTTGAGGAGGAGTTTATTTTGCACAATATTTATTAAGGAAGGCTCTTGGGATCAACACCTGGGAAAGGGAAGGGAAGAAAGCAAGAGTGAGTAGAGAGAAAAGTCAAGCTAGTGACAGTTGCAGCTGACCCCAGTCGGAGCTTTAGGTGTTAGAATGATCTTTGGCATTGTCTCCTTTTGGGCTGAGATGCTGGTCCTTTATTTCCTTACAGGGACCAGTCTTTCTGTGTGGGCGGCCGTGAGAAAGGGCATGACCTTGGTTGAGGTGGCCTGCAGCTCAGGCAATCCCTGAAGAGACTGACAGCTGAAGACTTTCTGTTGTCAGCATCCCCAGAAGCTAGTGCAGCAACTCTTTCTCAGAAGGAGAATCTGGAGGCACATTATAGCATCCACCACATTACCTGCTCATCCAAACTTCTTTTGCACTTTAAATGATGGAAGCATTCTCCTATAAATATTGGTAATTGTTTTTCCAAACTGTGGTAAGTAAATGTAGTTGAGAGCTACTTAATGCTCATGAAAAATCTCAGAGTAATTTTTGTTAGAAATGCAAAATTTGCTTTCTCAAACTTTTTTTAACAGGAAAAATTAACCCCAAATTTTGTGGAGTTGTGACAAATACTTATCTCCATTCAAAGCATAACAACAAAAGTGAGCTATTCTAGTGCTACTCATCTCATGCACCTGCATAGTATATCAGAGAGACAAGCAGAGAGTGTTAGCTTCCTATTGCTGATTAACTAATTAACAAAAACTTAATTGCTTAAAAATAATAACAAATCTTATGATTCTAGAAGTTAGAAATTGAAAATGCATCTCTATGGGTTAAAATCAAGCAAACATAGCATCTTCAAATCTCTTCTCTCCTCTCTCTCTTTCTCTCTCTCCCTTTCACTGTGATATCTCCTTATTTTTTTCTTTGAGTTTAAACTTTCTGCCTCTTCTAAGGTGCTGTGTGATTACATTGGGCCCACCTGGGAATCCAGGATAATCGCCTCACCCAAAATCCTTTATCTTAATCACATGCGTAAAGTCCCTTTTGCCATGTAAAATAACATATTCACAGGTTTTGGGGATTTGGACAAATATATATATGAGGGAATTCTGTCTACAACACAGAATAAAACTAATTTTAGCATGAATTATGTTTGTGGTGACATCTTTGATGTAGAAATGTAGATCATCCCATATAAAAATATCTGCCTAAATATTTTTATAAATTTTTAAAAAAACTATTAGTTTATACTGTATAGAAGAGCAAATAAAAAATTATGTCTAGATAGCCTGTGCAACATTGATTGGCTAATGGCAGAACACTGGGCTAGGAACCAAGATACTTCCATTCAAATCTTATCTCTGCCACTAACTGATTATGAAAACTCACAGTTCTCAGTATTTTTTTCTAAAAGTCTGGTTGTCTGTCCAAGATATAAAATATAAATATATTTCTTATTTTAACCTTAAATGGGATATTTGTCCCAATAATGGATATATGTCGTGTGTATAAAAAGTCATTGAGAAATCTCAAATATTAATTTTTACTTATTGTTTGGATTTTGTTGTGTCCTTTCACCAAATTTTTTTATCGGAAGGTGAACTTCTGTCTGTAGCTCGAATTCTTGTTTCCTGTTTCCCTTACTCATTTCTTAGCTCAAAAAGAAGTAGAGGATTTACAGAACAATGAAATATTTAAAAAGTAGTAATAGAAGTACACAGGAGAATGATCTTTGTACTGGATAACTAACTCTTCAATAACCTGAACCTCTTCAATTCATCAAATAGGAAAATGTTAAAGAGAATATCTTACACTATTACATCCATTTCAAAAAAGTAAGCAAGAAAAATTGTACTGCATTGTTATTTTGCTGGAGGGAAATTACAAAGCACCTATATCATTGATGGAAAATTAAAATGGCCCTAAGGTCTACGTAACAGTTAGAAACGATTTATGAAAATAAATATTGCAACATTTGTAGTGGATTTCTAACTCAGGAGTTTGGGAAGGTGATTTAGAGAGTTGATGCAGTGGTAATACTGGTTACTCACTATTACTGGAGGATACAGCACTATAGAAAATAGAAAACCATCAATCTTAGAATATTTGCTGTTAGACCTGGTAGGAATACATAATTAGAGAGCTGTTGTGAATCAAGATATGTAAATCAATATATGAAAATGAGTTTTTAGGATAAGAAGTATAATCCTAAGCTCAAGCAAAATTAGGCATCAAATAAAAAATATCAGACACATTTGAACAGGAATTTTTCACCAATATCTATAAATATATTACAAGGATGTTTATTACAATATTATGTAGAGTAATTAGAAATGTGTAACATAGATGCAAATGTATTTAATTATTATGCAGAAATATCATTCTAGGTTGAGTTATCTGGGAAACAGGTACTGTGATGCAGTTTAATGTGCAAGATATTTATTAGGAAATATTCTTGGAATTAATACCTGTGAAAGGAAGGGAAGGGAAGCAGGATGGGATAAAAGGAGTAGTCGGAGTGTAACGTAAGCCTAACAATAGCCTCTGGAGCTAATACAGACAGGCAGAGTTAGCCCATCTTAAATGGAATGACCAGTGTTTTTACCCTTTCCTTCTTTACTCATTGGATATAGACCACCCTGGGGAAGGTGCTGCTCTCTGCACTGAGGCAGTCCTTGTAAGTACTGCCAGCTGAAGGCTGTCTGCCTTCCCAGTGCCTTTCTAGTAGCTGTGCCTACTACTTCTTTTTAGTGGAATCTGAACAGCAGATCTCCATGTTTACCGTGCATAGCACATTATGATTTTAAATAGCAACAAATAAAATAATGTAAACTACACTTATATCATCTTCAGCTAATTAACTTCCATGCACTTTACTCATTTAAAAAATAGTCACTTATACATAGGATAGTGGAAAATTAATACATGTAAAAATGCTTACAATATTCCCTGTAATGTAGTGCCCACTGTGTGAATGTTGGGGATTATGAAGTACTAACATAACTCCGTGTATTCAGAGAGAGTAAAATCTTCATAGCTGGTATCATAATAGTGATAGTTGTTCTGTAGATTTGGGTTTTCTGCCAAATGGAATATTTTCAAGAAAAATATTTCATTTGTTATTAATGCAAAAACTTTTTAAAAAGTTTAAGAAAAACTTAAAACTACAAGTTTTATTTGTCAATAGCCCTTGAAAATTCCATTGTTTTTCATTCTATTTTTAATATGTCCCTCTAGTATAATATACTAACTTTCAAAAATTTCTTTTGTCTTTATCAAAACCTTCTAGAAATAAATGCAGCGTTTAAAATGTATTTTTAAAGTTACAATATATAAAGCTAGAAAACTTGAGAAACACAAAGTTAATTCAATCTAATCTAGAAATATAAATTCAATATTAAGACCTAAAATGTACTAATTATGTGTGCTTGCTACATAATTTGGCAAAAGGTTTGTTTTGTTTCAAAATAACTATGGAAGTTAAAGAATGTATATGATTTTCTTTTCCTCAAACTAATTTATATGTAATATTTGTTTTCTGATGAATTGACTTAAAGGTTCATATTTCAGGGCTTCTTTGACAGTAGGAAACTTGGCAAGAGCTCTGTAGATAAAACATTCACTAGGGGTGAAGCCTGCAGCAACTGGGCCAACTCCCTTGCTGCACTTTACTTTTCTCTAAATGCTTTCCTTTTAAAGAAAAAAAAGGGAAGGAAAATTTTGGCTGAAACAATTTTTTGAATAACCTTTCTCCCCACCAGACTCTCCAGACACCCAACAAACTACTTCTCTATGGGAATAGATATTAAATCAATATAATTTTTGTATGTACTTATGGAATAAAATCAATTTACATTTCTTTATTGAGTATTTTTGCTGAGAAAACAGTCTAACTTCAATATGCGAGAAAACCACTGCTTTTTAGTTTGCCCCTCATAAGGAAAAGTAAAGCATTCTTGTGGCAGAAATCTAAGCTACAAAAAGAGTTACGGATTTTTCATACATACATTTTATAGAAACATAAACATGCTTATATAACTTTGGTTTTTTCAGAGTTAAGTACGCTCACTGTCTTAATAATTTTCAGACTGGTGAGATGTAAGAAAAGACTAAAATTAATGGTGGGCCATAGGAAAGATACTACCAGTTTTCCCCAAGAAGACCTTCTGTGGTGACATAAAATTGAGTAGGCATGGACATTTTTCTGTTTCCCAAATCCTCGAGTGAATAAATCCAATGCTATGATGACTGAGAAGACTTCAGTGTTTATAATATGTACATTCCTGTGTTGAGTGTACAGAAGAGGTGGCAAAACTGTTCTCCCTGAGCAATGAGAACAACTGATATGAATAGATATTTGTGTGTAGCAAGAGTGCTCACAAATACCTCCCTAACCCTTTAAAAAAGTGGAATTTGTTAACTAGAGATAATACTTAAATTAAATTATAACCTAAATATAGAAGTTCAAAAGAGTGCCAAATATCTGAAATTATCAAGTAAGAATGAGTTAGAGATAGTATGTCAACCTGCTATAAGGAAAAGGTTAAAATATTCTCTTAGGTTATGTAATATTTAATAGTAGTGTCTATTTTCAGATTGGTACTGATAGTTTTATTAAGTTGTCTAGAAACTAGAATAATTTTATTAAGTTGCTTAGAAACGAGAATAATTTATCTGAAGAGGCGGTAGACTTAATACTCAGAAATAACAGGTGATATCATTTTTATACTATTTCCCCAGTCTCTCTTAAATCAGGAATTCTCAGTTTGGTCTCTGGAACAGCAGCAGCATCATTACATGGGAACTCGTTAAAAAACCAAATTCTCAAGCACCACTGCAGACCTACAAAATCAAAATTTCTGGAGTAAGGTCCTTCAGTCTTCTTAAGATGATAACCATTGTTTTAGAAAAAATTACATGCCTTTAAACAAGAAATGTTATTTTATTAAATAATACACAGATCTCAACTTTTATATGTATAGATTTTAAATCACATGCAGTTTAGACATTAGCTGATGCATTTCCAATTGGTTTCAATACATGGTGATGGCAATGGTTCATTCCTCAAGATCATCTCGCATCTGTATTTAAGTATCTGCTTGGTCAATTTTTGAATGTGACATTTTTTACATCTTATTTGTTTTGTTATCCAAAGAATGTAACACAGAAAAAATATCGAAGTGCCACTGCTACTTATTTAAATAGAATTCTCACAGATTCTATGTAAAATAATACTTGATGATTAATGCCTAATTGTTAATTATTAAGTTCACCAGAAGTTGCAAATTTTTAGTCCCACCTACATACTTATAGAACTTAGTCCTATTGATTTTGTGTCTAATCATAGAAGAAAATACAAACAAGTCAAGAGAATGTATGAAATGCGGGAAACATCATTTAAGATCATGATTTAAAGGAAAATGTAATTTTAGATTGTATTATATTTTTTGTCTTACCAGGAATGGAAACATTTTTATTTTCCCTTATAGTTTTGGATATTCATTTTTTGTGGGAGTGTAAATAACATTAACAAAAAAAGTCTTCAAGCTACAAGATCTATGAGGTATCTCCTGGAGCCAGAGAGGAAAATATAGAATGCCACCTCTACTCCCCACTATGCTCTGCATACATTCTGCTGATTAGATTATTTGACCATGTATTTTTATTTATCATAATCTTTCCATATTTTATTACATACGTCTAAGAGATGAAGAGCCAAAGAAAAAATCTGAGAGATAACGGGGCATTTTATCAAAATTTCTCCTATTTATTATATTTAAAAATGAAGAAATTTTTGTGGAAACTGTAAGGAAAGGCCCATAAGGAGAACACATTAGGATTGAATGGATTGCATTTGTTTAGACTGAAAACAAGTGCGTAGAAAAGTAATTTCTAAAAAATAGAAGAGAAAAAGCATTTAGCTCAAATCATATTACTTATGTTTGAAATATTGGGGTTGTATAGTCTTTATTTAATATGTGAAATTAACATTATAAAATATACCAGTGAAGAAATTTGCTCAAAATCAGTGATTAATAGCCAAGTCAATTTTTAAAGCATTAATTTATATTCAATTTACCTTTCAGTCAAAAATGTTTTAAAATTCGAAAGTGAATGGACTTACAAGGAAAAAAAAGTTTTTAGGGCTAAACAGCTTGAATCCTTGTGTGGTAGACTGATTTAAAAAATGACCGCAATTCTACATTTATTTATATATTTATGCCCTTTGCAGTGGCTTCAAGGAGTAAAGTTGATATCCTTATTTCTTGAGTTTAGATTAAATTTGGGACTTGTTTTGGTTAATAGAATGCAGTGGAATTTATAGTATGCAAGTTAAGAGACCTGTGTGCTTGCCCTGTTTTTATTTGAAAACTTCCTAGCTGCTATGCGAACCAGTCAAAGCTATCCTGCAGAATAATGTGAATCGTGCAGCCCAGTCACCTGCATACCTGCAGTCACCAGTTAGCTGTCAGCCATACAGACTAGTGAGGTCATTCCTGAACAGCTGGTCCCTTACCTTTAGTGACTGACTGTAGATGCTGGAAAAAGCCCAGCCAAGACTAGCCAAGCCTGCCTCAAATGAGCAGCACCATCCAATTGACCTGCAGTCTCACAATTCCCAAGAAAAACAGTTTTCATTGTTATATGGCACTGAGGTGTTGTCATTTGTGGCAATCAGGATTGCTATATTTAATAAGTAAAATTCAGGATGCCCAGGTAAATCTAAATTATTTCTAATAAGATATATTACATTGACATAAAATGTTAAAAATTATTTTTTATTTATTGGAAATAAATTATAAGTATTTAAATTACATACCTCTTTCTTAAACTATGATTTTCTCATGATTTGGCTCAATAAACAGTTCCTTGTTTTTGCATAATTTGCTTATCAGATTTTTTGTAGTTGCAGTCTATGTTCCATTTACATTGTAACATAGCTTCTACAATAGTTAAATCTAACTTATTTTGTTATTTGATTCATTGAGCATTAATGAGAAAATGCATGCAACATTAGCATTATAGGTTGGTTTGCAGAACACATACTGGGGAAAGTTGACAACTGTGATAAATGATTTTCAAATTTGATTTGTTGAAGCACATAAAAATGTTTTTTATGTTAATTTTTTTATTCTTTAGAATTACATTGCATATCTTGATTAATATATTTTTAAAAGGCTGTCCATTAACAAAAAGAACATTGTTGTCTTCAACAATACACATGATTATTTCACGTGTTTTCATGCTGTAATAGTATTTACTAGCATCCATATATAAGAATTAAATTATTTAATTAAATCTACTCAAAATCAAATGTAATTAAATTTACTTCAAAAGATAGTCATGAGAAATATCTGAATAATTTTACACATCAAATCAGAGCTTATTTTCCTGTTGGTAAGTGATGTTGCCTGCTTTAAAAATAGCTCTCACACCTAAATTGATATATTTTTCAAAATTCTTTCTTTACCACATTCAAGAAGTTAGTTTAAGCAAAGGAGTACTTCAATAACACTGTTTACTCTTCTTTTAATTTGCATAATTATTTTGCTAAAGAGTTTATCTAGACTTCACTTAATGGATTTAAAATGTCAACAATAATTTTGGAGGCCTTTTTTTCAGAAGTGAAATATGATTTTAGAGATTTAAAAAAACTGAAGATTCTCTCAACTACATTTGTTAAAGAGAGTCATCAGGGTTTGAATGTGAGAGAATTAAAAAATACCGCCAATGTAAATCATTCAGTTTAAACAGAAGAAACACTGAAGTAAGAGAATAATTTTATAACAATTACTTTAATTTCAACATAAAAATATCTAATGATAATTGAGAGCTTAATGAGAATATGGACAAGATAGCCAACACCTTTCACAGAATCATTCATGCTTAGCTTCGGCTTTGAAGAAACACTGTCTTTACCTTTAAGCAAACATTCACCAAATGTATACTTGCATCACTTTTATACAGTGGCAGTACATTTGTTTTCACTAAGTGTTTCTGCAAAATTTTCTATTGTTTCTTAAGTTTCATCTTATAAGCAAGAATTTTTCACAAGAAAAATTGTGTATGAACCAAGGGAAAATTGTTTTCTGTATTGTGATTACTTGCATCCATGGTTATGCTGTAAAAAGGCAAGGCATTTATATTTTTTATAATCTCTGTGATAGTAATTGGAGTTAGTACTTATTTTTCTTTAATTGCGGTAGATTTCATCTGGGCACTTGAAAATGTTCTTGCAGTTTGGGAATCAGAAAATTCTTTCAGTAGTAGTTCATTTAGCCATTTGGGCTGAAAGACTGTTGAAAATATCCAATATGGAAGGATAATCTTCTTCCAACTTCTTCCAACTTATCTTCTTTATCTGAATTTATCTTCATAAAAAATATTATTTATCACTTTGGTACTAGTTGCAGATATAGCTGGAAAATGCTGGCTTATATCTAAGTTTCCATTATTTTCAACATTGAATTAACAAATGCATACTACTCAATGAGCTTCAAGAGTTCTTTTTCTTTTCTTTCTTTCTTTTTTAATTATACTTTAAGTTCTGGGATACATGTGCAGAACGTGCAGGTTTGTTACATAGGTATACACATGCCATGGTGGTTTGCTGCACCCATCAACCCGTCATCTACACTAGGTGTTTCTCCTAATGCTATCCCTTCCCTAGCCCCGCAACCCCCGACAGGCCCTGGTGTGTGATGTTTCCCTCCCTGTGTCCATGTGTTCTCATTGTTCAGCTCCCACTTATGAGTGAGAACATACGGTGTTTGGTTTTCTGTTCCTGTGTTAGTTTGCTGAGAATGATGGTTTCTAGCTTCATCCATGTCCCTGAAAAGAACATGAACTCATCCTTTTTTATGGCTGCATTTTAATAAATGTTATTGTTCAGATAATTTATCATAAAATTTACTCTTGCATTTTGGGTACAAATATGCACACATAAAAGTAAATAATAGTAATCATTACATGAATTGGAAAGAGTTCATTTGTTAGTTTTACAGCCACAACAGTGTGTCTATTACTCATGAATGCAAACTCATTACCAACTGTAATCAGCGATTGAACCATTAAACGTTTGCAAGCTTGAAAACTAACAATAAATGAACTTGATATCTCATGCAAAAAATAATTAACTTCCTGTTTGCCTCAACAGAGAACGGTACTTGTGAGGTATGACTACAAAGCCAGAACTGATCTTCTATAAGGTTCTGAAAAGCTTGCTATTTGGAGACTGGTGGACTTTCAGAAATGGGCATGGTTTCAATGCTTTCAGCTATGTTAGCGTGGTAACAGGAGGAAGGCTGCTATTGACTGGTTGAGTTTCAGAAACATGGTCATTGGAGTACAACGCAGTCTGTGTGTTGTCTAGAATTGCAATTGAGCTCATTTGTGGAGTATTGGTTTCAACTACTGTTGGCATTTAAGTGATTTAAACACCATTTACTGTGGCAGAAACATTGCTCTCTAATTTTTTTTGTAATTTTTTTCAACACAAGCTAAATAAAGGATATTTAGGGTATCTCGTCAAAGTAAGAACAGGACACAGGATAAAAATCATTAAATACAGGACATGTTCTGTATATACAAGACATTTGGCAACAGTCATGGCAATAGATAACTGATAGATTCTTTTACAGCACAAATTTATTCTATTATTATTATTTGACCGTGTATTTGAACACATCCACTGATGAGGACCTTATATGACTTGAGCTATGATTAGTTGATCATGATCTTATTGTGGAAAACCTAGTCTTCATTACAGTGAGCCTTGATTTTCACTCACTAGTCCAAATTTTAATCTTTTAGCCACGCAGACCAGTCTAATCCTTCTACAATGAATTTCCCCAAATATTTATTTTTATATATCATGTTCATTTATGAGTTTGTCTTATTAAAGTGAAATATACAGATCTCAACTCTATTTCTTTGTCTTACCAAGCTAATAAGTCTATCAAAAAAATGAATTCAGTTTAAAGTGATTTACTTTTGTAAAGTTGTGCTGGCCATAATAATATTTCCATTTTCCATTTTTACAAACTGTCTCATTTATAATTTCAACTAGCATATTACTTGGAACTTTAAGCCCTTAGCTTTGAAAATAATTACTTTATTTTACCATTGTTGTTGGTAGTTCCTTTCTACCATCCCTCAAATATAATGAAAAAAGCGGAGAAATTCAAATTTTTGGATTTCCGTAGAATCCATACATGTAATTTTCTTGGTCATGAGCACCAAGCTCTTACAACCTCTTTTTTTTCCTTCTTTTTTTTTTTAACATCTTAATATGTTTTGTACTTCAATTCCCTCTTATCAACTTCTGTATCCTTTTTAAACACAGATATGAAAATCTGGGATTAATTCTTAGAACTGTCTTGTTATGCAAGAAGCTATGTTGTCATTGATAGAAAACGTCTATAAATCACATCTAACCCTTTTTCTTTCAATATGCTTTAGCACTCTTATGATGAAAAGAGAATTCTCATAGAGGCATTCCATTTATAATCTTTTTAAAAGTATATATGAATCTAAGTTTTTTCAGAATTTTTAAATTGAAATATTATTAAGTTTATTGACATGATGTTTGTAATGGAAGCCAAAAATCACAATATTTTCACTTCCATACGTTAAGTTCTAAGGAAGATCTTACATTATTTATCCTGGAACATGCTGCAACTCAACCTTGAAATAAAATTCAAACAAAATGTGGAAAAGCGAATGATACACATATTTGGTTGCTGATCACAAAAATCATTGGGTTTTGTGCATTATATTTTACTTTTTATATATAACGTGTTATTTTAATATATTTTTCATTTACATGGTAGTATTTAAACTTTTTTATGTTGATAAATTAACAACTGGTTTTAGTTACAGGCTATATATATTTTAGCATCCTTCATTGATTTTCAATGTCTACATAGTAAATAGAATAGTCACAGCAGTTTTAAATGTAAAATGCTAACTTGGCAAATGATTGTTAAATGAAAAATTGAACTTCCAGGGATACAAACTTCATGAACTAATTGCTGATAACAAATTTGAGACAAAAAGTTTGTTTTAAGTATATACGTAATTTATACTTAATGCATGAAGAAATATAGTTGAGATTTTAAACTGCTAATCTATGATGTCCTGAAACTTTTACTATGTTTTTATTATCTAACCACTTCCATATCTTAGGAGTTTAGGCGTAGCTCAACTGAGTCCTCTCCTCAGGATCTTACAAAGCTGCAATTAAAATTCAGAATATTATGAAACCTCATAATTAAATCTTTTACATCATGTAATATTCATTATTAAGCTTGTTGCATTAGAGATAAACATTAAAACCATCTGTCTGCAGGCTTTGTTTTCTACAATTGCAATTTGTCTAAGTTTCAACACCTGAAGCCTTTGGTGCTAATTGTATATATGTACTAAAGATTTTCAATTCCTATTTACTTATTTATTTGTTTATTTTTGAGACAGGGTTTCACTGCTGTCACCCAGGCTGGAGTGCAGTGGTGTGATGTCAGCTTTCTGTAACCTCCACCTCCCGGGCTCAAGCGATTTTCCTGCCTCAGCCTCCCGAGTAGCTGCTACTACAGGTGCACACCGCCACATCCGGCTAATTTTTGTACTTTTTTGGTAGAGATGGGGTTTCACCATGTTGGTCAGGCTGCTCTCAAACTCCTGGCCTCAAGTGATCCACCCCTCTTGGCCTCCCAAAGAGCTGGGATTACAGTCATGAGCCATCGAGCCCAACTTTCCAATTCCTTTTTTAATAAAACGCCATCACAATGTAGATACATCTTTTACAAAACATTTGATACCATGTTGAAGATTGACAATTATTTACAAAGTATTTCATTCACAAAGGCTCCAAAATTTCTAAAATCAGATCAAAGATGACCACTGAAGAGTAAATGTTATGTTATCATGCTGCAGCGTTTAACGTCAGTTTGGTTCAAAAAATTGTGGGTCAATGATATATTTCCTAGTATATAAAATTTTACATCTTTATCTTCAATTTTTATTAACAGAGTATTTCCCCCAGTTTGGCCAGATTCATGAATTATTTGTGTTTCCCAACCAATTCCAAGTACATTTTTTCTTCATAGGTTCTTAGTAAGAACACTGCTTTTACTACACTGCTGTGCTCCATCAAAAATTTTGTGTTACTACACAAAGAATTTTATCTCTCATATTGGACTTTTAACTGAATTTACAGTAGCATTCACAATAAAGTCAGATTTTTTACATTAGTAGAATAAAATTTCTATAGCTTCACCTTGATTCCATAAATCCTGTGAAGAACAAAGTTAAGACTTTATTGTCATTAGCTGAACTGCTTTTCTATTTGAAACTTCTGTAGGTAATGTAATAAATATATGTCACCTTTTACAGAGTTCTTCTTGGAGTGGACATATTAACAGTCCTCTCCTCACTATTTACATATGAGAACAAAAACTCTTGAAATGTAATTTGACAGCGTTTATTTAGAATAGTCATTTATCTAAATGAAAATTCAGGCTTTATAGATAGATATATTTCATCTCTCTACTTATATTTGTTCGGATGTTGTCTCTGTACATAGTCTTCATAAAATGATTGTGATTCAGTAGTAGATTTGTGTCGTGTGATTTTCACGTGGTCAGTACAACCTTCATGGTAGTTGGTAAATACTTAAAAATTCATTTTCAATTTTCTCGAGAAATGGAAATTGAGAACTTATTTTTGAAATGTATGTTTCTATTTTTCCAAGAAATTGTCATTGAAATATTGTACGGAAAAATAAAAAGCATTAACAGAAATTAAAAGCCAAAAAACAGTTGTAGATTTATACTGCACAATATATTTTTTTAAAGAAACACAATATCCAGAGTGTTTACTACTCTGTATACTTGGTAGCAGGACTGCTCAGCCTCCATCTCCCCATGTAATTCATGTATATCTGAGCTATAATTTTAAGTATTTCCCTCTGACTAAGAGGATTCGTGTCCTGACACCTTCAAGCATCTCATCACACTAGGCACAGGTCATGGGACAACTTGCTGTTAAACCAAGGGACCATCAGGGCAACAGGACAGACTTCTCCCACCACCACTACCCAATACCAGAGGGAGTTAGCTGTCCCTAGCTGCTTATCTCAAGCACATCTTATCAGCTAGCACCCTGCGTGCTCTACTTGAAAGGGGAATAGTAGATATGTTGCATCTGGAAATGATCAAGTAAAGAAAGAGGTTTGTTGTTGGTTTTCCTGCACATTTAACCATGTGTTAAAGTGAGAACTCTATTCTCAGAACAAATGTTTCACACACTCAAGAAGAGATTGTGGCAGAAGCTGGAAGTACAATGTGAAGGTTGACTTAACTCACCTTGGCTCATTTTAATGCAATTACTAAGCAAAATTCTTGGTTAAAAATGATAAATTCAGGAAATTCTGAACAGTAGAGGACACCAAGACCGTGTAAACTAGACCTGAACCAGGAAAACTGGGACATGTGTTCTCAATGACCTAGATAATGTGATGACATGGGGAAACCCAGACATTTGAACTAGTGAGAAGGAAAGAAGAAAAATAAATCAACTGTTTAAGGAATAATTCAGAATCATTAGATTCAAATTTTTTTATAATTATGAATTCACTTCTTTATAAGATAAAATTCTTACTCTCTGCTGCCAAGAATTTCATAGGTTGTACAATTTTGAGACCGAATATATTTTTTCTCCTGTGTCAATATAAGACACATATTCTAATTTGATCCATCTAATAAAATGATGAATAATATATTTGGTGATAATTTCTCTTCTTTAGGAGGGAAGTATATATAAGTAATAACCAGCACAGCTTTGGTCCCAAACCGTTTAGGTTTATAAGCCAGCTAAATCACTTATTAGCTATTGTGACTTTAGTCAAGTAATTTACCTCTCCGTGGTTCTGATTTTTCACTTCCAAAATCGGGATATTAAAAATACCAACCTAAGTGATTATTATGAGGAGTAAATGGACTAATATATGAGAAACTGTTAGGACAGTGCCTGACACATGGAAATGTAAGTTAGGTATAGGTTGTTATTATTATTTCAATCAACTGTCTAAGGAACTGGAAAGATAATATATACCATGTATTTCAAGTTATATGAATTAGTTGTGTTTGATTAGATATAAAACTTGGTTATTACACTATATTCCTTTAAAAATTAAAACAACGTTTAAAACAAGCTAATTCACATTTCCTGAAGACAAAGTACTTACAAAGATGAAAGCCTTATAAATTATGCTGTGTGATAATTTTTGTTATCCCATGGCATGATTTACATAAGTGATAGGAGAAATATCACTTCTCCCACACGCAGTTCAGATGGAGAGGTAGAAAAATAAATTTAATTTTGCTGGCTGTTATTTGTAAAAGGTTAAAAGGAAATGATGTTTGAATGCTGAGAAATATAGGATAAATCCTAAAAAACTAATTTTAATTGTTTTCTTCTCAACTACTGACACTAAAAAATAAACATTTTCTAATATTTGAATGATTGTTATGAATAAAGCATGTAAGCAGCTTTATGATATTCATGGGTCTCATACTCATGAATATGGTTCTGTCAGGATGTGATCCCAGGAATCTGACTCCTTGACCTGGTCTTTAAATATCTGCCTGGGGAATCTGAGCTTTGAAGGGCTCTCAACAGCTCAGTGAACAGGATGAGGGGAATAAGGAAACTTACTTATCTTGGGAGGTTTTGAATTTGTAGGAAGTCTCCTTTCCAAGGTTTGAATGTTTGAAATCATGGGAAAAAATTTAACCTTATATATGATGCATGCTTTTTATAGATTTCACTTTAGCTTAGTGTAATTTCAGCAAGACAGCTATAGCCCAACAATTTAAAAAGGGGGCTCTGATGTCCGACTTCTTGGGTTTGAATTCTGGCTCTCTTACTTACTAGCCATGTGTTGGTAGTAACTTAGTTGACTTCTCTGTGCTCAAATGGTCTCATCTGTAACATAGGAATCATAGGACCCTTCTCATGAATTAGTGTCCACTTAAATATTTAGAACTGCACTTGAAAAATGCTCAGCAGACGTTAGTACTTGTTCTCATTACCATTATTTAAACCAGTGGTTCTCATTTAGGAATGATTTTGCCTTCCAGGGGGATATCTGGCAATGTCCAAATATATTTTTGCTTGTTACATCTCAGAGGCTACTGGCATCTAGTGAGTAAAAGCCAGGAATTCTGCTAAAATCCCCACCATGCACAGGACACCACCCACAACAAAGAATTATTAAGCCCAAAATGTCAATAGTGCTGAGGTTGAAAAACACCATTTTAAGCTATTCTATTGTTGAAGATGAAGCATAAAGACCAACAAACATTTTCAAAATGTTGCACATAAACTTGACTAATTCTAACTTAGTAAATCCATATCTTCTAAACTTTTGTTAAGCAAACTATGAATTACTAAGAATCAGATATCTTCATGAACTTATAACTATGCAATAGGGAAAAGTTTCTGAGAGAATAGTATAAAAATTAGGGTAATAAATGGTAGTAAATAAATTAAAAGAGAGAAAGGTAAAATAAAAGACACTAGAGGAATGTCTTCCTAATAGGAACAGAAATTAAGTGGGAAGAGGAGAATCTGAGGAATATTGCTTTAGGCCTGTTGTCCCATCTCTCCCTGACCTCCTTCCCTCCCAGGTCTTTAGCACTGGCTTATAATTTTTGGGGTAATTTCAAGCTTTAAGTGAATGAGCAAAAAAGTTTTCCAAATGTAATTTGAAAGTTATAAAAATTAGTATTTTATTATAAAATAACTATAGATTACTGCCTTGAAAAGTAATGATTCCACATTGGTGTATTTCCATGTGTAAATTTAGTGGAGATTTGAGATTTGTGAAATATAGGTCATTGAATAATACCAGTTAATAAAGCACTCCTATAACTTTCTGCCCTTAAAATATTCAACTAAAATGTTCTTGGAATGATGGCATTCTAGTAAGAAAAGGATTCCATTATTCAATCATTTTAATGAATTCTTTAGAGAATTGTACTTCCATGGGAACTCTGGGAAACTTTTGGCAAGAAAATTATGTTTTCCCTAATGGAAAAAAAAAAAAAAACTTCCTTAAGTGGTAGAGTAAAACTTCATTAGTTTGGGAAAACAAAACAAAACCACATGATATGTGGGAAAATGTATTAACGAGTATGCCAGGCCACCAAGGGGAAAAAAAGGGAAAGGAAAAAAAAAGTGAACAGGAACTCAAAAATCTTAATTCCTATCCAATACATAGATGTTTTTATAAATGTGTAGCAATAAAAATATCATGGCTTGCATGATTTACGAAAAGAGAAGTCCCACCCCCACCAGGCATGATTATCAAGATGAAGTGCCCCTCTGCAAGTTTGCTTCGAAGACCTAGAACTAAAGTTTAAACCCTAGAAGAAGGCAGAACACACATCACTGCTGAAGATATTAAGAGTTTTTTAACTTTATGATGTTCTCCTGGATAGTACTTATGATGTTATCAGGACTGAAAACATTCTTGGGCTTCATATTTAGGACAAGATTGAGTCCTTCACATAGTGTGTGAATCTCTAGAATGAAGAGTCAGAAGACTGAATTCAAATTCTAGCTCTAAAGAAGCTCTCTTGGAAAAAATTTAACATCTCTGAGCAAGGGTTTCTTTCGCTAAAATATATTAGAAGCAGGAAATACCATGTACATAAAAAGTGTCTTTTTATTATTTATTCTTGAAAATCATGAGATGAAAAAGAAAGAGCAAAGGCTTTGACAGACACAATTTTGAATCCACTTTTTACACTTCCTTGTTACTTCCGAATAGTTTTTCAAGTTCTCTGACTCTCAGTTTCTTCATATGTTAAATTCATACACATAGTTAAAATATCCAGTGAAGTGCTTCATAGGTTTAGGCACTTAATGAATACTATCTTTCCTCCTCTGCCCTTGGAGAACTGGCATGACACACTTTAAGACATCTAAAGCTGAATTTCAAAATAAATACTTTAAAATTAGTGTCTTTAGTATATATGTTAAAATTTATGTGCTTATATTTATCTGTGGAAAAATAAAAAAGATCATTTTACATATAGTATCCACAGTTTAATAAGCATGAGATAAAAATCTCATGAAATCAGAAAATTTTATGAAGATTTTTTATTAAAAACTGATTTCCTGTTCACTCTGATTGTAGTTTCCTTTGCTGTGCAGAGGCTCTTTAGTTTAATTAGATCCCATTTGTCAATTTTGGCTTTTGTTGCCATTGCTTTTAGTGTTTTAGACATGAAGACCTTGCCCATGCCTATGTCCTGAATGGTATTGCCTAGGTTTTCTTCTAGGGCTTTTATGGTTTTAGGTCTAACATTTAAATCTTTAATCCATCTTGAATTAATTTTCATATAAGGTGTGAGGAAGGGATCCTGTATCAGCTTTCTACATACGGCTAGCCAGATTTCCCAGCACCATTAATTAAATAGGGAATCCTTTCCCCATTTTTTTTTTATTAGGTTTGTCAAAGATCAGATAGTTGTAGATGTGTGGCATTATTTCTGAGGGCTCTGTTCTGTTCCATTGGTCTATATCTCTGTTTTAGTAACAGTACCATGCTGTTTTGGTTACTGTAGCCTTGTAGTATAGTTTGAAGTCAGGGAGCATGATGCCTCCAGCTTTGTTCTTTTGGCCTAGGATTGACTTGGCAATGCGGGTTCTTTTTTGGTTCCATATGAACTTTAAAGTAGTTTTTTTCAATTCTGTGAAGAAAGTCATTGGTAGCTTGATGGGGATGGCATTGAATCTATAAATTACCTTGGGCAGTATGGCCATTTTCACGATATTGATTCTTCCTACCCATGAGCATGGAATGTTCTTCCATTTGTTTATATCCTCTTTTATTTCGTTGAGCAGTGGTTTATAGTTCTCCTTGAAGAGGTCCTTCACCTCCCTTGTAAGCTGGATTCCTAGGTATTTTATTCCCTTTGAAGCAATTGTGAATGGGAGTTCACTCATGATTTGGCTCTCTGTTTGTCTGCTATTGGTGTATAAGAATGCTTGTGATTTTTGCACATTGATTTTGTATCCTGAGACTTTGCTGAAGTTGCTAATCAGCTTAAGGAGATTTTTGGCTGAGACAATGGGGTTTTCTAGATATACAATCATGTGATCTGCAAACAGGGACAACTTGACTTCCTCTTTTCCTAATTGAATACCCTTTATTTCCTTCCCCTGCCTAATTGCCCTGGCCAGAACTTCTAACACTATGTTGAATAGGAGTGGTGAGAGAGGGCATCCCTGTCTTGTGCCAGTTTTCAAAGGGAATGCTTCCAGTTTTTCCCATTCAGTATGATACTGGCTGTGGGTTTGTCATAAATAGCTCTTATTATTTTGAGATACATCCCATCAATACCTAATTTATTGAGAGTTTTTAGCATGAAGCGTTGTTGAATTTTGTCAAAGGCCTTTTCTGCATCTATTGAGATAATCGTGGTTTTTGTCTTTGGTTCTGTTTATATGCTGGATTACGTTTGTTGATTTGTGTATGTTGAACCAGCCTTGCATCCCAGGGATGAAGCCCACTTGATCATGGTGGATAAGTTTTTGATGTGTTGCTGGATTCGGTTTGCCAGTATTTCATTGAGGATTTTTGCATTGATGTTCATCAGGGATATTTGTCTAAAATTCTCTTTTTTCATTGTGTCTCTGCCAGGCTTTGGTATCAGGATGATGCTGGCCTCATAAAATGAGTTAGGGAGGATTCCCTCTTTTTCTATTGATTGGAATAGTTTCAGAAGGAATGGTACAGCTCATCCTTGTACCTGTGGTAGAATTCGGCTGTGAATCCATCTGGTCCTGGACTTTTTTTGGTTGGTAAGCTATTAATTATTGTCTCAATTTGAGAGCCTGTTATTGGTCTATTCAGAGATTCAACTTCTTCCTGGTTTAGTTTTGGGAGGGTGTATGTGTTGAAGAATTTATCCATTTCTTCTAGATTTTCTAGTTTATTTGCATAGAGGTGTTTATAATATTCTCTGATGGTAGTTTGTATCTCTGTGGGATCAGTGGTGATATCCCTTTTATCATTTTTTATTGAGTCTATTTGATTCTTCTCTCTTTTCTTCTTTATTAGTCTTGCTAGCGGTCTATCAATTTTGTTGATCTTTTCAAAAAACCAGCTCCTGGATTCATTGATTTTTTTAAAGGGTTTTTTGTGTCTCTAACTCCTTCAGTTCTGCTCTTATCTTTGTTATTTCTTGCCTTCTGCTAGCTTTTGAATGTGTTTGCTCTTGCTTCTCTAGTTCTCTTAATTGTGATGTTAGGGTGTCAATTTTAGATCTTTCCTGCTTTCTCTTGTGGGCATTTAGTGCTGTAAGTTTCCCTCTATACACTGTTTTAAATGTGTCCCAGAGATTCTGGTATGTTGTGTCTTTTTTCTCGATGGTTTCAAAGAACATCTTTATTTCTGCCTTCATTTCGTTATGTACCCAGTAGTCATTGAGGAGCACGTTGTTCAGTTTCCATGTATTTGAGTGGTTTTGAGTGAGTTTCTTCATCCTGAGTTCTGGTTTGATTGCACTGCGGTCTGAGAGACAGTTTGTTATAATTTCTGTTCTTTTACATTTGCTGAGGAGAGCTTTACTTCCAACTATGTGGTCAATTTTGGAATAGGTGTGGTGTGGTGCTGAGAAGAATGTATATTCTGTTGATTTGGGGTGGAGAGTTCTGGAGATGTCTATTAGGTCCACTTGATGCAGAGCTGAGTTCAATTCCTGGATATCCTTGTTAACTTTCTGTCTCGTTGATTTGTCTAATGTTGACAGTGCGGTGTTAAAGTCTCCCATTATTATTGTGTGGGAGTCTACGTCTCTTTGTAGGTCTCTAATGACTTGCTTTATGAATCTGGGTGCTCCTGTATTGGGTGCATATATATTTAGGATAGTTAGCTCTTCTTGTTGAATTGATCCCTTTACCATTATGTGATGGCCTTCTTTGTCTCTTTTGATCTTTGTTGGTTTAAATTCTGTTTAGTCAGAGACTAGGATTGCAACCCCTGCCTTTTTTTGTTTTCCATTTGCTTGATAGATCTTCCTCCGTCCCTTTATTTTGAGCCTATGTGTGTCTCTGCACGTGAGATGGGTTTCCTGAATACAGCACACTGATGGGTCTTGACTCTTTTTCCTATTTGCCAGTCTGTGTCTTTTAATTGGAGCATTTAGTCCATTTACATTTAAGGTTAATATTGTTATGTGTGAATTTGATCTTGTCATTATGATGTAAGCTGGTTATTTTGCTCCTTAGTTGATGCGGTTTCTTCCTAGCCTCGATGATCTTTACAATTTGGCATATTTTCCGGTTGTTCGTTTCCATGTTTAGTGCTTCCTTCAGGAGCTGTTGTAAGGCAGGCCTGGTGGTGACAAAATCTCTCAACATTTGCTTGTCTGTACAGGCGACCTACAGAATGGGAGAAAATTTTTGCAATCTATTCATCTGACAAAAGGCTAATATCCAGAATCTACAAAGAACTCAAACAAATTTACAAGAAAAAAACAAACAACCCCATCAACAAGTGGGAGAAGGATATGAACAGACACTTTTCAAAAGAAGACATTTATGCAGCCAAAAGACACATGAAAAAATGCTCATCATGACTGGCCATCAGAGAAATGCAAATCGAAACCACATTGAGATACCATCTCACACCAGTTAGAATGGCGATCCTTAAAGTCAGGAAACAACAGATGCTGGAGAGGATGTGGAGAAATAGGAACACTTTTACACTGTTGGTGGGACTGTAAACTAGTTCAATGATTGTGGAAGTCAGTGTGGCGATTCCTCAGGGATCTAGAACTAGAAATACCGTTTGACCCAGCCATGCCAGTACTGAGTATATACCCAAAGGATTATAAATCATGCTGCTATAAAGACACATGCACACATATGTTTATTGCAGCACTATTCATAATAGCAAAGACTTGGAACCAACCCAAATGTCCAACGATAGACTGGATTAAGAACATGTGGCACATATACACCACCATAGAATACTATGCAGCCATAAAAAATGATGAGTTCATGTCCTTTATAGGGACATGGATGAAACTGGAAACCATCATTCTCCAGCAAACTATCGCAAGGACAAAAAACCAAACACCGTATGTTCTCACTCATAGGTGGGAATTGAACAAGGAGAACACATGGACACAGGAAGGGGAACATCACACACTGGGGCCTGTTGTAGGGTGGGGGGAGGAGGGAGGGATAGCATTAGGAGATATACCTAATGTAAATGATGAGTTATTGGGTGCAGCACACCGACATGGCACATATATACATATGTAACAAACCTGCTCATTGTGCACATGTACCTTAAAACTTAAAGTATAATAAAAAAAAAACTGATTTCCATGTTTTGTTAGTTTTTGGTAATAATGAGGCTGTTTTCAGTTGCTCTTACTCACACTTCCCCTGCACTGTCTCTTCATCATGATAGGCTCTGTCTACCCAATCCTCTCGAATGTGGTCTCTTTCCCTGAAGTGTTCTCTTATTATCATAGTTAAACGAGAAACCTACTGCCTTTACTTCTATGATTCTAAACTTATCTTCTCACTTGGCACTTATCAACATACTGGCCTATTTTAGTTAGTTAAGCAACATTATATTTCCCTATTAAATTAGAAGTTTCTTGTGTTGACTACCTTGTTTAGCATTACCCTCCACACAGTATTATATGGCCCCGTATTTATTAAGCATTAATTATTCAATTCACATTTGGTGGATATGCAAATTCTACTATAATGTTTTGTATATAGATCCTACAGCTTTAGAATTTAATTTCTTATACTCCTCTAATTAAAATAGATATGCTTTGCATTCTTTTATTTTAGTTATTTTTCTTAAGATGTTGCCACAGGAATGTGAGGTATTTAAAGCCAAGAAGGCATATCTTAATCTTAAATATATATTCATACTTATTTTTCCATTAGCTATTGAGTATTAAATTTTAAAAGTATCTGTAGTGGACTAAACAAATGTCCTAAATTTGGTTTTTACAGATTCCCACTAGCTGGAACAATGTTACTACGTCTTCTTAAAAATGGATGAATTTGATTCAATAAAGGCAAAAGAAAGCTGAGTTATTGAGCAGTTATTATGTGCAAAGAAAAATACTAAATGCTTTATAATTATAATTGATAGTGAATTGTGTTCTCATTCAATAGTACTTGATACAGTTTCAAAGAATGATATAATCTCTGGATAAGAGATAATACAGTTTACCTATTAAGATCTTATTATAACCCACCAAAATTTATCAACTAATTGATAAAATATTTTCTAAGTGAAGTTTGAGCTTGTAGTTAATGGAAACAAAGATATTTTTATATCTGTTGGCAAAAAATATGCGGATTTCAACCATCTAACAAAGTAAAACTAGTTAACGAACAGTCCATGTCTGTGTCTTTTATTTTGCAATACAGTTGGCAAAGCTAATGCTTTTGGATCCTTCTGAATTAGTGAGAGAATAAATAGACTCCTACATCTGGATAAATGTGGTTTATGGCTTTGTTCTGATTTCAGTATTTGCTGCCAGGTACTCATCACCTGGGGTGGGGTGTTATTTTGGTAAAATAGAACTCATTACTTATTCTCAAAAGAATGCTCTATTTCAGAACAATTCTATTGCTAATGGAACTTTGAATTTAGAACCAAATGCCAAGAATGTTTTTAAACACTCTGTTATCCTTCTGATCAATTTAGATCAGCCAGATATAACATATGTGAGAAGTTATCTAAAATTTTCAGCAATAAAACTGATATGATGAAAGCTTTTTTCCCCTTAGGTATCATCTAGTATTGTTAGCCAGGTTGTTCTCATTGTTTCTTTTTTATTGTTTAAGGCTGTACCACATCACTCTTGTAATGCTCACCAAAGTTCTATGGAATCATTGTTTGAGATTCACCATATGTGTCTTTTATCCCTGCCCAATAGGTATCTTGGCTACATGTCAGTTTGGCATTTGTTACTATAAGAACTTCAATTGGTTCACTTGCTTCTGATTCTATCCATGCTGTCAGCATAGAGACTTTCAAATAGCCATCTCTGGGACCAAAGAAACTCACAAGATAGCAACCTGTTTTAATTAGATCCTTCTCACCCAAGTACTTCCCACTCGAGACAATTGGTATAGTCAGTCTGCCTAGTTTGGCGTTGATTGATCTCTGAAACACAAATCCCTCCTCACTCTGTTTTTGAGACCCTTTGTCTAGAATATAGACAGTGCCAACAACCCTGTAATTTATTATATGGTAGTAATTTATTGCGGTCATTTTATACAGAGAAGAGATAGGGTGAAGAATGGGAGTAAGTGTAGAGCATGTGGCTTCTGTTCAGTTTTCTTTCTTGTGGATTAGTCAAGACATCAGAACCATATCATGAGATCCTCAGGCTCTGAGTTAAATCCAGTGTTCTTCATTCTGTTCAGCATCTCTTGTTCCCTGTCTTTATTTATAGAAGTGATAGGAACTCCAGAATACATTGAAAATTATGGAACAAATATAATACTCAGAGAAAATTTCAAGTAAGAATTCTGTTAAATATGGAGCTTATCGTGGAGATTATTTCCCCTCCCCTCAAACTACTGATATCAAGAACATTCTCAGAAGCTAAATATTGCCAAGAGGCTCACAAGAAGGCACAGGCCTTGCTAGTCAGGATCTGAGGTCTTAAGCACCAAATGGAAGAGTACATTTAAGCAAATGGCCATGTAAGTATGGTAGTTAACTGGGCCATGAACATGAACCATTGGTCTCAAAAGGCCATTCCATATATGAGAGATGAAAAAAAGGTCACCTGGTTCTGTGGTTGAGAAAGTAAATCTCCGTAAGAAGACTGAAAGCAAGTGTCATCATGCATGATTTTAAGTTCTATATTTATTATATCGTTATGAGACTCCAAGCTAAGATGTTAACAAAAACAAATCTCAGCACCACCAAATTAAATCCATTAGATATCCCAGTGAAGCAAAAGTAAAATCATCCTTTAGGAATATTTCAATAACCCATGAAAGATTCCTATAGAAAAATAAATGGCTTCCCAAAGGACTATAAATCATGCTGCTATAAAGACACATGAACACGTATGTTTATTGTGGCACTATTCACAATAGCAAAGACTTGGAACCAACCCAAATGTCCAACAATGATAGACTGGATTAAGAAAATGTGGCACATATACACCATGGAATACTATGCAGCCATAAAAAAGGATGAGTTCATGTCCTTTGTAGGGACATGGATGAAATTGGAAATCATCATTCTCAGTAAACTATCGCAAGGACAAAAAACCAAACACTGCATGTTCTCACTCATAGATGGGAATTGAACAATGAGAACACACGGACATAGGAAGGGGAACATCACACTCTGGGGACTGTTGTGGGGTGGGGGGAGAGGGGAGGGATAGCATTAGGAGATATACCTAATGCTAAATGACTAGTTAATGGGTGCAGCACACCAGCATGGCACATGTATACATATGTAACAAACCTGCACATTGTGCACATGTACCCTAAAACTTAAAGTATAATAATAATAAAAAAAAGAAAAATAAATGGCTTCATCAAAGATAAGTTTACATAAGCAAATTACCAAGCATGCAAATTTGGTTTGTATATGTATTTGCTTTGCACATACAAAGCAAAACTTTAAAAATATAAAGAGAAATTGACAGAAACAGAACTATAGTGGAGGATTTCCACCGTCATGCTGTTTTGGCAAATTAATTAATTATACATACAAAGATTCGTATGATCATTTTCTAGCTACCTACTTTTCTCTCAAAAAATAAATAACATGCTATACTTTAGAAACTTATTATAAGAAATGATTTTGATTATATGTGTGTATGTGTACATACATATATGTATACATATATACAGGTATCGTACAGCCAATAGCATCATGGTTTCAAATAATTTAAATAAAATAAAATGGGAAAAACAAAAAGTATATACAAGAAATATTAATTTTTTCTCTCTGAAATAAAATGTATTAAAATGTTTCTAGAATTAGAACACTAGGTGTCTTCATTGATATCTTTATGTATCTTCTGAATTTCTCAAAATTGCTGTAATAAGAAACATAATTAGAGTGATAGGACATGAAATAATCCTAAAACTTGGGGAAACATGTATAATTTGATATTGCTGAAGTTATGGATAAGTTTAGAAAATGGGTAGGAGTTGAGACTGCAAAGACTGCTAAGAGTCTCTTCATGAAATATTAATTGAACCATTTTTAAGAAATATGACTTACCCCCACCCCCAGAGGTTATGGGACACCTCTAAGAATTTTAAGTTCAGAAATGTTTATCAGATATATATTTTCAAAATCTCTCAGACTATACAGTATGAATTGTTGAGTGCAAAATCACCCAGGAAGCCAGACTACTGTATTAATAATAATAATAGCTAACATTTGCTGGCTGCCTACAACATGCCAGAGACCAAATGTTGAACACTTTATATATTCTGTCATTTAATTTTGGCAACAAGTAAGAACTGTTATTGTCACCCTTTTACACATGTGGATACAGATGCTAACAAAGTTGTCCAGGGTCACTCAGTCCCTGTTAGAACCTGGCTCCCATCATAGATAATCTAGAACCAACTCTTAGGCCCTTCCCCACTGCATTATGGTGTTGCTTGTCAAACAGATAGGAAGTGGAGCAGAGAGAAGTTCTTAGCAAAAGAAAAAGAGCAAGGGATGAGTCCAAGATATTTAACTCAAATCACTTGTTGACAGATTGGTGGGATTAAGGAGAGAAGGAAGTCAAGAATAATTCAGGAGAGACAGGTTGAATTGAATGCTTTTGTACATAGTAAAATCATTAATAAAGTCACTAGAGAAAACAGAAAATTTACTTTAATTTGAGGTGAATGTTCGTATCTTCTTCTGCTTGAGTGAGTAAAATGCAATGAAATAAAAATGGCTTAGTCATATGATGCAGCAAGCATAGTATAGAGTGCAGATGCAGGATATGGCACTTACTCACTTCGTAGTTTTTAACAACTGGTTTCTTTATTTTTCTAATGGAGCCCAAGCTTCTAACCTGTTATATTGCAAGAGAGAACTATAGAACCTTCCACAAACTTCTTTTTATTCTCATTTTATCTAGAGCTTTTTAGAACAGGGGTACATATTGAAAATGTTTTATTTGAGTAATCAGAACAGAAAGATGTACATTAATACTAAGTACAAAAACATATGCTTTTCAAATGTATAAATTTTAAGCATTCATAAATTAACACCAAACTTTACTTACCAGTAAAATCACATCTATTTTAACTCCTGTTTATTCATTAGATTAAACATTCTTAAGATATTTGGTCTTTAAGATTTTGGCATTTGTACAAATTTTGTTTAAAAATTTGAGATCATAGCATTTTCCATATGATATGAATTAAAATAAAAAACAAATACTTTTATATTTATAAGACTTTTCTGTAAAAAAACACGTATCACTATGGTCAACTAATTGGTATATGAAATTTTCTTCAGACCCTTTTAATTTAGAAAACGATTAAGCAATAATTTTTTTTTCCCTAAATGTTCTTGTTCTTAGTAGCAGAAGATCATATCATATCTGACTTATCTTAGAGGTCTTATTCTCCAAAAGTTTAGACTTCAATTTTAATTGCCAATCCTTTTTGAGGTTTAGAATGATTGTTGACTCCATTATGAAGGTTGCCTTGTTAAATTATTGTTGTTGAAGTTGGATCTTTTAAAATTATTTTTAAATATCATGTTCCCTGTTGCAGAATTTAAATATAGAGAGAAAAATGATAGTAAGCATAGATATAACCAGTACCGTCCATTTCACTTGCAGTGGAACAATAACTAACAGCTGAGCTCTGCTGGTACAGCTAATAGATTTAGCTCTATGAATGTACACCTATATGATAGTCATGCTTAGGTAAATAACAACCGGAGTTTTGGTGCTTTACAGAGTTTTAAGCGCATCCAGGAATTGGATAACTTCACTTTAGCAGTTCAGGGAATGTTCTCCAGGTTAAACATCCGGCTGGGCGCGGTGGCTGACCCCTGTAATCCCAGCACTTTGGGAGGCCGAGGAGGTCAGACCACGAGGTCAGGAGATCGAGACCATCCTGGCTAACGCGGTGAAACCCCGTCTCTACTAAAAATACAAAAAATTAGCCTGGCGTGGCGGCCGGCGCCTGTAGTCCCAGCAGCTGGGGAGGCCGAGGCAGGAGAATGGCGTGAACCTGGGGGGAGAAGCTTTCAGTGAGCCGACATCGCGCCACTGCACTCCAGCCTGGGCGACAGAGCGAGACTCCGTCTCAAAAAAAAAAAAAAAAAAAAAAAAAAAGAAAGAAAAAAGAAAAAAAAAATCCTTGGTTAACTGTGAGAAGAAGACTATGACCTCCTCATCCTCTTTGCCCTTTCTAGTGCAGTTTTACCGAAGGATCTACACGATTTCTCTTCCACTCTTTGTCTTTTTCCTCCCTTAACCCATTTATTTTTATTACCTGTGGAAGTCTCACTGCCCACCCCCCAAACCCCCACCCATGCAACACACAAGTGGTAAGGATGGTTTGACTTTGAATGGTAAATTTCTTCTGTGTGTTTATACTACGGTGTGCATCGGTTGGCTCCTGGTTTACATTTGCTCCATCAGCCACCAGGGCTGATGCGTATTCCTGGCCATGGACACCCTGGCTGGGTCTCCGGAAGACCCTAGGTATCCTGCACGAGACTATTCTTGATGACTATGTCATTTTAGCTGCAAACCACTGAACCCACTGCGAAGATTATTAGGGTGTGACAATACACGTAAGTTTACATGTGAAAGTGAGGGGGGGAAGGTAGGCCGGTGGTCTGCTCGAAGGCTATTTTTTCAAACCCTCTCTTCCACTAAAAATGTCTCCAATTCTAATATCCTAAGAACTTGTATAGAATTTTCCGTTTGGATAAATCTAGTCCTTAGGGCTTTAATAATTTTGTGCCATGAGACTTTTAAACACGCAGTTCCATTTCAGCGCTTAACCGCAGCACCAACTTACAGCTTACCTCTCATTTAGGAACGTACCTCTGAGAGTACCTCTGACATGTAACCTAATTTAAGACTATCTTTTCCTTTTCATTAGACTGTTGGATATGTTTTAACCTTGCTGATTGCCTCAAAAACATTTTTAAATAGAGCTTATTGTTATAAAGCATAAACTCCGTGAGCTCAACGGTAGGCAAATCTACACTTGAGCACCCAAGGCTGCAGCTGGGAATGAACGAACTCATCAACATAAACACTCACGCCCCTTCCTTTTATTTTAGACCCCTTTTCTTCTACACCTGATCTATGCCAGGTGAGAAGTAGGTGGGCACGTTAAGATACAGTCAGCCCTGGGCGCTCAGTGTAGTGCGGAAAATGAGACACCCCTGGACATCCTCTGGCTCAGCTCCTTTCTCTCCTGTTCAGGTGCTCGGCATTTCTGTCGATTCCCGCAGGTGCCCCGTGCACCCGCTGCCCCAGGCGCGGCCACCTGCCACGCCCCACTCCCCGCCCTCTCGGCGCCGCCGCAGTGCGCAGAACAGCTCTGGTCCTCACAGCCAGTGCACCGGAGGGGCGCGCTCCCGAGCTGGCGCAGTTTCCCAGCGCGGTGCCCGCCCCTCATCCTCCTCCAGTCTCCCTCCCCTCGCCGACTGCCGCCCCAGGCTCCGCCATGGGGAATGTGCCATCCGCGGTGAAGCACTGCCTCAGCTACCAGCAGCTTCTCCGGGAGCATCTCTGGATCGGGGATTCAGTGGCAGGGGCGCTCGACCCCGCGCAGGTACCACCTCGCGGCCCAGGGTGTCCCCACCCTCATGCGCACACTGACAGCCAGCCTCTCTCCCTGCAACCTCTTGGTGCCCTCCTCCCTTTATGTCACCTCCTCACCCCAGGACCCTTCCCGCAGCAGTTCTGTCGTGTTAGGCCGCACCCCTTAAACGGTTTCCCGTTATCTCTCTTCGGTGAATGTATCGACCCGCCTCTACAGATCAGACCCTGCAAAATCCCTGCCTGTGACCATTTGCTGGTCGCCTAAAGAAAAGAATTCCTTCTCTGTGTTTTCCTGGAAAGGGATGCATTACGTAATACAATTTGTATTCATAGGTATTCCTTCAAGGATACCGCCCTTATTCTCAGTGCTCCTTGTACTGTGTAACAAAGACTACAAATTTGTCACAATGTGAGGCAGAAAAAGGAATGAAACCGGTAGAAGGTTAAGAAGACATAGTAGGATGAAATAATCCATCAGAACATTAATTATCCCAAATGTATTTGTGCTTCAACAAACTTGAAAGAAAGTGTAAATAACAGCAATTTCAGACTAAAATTTATTCCCACATTGTTCCTGAAAGGGCATGTTAAGACAATAGGCAACTTAATATTATTCATATACTTATGATTTAATGCACTCTTAACCAGTGTCAGATAAATAAAGAAAAGGTGTATAAAGAAATTAACTTTTTCCTTAAAAAACTTGAAAATCTAAAATTCCACAAAATATTAAATAACTGATAATTGTTATGAAAATGTTGAAACATGGAATAAAGGAGGAGCACTGTGAGGACTTCTTGTTAAATTACAGGTGCTGGATACAAGATTATTTCTGATTCGACTAGTGAACAAAATAACTTCTGTTATTGTAATATTTTAGTCATTAAGCATAATTGTACCATGTGGATTTAAATCAACTATTCTAATATAAAATATTCATTTTCTATTGTGTATTCTCAGTTTAGTGTATCATATGTGAAATTGCAATCTTATCTTTACAAATTGGAATTCAGCATTTGTGTTCTTTAGAAGATATTTTGTTTCTCGTTACTTAAAAGATGGCCATGGTCATCTAACTCAAAACCTGTTGATGACAGTGGTAGAGGTGAAAAGTTATCCTTTATCTTCCCACATGTTAATATGTCTATTTAATTTTCCTACCTTCTATTTTGACCTTCCTGATGTAACTTTTATCTTAATGTTCTTGACTTTTTAAATTCAGTCTGTTATTTAATCAGGAACCATTAACTTATATTTCCTAAGTCTGAGAGTTTATATGATTTTTCTTTTTGAGTGAATATTATATTTCTCTCTCCCTCTTTATTTTCTGATTTACACATTTTGTGGGTTTTATGGACAATGATAGAAGATTGGTTGCAGGTAAGGATGTCTTATTTGCCCTGCTAAGATATGGAAGCAGGTTAAATGAAAATGACTAGGATTCCCGAGAAATAAAATTCTGGGGCATTCATCAGCTTAATGAAGACTTTTTTGGCCCATTCTGAAGATATAATAGCCCTTCTCTAAATATTGCCTTTTTACCCACCAACTGCTTTGCCTAGAAAACTCTTATTTGTCTCTCAAGTACAGATTTTAAATTTTTTTTTTTTTTTAGTCCAGCCCTTTGCTCCCTCCAGAGTTATGCTTCTTTTTGTGTTCTCGGGAATTTTTAAAAATAATTCTGTTTTAGTTCCAATACTGTTGAATTGTGATTTTTTCTATCTTATCGTAATTGAACTCACAGCAGCACTAACATCTGACACTTGGCTTTTTGAACTTTATCTTCCTAGACTTCTCTTCTAACAAACCTTCACTGCTTTCAGCCCGATGTCTCTGGCTTCTCAGTCTCCTTGGCAGGCACGGTGGCTTGTATCCACTGGGTAAATATCCAGATGCCCCATCACTATCTACACTCTTCCTAGTGTGAGTTTGAGTGACAATCTACACTCACTGATTTGATTACTGTTTGTGTACCAGTGTTTTCTAGACTTACATTCCCCTATTTCTCTTGAATTCCAGTCCAGATGTTCAGCTGCTCATTTGACATCATCGCTTAGGTATCTCAAAAGCAACTCAAACTCAAACATTTTCAAAATTTTATTAATGTTCTACTTCTTCCAACACTGGACTTTCTGCAATATTTCCTATTGCAGGGAATGCCAGTATAATTTATTCAGTTCTATGAGCCATACACCAGAAACTATCTTCTTTCATTTCCCTCACACCCAAAGTATCACTGAGTCCTGCAATTTTACTTCTTGAATTTCTTTCAAATCTATTTTTCCAACTTCATTGCACCAATCAATTTTAAAATGGCATTATCTCTCATATGGATGACTGGGCTGTTGCAGTAGTCTTCTTACTTTCCAGGAATCCCTCTTCAACCCAATGCCTATATAGCTAATTGGAAAGTGTTCCCTATTTCAAATAAAATAATGCTATTTCTCTGTTTCAAAACCATCCGTGAATTTCCATTGCTTTTAAGAGTGGACACCAAAACTTTTAATGTGTTTTCTAAACTTCAAATGATCTTTTCATTGCATCTCTCAGCAACATCATCTTAAGCTATTCTTTTTTGTTCTTGCCACTTTAGCCACAGTGGCCTTTTTTGAGTTCTATAATAAATTGTGTTCCCTCTGGAACCACAGTGTTTGCTTACCTTCCTCTCTGCTAGGAAGATTGTTTTCAACAAATTAACTTCTAATTAATCTTCCGCCCTCAACTTGCATGTTACCCTCTCGTGAAATCTCTCCCAGACTCTCCATGCCAGCAGCTTTTGTTAGACTTCTATTGCATAGTAACCTATTGTAGATAATATGCATTATATATTTATTTTCATGATTACTTGATATTTAATTGCTTTGCAGATATTAAGCATAGTAAAACTAAGGAAGCAATTCACCACGGGATTCTCAACACTTATCAGAATGTCTGGTTAATTTTTTATGGCCAATAATACTTTTTGAATGAACAAATGAATTAATGTTTTCCCTTATAGGCCATAAGCATCACATGCCCATGAAGACCATGGACTTCTTCTTAGCATTTGTTCAAGGTCCAACAAAATGATTGGCACACTGTAGCATCATGATAAATATTTGCTAAGTGAATACAAAATCAGTGAGAATGGGGACATGGTATAGAGTTTGATCTTAGCACCAATCGATGAATATTATTACTGTTTTTCTCTCACCTTTTTGTCTCATAGGACCTCATAGTAGTTTAATGGAGAGATGAGGTAAAAATGGTTTCTGGAGGCTGTCAACACAGCAGAGAGCTTAACTAATTCTCTATTGTTGAATCTGGCAGAGAGAATCATGAATAAACCTGACTCCTGTAATATGAAATAATTTGATTGTAGTTAGAACAGATAGAAAATTCTGTATTTTGAAATAATTATGTGTGTGCAATAGAATATTGAAAACCTCGATATTTTTCTGTTACCAACTTATTCCATGGTTTTGTGTGTGCAAGAGCATGGCCACACCTTAATTTTTCAGCTTACATATTAGAGATAATATATCCCTGATGAATTATTAGACTTAAATTAAATATTGTGTGTATGAATATATACACATATACATATTAGAAGTTTAACAATGTACTATCAAATATAAAAAGAATAAATATGAATGAAAGGCTTATTCTATCACAGGTCCACTAATTAAATTATGTGGGTCTCTGTTTTTGCTAATGACAATGGTTTTGCAGAAAATTCCCTTAATAGACCAAGAGGTTGAAATTGCTCATTCTGTAATTCAAGCTATCTCTTAGGACCTGTTTTATTTTCTGTAGTTGTCTCTGTTAAAAAGAGTATAATGAAGCTGGCTTAATTGGCATGTTTTAAAGTTTTGATTAAATTTAAGTTTCCTAGTGAAGCGATCCCCCTTTGATTTTCAAGTGTTCCTTAAGCAATAACTAAATCTCTTCACATATTAATGCCCTTTTGCAAAAATAAAATTTCCAAAGACCTAAATTCTAATATAAATAATGTTTCAAACCTATTATATTTCTAAAATAAAGTAGTAGATTATGTGAGATTAAATTTATAGTTATTTTACATTCGATTCTGATCCTTTGTGTTACATTTGCTGTCAGCAAAAATTATGATTCAGCGTAAAGTTATTTGGTGCTAAAGGGTCTCTGGAATTTAAATGTATTATATTTCTGCTTAAATGTAATAAGATGATAATGTATCTTTATACTTTTGGCCTGCAACTGTGTAGTTGTTAGTACATTTACTAAATATTTTAGGATGATTGAGGAGGAATTTTCAGACAGGGACCAAACTGCCATCATACTGTTTTCTATTTGTCTCATGTATTCTTTATTTGTCTCCTTACCATTTTTTATTCTTTTCCAGCTTCTTTTGAAATCATGTAGCATTTTAATTTCTCATTTTCCCCCTGAATTGACATGTTAGTGATATACTTTTTTTTACTATACCCTTAATTGCTGTCTATAAGATGTCAACATACAACCGTGGCTTATTAAAATAATATATTAGTACTATTACAACTTATTAAAAATGCAAATATGACTCTTTAACTTCATTTTCTGTCCTCTGCCTTTTACGTTTTTGTTTCTATATACTTATTATCTATATGGTGTATTTACAATACATATGCATACAGTCAATATCCATTTATACTTGTGCACATATTTTCTCTTTTTATTCCTTTCTTCATCTCCATTTTTTCCTCAGATTACTTTCCTTCAACCAGAAGTATTTGTTTCAATATTTTCTTTAGTAAAAAAAGTACTAATATTGATTTTTTTCAGTTTTTCTTTGTTTGAAATTACATACACACATATACACTAATGTATATATATACACACACACATATATGATGTTTATAAGTATAAATGAATGTTTACTATAAACATAAGTTTTATCTAAAAAATTAACAGCCATGATAGCAGTGCAAAATGCAGATTTCTCAACAGATACAGTGGAAGCCAGTTACAATAAAATCAGCGATTTGTCTTATTTTTGGTCCTTTGATGATAATTTATCTTTCATTCTTTTATCTTTGTATTTGGTTTCTAATAGTATTACTATGGCATATCTAGGCATACTTTCTTTTGCATTCATCTGGCTAATAATGTACAACACTTCTTGGATCTATGACTTGATGTTTGTTGGGTTTCATATTTTGGAAGCTTTTCAACCATTTTTGCTTCGAATGTTGTTTGTTTCTTGTTTCCTTTTAAATCTTCTCCAGTTAGGCCTACAATTTGAAGAATATTAGAACTTTCTCTGTGCCTTATTTGTTTCTTACATTCATTTTTTTCATTCTTTCTTTTCTTCTCCGTATTCAATCTGAATATTTTCTTCTCATTTATATTCCATTTCAGTAATTTCTTCTTCAGCTTTGTTTAATTTGCTGTTAATCTAATTTATTGAGTTCTTAATTTCAGTTATTATATTTTGAGTTAAAGTGTTTCTATGATTTCTAAAAGATAGGCTTCAGTTCTCTGCCACAATTCTCTATCATATTATAAATTCTTGAATACTTATTAGAATTATTTTAGATCCCATGTCTGACAACTCCAATATCCAGATCTCCAGTTAGTCTGTTTTATGTATTTTCCTTCCTGGTATGCCTACGAAATTTAAATAATATGTTAGACACCTGGTATGAAAATAATTATAGATGTAATTTGAGACTCTGAATAATACTGTCCTTCTCAGGTGGGATTTCTCTTTGGTGTTATCAAACAATAAGCGTAGAGATAACTTAAATTAAGCTAATCAAGTGCTTACCTGATATGAGGTTTAGCCTACTTTACTTGTAAGGGCTTTACTTTTTTCTCTTCATCCTTACTTTTTGTATTCTGCAGTCATTCAGAGGTCCTAACTAAAACCTAAAATGTTTACCAGGGTTGCTCCTCCTTGCTGAGACCTGAATTCAAACTATTTCCACTCCAGCCTTGCTAGGCTCCTGGAAGATCTGATGGTTTTGGCTTCTCAGTTGCTCATACAGAATTGGCAAATGCCTCAAAAAGAAAAGTTCTGCTGACTGTTGGGCTCACCACTTTATTTTTTTCTCCTGCATAGTATATTGGCTGCTGAAATACTCATTAACCAAATTTCTGAGACTATTAGGTTTTCATTAATATTTTATCCAACTAATATAGTCATTGTCAGTGAGAGGTTTGTTGTGAACAAGCTAGTCAGCCATTATTGAAAGATTATATAATAAGGAAATTAAATTTAAAAATACCAATTGTGCAATTTAGTTTAAATTGTAAAAATATATTCATTTACCATACTACTTGAACTTGTTATATTCCATTATATATGTATAGTAGCATACATACTATTCAGATTACCAATTTGAATTACAAAGAAAGAATAAAAAGATTATCTGCCTCATGAAAAATATTGTATGGAAAAAATGACTATTCCAAATGGTTTTTGGTATGAAGAACAAGTTATAAAGGTAATGAATATATATTTTAAATAATGTTAAAAGTAATATTATGTCCAATTTTAGTATCTGCTCTTTGAAGAACAATGTACTATTTACTCCCTCTTTATGTGTAATATACTTCAATAAAATTTTGATAGATGAATAAAATAGTTTAATAAAATTTGTTAAAGTACTTCCTTTATAATATTTTACCTCTATTGTCATAATGTATATCAAATCTTTTCATTTTATTAGCATAAAGTTGGTAAAAGTATTTTCTTATTATTATTTACCTTTCTTTTCAATCTTATCTTTTGCATTGCCTCTTTCTGATATGGGTACATTCTCTTTCTCTTTCTCTCTCTATAAGTCTTCCTACAGTTTATCACTTTACTTAGAAGTATCTTGTAGGCTTGTTTATGCTCTTGACTGTATGTGTATGTTTGTATGTGCTTATGCATATGGATGATGTGCTAGCAACTGATTTCTATTCTTTGAAAAAATTCTTCTCTACTTTTTCTACATTAGCATTTTAATTTTCTTTAAATATTTAGCTCACTTGATTTTAGTCTTTTTAAAAATTAAGTGCTTTAAGACTATACCTGCCCATTTCTCTATTGTTTTGCTTTAAATGTATGTCTTATAAGCTGCTTATATGATTACTCTCTAGCTTTAATTAGATGAATTTACCTCTAATCATGTTTGATCTATTATTTTTTATTTTTTATTTTTTGAGATGGAGTCTTGCTCTGTCACCCAGGCTGGAGTGCAGTGGCGCGATCTCGACTTACTGCAAGCTCTGTCTCCTGGGTTCATGCAGTTCTCCTACCTCAGCCTCCCGAGTAGCTGGGACTACAGGTGCCCGCTACTGTGCCCGGCTAATTTTTTTTTTGTATTTTTAGTAGAGATGGGGTTTCACCGCATTAGCCAGGATGGTCTCGATCTCCTGACCTCGTGATCTGCCTGCCCCGGCCTCCCAAAGTGCTGGGATTACAGGCGTGAGCCACCTTGCCCAGCGTTTGATCTATTACTATGTTTATCCTACTTTCTGCCAAATCTATCAGCCTCACTCACCGTTTTACATTTCCTATTTTTAAGGCTGTTTATGCCTTTTCAGCATTCTTATTTTATATTTAAATCAGTACTATTGTTTAGAGCAAAATATATATTTTAAAGAATGAATTCAGTTATCTTGAGAAAAAGATTGTTTAATTGTTACACCATGATTCTTCAAATAACATGTACCAGGCATATTACCATTCTCAAGATTCTTTTTGTTGATGTAAAGCATCTAACAGATGAGGTGAAGGTAGGGAGTTCCAAAGACTTGTAATTTTTACTTGAGGTTAAAGATTTAATCATGAACACAATAAAGTTAGAAACTTAAAAGGATAGGTATTTGACATGGTTTGGCTGTGTCCCCAACCCAAATCTCACTTGAATTGTAGCTCCCATAATTTCCACACGTTGTGGGAGGGACCTGGTGGGAGATAATTGAATCATAGGGGTGTTCCCCGCATACTGTTCTTGTGGTAGTGAATAAGTCTCATGAGATCTGATGGCTTTATAAGGGGTTTCCCCTTTCGCTTGGCTCTCATTCTCTCTCGCCTGCCGCCATGTAAGATGAGCCTTTCACCTTCCACCATGATTGTGAGGCCTCCCTAGCCATGTGGAACTGTGAATCCATTAAAGTTCTTTTTATTTATAATTTAGCTAGTCTCAGGTATGCCTTTATCAGCAGCGTGAACATGGACTAATATAGTATTTGTGGTCACAGACTTAATAAGTGAGCTGCCACAAAAAATAATAAGCCCCTTTTATGACCCTATAGATTATGGTCAGAATGGAGTAAAAGTCCAGTGAATTTCACTGAAAACCAAATATTGGATGGAAGGTCCACCAGGACATTGAATAAACTGCTGAATGGTGTCAGGATTTGGGATGAAGGGAATGATGGTGAAATAAGTTCTAATGGCCTTGATATATGAAGGATACCAATCATCAAACAGGGATAGAGACTATATGGCCAAATCACATAGATTCCAAAAGCAGGGACTTTTAAATTAGTAAAAAGAAGTGGGAGTCTTCAAGAAGTAATGGAAATTAAAGATGCCATCCTTAATTCTAGTCTCTAAGCAAAGAATAGGAGACTAAGCAGGCTCTCCTTGAGAGGGTTACAGGAGAGGTGCCTTCTTCTCAAGGGTAATTGAGACCTCATCTAAGGCCAGTAGATAATAGGACTGTTCAGTAAAGAGGCTGAGAATGTGTTAGAATGTTTTAGGTGTGAAGCTGAGTTTATAGCTGGAAAAATAAAGAAGACTTGAATCTTACTATAACAGGAAAGTCAGATAACTACGTAGGGTTCTACAGAAGGAGTAGATGATTCTTGGGAATAATATATTGGGAAATGACTAAAGAAAGCTGGACTGTAAAATAAGGTGGCTTATCAAGTGAGTAAATCTCAGTAGTCTTGAGGTGGCTGTGAGTCTTTTTGGGTATCTCAGCCTCAGCCAAGTCCTGGGTTTATTGCATTTTAAGAGAGTCCTTATCTCTGTAGCATGAAGAATCTAGCTTTTAAAGCCACCTTTGATTTGACTTGACTTACATGCACTTTTGAAGGAAAGCTTAAGGCTGTTCACATTTTGATTCCTGAAGGGAAATGGCTGACTAGTGCATGCTGAGAACAAGGCCAGCATCCCAGGGGAGTGCGGCTTTGTCTCTGTGCCATTAGCAAGTGTGTTCCTTGGTGTTTCATAAGAGATATAGCCATGTTATACCCTCCTTATTTTTTATTTTTAATCAAGTCACATATATTATTTAGTATGAGTTGCTTATTATAAGGACTTTTGTAGCTATACAGCTACCACTACTGAACGCTCAATATGAACCCGGCACTCCCTGTTTACATCCAGTAGCTCATTTAATCCTTACAATAATCCATTTTACAGATTTGGTAACTGTGGTTCAGAAAGGTTAAAAAAATGTGCCTATGATCAACAGCTAGTAAGCTAGAATTTTAACTCAAGCAGTTCTAGTTCTAAAGCCTGCAATTTTTGCCATGATACCAGTGCTTCCTAAACTTTTCTTGTGATAAGAGTCACCTAAATTGTTTATTAAATATAGAGGAAATTTTGATTCAGTAGCTCTGAGTTGGAGCCCAATTATCTTTATTTCTACTTAACCCAATTTTAGTAAACACTGTGTTGGATGGTGCTGCTACTCCTCTACCCCTGTATCTGCTGTCAAAGGGTCATGTTTCCTCTAATCTGTCTTTCCAGAGCTCCTGGCTCCTGCCCATGAAAAAAAGACTGCTATGATTTTTGACTTCCCTTCTATCCTTTTTGAGGTTGAGACTAGAGTTCTGCCTGGAATAGAATTGCATTGGATACAAAAGGAAAAACAACTTGGTTTCCAATAAATTTCCTGTTCCCTTCAATCTTCAATACTTTCTGTCCTTGGATTTCTGTTGGCTCCTGTATTTCTTGCTTTCTCAGATTCCAGCTGGCTTTCACATCTTTCCCTCCCCCTACTCTGTGTTCTTGTTTTTTTCATTAGCTCTGAGCTCCTCCAAGTCTTCTGGCTTTCTTTATGCTTATTCACTCTGTGCTGTAACTTTCCCTGACCCTTTCTTCTTTCTGTGTCTATCCCCTTCCAAGTTTAGCTGTTTGTGTGTGTGTGTGTGTGTGTTTCATTTTACTTCCCCTAATCAACCAAGGGGCTAGACCGTGCACACCCATAACTTAGTGGGTTACTCTCATATGACCCATGGTTTTTAAAAGATATAAAGCAAAATTGTGTATTTGGAGGCTATCATTTTTATAGAAATTCAGATTTGAAAGGGATTGTCCAGCCTGCTTAAAGCCCTAATAATGAAAACAAAGTTTAGAATCCCAGTTTCCCACCACTGTTCTGACTATGTATTGTTAGTCTACGTAGTAGTTGCAAATTATCAGCCTAGGTGAGCCCAATATAACCCCTGAAATATTTTGTTTAGTTGAAACTGCAGTTAAAATATAAGTAAACTTGAATGCCTTTAAACAGAATTTGCACTATTAATTAATATATTTAGCTTCCTCAGGAATCAAGATTATCTTCCTGTGATTATAGATGTTTGGTTTTATGATCTTTCACATGAACAATTACATAGGGATATTTAAATGAGACCATTTCTGAACACTGGATTATTTTTCTGCAGGGTGGAGCCTAATCATTCATTATCATTCAACAAGCAGGAAATTATCTTTAAATTGCCAGAAGGTTGCCATCTTCCCTTTTGGACAATCTCCCTTTTTCTAAGTGATCAGAATTTAGTCCTAAATGAAAACTCAGGTGTTTTTAATTTCTTCTCTCAGATATAGCCATATTTATAAGCCAATTTTTACATTTTTTCTTATAGAAAATAATACCAATTAGTAAATGTTGTTCCCAAAACATTCATTCCAAAACCAGACCATAAAATAATTTTATGTGAAGGTCATTTTTAGAATTATTTAGATTCATGGAGGTTTTTATTTTTAAAATGTTTCTCCCCCCATATAGTTTATATGACTGCCAAGTAATAACAAGGATAGAAAACCTCTGAAAATTAAATAAGTAAATAAACAAAAGCTGTGGTTTCTAAACAATAATGAAGGGACCGGAGCTGTGAGTTCCAAACACATTTTTAATACAAGGAACTGAGGTTTACTTTCCTGGTTGAGAGAGCAGAAGAGCTGGGTTCTGGCACTCCGACGCTAGCAGGGCTGTAAGTATCACTGTGGAAGAGGAGGGACAAAGTGTTATGAGAAACAGAACGCCTAGAGCTTCTATCTCAAGGGCATGACCCAGACCACATTTTCATTCTTCATTGCTGTGTTCCTTTGAAAGTTCAGTTCTCCATTCTGCTGTTTATTTAGATCATGTTAATTTCTTTTCCCTGCAATTTTTTCTTGCAATTCATTTAAAAACACAAGCCTATAAACTTGTTTTAATTCAGCTTAATTCAATTAGTGATAACAATAGTAATCTTTGTGGTGAAGGTGGATGTGAGGGTCAGGTGGGATTTGGATAGAGAGAAGGCATTCCTGTTCAGAGTAAGATGATTGATGATTTTGGTGGAATTGACAGAGCAAAATCATGGGAGTTATTCATTTAGTTGTGTGTGTGTGTGTATACCTATAAAACTATAACTATTATCTATATTCATCCATCTATCTAATCTATCACTTTACAAAAATAATTTTAAGACCCCATAATCTTATAAATTGTTTTATACATTTTTTTTCAAATTTGATGAGTTTGGAGGTTCACTCACTTTTTACAAGTATTAAGACTATTTCTTTTGTATCCTTCACCTCTCCCAATGGCCAACCTCAATACTTTTGAAGTACTTGGGATACCCATCCTTGTTTTCTTCATGTTCCCTTTTACAATATGGTTGAATAGAATGAAATATCTCTTTATTAAATGTATAATATTAGCACTGGTATGTTGAGGTCTTTTTAAGGGATGTGGCTATATTTTATTTAGTTTTCTGTTATCCCAAGGACATAAACACTTAGGTCTTCATTAAATGTTTATAGAAGTAAATATAACCAACATTTCTGGTATTAAACTTTAGGTGATTTTAGCCAAATTAACTGCCTTTCTGATTGGCAAAATATGTATTTAATTACATCAAATATATCTTTGAGTAGTAAAATTAGTAGCTTTAGTTCTTATTTATTCTTTTTCATGTTAGACTATAATGCCTACTTTTAAATCCTGGTGGTGTTTTTAGAAAATTTGAAAGCCTATTTGTTCCTTTTCTTGGCTACTGTTGTAAAGATCAGAGAAATTAGATTCCAACTTTTCATTTCTTTTCCATATCTGTGTTTCTATTAAGTTAATTCACACAGTGCACAATATGCATGTTCACATGACTCTATTTTACAGGAGAAGGAGTAGAAACATTGAAGGATGTAATGATCCCCTCAGGGTTAAGCAGCTTCTCTGTTGCAATGTCTAAGCTATGGTCTCCGGTTTAGGATTCAGTGTTCGGGCTCTTTTTTCCACCAATAGTAAGTGCCTCAAATGTCACCTTACACTTATAACTTTCCAAGTCACGCTTCCTTGATTTTGTGAAGTAGAGAAATACAGATGGCAGAAAACTTCAACTACATAAAAACGCCTTTAACACAAGTTTTATTCTATGAAATCTGCATTTCATAAAGTCTTTTTGGTGAACTTTATTAAGAAGCAATAGGGTCTAGGAAGCTTGGCAAACAATGAGGCAGGAAGCCCCAAAGAGAACATGTCTGTCAGACATTTTTCCTTCTGAGTTTTCCTTCCAAATGTTTTTGGATCTTGAAGGAAGTGGAGTGGCTCTCTGCCACCACTTTCATACATCTGTAACCCACTGGGTGTACAGAGTCTGGCATTCACTTTTTAAATTCTCTACTCAATTTCATATTTATTTCACTGTGAAATAGAAACTGATCATAGGTTAATGTTGAAGTCAAAATATGAATCTTATTTTTGTTAGACACAATTTCCATTTTTGAGAATTTTGATGTAAGGGCTGATAACTCCTTAATTTTTAAAATGATATGAGACAGTTCAAACCTTGCATTTTATAGAAAACTGTGGACCTGGTCAAATGTTAAAGCTGAGAGTAATTTAGAACTCTGCTTGCCTAGGTTTTAGGACTGTGTCTAAAAGACAATTTCAAGACCTTGGAGAAACAGATATAGTTACTCAGGGTTTCACTCATGAATGTCTACTATCACTTAGCCCCCATTCCCTTATGACCGTATTTTAATATTTAATTTAATTCTGCTAAATGTATGTTCTAGAAAATATTGAAAGGAAAACTTGAGCTAAAAAAGATGGAACATAAAGCTTGCATAAATACTCATCTCTAGAGAGCTGGATCCCTTAAATCTACTTGCTCTTTGAAGAATTTGTACAGATGTTGACCTTTTGATGGGAAAGATATAGTGATAATTTATTAAATAAAATGTCAATCATTTGTCTTAATTAAAAAGTGTTATATAAGGGCAGTAGTATTATTTTAACATACTTGCTGTCAATTTGCAACTTACATCACATGGGACAAATGAAATAATACACAATATACAAAATACTACATTAACCATTAATAGAGTATTATTAATAGGAATCTGGAAAATTATATGATTAGAATAATACTAACTCCTCTTTACCAAGTAGCAAAATAATTTCAGTGACTTTGCTGAAGGCTTTACATAATTTTTGAACTCTTAGAGTTTTGCAAAGAAGATCCTGTTATTCTCACTTTCAATATAAGGAAATGGAGGCTCAGAGAGTTAATAAAACCCACTCTAGGCCACTCACCTGGTAGAGGTACTGGACTTTAACTTACACTAGGTACCAAAGCGTGAATGTTTTTCACTGCATAATGTCAGTCTATTGACTAGTAGGAACTTAGGTTATAATAATACAATTATTTATCTAGTACTCATTGGAAGATAACTTTTTTCTTTTAATATATTAATTAAGTTCTAGATTAAGCTATCACTTTAAGGAAACAAATTGTAGTTTGCTACAAATCCTTAGGATGAAGTAGCTCAACTTCTATCATTAATTCATGTTGAGACCCAACATTCACAGGCTGAGGTGGAAAAACCTGAATGAATCACTTTTCTCTCAGAGACATGTTATTCAGACTCTGTAAAGTTATTCCATAGTGGTTTTTTTTTTTTTGAAAACTTTCATGACCTTCTCCTTTTGTTCTGTACATGCCACACCACCAAAACTCTTGTAAGCTTTATAGGCTATTTCTGATACATGCATCCTTTCTTAGTTCTTTAGAAAGTAGCTCAAAATCAAAGCATGTACCATTGACTCAAAGTCATCAAAAAGATCAAATTTGTGTAAAATGTATTACTGCATTTATACCAAATATTGTGTAATGTAAAATTCACATACATAATGAAAATTCTTGGATAACTTCTGTTGGGAAATATATTTACTTTGCTTCAAACCACTGAATATTTAATCTTGTTTATAAGAGACCATCTGAAGCCATAGTGTGTAAAGTATAATGCAATAAATGTAATAAGAACACCAACATGGCACATGTATACATATGTAACAAACCTGCACATTGTGCACATGTACCCTAAAACTTAAAGTATAATAAAAAAAGGAAAAAGAAAACCTCAGTCACCTAAAAGATGCTGAGGTGCTATTTTGAGGTTAATGAAAATCTTGGTTACTAAGATATGAGTTGAGACATATAAAACAATAATTTTCCATCGTTTTCACAAGAAACATAAAAGTAAAGATACTGCAACAAATTATACATGATTGATCAGAGAATAAAGAAGATAATGTATGAAAAAAATAATGACAAGGCAGTTGTCCTCATACCCACAACCCCACCCATAAGATAAGAGCTTCAGTATATTTTCATTTAGGAAATGAGGAGTCTCAGGAGCCCAGAGCCAGTCACACTGTGACTGAACACTTGAACTTGAATTTATGCTATCACTGAATGCACTTTCATGAGGCTTTGCTGCCTTTCCATTTCTGCTTAGCATTTCAAAAAACTGCACGTGCTGAATGTTGAGGTAGCCAGAAGTTTTCAATGCCCTGTTTCAACAGCTCCTCATTCCTCCTCTCCAAAGGAGCTTCAGTCTGTGATGCTGATGCTGCACCATGGACCTCTCAGGAAGCCCTGATCCCCATCATATTTGAGGGCACCTCTCCCTCTTTTACTAAAGGTGAGAATAGGAGAAGCCTAACAACTTCTCAAACTGTTTGAAAGGAGAATAAAATATGATCCTTGTCATTAATTTTGTATGAACTCTTATTTAGCTAGTTTTGATGCAGCCATATGTAAACTTTGGTATCAGGTTCTTTGATTATTCAAACCACATGTGAAAACTTTCTTCTGTCTTCAGATTCATAGTGTGCTTGGAAACATTTACTATTAATCAGCAGGGACAGAAGAAAGTGAATGCTGGGAACACTTTCACAAAGTTTAAAATATTTAAAATAGGCTGAATTATACTATAAAATAATGATATTTCACTAATTCCCAGGAGTGAAAAATAAGTGTGAAAAATTAAATTTATGCATAATCAATAAAACATAGAATTTCCATATACAGTAGAAATAATAGGAATTGAAAACCAAAAAAACTGGGCATATCTTACACAGTTTTTCTATCTGGACTGCCATTGCAGCAGAACATAATTATATTTGGTCTATAGGGTGTATGTTTTATTTTTTACATTTTGGCTTTAATTCCTCCCACCCCTTGCCACCCAAGCACATGCCAATACTTCTTAGATCACTAATTTATAATTTCTTAGTTATCAACTAAACATTTGAATACTTTCCGAGTGTTTATAAAATTTAGTTGTTATAATTTTCATAAGAGCAAACACTTATTGCTTATAGACTTGTTCTTGTAAATATGTTTTTATATATCACCGTGTGTGCATATACACATAGCCACTGAAATTGACACTATCCATATCCAAATATATTTGTCAGTATATGAATGTGTCTTTATGTATGTAGGTTTATGTATATGAATATATATATTTATATATGGACATATTTACTATTGTTGGGTAAATGGTAGTATATCAAAGCATTTTTTTTTCTTGGAGTTAGAGCTCTTAAGGGGAAGTAATGAGTTGGCCAAAGAGAAATTAGGAACTGCAGCAATTGAGGACATTTGTGTATGAGATTGGTATAATGAGAACTGAAAGAAACCACTGAAAATTGGGTATGTATGAGAAAGCATTGATAAGGTAGACTCTCCACTATCCTGCACTGTTTCATCAGCCTTGTAGTTGATCGCTTAGCCTGTTCTACTCTTGTCTTTGAGTGTCCTTGTGACTGTAAAACAGTACCTCAAGTAAGTTTTCCAGTGACCATTTTAAGTTTCTAAATTTCTTCTTAAGTAGCTTTGGACAGTAAAACATAGTCTTACTATTACTGGACAAAATCCATGTAAGTCAGCTGTTGATGTTTTCTCTCCACAAGAACTGAAAGGAGACCGTTCCAGGGCAGGGCAACTGGTGGTGGCAACAGATGTTGAGGCCTTTACCAAACAATCATCTCTCATTTTTTTCGAAGTACTCAGCGTTAAAAATAATGTCTCTGTGTGTGTGTTTCTTTCAGTACCCTGTAATACATGTAGATGTTCCTGATATTGGTACTTCTAAAATACAACTGGAAACTTAAAGAAGGATAGAAAAATTTAAATTTAGTCAATCAACTAAATTATCCCAACACACTGTATATTCTAAACAAATAGTATGTAATGTTTATCAAAATTATTACTTCCCAGAAGATTCTCTTATTAATAAAAACTTGGAATATATCTAAACTACATTATCTTACAAAAATCATCTTTAAAACTTTGATCCTTTTCATCCTACAATCTCAGGAAATTTGGGTTCCTCATCTAAAAGAAGAAAATATATAAACTACATTAGAGGCTTAGTTCACTTATAACCTGTTTGTTAACTATTCCTTTGAGGGGAAGTTGAAATCAACCACTGTGGTTTATTATTTAATAGAAATTTAAAATGACTTATGAATTTTGTAAGGAAATTTTATAGACTTGTTTGAGAACATTTGTGTTATAGTTTATAATTTCTTCCATCATTTAGTTTATCGTATGCTGAGAAGACCTACCTGGAATGGTCCAAGTGAAGAAAGATAAATCATTTTCACTCAAAAATGAAAGAGTGGTATGAAATGAAATGAAATAAAATGAAAGAAGAAATTAGAAAATGCTCTTCAAACTATGGAATTAGAATGGATAGTAATATAAAAATTGGAATCTAAATTTTTATATGTGCTGCATTATACTGATAGAAGAGTTGTTCAAATCAATTTTACAGCTGATGATAAACTGTTATTTAGACATAATCATATACTTTTTTTAAGTTGGCTTTTAAGTGAGAGCTATGGTTTTCAAATACTGCTCCTTGGATCAGCGGCATCACCATCATCTGTGAGCTGGTTAGAAATGCAAATTCATGGACCCAGTCTAACCTAATGAATTATAATCTCTGGAGAGGGATCCCAGGAAATGGCTTTAACAGGTTCTACAGGGGATTCATATGCACATTAAAGTTTGAGAACCACTGATCTAAAAGTCCATGGCTGAAGGGCCTTATGATCTATATAGCAAACAGCTGGGAATTAGCAGATTGGGTTTCTTTTCTCAGTTTTACTTGTAGGGCCCTTATTTCCTTCTTTTAGATAAGGAATCTAAATTTCCTGAGATTGTAGGACAAAAAGGATCAATGTTTTAAAGATGATTTTTGTAAGATAATGTAGTTTAGATATATTCCAAGTTGTTATTAATATGAGAATCTTCTGGGAAGAAATAATTTTGATAAACATTACATACTATTTGTTTATAATATATAGTATGTTGGGATATTTTAGTGAATTGACTAAATAATGCTGCTGAAATGAACTGTTAATATACAGAATAATATTAAACATAATTGAACAACCCGATGAATTGTGTTAGAGATTAGTTTTCCAAATAGAGGCTTAGTTCACTTATAACCTGTTTGTTAACTATTCCTTTGAGGGGAAATTGAAATCAACCACTGTGGTTTATTTTTTACTAGAGATTGAAAAGAAAAACATTGATTTATTGTTTAAGATGGCTGATAAAGGTTGCATCCAAGTTTAGCAGAAGTGTGCAAATTTTTTTCTTTGTTTTGGTGTTTCAGTCTGCAGATGTTAGCTGTTTTTTGTGAGGAAATAATGGTGTTAGCTATGAGTTTTCTTGGAAAGAAAGAGCTTAAAAGCTTTGGTGTGCTGGAATCACAGTCTGCACAGCCAAATGAACATGGATGGAATGTTAGGTGAAGCCCATGGGGAGTCATTCAACAGCAGCATCTGGAAGGAAACAATAAGTGATTGGAAGGTTTACTTTTCAGGCAAATGATTAAGAGGCGATTAAATGAAGGTGTTAGGATGTGAGGGAGGGAAGGAAGCACTGAAGGTGTATATATAATATGGAACAGAGGGATTATGGAAAAGACTTAACAGAATGAACTACAGATCACAGCTGAACTTATAAAAAACTGAAATTGGAATTTGGACAGAACAGCTTATAGGTATCACATGAAACAGAACATGAGATTCATATAATGCAGAACATACTGGGAAGCATTTTTCTGGAATAGTAAAGGACAGTGATGATGTTTAGTTATTCAGAGCCACTAGGCGTCATTTCCTAGAGTTGCAAAGACATCCTGCTATTACACCTTTATAGTTTTGCTCTAGTTATATTGGCCCTACTTTAAAGTCCTAAGAAAACGCTGGCCTTTGGAAATGGAAATCCAAGGCTTTGATCAAGTGAGTGATTTTGCTTTAGAAGTTTGATAACTTACTTATACTGCAGCAGTGTTGATTTAAGTTACTTTGAACAAAAATTTTGTTTTACTCTTCTTGTGAACAATCCTGTCTTCTGGCTCATTTATCTTGCCCAATGACACTTTCCACTCTCAATTGTGAATGAACGAATGAATTAGTGAATACAGGAATGAATGTATATATTAACAAAGCTCTATGCTTAGATGATATAAGAAGTAGTTTATTTTTTCCTTAAAGGTTCATGTTTATTTTAAAAACAAAATGAAGTTTAACTCTGAATATATGCTTTTCTTCTTGATGCTAGACATTTCAGCATCTGGAAAAGTGAGAAATTACAGAGAAAGGTAAGGCAGCATTATGGAAGCCAGTGTTCTTCTCTAGCCCCAGTCCTTCATAATCATCCCTGAGAGGTCATTTAATTTAAATGTATGGAGATTTTGCAAGCATAAGATTCAATCTCTGCACATCGAAGAATTAGATTTAATTAGGCAGTATGTCTAAACTCTGTAACACACAACCCCATATTCTTTGTGGCTTATAATAATTGCAGGTGAATTTTTGCTCAAGTCCAGTGTGAATGATCTGGTCATTCCAGGACCCACGCTCCTTCTTGTGCCCCTGCTCTCCTCTAGGTCATTTCCATTTTGCTGGGAAAAGAGACCATAGGAGGAAACATCCACTTCCTACCACTTCACTCAGAAAGTAACATGACTTTGCTTCACTCCATTGTCCAGAAATAACTTCAATGGTCACACTCAGATGTGGGGATGGCAGCAGAGTTTTACCTATTTATGTTCATAGTAGTCTCTGCCAGATAGACTTAACCTTCTGGTCAAATCTCTAGGAAGGCTCCTCTTTTTCTTGATTATAAGGAAATGTTAAGCAAATTGGGCACATTTAGAAACAAACAAATTTGGGCAAATTAAATAAAGGACTATATTTGTAGTATTTGCTCTACACTAAAACTTAGGGGAGCAAAACGTTTTCGTGGACTTTTTTTGGCGGGAACAAAAAGTCTCATTTAATTTAATTTCAATAACTCTCCTCCTGTCCAGCCTTGCTGCTTATCTGTCTCTTTAGACTGGCGTTCCCTTAGGGTGATGGTTTCATTAAGTGCCTCTGAGAAGTCAAAATGTGTCTGCTAAAATGTGTCTTAGGGTTGGATCCATAGCTAAATGAAAGGTATGGAAATGCCTACTTTCCCAAAATGGCTACCTTGGGGTGGAAATCAGATTTAGATAACCAAAATCATAGTCCTGGCAGATTATGAACAAGGTTAGATAAATTATATTGAGATTTGGAAGGAGTAGCAGTTTGGATACTTCTGGTCATGGTGGAATCATTAAGGGATAGAAGGAAAATTGTTTTAAAGAGCCAAGGAGCAGCTCTTGGGGTAGCATGGTTGAAAGCAAAGTTCCTTTTTCACATGTTTGCCCAGAGCTTACCCTCTGGAAAAGAAAGTGGAAAAAGCTCAGTCTCCAGGATGGCCCATGTATGGGACTAAGTGATTCTTGGAGCAGTGGCTCTGCTTATTTGTGATTGTTATTGGTCATCATATTCACATGGAAGGACTATGAGATCTAGAAGCAGAGCCAGAGACAGTGATCTTGTTCTGTCACGGTGAAAGCTATGGATTCTGATAGAGCTGGAATGGAAGTGTAAAATCATTAAGTCTGTATTCTTTCAGAGTAAATTTATATAGTAAATTTAAGTGGGACAATCAAGTAATTTATGGTCCTAACAAGGACCATATGAGAGAATATGGGGATAGGATTAATTACCCTCTGAAAACAGGTATAAACCAGGACCACCTCAAACAAACAGAGATGTATAACCACCTTACTTTTAAAAAGTGATAGTGCATTCATCTAACGATAACCCACAAGTATTTAATGGCCCTCATTTTAAGAAGCTTTCATCCTCAACCTATAGTTTAAACTTAATCCTATGTTAAATAAAGTTTGACAGAAAAATTAACCTTAGTAGGGTAACCCTTTGCACATTTAAGTTATAAATTTGCATGTTAGTTTTCTATCCTTCTGGTTATGCATTTCCAGTATGTTTTAGCCTTGCTTGTCCTACCTATAAGATGTGCTTTAATCATTTTGCGGACCTTTCCTAATTCCCTTTCTCCATTTAAATGGAGCCTGAAGCATGACAGGGTTCTGTAGCTAGTTTTCAACCAAACCTGAGTAAGGCACCAGTATTTTTGACAGACCTAAACCTAAACTTTTATTTAAGTATCCTGTTTCTCACTTGTTCAGCTTGAGGATAGAAGGTTGTGGAACAAATTAGGCACAGCCTGCAAGTACATGAAGCACTTTTAAGTACAGTACGGGCACCAGCTGTACTCTATACGGGCAACGTAATTTATTGCTAACCCCTTTCCCCCTTGTATACGGAAAACATTTAAGCAGGGCTAGATTTAGGTTTACATGGAATGAGCAAATACACACATGATGTGATTTAAGAAGGATTAGAAATTCAGTGGCCCCAGACCACCCCTCACCAGCCTGCTCACATTCCCAACATTAGAGACACCTCTGGGGTTCAAAATATGGTGTCTCTAAAATGAAATAGGTCACCTGGAAAGGAAAGTATAATAAAGCCGGTAGTAACCTCATCAGCTGGGTACAGAGCCCTAAAGAAACAAAATACAAGTTTTAATTAGAATCGGGGCTGGGAAAGGTCAGTGTGTTAGAAAGCGAAGCCAAGTGAGGGGTCAGTGAGTGAGAAGCAAACTAGATATGGCTGAGAGCAGAGCTGGGGTTGCTGATGGCAAGCACTGCCCAGGAGCACAGACGCGCTGCCAGGCAACCAGAAGTGCAGTTATTTTGGCGCACCAGCCTGATGTTAGATGCTACAGGCAGGAAAGCAAAATAAGTTAGTGTCTGGCTTAAAGGCTCATCCCCTTAAGCAGGATCAGATTAAAGACAACCATATACTTTAAAGCTTAGTGGCTGGAAAAATATACGAATAAATCTTCGTGTAAGACTATGTAGTATAAATTAGTGTCTGTAGATGAATTCTCAGTTTGGGGGTTCTTGGAAGTAAAATGGAGAGAGCAAAATATTGCTATCATTAGGGTGATTGAATCTAACTTTATAAAGTGTGAGAAAGCTTCTAGGAAAATATTTAGCAGTATTCTGGGGGAAGGGAGGAAAGTGTTTAACTGAGAAGCAGGTTTTGAATACATTTAACAATTTACTTTACTTTTTATTACATTTGGGACTGTTTCCCTCTCGTAAGTATTCTGACTTTCTATGCATTTTACATCAAACTTCCAGGAGAAATCAAGATGTAAGGTACGCATCTGCCCTGCCCAGCCTGGGAGTCAGGAGACTTATTTTGTCAGGGTGAAAAGTTAATGTACTCTCAGCGTCTCCACTTGGCCCTCGTACCCAAAAGATCCTAATCTAATCAGCTGTCATCTCTCGTCTAGATTATTTCTATGAACTCCTAATTTTTAGTCTCCTTGTTTTTGCCCTGGCATTTTTCAGTCTATTCTCTATAAAATCCCGAGTGAGCATAGTCCAATGTACCTCAGATCATATCATCCCCCTGCTCCCGAGCCCACTCTCTAGTGGCTTTCCATCTGCCTGGGAACAAAAATCTTTACCCAGGCCCTCTTTACACTTCCAATACCAATTTGCTATTTCCTTACTCCTTGCTCACTCTTCTCCATCTAACACTGGTCTTCTGGTTCTTGCTAGAACAGTTAACACCCTGGGCACATTTCCCTTGATCAACTCACAGAACATTGTGCTGGCTGTCCCCTTGAATAGAAGGCTGTTCCTCAGGATGTCTGTATAGCTTTGCAGTCATCCCCACCACTTATTTCATTTTATTCTTTGCTCAAAACACAATTCTTACATAAAATGGCAACCTATTTCTTATTCCCTTAGTTCCTCTCCTCTTTACTTGATTTCTTTGTTTTTATAACACTTATACTATATATTTTAATTATTATTGTTTTTTGCTATTGTCTGTAAGTTTGTGAAGACAGGGACTTTTGTGTGTCCTGTTCACTGCTGTCTGCCAGGCCTCATCAAATAAAGTAATGATTTGATGAGCTTTTTAATAGCTTATCAATAGTCACAGGTAAGTTGATGCTGCTAACAATTATTGCAACTTTTCTCCTTCCAGTTTAGGGAACCCCCGCAAAGATCCTGCATACTGGCCTTCAGGGTCAAAAATCTTTATTATGGCCAGTAATACCAATGGAAATGTTCAACTCTACCTCATCCTGCCCAAAAGAACCCCCACAACAGAAACATGTGTATTCCGTTAGACCATGGGACCTACTGTTTAAAAGAGCAGTGATCCAGGCATTCAATCTTCCTTTTGTCGAAATTTCCTCACCAAATGCAGCTCCCATTCCAAGTGTTTGTGAAGGCTTCCCTTGAATAACTAATATGCAAATAATGATTCTATTTGTCTTCCCCAGAGTGTCAAGACACACCATGTATAGTGAATTCTTGTTAGTTTTCAAAGCCATAATATGAATATGAACATCCTTTATTAAGTGGCTGACAAAAAGTTCATCGCTTCTTTGAAATCTGATTGGATGAATTGTACCCATTTATTTATTCCATAAGTGTTTACTGAGTGTGTGCTATACAACAGGATCGGTTCTAAAGATTGGGACACAGCAGTGAACCCAACAAAATGAAGCGCCCTCAAAGGGCTCTTAGTTGAAGAGAAGATACAGGAAATAGACAAACAAATAGATGCATATATAACATGCTGATGATGAGTGCTAGAAGCATAATAAAGAGTAAGGGGAGTAGAGAGTGGAGTTTCCTTTTTGTTGTGGGATCGTTGTTGTTGTTGTTGTTGACTTTTTGATATTTTATGGAGTATTTTTAAGGAGTAGAGCCCCTGTAGGCAGTGAGGAAGTGAGCCACAGATATATATAGGGGAAGAACAGTCCAACAGGGGCAAATGCAAATGCTCAGGTGTTCAAGAAATGGCAAATAATTCAGTGTGGCTTCAACAGAGGCAAAGGATGAGTGGGAGAAGGCATCATAAAGGTGGTAAGATGTAAGTTCATGGGGCCTCCAGGGCCATGGCAAAGACTTTGGATTTTTCTCTGAGGGAAATGGAAAGTTATAGAGGATATTGAACAGAGAAGTGATGTGATTTAGTTGATGTTTTCAAAGTATTAGGAAGGCTGCTTTCTGCCTTGCAGAGGAGGTGGCAAGAGTGGAAGTAGAGAGATTGCTTATAATGTTCTTGCAGTTATCCAAGTAAGAAATAATTATTTTAAAGATAGAACATGATCTGCTGATAGATCTGATATAGGGTATGAGAAGAAGAGAGGAATCAAAGATGAGTTCATGTGTATTTCCAAAGAACAGGAAGTCTGTGGGAGAACAGAATGTAGAGGAATGGATTAAGTATCAGTTTTAGAACAAACGCCTTAGACCTGGGCAAGGAGGACCCCTTCCCTGGCCATGGTGCCTAAAGGGGTCCTGTGTATTGGCATAGCTTCCTCTAAATGCCTAAGTCCCCCTCTACTGCTTGGATTGTTCTCAGCATATTTCATTGCCCTTATAATTTGAATGTCCCAAATATTATGGTTTCTGAAAATTCTGATACATTTTGATGTCAAGTTTTTTTCATTGAATTAACTATAGTGGCAATTAGAATCACTAATGTACCCCAAGAATGATGGCTAAATGAATAACTGGGTTGCTTAAAGGAATCGTGAAGTCTCTTTTGCTTGAGGGTGTAGGTCAATTCAAACCTTATCCTGTGATGTGAATGTCTAACTATTCATCTGCCAGCTCCATATTCTGCAAGTGGATCCACAATTTAAAAAATTTTAGATCTTTTTACACCCCAAAACTATGTTTTGAAGTTACAAAGAAACTCCCTGGGGTGAAAGAAGAAATTAAAGCCTAGCTTGTGAAGAAGATAGGACTTTTTTGATACTCTTGCCTCTAAGCATATGATGCCAATCAGAATTATTAATGTATTTAATTTGCTTTTTACATTAGTATTTTTTTCCATGAAAACATTTCTAACAAGTAACTAGCTGTGCCCCCTGTATTCACTTATGGCATTATTGAGCCAGGTTTTGAATACGAGCTCTCATTTATCCTCATGTTGAAGTGAGTGCCCCTCTGTTGCCTCTCAAAGGTTCAAACTGAGGTTGACATTGCCAAGTGGAACAGGATGGGTGGAGTTGATGTTGTCAGCACTGGAGGTGGATAAAAATGTTGGCAGGTTCCAAAATGGGATAATGTCTCCAAAGTGTTTTGAGCTCCTTGCTGAAAGAACTTGAATAATTTCCAGGTATTATTTTGATTGTGGCAAGAGCTGTGTAAGGTAATCTGCTCTACTATCAACAATGATTCCTTTCATTGCAAATTTTAAACAAGTAGTTATATTTTAAAATGATAAATGGAATAATTTAAGTTACCATTTTTGCAAAATATCAGAAAAAAATGTCCCATGTCTTCAAGTTAGCCTTACAAAAAGGGAAGCAACAAACATTGATGAAGTATTAACTCATCAATGTGCTAATGCTTTATATACACATTCTCATTTAATCCTTAAAACAGACTTATGGGCTAAATGCTATTATTATTCCCACTTTTAACAGAGGAGAATGAGGAAGACTACATTATTTTCTCATGTTTTCTCATCAGTACATGATAGAGCTAGATTGTTTGTCTCTAGAGTTTTTCATCACCAGTCTGGATGCCCTACTATACCATCATTTTTTTTTCTTTGGAGACGGAGTCTCCTTCTGTCACCCAGGCTGGAGTTTGGTGGCCTGATTTCGATTCACCACAACCTCCGCCTCCTGGGTTCAAGCAATTCTCCTGCCTCAACCTCCCGAGTAGCTGGGATTACAGGCATGCACCACCATGCCCTGCTAGTTACATACATACATACATACACACACACACACACACACACGTATATATGTAAATACATGTATATATATACATATATGTGTGTGTATGTGTGTGTGTGTGTGTGTGTGTGTATGTATATATATATATATAGAGAGAGAGAGAGAGAGAGATGGAGTTTTGCTCTTGTTGCCCAGGCTGGAGTGCAATGGCACGATCTCGGCTCACTGCAATCTTCTCCTCCCGGATTCAAGTGATTCTCCTGCCTAAGCCTCCTGAGTAGCTGGGATTACAGGCACGTGCCACAGTGACCAGCTAATTTTTTGTATTTTTAGTAGAAACGGGGTTGCACCATGTTAGCCAGGCTGGTCTTGAACTCTTGACCTCAGGTGATCCAGCCGCCTTGGCCTCCCAAATTGCTGGGATTACAGGTGTGAGCCACCACGCCCGGCATATACCATCATTTTTAAAACTTTTGTAAGATTTCCTTCAGTAGAGCTATTGGAAACACAGCTGCTAAATAAACTAATGCTTTATTTTAGGAATATTTTAACTAGGGTATCTCCTTCAAAATTAGTCTCTGTATCCAAATAGGCTTTCTTTGACCAAATTCTAGCACAGGGTCCTACACACATTAAATGTCCACTCAGTAGTAAGTGGATGAATAAATAAACAAAAAATAATTTTCTGTACCTATTATTTGTATAATGGTCATCACATATATACATACAGCACTATATGTGGCTTTACCACAACTCTTTTTAGCTATTGTAACCTCCATTTTTTATAGATGAGTAAATGAGGTACAGAGTGGTAATAGAATTTTTCACTATACTAGGGATGGAAAATATATTTTTTATTGCAGAATAGAGTCAATCATTGATAGTAGATACCTGAATTTAGATAATAGTTTCTACCTGGATAGCAGATACTGGAGTAGGTAGCTCTATTGAGAATGCCTAGAAGATGCACCTGTACTCATTGTGAAAAACTGCCATATTGAATTACTATTGTCTGTCCCGAGTTTGAAATGGAGGACTGGTAGCATTCATGTTTAGGATTTTAAATCTCTATGCTACATGTATATGCCCTACAGAGATAGATCACTACGGGGTTGTCTATTTGAGACTTTAGATTCTGTAATGAGTATTCAGCAATCATTTATCTTTTTTGTGTGTGTTTGTTTGTTTTTGGATCCCTGCATTTTTTTAAAATGCCCCTTAAATTACTTTTATAATTTATTAATTCATTTTAATTGAGTTTCCTTTCATATAGTTAGAACTTTGGTTAGTCTTGATACAGTGGATCAATGTGATGTTCTGCAGAATGTCCAGCTATTTCAGGTCCCTTTGAAATATATTATGACAGACAATAGGTGAATGAATATAGCACTGAGAGAATTCTATAAAATCTGCTGTTGTCTGTCCCAAGCAAATTGGAATTTTAATGCTGTTTTTTCTTTCAGGTACAGAAAAGAAAGCTTTCATCCATTGGAGGCTGCATACCATTTAAATAAGGCAGTGTTAATTTGCTTTTGCAAAAATACTGCAACTGGGACAGAAGCTACAATTGGGGTTTATTTATGGTAGCTTAGTGTCATCCTCCAAAATCATAACATCTTTCTGGTTTGGGTAGAGGCTGTACTGGTGATTAGAGGGGGTTGCTGATGAGGCCATCACCCCTGTATCTTTTACTTTCTTTAGATTCTTGAGGATGGTAATAATCTCTGCTGGCTCACCTAATATGCTTTCTTCTTCTCCTCCCCCTCCTTTCCCTTCCTCTTCTTTTTCTTTTTTTACTATTTCAGCTGAAGGAGAGGAGGGAGAGATTTCAGAAGCTTCTACTTGCCCTTCCTTGTTACAATAGCTCTTACATTACAAGTCAAGGAACTAAGATGCAGTAAGGCCTGTTCCTAATACTAAATATGTTATTTCCAATTATATACTCAGGGACTGAGAAATAACCACAGGGAATAAGGACCCAGGACTCCACTTATTATGCGGTCCTCCTATTTCTCATTTTAACAATGGGGATATAATGATACTTTGGGTCTCCAAGTGTCATTGTCAAATTGAACCTTGTATCCAAGAATCTGAAATTTTTGGTATTCTTCTTTACCCAGTGTAAATTTACTCAAATGAATGCCTATAGATCTCTTTGGGGAAAGATTATATGAATTACTTTATATAGTTCTCTTAGTATTACAAGGTCCTCATCATAAACATCTGGCTGCTGCTTCAGTCACTTGTGGTTTATTTTTTTTTTTTTGGTCTGAAAATTGGCTAAGATGTATAGACTAGGCAAGGGATCATGACTTTTACATTGAAGCAGCTAACCAAAGCTAATTGATGAGCTATAGCCTTCATTAATTTTTATTGTATAGGTCAGGATGGCTTAACCTTAACACTATGGATTTTGGATGTCTTCTTTGTTGTGGAGTCCTGTCTTGTGCATTGTAAGATTTTTACCCTACTAGATGCCAGTAGTGCCCAGCAATTTTGACAACCAAAATTTCTCCAGACATTGCCGGGTGTCCCTTGGGGTGCAAAATTGTCCTGAATGAGAACGAGTGAATATGTTAATAATTACACTGCTGCAGGTTGCCAGGGAGTAGCAATATCCCACCTACTTCGAAGAATATGAAATAACTGAAAATTAACCAGCAACTCATCTAGCTCCCAAATCCCATTTTGGAGACCACTTCCTCAGTTCACTCCTGGCACTAATTTTCTTAGGTCTGGTTCCCTGGGAACAGTCTCCTGGACAAGGATTTGTTTGCGGGACGTTATTGCCATTGGATTCAATAACTGTGGGGAAGTAAAGGATATAAAACTAGGTAGAAGAATAAGTTGAACTATGATGTACTCACAACAGAGGCTTCAGTGAGTCACACAGGAATCCCAGGAGCTGATATGGCCTTTCCAGTTAGGATGGGGGCATGACCTTGGATAAAGTGGCGCTGTAGCTGAGGGTGATTACAGAAAAGGGGCCCAGTGAAATGCCATCAGCTGCCAAAACTTTAGTTTCTGAGAATTTCTCCACCCTAGGAGTACCTGAGCAACATCTCACAACATCCGCTGTAGTCTATTAATCAGAAATAAAAATTTCCAAAGGTATAGATTTCACCTAACTTCACTAGGATATGGTAACATTTTTCTCAACCCCTTCTGCCACCTTTAGCACTCAATAATTCATCTCCAACAAATATAAAACACTGTTCACATATCAAGAAGTATAAGGGACCATAGATTGTTGTTTTCTGAGAATTTTTGTTGTGTGTCTGTAGTCACGCAAATGCTCATTTTTATTTTTGCCAATCAGAAAAGAAACATTACATAAAGCTGTATTTTGATGGAAGTTTCATTAATATCTGAAAATTTTTATTTGAAGTTTGAATGGATTTGGGTTGATGACTGTGTGGATGACTGAGTAGTCTTACTGTGCTTAATAGAGTGTATTATAAAGCTGAAAACTCATAGCACATCACTGATGTGATTTCCCAATTTGACATTGTTATATAATCAATATGGCATAACAAAAAAAAAGTAATGAAATTTGATTGCTTTTTATAAATAATAACAGCCTCAATTAAAATAACTATTTAGAATGATGAATTATGTCTTCTTAGCTAAATATTAAACCAAGTGTCCTCAGCTAACACACTGCTATGCCATCTTAGGAGTTTGAACTTGAAAACTCTGACAATTTATGCATTTTAATAGTTTCCTTCAACTTTGTGGCTATCAGGACATGCTGCTGGTATAACTGGCTTAATATGAATAGTTTCATTTTCTATTATAAACCGTAGTTTTCAGAAATGTATCATCCCAGAAAATATTTCCATGAGGAAACTTGGCATATCACAATTTTATCCCAGAAAATTAAGCTTTACCAAATACACACAGACACACACACACACACACACACACACACACACACTTCTGTATTTGCAGGGGGCAAAAACAATTTTCGTAGTTTTCAAAATAAATTTTGGGACTGACAGCAAGGTGGGAGAGTGTGAGATCAAACAAATTTTGTTGGTGAAGACACTAAGGAGAAGAAATTTTCTATATAAAATATTTGAAGTCAAACATTTCCTTTTGATTTTCAAAGTAACACTTTTATTACTATCTTAACCTTCAATATAGCAATAATGATTGTAATTGTAATGAAACACCTATAGGTCATGTTGGCTATTTTTCATAGTTTATTTTGTTTCAATGTTAAATTGCCATGAATACAAGAATAAATAATTTTATTTATTAAAATAAATAATGTAAATAACAGCCACCATTTAAAGAAGCATTATCATGTTTACAGCATCTTGTGCTCTATCAATTCATAGAAGTTTTTCTGTTTTGAATTATTTTAATGCTTTATTAAATTCTTGCATTAAAAATTCCTATTCTTGATTTCTTTGATTTTTTTCTTCTTACATGTACTTTGTCTCATTTTTGTTTTTTCTATTATTTTGTTACTATCCATGTTTTATAAACTTAATATTCTTCATTTTCTCTATTACTTAATATTCTCTAATCTACTTACTATTATCTATTTTAATCTCATATTTTCTATTTCCTCTTTCATAGTTTGTTTTATTCATAATGTAGTTTTATATTAAAACAATAATTAATTGATGAATATTAAACACCTGGCTGCATTTATTGCTGAAGCTACTTTTAAAAAAATGGAATTTATTTAAGTAGTAAGTGAACACATATGGTAAAGATGCTAAAAACCTCATTTTAAAAATTTGAATAAACAATTTTAGATGATCTTACCTTGTCCATCTTTCTACTACATTTCAATCTGTCATATGTGGCAAATGCCCCTTGTATAATTTTCTTTTGCTTTTTTGTAACTACTCTTGATTGATTCAAGTGTTCATGAAATGTATATAATGTATATATTTCCAGGAGAAACTTGTATTTATTTATGCTGTATGTCCACACTGATACTCTGTACTGATTTTCCATTGAGTTCCAAGAGTTAATATTAGGATACATATACAGAGAGGGCTTTTATCATTTCTAGAGCTTGTTTTTAATCTCTCCTAAAGCTTTTACTGAAGGCTGTTGAAAACAAAGTGTAGCACAATTCTCCACTTCTCTTCTGGCTGTTCAAAAACTGCTAAAAAGTAAGCAGATACCTTCCTTTACTTTTTGATGTAGTAAGTTAAGACATATTGTTTATTGAGTCTTAGATGACATAATAGTACATTACAAACTTATTTTTGCATGGTTACAAATAAATTTTTATTAAACTGCCAAAGATTGCCTGTGAATCAACGTTGGCACATAGGTATTCTGAAAGAACAGTTTCACTATCAGCTTTGTTGAGTCACCTTTCCATTCTAGAGAGATACCCAGGAAGAGAAATGTCTTTTGATTGCTCTGGATGATCAAGGTTTCTATGGATATCTGCTATATAAATGATAATAGTTTGTATTTCTCATTATATTTGATTAAAACAGAAATTAATATCTAAAAAGCAATAAATAGCAGAATGTGGAGAGTTTAACATTACCACAAAATGCACCATGTGCATATTTCAAATGAGACAACAAAAATAGATTTTCTTGGAAAAGCTGATCTCTAATGCCCCCTTAAAAAGCCTAATTTAATTTTGAAAGAAAGTCACACAATTTCCTGATTCAGCCCTCTGATCTGTGTAATAGGAACATTTGATTGGAACATCATAGCAGTTCTTGGGAATACTGGCTATGAAACAGAATATTTCAATATTCATAAAGACCTTATTTACACAAAAAAATACTTCTCAAGAAATGAAGTGCATGAAACATAAGCAAATATGTCTGGAAATTTCTACTATAGATGATGTTATTTTCCTAGGGGAAAAAAAAGCAGTACTTGTAGGGTGACTAATAAGCAATCATATCTATTACCATTAGAAGGGTTGATTGTATATATAGAAGTCATCCATTATTACTGCTGAGAAATGTGTGTGCTACACACAAGCATACACACGCTGGCATACACCCACACACACTCTAAATATTTCAGAGAAATCCCCATCAAAATATGCCTTCCATTTAATTTTATGTAAGATTGAAAAATGTGAGTGAAGCACATTACTTATGTTCTGTATAAAAGAATGATTCATTATTATTTTCTTCAACCATAACTCAATAGTTGGTGATGTATTTAATCTTAACCTAAAGAAAACTAGAATAAGAGCCAGGGAGCTTAGCTGGGTAAACTTAGGAAGTCATTTAATCTCTTTCAGGTCTGCCTACCTCACAGAGTAGCTTCACAGATGAAACGCAGATAGAAAAGTTCTTTGGAAAAGTAAAGTAACATATAAATTCAAGATAGTATTTCTTTTATTGTTACTCTATGAAAGTGAACCATTAGAAATCTGATGCCAAACGTGGGCATACGCTCAGCCATAAAACATAGCCTTTTGAAACACTCACTCTGGATAAAACATCTTTTGTTTTTTCGCTAGTATCATATACTACACTGCACATTAAACAGGATATACTGAGCTCTGTAATGTAGGACATTAAATGCTATAAAAATAAATTTTTAGACTATTGGCCTGTTTAAGAAGTATGTTTCTAACTTCTCCAGACTACATTAAAATGCAACACAATTCCTTGTAACTTACAAGTCATTCGTTAATTTTCATATATTCAGTATGTAAGAAAAGTGTCCCTCCCCATCCCTGCCTCACAGTTGCTTCCAGATCTCTATAGCACTAAAATGTAAGCTAGTTATGGGCAGGAGTTTTGGTTGAATGATTCACCTCCTATACCCAATAACTATAATAATGCTACTTAGCATGTGTTAGCTAAAAGAAAGTTCAATTTTACTTGTCCAAATTTTATTCATTCATTTAGTCAAACATTGATCAAGTGCTTATTATGTATCCATTTTGATAACTCTGAGGGTTTTAATAAAAAAGGAGAAACAGGCAAGCAAAGAAGTACTCATAGATATGCTTTAAAATAGGCTTCTACAAAACGTTATGAAAATACAGAAATGAAATAACTTAATTCCATCTGCGGAAGTCAGAAGTCTCTTGAGTAGATGACAAATTGAATCTTGGATGATCAATAAAATCAATAAAATCAATAAAAATTTTGTTGAAAATAATTGGATATTAATGGAGTTAATAATAGTATTGAGGAACAATTTTTATGGAACCCTTGCTTATCTGCATGTTTTATTAGCAAGGCACTGATTGCCTTTCTTTGAGAATATCTTTTCAAGAATGTTTTTCTAGCAAACAGCCATAGAAAGAGAGATAGTATCTCTCTCTAAGGCAAAGGGCAGGTATGCCTACAGCCCATTATGAAATTCTGAGGTTCCCCAAGTGCAGCTCCTGCAGTGTGAGCCATTGCATATGCTGGTGTTACCTGGTCATCCTCTAGTTTCTCATTTTTAAATGGGTTGCCTTTCATACTTGTTGACTATGTGTGATTTAAGAGCCCTCTCTTACTGATCTTTAGTCTCTTCCTGAGCATTACTATCTCTGTATTGACTTTTTTTTTCTAATGAGCTTAGATATGCACAAACAATGCCTAGTAGGCAAATCCAACTAAATGTTATACAAGCACGTAGAATTCAATAATTCAAAAATAAGCTCATTATCTCCCCACCAGAACATATTTCTCCCCAGATATTCCCCAGTACATGCTGTTCCTTACCTTCTATCTTACACTTATATATAATTGGACCATTTATTACTGGCTCTAAGTTGGCATATATCAGCCCCAGCCCAATGCATGACATATGGACTGTACTCAATAATTACTTGTTGATCATATTGGATAATTTCTTCTGTCACTTCTGTCACTGGCTTAATTCAGATAGTCTAGAAAGACTAAATAGTAACATTAGATTCAAGAGGAATCAAAAACAATGTCAAGTGAACACATATTCTGCTTTGATTGAAATGGCCATAATTGTTAATAATCGGTGATTTAATTTCTTCAGATTACTTGTTAATAATGCCAGCTACAATACATTGATGCAAAGAAAGGTCCTCAGTTCTTCAACTGTATTCAGGAGGCATATGGTTATTACCTTAAAAAACACTACGTACCTTTCTTTTTCTTCTTTTTTTTTTTTTTTTGGCAAACATTGTCATTGAGTAAAAGAAAACTCTTCTGCCATGTATGTGCCAAGCTAATTGTTGTTGAAATGCAGTTTCAAGAAACAATCAGTGATAATGAGACCACATGGCTTAAGATTGCCTAGTTTTGTTTTTGTTTCATTCCTGCCAACTGAAGACTAGAGGTAATAAGAAAGAAGAGTGAGCTTTTCTTATTTACTTCACCTTCCCATGTCATATATTTTATTTATTGTTCTGTTGAAATTATAGGCATCTTGTAAATCAGGCATGATTTCATGTTGTCATCCAAATGGAGTTTAAAGCTGAGGAACCCCAGGCCTTCCTCTCATCCCTCCACTCTCTCAGGTTAACTTCATGCATCACAACCTGCACAGAAAATGCAGAAAAGAAAATTCTTTTTCTTCTAGGTTGCTTTTTTTGCTTATTGAATTGACTAATTTCATGGAAATTGTAGAGAGTGGTCTGTAAACATTGTAATGGGGACCATCTGGGTTCTTTTGCTGATAGCTCAGAATGCTGATAAAACCAATAACAGCTCTGGACCCTAAAAATGGCCTTTGAATATTTTTTGTTCCACAGACTTGAATTTGGTTCTGCATTCAAAACAGCCACCTTACCCATGTATGCTTTAATTTTTACAAGGACAGAGTGTGACAGTATAAACTGGTTGGCTTGAATTCATCATTCCTGATAAAAGGCAAAAACAAGCAAACAAAAACTTTTGAAGTACAGGTTCTGTGGTTCTGGGCTGATTCTGTCAACTATCCACTTAAAGAACTTGAATATGGGTTACCCAAACTTAACTCGGCTCAGAGGTACCAAGAGATTATGTTGGTACAGTCTGGAAAGATGGAGTATGCTTCTGACTTTAACTGCAATATACTATTTCAAAGGCTGTTTCGTTTTCCCCCGATTTTAAATAACAGCCTTCTAAATGGGCATATTTAGAAGGCAAATATATCTTCTAAACTAGATCCATGGTACCTAGTCTGAAACCAGAGGTTTCAGAAACCAGACCATTTGCCATCTCAGATTTTAGCAAAAGGTAGAACAAGGGGTTTGTTACATTTGGCTGGAGCTAGGCTGCTCCCAGTGGGTTATTGTGGTATAGGTTCCACTAGGAATAGGTCTGTCTTTCAGGGAGCGACACTTAGGTGGTAGCTGTGCTGTGTGACCTAGAGAAAAAATAAGCAGCAAATTGTCTTTTCTAGCCTCAGTTTTCTGGGCCCAATTCCCAAAACCAAATTCATATTCAAGTTCAAGGTAGAGAGGGTGGCATCCTGTATACCTCTTCATGGAAGTAGAAATAGTCTTTTAACTTAAAGAGTTATTTATTTATTTAGACAGGGTCTAATTGCGTCACCCAGGCTGGAATGCAGTGGCACAACCACTGCTCACTGCAGCCTTGATCCCCTGGACTCAAGCAATCTTCCCACCTCAGCCTTCCAAGTAGAGTAGCTGGGACTTTAGGATACACCACCCCCATCACGCCTGACTAATTTTTGATTTTTTGTTTTTTTTAAGAGAGATGAGGTTTCACTATGTTGCCCTGGCTGGTCTCAAACTCCTGGGCTCAAGCAAATATGCCTTGGCCTTCCAAAGTGCTGGCAAAAAAATATATATATATAAATATATAAATATATATAAAAATATATAAATATATATGTAAATATATATATACACATAAAAATATATATATTATATATGATATATATGATATATATCATATATATATTATATATGATATATATGATATATATCATATATATCATATATGATATATGATATATATCATATATGATTTTATATTATATATGAGATATTATATATCATATAATATATATAATATATAATATATCATATTATATATCATATATGATATATAATATATATTATATATTATATATCATATATGATATATAATATATTATATATAATATAGATATATTATATTATATATTATATATCTATATTATATCTATATTATATATTATATAATATATAATATATAATATATAATATATTATATATTATATATTATATATTATATATATAATATATATAATATATAATATATCATATATATGATATATATTATATATTATATCATATATTATATTATATATATCACACCTGTATATATATTATATATCATATATATGATATATTATATATGATGTATTATATATCTATATATGATATATTATAATAATTTATAATATATATTGTATTATTTATAATATATATTATATATTATTTATATACACTTATAAATATAGTAATATAATAACAATCTAATAACAATATAAATAATCTAAATATATAAATATATAAAAATATAAAAATATATAAATATATATATATTTATATATAATACATATATATTACATATATATGTAATATATATATATAAATATAGGTATATATATTTTTTGAGATGGAATTCCGCACTGTCACCAAGGCTGGAGTGCAATGGCACGATCTCAGCTCACTGCAACCTCCGCCTCCTGGGTTCAAGTGATTCTCCTACCTCAGCCTCCCAAATAGCTGGGATTATAGGCACCCACCACTATGCCCAGTTAATTTCTTGTATTTTTAGTAGAGACAGGGTTACACTATGTTGGCCAGGCTGATCTCAAACTCCTGACCTCATGATCCTCCCACCTCAGCCTCCCAATGTGTTGGGATTACAGGCGTGAGCCACTGTGCCTGGTCAAGATGTAATTTTTAAATGAACTCTAACAGTAGTTAGTTTATTGTCATATGCGGAATCACCCAACAGATTTGATCTTTAGGTCCTGAGTAAATCAATTATTCTTCAATTATATTTTATAAATTAATCTTTTGAATTTTAATCATAACTAGACTAAATATCACTTGGTTATAAGGAAAAAATACTTCATGTTGCAAGTAATATAAATAGTGCATTTTCATGATATCATTGTATTGATTTTTCAGTATTTTAATTCTCTGGGGTAAGAGTATAACAAAGTGCAGTTGTTTAACTTTTCAAATAAGCAAATGTAACAATCTAAAAGTTACGTTATCTTGTTCTTACATTTTGCATTTCAGGAAACATCCCAGTTATCTGGACTCCCTGAGTTTGTTAAAATAGTAGAAGTTGGGCCTAGGGATGGATTGCAGAATGAAAAGGTAGTTTTACATCATTTACTTCAAATGCTGTCTACAAATTAATAAATTTAAGATTGTAAAGATTTACATGGATTTCATATGTTATCTGATTATATTTTTTCTCAATTGCTACTTGAATTTGTAAATTACAAATAATACTCACTTTGACTTAGGAAGTAATTTTCTGTTTGTGCTTAAATAGGACCTATACAATTTACTTATAAAATATTTTTTGTTTTCATAGGTTATAGTTCCTACAGATATAAAAATTGAATTTATCAATCGACTTTCCCAAACTGGCTTGTCTGTAATAGAAGTGACTAGCTTTGTGTCTTCCAGATGGGTACCACAGGTATGTAAACCCACAATTTCTTAATTAGATCCTAATTCAACTTCACCAAAAAATATTTGGTAAATACTGTGATATTAACTTGATATAATTACTAATTTTCCATATTCTTTCAAAATATTAACCTGTGGACTGTGATATGATTAAATAAAAACCCTTTGATGAAGTCCTACAAGTTACTTAGAACTTTATACTAAGCCTGTGTGAGTATGGTTCAATATAATGAATAGGGGACAAGGCCGTTGAATAGCATTTTAGGGGGTCTGCCCTTTCTTTATCATTTTATGGCTGACTTTCTAAATAATCTGAACATCTCCAAATGCATTAGTCATTTTGTCTGTTAGAGGCAAATGATAATAAGTAGCCTGATAGCTTCCTTCTAGAATCCCATATTGAAGAGTGAGAAATGGAGACACATACTCCTTTTACTTTGCTTTTTTTGACACTTGTATTTGCAACAGGGATACGTCATCAAATATATCATTGAAGATAAAGCAGAGAGTCATCTAGAATTTTGCCTTGAAAGATGATGAGAGAGCTTTCTCTAGGGTTTTCAGGCATGTGGCAGCAGTCATTACTTCTGAAACTTGACTCTGATCTTTGAAACATCACTAGTAATTAGCAACCAGTAAAACACTCTTCCTAATCCAGTGTCTGTTCTCAGTCCTTGGATCCCTTAATTTCTCCACAGCACTTAGTTTCACTGACTACTCCTGATATCATTTCCTTGGTTTCCATTATTCTCTATTCTAATGAATCAGTTATTTCCCCAATTGCTCTTTCTCTGTCATCTCTGACATCTTTCATGACCTCTTAGTTTAAGGTTCCCCTAAGATTCTGTTTTCAGTGCTTTTCTCTGCCTATCCTCTCTTCTTTGGCTGTCTTTCCAATACCAACAGTCATTTGCATTTCTAGTGCTGCCTTCCCTGATAAACTTCAGGTGGATGTACCATCTCCACCTCAATCTCACTGGGTTAAAATCAAACTCATTGTCCACCCTGCTTTATGCCAGGAGTGCAAATCTTTCCTTTAAAATCTGGATTTTAAGAGCTGACTTTGTATCCAGTTACTGTCGTAGTCACTTAGGGATACTATAACAGAATAGCATAGACTGGGTGACTTAAACAGCAGGAGAACTATTTCTCACAGTTATGGAGGCTGGGAAGTCCAACATTTAGGTGCTGGCAGATCCAGTGTCTGGTGAACACCCACTTCCTTATTTGCAGATGGTCACCTTCTCATTCTATCCTCATATGGTGGAGAGCAGAGACAGGGAGCACACTCATGTCTCTCCTTATCATGTTACTAATGCCATTCATGAGAGCTCCACCCCCATCACCTAGTTATCTCCCAAAGATCCTTCTTTTTAATATTATCACATTACAGGTTAGGATTTCAACATATTAATTTTGAGGAGGTGCAAACATTCAGTCCATAACAGTTACTGATGTATGAAATGTCTTCTTCTTCAGTATGGCCTACACCTGTGTCTTCTTTTCAGTCCCATTGATACATTAGTGATCCAGGTCCTCATTAAATAATCATTACAGTAGTCCCTTAAATGGTATTTATAAGCACTGTTTCTCCATTCGTCATACTTTCCTTGTAAAATAATCTTCCAGAATTATCAGCTTTCACAAAGTCATATTTTCCTTCCTTCCCTTCCCTCCTTTGCTTCCTTCCCTCCCTCCCTCCCTCCCTCCCTCCCTCCCTCCCTCCCTCCCTCCCTCCCTCCCTTCCTTCCTTCCTTCCTTCCTTCCTTCCTTCCTTCCTTCCTTCCTTCCTTCCTTCTCCTCCTCCTCATCCTCCTTTTCTTTCTTTCTTTCTTTCTTTCTTTCTTTCTTTCTTTCTTTCTTTCTTTCTTTCTTTCTTCCTCTTTCTTTCACTTTAGGGGTACAAGTGCAGGTTTGTTACTTAGGTAAACATCTGTCACGGGATTTTGTTGTACAGATTATTTAATCACTTAGGTCTTAAGCCTAGTATCCTTTAGTTATTTTTCCTTATTCTCTCCTCCTCCCCCCCTCAACTCTTCCATACGCTCCAGTGTGTGTTGTTCCTCTCTATGTGTCCGTGTGTCCTCATCATTTAGCTCCCACTTATGTATGAGAACATGCAGTATTTGGTTTTCTATTCCTATGTTAGTTAATGTGCTAGATAATATGTTCGATAATGGCCTCCAGCTTCATCCGTATCCTTGCAAAGGACATGACCTCATTCTTTTTATGGCTGTATAGTATTCCATGGTATACAGGAGTACATTATCTTTATCCAGACTATCATTTATGGGCATTTAGGTTGATTACACGTCTTTACTGTTGTGAATAGTGCTGCAATGAACATTCACATGCATGTGTCTTTATGATAGAATTATTTATATTCCTTTGGTTATATACCCAGTAATGGGATTGATGGGTCAAATGGCATTTCTGTCTTTAGGTCAAAAAGTCACATTCTAAGTTCTTTAATGGTTCCCTTCCTCCCATTGACAAAGCCTGGAAACTTTGGTTTGGTATTCAAGACTGTCTATACCTGGCCACGTTTTTTCCTTCTTAGTGTTAACTGTATTACTTTGTGGAAGCTACTGCTAAATTAACTGTTTCTTGTCCTCTATTTACATGTCCTGCCTCTTTGTCCATATAGCACTTTACCTGTACTTGCTTATGTGTATCTGTATTTCTGCGTTTCTCTGCAGTTAGAACTCAATTAGATAGAAAGGCTTAAAACATTAAAGGCTTTTTAATTGTATTACATTTGAAGTAACAGAAGCCAAAATAGGATTAAGAGTAGTAGTAATATGTCACCTTTCACAGAGGGTGACTTTTATTTATCCTCAAAAGAAACTAATTTTCTCTATCCCATTGTCACTGCTGTTTATAGTGTGTGTGTGTGTGTGTGTATGTGTATATATTTTGTTTTGATTAGCCACTACCTATACCATAAGTATTTTAAAAGTAGTGATCATGTATCGTTTATCTTCTACTTATCACTGTACACCCATTTCTCAGTACATAGTAAGTAGGTGCTCAATGTAAAATAAAAAAAATAAATCAATCAGTCTGAGAGAACAATACCATATTACTTTCAATTCTCTGGCATCGGCAATTGACTCTCACTTTGTTCATGTATTTGGTCCTGTATAATGAAGGTCACAAAACTATTTTTTAGGAAAACACTACTAGTTTGATTAGGCTAGGTATATTTCCTTGAAATTGTCAATTTGTAAAATGCTAGCTATTATTTCACTAGCCACCATTAATTTTAAGAGAGTTCTAGACATTTTTATTGTCTTTATATCTTCATAAATTTACTTCTGTCTTTAATACAGTCTTTGCTAATTTCACATATTTGATTATTGCTGGAGAGAAACTGAATAGGCTGATATAACTTTAGAATTAGTGTTAGGAAAGATAATAGATTTCGCTAATATTATTTGATGAATATTGACCAACTAAAGTTATATTTCAGGTACAAACTGTTGCTAGCCCTCTTTGAAATTCTTTTTTGTTTCCTCAGTGGTTTTATAAAGCTGCCTACAAAATAGTCTTTCCTATAGTAATGTTCATGGCCACCTTCTAGTATTATGCAAGAGTGGAAATTGATGATAGATTTTTAAAAACTGATTTAGGACATACTCAGTGACATTTAGAAGGATAAGGCAGAAATAATTTTTAGAAGGCTACACTTCTTGCATAGCTAGTTAAGAGAAAAGATGGACAAAAGGAAAAAAAAAGGCAGTCCCTTTGTGAGAAGTAATTGGAAAATGCCTCCTGACCTTACATTAAGTAGATACATGGGATAGGACTATAAAATGATATGATTTATTCTAGGTTTGTTCCCAAGTTGAGTTTAGGGCTTAAACTATTCAAATTTAATGAACTCTTCCAAGGCTCAAAGTATTATCGAATAAGTGCCTGAATTCCCCCACATAGCTTTTGAGGACAGCTGTGGTGAGAGGAAGTGCTTCCGAAATTGTGTCCCTGTTCACATTCTGCCTTGAACTTGAGTAAGTGACTTAACCTCTCTGAACCTTGGAAATCCCAGCAGTGATGCCTGCAGTATCAGAGTGTTGGAGATTATAAGGCACGTGAATGGTCCCTGAGTGTGAATGCCCACAGTCCAAAGCACCTGACTCCTGACCAGTGCTCAGTACTGTTATTTAAGGGAATGCCTGATTAGTAGACATACTGATGGATGGATCTTGGGCTCTACACAAGTTCACTGCCTTTTCTGATAACTAGCCTTTATTCTGAAGATTAAAGTATGTGTATAGTTACAATATTGAGTTGAGCTCAAGTTGAATAATTGAAGATATTTTGCCTTTCAAATGCTAAAGGCTATGTTATATATTTTACTTTAATATTCATCTAGTTATATACATTCCAATTTTTTAAGTGGTTTAAATAAATCACATACTTGTAAAAGATCAGTGTGCCTGAATCCAAGACAGGAAATTTATCTTCCAAAGTTGTATCAGTCACTTACTATATAACACATTAAATGTTTGTCAAAGGCAAATATTGAGGATATTCTACTTTTCCAATTTGATTTTAGATTTCAGGGAGCTTGTCTGAGCAGACCATTTTAAAATTTCTCTTTTGAAGTTTTATATTACTCTCTTATTTTGGAAAAAAAATCTTATGAAGTCAGACTTGTCTAACTTAACATCTGAGATTTTGACGATAATTTTAGTACAACAGCTTACATATATATTGGTTGAAATAATTTCTACTTTTAAGGACAATGTGTGTGGATCTAAATTGGTATTCTATTAATTCTCTACATCTTATATTTTTTTCCTCAAATGTAGGTCATGGGAATAGTCCTCTAGTTGATGTTTAGATTGCTGCTTGATCACTTATTTCTTTTTTTAGGATTTTAAAGCTTTTTTACAGTTTCCCTCCTACTGTTTTGTTTGGCAAAGACTTTCTAACTCAAACAGCTAAAAGAAAAGTTCCACAGTAGCAGGGTGCCATATAAAACAGGATCCCACACCTATAACCTGAATGGCTGGAGATGATAAAATACCTGTCATTAAAAAATACATGTTCTTTACAACTTATCTGGGAAAAGCTTTCCTTAGAGTGACATGAAATATAAGAACATTTGAAATGAGTCCAGATAGCCCCTCGCTCAGATGGAATGAACAATAGCAGCAGAAAGAAAACATGTTTATAAAAATAGATAAAGTTTATTGCAACATTGGAATGTGGCCGTTAGTAGTAAGCTATTTAAACTGTAAATACAATAATCTTTTAAAAAGTGAACTAGAGTTTTACATTCATCTTTAGTTTAGCCATTTGATTGTAAATATTTTATTCACAAGTGATTAAAATGAATATCACTTATTTAAAAATAAAAATACATTAAATATACATAACATTGTACATTTATGTATGCCATAGGCAAAGGCTTAGTTTAAAAATATTTGCTCCCTCATTAGCTATTTTTTAACTGTTGGAATAGATGGGTCACAAGTCCCAACACCAGGGAATAAAAATAGATTTTTTTAATAAAAGTAGAAAGAAATGTATGTAAAAGACAAATAATTATTTTCAAGTCACTCTAAAACTTAAAAATATGGACCAAACACAATGTTAGCAAGAAGGAACGAGTAAATTACCCCTACTCTCCTTTTGGTGTGTGATACAAGTAGCTCTTTATTGGCACTGAAGACACATTTACTGGATTGAAGTTTAAAATTCAGATTTACGTTGATGAGATGCAGGAGGCTATACCTTCTGCTACCAAGTCCAGTCCTGATGTCTCCTCCTAGCTCTTTTCTTTTGAGGAAGGTAGGTATGGAAAAGAGTCAAAGAAGGAGGTGATTTTGACGAGGTGTATGTGAGGGTGCACGAAGGGGCTGAAAGAGAGAGTGAGAAAGAAAGGAGGCAGAGAGCCCCCAAATTGCTTGCTTATAAGGTACAGTTCATTCAGAAAAACTTTCCATTTGGGAAATTTTCCAGAGTAAGACTCATCCATTATTATCCAGATGAGTTGGCCTCTGTCACCTTCCCAAAGAGGTTCCTGGTGAAATTTACCAAGATCACAATTCTTATTCCCTGGTGCTATAGGAGTCCTTTACCCAGACAGGTAGAGGAGAGGAGAATGTTGGCTGAAAGAGGGAGGGAGACTTAAACCAAATTATCTCCAAATGAGCCTGACTTAAAATACTCAATTCTGTGCATAGAACACTATTTTCTTCTGCACACTAAGATGCCGGCATGGAGATCAAAACCATATTATGACCCAACTCTCACTTAATTGATGATCTACTCAGCAACTGTGGGTCTTCCACATATTTTTATGACAGAAGTAGATCTATTAATCAGTTATCCTAGAGAATCAGCTGATTAAAATCACTGAGAATATTTATTGGTGAAGTCTTCATATTCTTGTCTTTTCTCCTGAATTCGTAGAGCAGGTATGCACACTAGTGTTGCTTCCTTATAAGAGTTGTCATGGTTCATTTTCTGTTTCTAAATATATGAGGCTCGTTCTGTTTTTCAACTTATATAAACACGTTGAATTTCTTATATAACAAATAATTGCTGTTTGTCCAATATTTGGTCTCAGAGAAGGAATGAAGACACTTAGTTCTTTAGTAAATGATCTCAAATGGTCATTGAAATTTAAATGTAGGTAAAATTGTGCTCTGAGAGCTAGATCCACATAGATAAAATATGTTAGCTCTTCAAGAAAATTGAGAACAAGCATACACTATTTGCCACCTCATTTTTTTCCCAGTACTTAAATGGCATGAACCATAGACTCCACATTGCTTCAATCGGTCTAACGTGTTTTCACTGACTATGCAGCTTGTGGGAAATATTTTATGTGTTTGTGCAAATGTATATATTCAAATATATGTAATTGCTACATATCCTTGAGCGTTAGTAAATTTGTGTTGGTTCTTCGATTACCCGCACACCAAATAATCTTTAAATTTAATGGCTTAAAACAATAACAACATTTGTTTTTGCTTATGGTATTTGTGTATCAAGAATTCAGTAATGGCTCAATTCAGCATCTCTAGCTAGAGGTTTCTTAGGTACTCACAATGAGATAGACAGTGGTCAGAGCTGCAACAGCAGGGGCAGGGGGCTTGGGCAGCTGCAGGCTTGCTGTCCACCTCTCTCTTCCTGTGTTCTCAAAGACTCTCCACGTGGTCTCCTGCAGGGGCTAGTTTGGACTTTATCACAGCATAGCAGCTTTAATCTAACATAAATGGCTCAGAGTTCCAAAGATGAGTGTCTTAAGGGGTAGGCAAATGTGGTATGGCTTTTATAACCAAGCCTTGTAAATTTTATAGCATTACTTTTTCATAAGCTATTAGTTGAGTCAGTTACAAAGCCCACCGAGTTTCAAAAGGAGGGGACAGTTACCACCTTTATATTGGGTCACAGCATTCTGGAAGAGCAAGTGGGAGGGGAAATACCACTGAGGTCTTTTTATAATCTGCCACTTTTATGTTTTTAAAACTGGCCTAATAACTAACCTAATTATATGCTTTTTCTTACTAATAGTTAAATAATAAGTACAGTTGATAGATAAACAAAAAACTCCCAAATTAAAAAGAATACCTATTTTAGTACTGTCATGGCTACAATACTTACCTCACTCCTATCCACTCCCTCTATAAAATTAATTTCTTTTGCTTTAAATGAGATTAAGAGGTGTTGAAAACAGTGAACACACACCGCCACACAAATCACTGTCTTTACTGTAGAATGAAATTATGTCCCTGTATTTCTGAAGCTGTTTTTTATGTCCAGACCTGTTCATCAAAGTCCTAACTCTGTACTGACATCTTTTCAGAGTCTGTTGTAACTTCTTTTTTTTTTTTTTTGAGACGGAGTCTCGCTCTGTCGCCCAGGCTGGAGTGCAGTGGCGCGATCTCGGCTCACTGCAAGCTCCGCCTCCCGGGTTCACGCCATTCTCCTGCCTCAGCCTCCCGAGTAGCTGGGACTACAGGCGCCCGCTACCACGCCCGGCTAATTTTTTGTATTTTTAGTAGAGACGGGGTTTCACCGTGTTAGCCAGGATGGTCTCGATCTCCTGACCTCGTGATCCGCCCGCCTCGGCCTCCCAAAGTGCTGGGATTACAGACGTGAGCCACCGCGCCCGGCCGAGTCTGTTGTAACTTCTATGACACGTCTGGAATACACACATCATTCAGTTCTATATGTTAAATTATTTATGAATACCTATTTGCTTTTGAAATAATACACACTAGGAGGATCTCTTTTCAGAGCAAAATATCAATGTACTCTAGAAATGAAAAGTAGCAATTAGATTTTTGTTGCTCTTTTGTTAGCACAAACACCCAGAATTATTTTAAGTTGCCGTGTTAAATGTTTCTCTAAATTTGCAAACTTATCTCTTATTGAATGAAAATAATATAATAGTACATATTTTGGATACTAAAATAATATAATAATAGTACATATTTTGGATACTAAAATAATACAATAATAGTACATATTTTGGATACTAAAATAATATAATAATAAATATTCTGAATACTATCCTAGACACTCTATAATGTGGCAGTATATTTGATTTATATCCTATACAAGTGTTACTTATGTAATAGTGGTATTATTTACTATATCTTTACAAATAGTGATGATATAAATTCCTGAATTCCTCTGGTTAAGAGTGGGGGCTACTAATCAATTCCTGTGTTTTTAAGTAGGGATTAAGTTGAAATGCAATACTTTAAAGCTGTTCCACTGTACAATTAAATCATTGCTACTGTTACCACATAGGAGAAACAATTGCCCAAAGCCTATTTATAAATATTTAAAACACTCTTTGTCTCGCTCAAAAAAAGAATATGGAAATGTTAACACTGTTTTTGTTGGGATGGTGGAAACTATTATTATTATTATTATTATTATTATTATTATTATTATTATTATTATTATGTTTGAGACAGAGTCTTGCTTTGTTGCCCAGGCTAGAGTGCAGTGGTGTGATCTCAGCTCACTGCAACCTCTACCTCCTGGGTTCAAGCGATTCTCCTGCTTCAGCCTCTCAAGTAGCTGGGATTACAGGTGCCCACCATCGCACCCAGCTAATTTTTGTATTTTTAGTACAGACGAGGTTTCACCATCTTGGCCAGGCTGGTCTCGAACTCCTGACCTTGTGATCCACCTGCCTCAGGCTCCCAAAGTGTTGAGATTACAGGCATGAGCCACTGCACCCAGCCACTATTATTTTTTCTCTTTGGACTTTTTTTAAGGTTAATATGCAATAAAATGGGGGAAAATATTTGTTGCTAACATCGTTTGGTATTACTCAGCATTCAACAACAACTTCTACTGTACCTGGGATGTAGTTCCACTACTGTATCCTAAGAAAAAGCAAAATTTATAATGAAAGCAATAATGTCAGCAATTTTATTGTTTAATATGCTCATATTTTCAAGCAGAACATATAATTCAAGCATTTTTGTCCTTTTTACCCCCACTAGCTAAAAAGTATTATACTCGAAGATTATTATGCTCAGCATGTACTACTTTTCAGTAGGATGATAATTAATTTGCTCAATTACACTTTGACTAACAAGTTGGGTTTTCTTTGTTCTTAGATTTAAAAAAATAACCAAAACATAATATTAAAATAAAATATTCTACTTCAGAGGTCCCCAGGCTTTTTGGCACAAAGGACTGGTTTTGTGGAAGACAATTTTTCCACAAACGGGGAGGTGGGAGGTAGTTTCCAGATGATTCAAGTGCATTACGTTTACTATGTCTTTTTCCTATTATTAATACATTATAATATATAATGAAATAATTATACAACTCACTATAATGTAGAATCAGTAGGAGCCCTAAGCTTGTTTTCCTGCAACTAGACAGTCCCATATGGGGATGATAAAGACAGCGACAGTTCATCAGGCATTAGATTCTCATGAGGAGTGAACAACCTAGATCCCTTGCATGCACTCCTATGAAAATCTAATGCAGCTGCTGATCTGACCGGAGGTGGATCTCAGGAGGTAACATGAGTGATGGGGAGTGGCTGCAAATACAGATGAAACTTCACTTGCTCTCCTGCTGCTCACCTTCTGCTGTGTGGCCCCATTCCTAACCAGCCACAGACCAGTACTGGTCTGTGGACTGGGGGTTGGGTACCACTGCTTTACCTTATCTTTTATTCAATTGTATTGAGTTCATCATGTTTGTCAATTTTGTAAATAAGTTTTTCCATGAGAAAGAGAAAAAAACCTTTCAAAGCCGTGTTGGTCACATTAAAATTCCACTTTTGTATCTGACTAAAAGTACCTTAAAATTTGGTCTTGTAGAACTGTGTGCATGCATTGACATTTGAAAGGTCTGTATGTAATTGTTTAAAACCCAAATAGAGGTCCAGTATGGCTCAGAAAGACTTGATTCTGACTCTTTAGTGGTCTTTTTTGCATTACTGTGATTAGTCTGTTGATAAACATTGTTGATATTATTTTAGTGCAAACTCATTTCATTGATATGACTCCCAAGCCACTTAAGTGAAATCCACTTTGGGAAATGCAGAGTATGCCCTAGGGACTAGACTAGAGGGAATGAAAGTATTTAGTAATACTTATTTCCAGTGTGCCATAGTTACGACTTGCTCACTTGGAGATTCACATCCATTACTCAAAACCTGGTTTAAACATTAAAGCATTAAGATATTAAGCGTAGTCTGGATAGCCCAGTTTTGAGTATTTTCTAGCAGTACTTATTTTCAAGAATACATTATCCTTGTATCCTTGAGCACTTAAAATGAAACATATCATAGCAGTTATTTTTAAATAATTAGGATAATGCGTTTTAAAGACATACGTTTTGGCTGATGTTCATAAAGAGTTATGTTATTTGAATATTTTTTAAAAATAAAAATAAAGTGATTTTTCTAATTTTTAGGTACACACGGATTGATCTAATATTATCTGATTAAATTGCTGGAAAGTTCTCTAGAAGTACTATTTAGTAAACATAGAGACTTAGAAAGATAAACATGAATGCCGAAAGTAATATTGTATCCCGAATATCACATTAGACAATGGATTTTACATGTCAAAACCTACACATTAGTGAAATGTATATATGCTAATGTTTCACTTGTTTTACATTTGATAAAAGAAAAAGAATATACGTTTTTTATTTAGAGTATGCCTGTAAATCAAAAACATATTTCATAAAATATTTGATTTTATTTTGCTTTTAAAAATTTTATCCAAGCTTATTTATCTTGAACATTTGACCTATCAATTCATCACTGATTGGAATTATAATTTTTAGAATAGTAGAATATTTTATAACATCTATGGATATTAGGTATTTTCATTGTTAATATATAAGATATATTTTGAAGAATGCTATTTATTTTATAAATGTCTTGGACAAATTTAAATTTGTCATTGCAAAAACTTATAGGTTATAATTAAGAACTTTGAAATATCAACCTGTTGAAGCAAATTCATGCTAATAACCTTATAGCACTAATACTACTTACTTCAGACCTTCTTATACTGCTATAATGTGTAATCTATTTATAAATTTAACACTATTATCAGTCAAGATGGATGCATCTTGTATTGAATTCTGCTTATAATACGTAGTAAGAAATATATTTCTAGTAGCCCAAATATAGTCATCCACACCCCGCCCCCCAACCCCCCACCAGATCCTCCAGGTTTCAGGTTTTCTGAGGTTTTTATCACTTTTTCTGTCTGTTTAACCCATGCTTTCTGGTAGAGCAATACAAAATCTGAGACCTGACTCTTACTCATGTATGATATGATTTGGCGAAGTAGTTTCATCTCTCTATGCCTTGGATTGTTTCCATTTATTCACTCACCCATTTATTGCTTTTATTGTGTCTCTATTCAAAACTGTATTGAGTTCTCTGTTGGACCCAAATGTTGAATAATAAGTAGTTGCTATCGATAACCATAATATATACCTAATAAGGTAAGTGTAAAGTTAAAATAGATAATTGGAAAAAAATAATAAAAAAATCAAACTCATACAAATGGCGTTTTAAAATCAAGTGAATATCTGTAAATGAGTTATAAAATAGAACTTAGTAACCAGGGTATGTTAAGCAGTTTGTCATCGAGCACTCTGGCCAGTTTTTTTAAAGTTCTGTCTTATATCAAAACGGAGATCTCCGGATCTATATGATGGCCAAACCACAAATTTGCAGTGATGGCATTGCTTGTTGTGGTAATAAGACCCTTTTTTTTCCACAGCCAGTGTCTTATTACTTATTTCCAGTGTCTTATTACCAGTGAGTTAGTCTCCTTCCAACAACCCAGGCCTACCCTCCACTCTGTGCAAGTTGGCTTACAGAAAGAAGTGTAAGTATAGGAAGGAAACTTTGTTTACAGTCTGTATACAGTAACTACAATTAGATACAGTATTTCAAAAATCACTTCTGCTTTCATGCATGGGAAATAACAACTTTGACAGTGTTATTATCAAACATAAAGACATGATATATGAGAGGCAGCACAGTTGAGTGGAAAAAAAATTATACTGGGAGCTTTGAGACTTCTTGCCCTACTTCAGAATGATGTTGGGAACATGATTGTTTTGACATGGGAAGACCAGGAGGGTGGTCACAAAAGGCATTAACCTGAACAAATAATAACTAATGCATATTTATTATGTTTATCTTAGGAAACTAGGAAATGCTATTGAATAAAATGACTTTTATTTCTTTATCTGGAATATTGGTCTCTCAGTTTATAACTCACAGATCCATTTGGGTAGCCTGGGTCTATTTTATTAATTTAAAAAATGAATACTTGTAGACATTAGTGGATCATGACTCAAATGTCTTGCCTGCATTTACAATAGAAGAGTTTGGGTCATATGCTTCCTGTTTTGGTCACTCTTGAGACGTGTAGGCATTTCACCCCATAGAGGGCAGTACAGAGGTCCTTAGTACACAAAGGTAATGCTGAATAAGGAAGTACAGGAAATTATACACAAGACCAAGTTAGTTTCAAGGCTTCTGGACTTAAGAAGTTTTGTGAATATGGTGTCAGTCTATTTTAGCTTTGGCAGCCAAGACAGGGTATTGGGTAGAAAAAAAAAAACTGGATGTTCAATTTTCCAGAGATTTCCTGTGTTTATTATTGTAAGACTGTGATTTATTAAAACTGTCTTACTTCTTCAAGCAGACCAAGATCTCCTCTGTGCTACTGAGGCTAAGATATATGGGGTTTGTGCAAGGAGTCTGTGAATGAGACAGGGTTACTGTACCCAGGCTACAGTGCTATTCATAACTGGCTACAGCATTTTCACCCAGGGTTGTCAGGAAGAGCTCTAGTCTCATTTTTTCTCATTACTGAATTTACGAATGTATCGCCTTTAAGAGGAGTTACTGCTCAAATTGAGTTTTGAGTTATAGGGTCTGAAACCACATTATTTACATTTTTATAGTAATCGATGGCATGTGTTGAAGAAATTGCATGCTCTATGTCTCTTTCCTGTTGTACGCCTGCATATAGAAAGTAATACTGTCAGTTATGTCTAATCCAGCTACTGGAGATTGTAGACAGATAGCTTCTGACATTATCCGCTCATTTTGAAGAGATAATGAATATTGTCCTGGATTATCGATAGAGTTGGTGGTGGGGCAAAGAAAGCAAAGTATCCTTCAAAAATATATTTTTAAAATTATTTAGCAATCTATATTAGTGAAAAGGAAAAATGAGGGCTTATAGGTCCATGAGTTTAAGTCTTTTCCTAGCAAAATTTAGGATAGTTGATTAAACAGAGAATTTATGAACATGAGATGTACTCGGAAATCTTATGGATGTACCAATAAAAAGACATACCAAACTGACCTCACTTGTTTGCTGATAGTATTTCTGGAGTATTTAAAAAATATCCTTGACTATCTTGTTGATATTTCTCTGAGCAAGATATGAAATTTTACCAAAACTGGTATTTTTCCAAACTTTAGTTTTTATCAGTGAAACTTTTTTCTTTTTTGTCATGGGTAAAACTTTATGTAGAACTTCAATATATGATATAGACAAGAAAGTCACCATAAAAGATTTGTTGAGGTCCCTTCTAGGCTGTAGGAGAGGTCTTATCAGTGTCATCATCTGTTATAAGTTTTAACGAAATTTTCAATAGATATTTTTGTGTTCTTTTTCTTAAGGAGGCCCCCTCCTAAATTGCAGTCGCTTTAGGTTCAAGACCACAAAATGGGGATTCATCTCTGAATAAAAATACAATTAGCTTTCCTTTATCGAAGTAGGGTCAGAAGGCCTAGAATGTGCTAATTTGGCCCCCTTCAAGCCAACCTTATTGATTCCCAAACTTGTTAGGATTTCTAACATCTCCTGAGAAGTTTTGTTAATTATAGATTCCTGGCTCTTACAGGAGAACAGAATTAGAATCTGTACCAATATGTCCAAGAAATCTGTATTTTTAAAAAGTACCTCAAATAATGCTGATGATGGATTCAGTTTGAGAGATATTGGGCTAGATGATAAAATATGCCACAAGACTGTTCAGCCTGAAGGTGAGTTCTCTCTAGGAGCTCTGCCTTTGATATTCTGATGCACACAATCTTTAGTAGTGACTAAGATGAAGATATAGAAAAGATAAGATATGGATGATATAGAAGGTAGAAGATATGGAAGATGTGTTTATCAAGGAGGTATTAGAGAACATGCTTTGCAGTCAGATAGACTTGGGTCCCTGCCCAGCTTTTGCACTCACTAACTGGGTGACCTTTATTTCTAATATCACTATCTAGTTCTGTTGATGTTAGACTTCAACAAGGTTGGGAATCAACAAGGTTGGGAATCAGCAAGGTTGGCTTGAGGGAGGCCAAACCAGTGAACTCTAGGCCCTCTGCTCCTACTTCAATAAGGAAAGCCTAATTTTATTTTTATTCAGAGGTGAATCCCCATTTTATGGGCCTGAAGTGATTGCAATTTAGAAAGGAGTCTCTTATTAGGTTGTTAAAAATTTGTAAAAGGATACCACATAAAGAATTAAATACCCATAGGTTTAACATGTAACTCAGCATAAAGTAAATGTGCTTTTACCATTATTACCATCATTATTAACAATAAAATAGTAGAAGAATTAGTGGGAAAAAAATCACAATTCAAAGTGGATTGAATTCAAAGTGAATTCGAATTAGAATAAAGGGCTAAAACCAAGGGAGATAAATGTCAATTCAATTCAACAATCATTTATTAAATCTTATTTCATGCAAAGTATTTAAAGAGCTAATGATTTAATAATGGAAAGTGATGCATGAATCAAAAATTATACAAAATTTGATAAGAGCAATGATAGATAATACAAAGCAAGTTAGGAAGTATAGAGACATCTAAGTCAAGTTGGTTATTGAGAATGTCATGTAAGAGGAATTTTTGAGTTGAATATTGGAAAAATGAAATCAATTAACTAGATAAAAAAGGGAAAAAGATTTTTAGGCAGAAGGAATAATGTAAAGGATCAGAGACCTGAAATAGTGGGCATAATGCTGCAGACATTTTGCTATCATCAAAGGCAAGCTGGGAGCACTTCAATAAGAGTGAGGTGAGCTGTTAAGAAAAAATAGGGGTCTGGAGTCCTCCAGACCTTCAAAGGCTTAGCTGCAAATTATTCTGGAATCTCAGTAGTAAGAAGATGATAACGAAGTTCCAGCTGGGGGTAAGGATAACCTTAATATAAGGCTTTCCTTGGTTGTATATTGGTCATGGATGTCAGATCCAAGGTGACATCCATTTCTTAGAGTCCAATAAGTTGGGATTAGTGTGACCTGACCACAGTACTCTGGACCATAATAATGCTCATTGTAAAGCACAGCAAAAAAAATCTGTTTTGTAGGGTCTATGTGGGTTACACAGGAATCTACTCCAAAACTTCTACTCCTCACCGCAGGGAGGAGTTGCAGACTTTTCTAAACCATGCATATAAAGCAGCAGAGGAAATTACTGAATGTGCAGATTTCCAGTTTACAGTCTCAGAGATTTTTGGTTCATTGGGGCCAATACAGAATATAGAAATAAGCATTTTAAAAGTCGTCCCAGATCATTCTGACCTAGGCAGTCCTCAGGCCAGTATTTGGAAGCACAGCTCTAAGCACACTGGACCCTTCAGTAAATGACACATACTGAGTCGGTTCCACTTGGTGGAAGTGGGTTTTCTAAGAGAGTTCCAGCTTTGAGTCTCAGTAACTCTGGCTTAGTTAACAAGATAAAGGGCCTTAATTATTTCAGTTAGATGTAATTAAAATAAAATTTGGAGCCCCATGCTATCCTTTCATATACGAAAGCATGCTCAAAATGTCAAAATAATTAAGTCATTCCAATCTTCACTCATGCTTCATTTAGAATATTTGAAGGGACCTAATTTCATATCCTACCATAGGACTTTAAAAATCCCCCTTTTCAAATATCTTATACCCTAACTCTGTTTTAGAGCCTAAACATTTAGAGGATCTCTAAGTGATCCTTTTTTTCATTATGCCTCTAAGGCCCTCTAGAATTCTTTTTTTAGTTTTCTGATTCCATATCCCGGTGGGTGTCGCATAGACCAGCATAGACCAAGTCTGTGGATTGAAGTAAGGGAAAGATTTATGCTAACAGTGGCAGAGCTGTCTTTGAATGATGATGAGGTCATGGAAGTTGCTGGGGTCAGGAAGAGCCTTTAAATACTATTCCTCAATTTTTACTCTGTTTGATCATTTTTTGTACTTCTATAACAGATAATATTAATTACTATTACTATTACTATTAATTAATAGTAATAGTAATTAGTATTAATTACACTACTCAAAAACCCATGCTGTTACAGTTTATTCCTCTTTTCCTTTTCTTGGTTATTTTACTTCCTATTCAGTGCCTCAGAAAGTGCTGTAAAGTTTAGCCTTGTTGCATCTGTCAAGGTCCCTCATCACAAACACTGGAACCAGGAAATATGAAATTTTCCAAGGGACAATCATTAGATATGCCTCAGGTTCTTTTGTCTTCAAGGATCGCGTTTCTGGCAAAATGCAAAGTTTGAGCCAGTCTCTGGGATCATTCAGTTTGAGAGTCATTTACCACTATCTATGCCCTATTACTTCAAGTGAAGCAACTGTTTGTGCTCTTGCTAATTGATATGTCTGGATGGTTTAGGGCCACCTGTCTGTCTCTGGGTGAGATCTGCAAATCACTAGGAGATATATGGCCAACCACTTGTAGGGAACTTTAGATACTGAATACATCAATTTGGAGGATCCCGTTTTTTTTTTTTTTTTAAAGACTATAAATGCCAAATACAACATTATATAGGAAAATAAATATTAATTTTAAATGAGAAAAAAGAACTTATGAAATTTTAAAATTTTAAAAGTTAACACATATTACAAATATCTCAAAATTCAGAAAAATAAAATTTTAGTTTTAAAAATTTAAGTGAGCATCTGAGGTTAATTCATAATACGCTTTTTCTCTTATTTTGTGACTATACATTCTTTGTTCGTCTCTTTCTAAGGTCAACACTATGATGTTTTCTATGGAGAGTGTAGACAGATAATTCAGTCTTTTCTCTAGCACTGTCAATAAAACTTTATTTATAGGTTAGAAAAATCTTTCAGTTTAATAATTCATTATTAGTAATGTGTTAAGATGTAATCTAATACTTTGATATATGTAAATTTGTACGCAGATATAGTCTTTATTTTAGAAGAACTACTACAGTTTTGCACACTTCACACGGAGGAATTTTGATATATTCTATTTTTGTAATTTTATGCAATTAAAAATAGAAACATGCACAGTATAATTGTTATATGGAATATATTTTTGATAGATGAAAATTTCCATTTGATTTCACATGGATGAAAACAGATTCATTTCCTTACAACAGTATGTATATAATGTTTGGAAGAATTTTGCACAAACTAGCCTCTGGTTGTATACATTTTGAATTTTGTTTCTCCTTAACTATTTACATACTTCTGGTGCCAGTTAGTGTAGGACATTAACATGGTGAATATGCACTCTTGCTCTACTCTACAGTGAGTTGTAATATGAGGTAAAATTGTGTACTATATCTTATATGATATACTGGGTTTTATATATTTTCAGTGTATGAGAATATTTACACCAACATTCTGAAAGAGTGCAGCAATTGTGAGCTCTCCCAATTGGCAGAGTCTGGCCTGGATTTGTACATAAAAAAATATAATATAGCAACCTAAGGAATTAAATGGTATTCCAATCGCCATGTGTTACTTGAAGACCATTGCAGGAGAACCGCTGTATACATCACAGCAATACTTTGTATAACTCCCCTTTTTTCTTCTCATCTCACACCGTTTCACTGCTATAGAGCAGTCAAAGCAATTTGCCAGTAAAGCTTACCTTTCAAATCCCAGGCTGTCCTTCCCGAATATCATGACTGTTTAGATTATTTAGATTTTCTGGCTATGCCTTCCTTGTTTACCTAGGACTTCTCAGCTAGCTTCTTACCTAGTACACTATTACAAAGCATAAAATCTCTCTTGTTAGAGGGCAAGGTAGGGAAACAATTTGAGCCCTTTATCAGATAGGTGGAGTGGAGACAGGACAATGGCTGAGACTCACTTACTGGTGATGCTTGACTCAGTCATATCAACTTGACCAGGTCAGGGAAAAGGGTACAAAATATAGAGTCCTATATTTAGGTTACAAGATCTAGTTCTAAGAGAGGTGGTCAAGTTATATAATTTTGTAGATATCATTGTAAAGATACCACTGTAAAAATATCTTTGTATTTTTTTCTCACATGAATTTTAGATCCTCCTCTGAACTCTTCTGTCACTTAACAACAGTGCTAACTTAAACTTTTAATATTTCCACCCCATCACACAGTTAAATTTTCTCATCTTCAGCAGAGCTACAAAAACACACTGAATAATTTCTATGGTAATACAGAACCACCCAAAACATTCTCCTCTTCTGTAGTTTGCAAACTTATAGTGGACTAATCTCTCATTAAGTTAAAATAGTAAACATAGAAATGACATGTATCATAAATGGGTATGAGAGAATTACATATAAAAAGTGTATTACAAATGCAGCTCTGGAATTTAGAGACCTGTACATGGAGTAGCTTTGTAACTGCATTTGTTCAGGGCCGGTGCAGCGGGGAGTTAATCACTGATTAAAATCTAAATGAATAGGAGTCAACTCTTGTCAAAAAATGAATAGGAACTCTCAGTTCCTTATGTACTTCCATTTAAAGTAAATATTTATTTCACTTTATTGAACATCCCACATTGCATGTTATCAGTTGGAACTGAGTAAACTTTACTCAGTGAAAGTTCTATTTTCTCTAACTGTCATTTTGAAGAGAAGTAAAGGGTGATAGGTATTTTTACCTTTAATTTTGTGGGACTTGAAAATGAAAGAATTGTATACTTTGAAAAATGTTAAAAATTAATTCCTATAAAAAATTTCACCCTATAACTTTTTGGAGTATTTTAATAAACAGTATCCTTTAAGTTTAGGGTTATTAAATGTTTTTCTTTTACAATACACTAAAAAGTAATAATTTATCATACAAATATATGAGTATATATAAATAATATATCAATAATATACCAATCTCAGCCTTTATAATATTGAAGAGCATCAGGCCTTTCCCTGGATTAGGCTTTGGCTTAGGGGAATGTTGTGGCTGGTTTGATCTTCTGCCTAGACCACTCAAACTTTCTCCGTTTCAGCAATAAGGCTGTTTCACTTATTATCTGTGTGTAAACCAGAGTAGCACTTTTAATTCCCTTCTGACTTTTTCTTTGCATTTAAAACTTTTCTAACTGTTTGGCATAAGAGGCCTGGTTTATCACCTATCGGGGCTTTCAACATTCCTTTCTCACTAAACTTAATCATTTTAGCTTTTGATTTAAAGTGAGAGATATGTGAGTCTTCCTTTCACTTGAACATTACAGGCCATTTTAAGGTTGTTAATAGGCTTAATTTCAATATTGTTGTGTCTCAGGGAATGGGGAGGCCTAAGGAGACGGAGAGAGGTGGGGAATGCCCAATTGATAGATCAGTTGAACACACACAACCTTTACTTATTAAATTTGCCATCTTATATGGTGTGGTTCATGGTGCCACAAAATAATGACAATAGTAAAATCAAAGATCAGTGATCACAGATCACCATAACAGATATAATAATAATGAAAAAGTTTTAAGTATTGTGAGAATTACCAAAATGTGACACAGAGATACAAAGTGAGCACATTCTGTTGGAAAAATGATGCCAATAGATCTTGATCAACTCAGAGCTCCCACAAGCCTTCAATTTGTAAAAAACACAGTACCTGTGAAATACAATAAAGCACAGCTGAATAAAGCTAGGTCTGCTGTAGCCTATTTACAAAAAAACAGTTGAAACTTCCAATATGATTCTCTTTCAGAAGTTTTTGAGAAACTCTTTCATTGTTTATCACTGCATTCTCATATGCATTATCTTGAAATTCCACTAATCTCAGGGAATTTGGGTGAGCTGATGACACTAACAACACTTAAACTGTATTTTAGCCATTGCCATTGTCTGGGGAACATATTGAAAGCCTAAATATTTGGAACACATTATAGTATTCAGGTAATTACAACATGATAGGATATCTAAATGTGTATAGTGTGAACTATCCCAGTTTAATTACGTCATGATAAGAGTTAGTAGCAAATAAAATCTCTAAGCTTGTTAGGCTATAATCTTCATGATGCTTTGCATATCTTGAAAACTCTTGCAGAATGTTACGCAAATATTGTGATGATTTGGATCTATATCAAAATGTGCATGCTTAAAACAATTCTTAACCATGGTAGGCCTATTTTTTTTTTTTGGCTAGAGATATACAGATATTGCCATTTCCAGACTGTGTGCTGGTGATGGCAAAACTTGTTACTAACCAAATCATGAGGATTTTTATCATTTTAAATTTAAAAAATCACTGCAACGTCTGAAAAAAGTTTGTTAAATAAAACCAGATGTAGAAAGGCTTTCTTAAAATGTCAAAACAGTAATGTAAATGAATTGTTAGTTTCATTGTTTAAATTATAAACTTTAGACATTAAAACAATATTAAGATTGAAGTATAACATAAACTCCCCAAGAGAAAAAAAAATTAAAGCAAGGACTTTGTACCTTGAATTGGAACCTGCCCTTTTTTATTCATTGGAATAAAATGATACTCTATCAGGATTTCCTAAAACTCTTTACTTACTTGCCTTTACTGACTAAATTAAGACAGAATACTATTATTTCTTGAATGGCCTCATTATATTGTGAGCACTTTTAAAAATGTAAAAGTAGTGATTTTTTTGGATTCTACTTTCTGTATTTATCATAATTTTATTAAGATACCTTCAGTGATTATCAATTTTTAGTTTTCATGATCTGGGAACTTCATTATCATCCCTGTTCATTTTCCTTTTTTTTCTTTTATTTATTTATTTATTTATTTATTTATTTATTATTATACTTTAAGATCTGGGGTACATGTGCAGAATATGCAGTTTGTTACACAGGTATACATGTGCCATGATGGTTTGCTGCACCCATCAACCCGTCATCTACATTAGCTATTTCTCCTAATGCTATCCCTCCCCCCGCCCCCCACCCCCTGACAGGCCCCGATGTGTGATGTTCCCCTCCCTGTGTCCATGTGTTCTCATTGTTCAGCTCCCACTTATGAGTGAGAACATGTGGTGTTTGGTTTTCTTGATCTATTGATTGAAACATCTATTTAAAAAAATTATTGTTTGCTTCATTATATAAGCTTGTTCCCACTGTCTCAAGATTTTTGTTAAATTATGTGCAGAATGAATTAAATATAGGCCAAGATTATCTATATTTATTGTAGATTAAAATTTGTTTATTTGCCCATTATTCCGTTTTATGATATACTGCCAATCTCTATCCAAATCTGTATTTGGTTAGGAACATGATCTTTATTAACTTTTGTTATCATGAGAATACATATGTCTCTAATAAATACTTATACATACTATGTTTACTTAGGCTTAAGCATTAATAATATTGATTAACATTATTCTTTAGTGTTGTTTTACATTTTATTACAATATCCTAAAACTTTGCTTTTCTTTCTGCTTATTATCGGAAATAAGTTTGCTTATTTTCTTTTTGTAATTTGTGTGTGCATGCACATTTGTGTGTGCATGTTAGAAAAACAGAGACAGAGACAGAGAGTACTCACACTCTAAATAGCATCAAGCACAAAAGCTAAATTCATGGATATGCAATCAAAAACTGTGTAAATATGTACAAACTATTTACAAAGGAAGGCTATAAAATGGTGAGAATTACAATTTTGAGTAAAGTGCTCCTCTGTGTTATTAGCCACTGTGTCCTCTTCATTTTTCTTTAGTTCTATTCCCAGTACCATTTTTTTTCTACCACAGAACTTGTCACAAGATGGATTCTCACAATTACCTGAGAGTTGGCCTCTCCTATCTAGACTATCCTTTGCACCTCCCCTAAATTAATTGTTCTATAATACTACATTTAGTCCAGTCTTCTCCTTTCTCAACACCCATTCTCCATGGCTTTCTATTGCCTTCAGCATAAATCAGAATCTTTATACTAACGTGAACCTAACTCAAAGACACATCACAGTGTGTGATTTCCTCTTCATTTATAAGCTTATCCCCAATTGTTCACTACTAATCTTCTCTAGCCAAATAATATGTTACCACTTACGCAACCGTCCGTCTTTCTTTTCCAACCCTATTGGTTTTTCAGTGTTGCAGCTTTTATAGCTGTAAAATGAATTACCTGAGAACTTAGTGGCATAAGTAAACATTTACTATGCTCACTAATTCTGTGGGCCAGGATTTGAACAGGACATGGGGGACAGGTTGTGTCTGGTCTTCAGTGTCTAGGGCCTCAGCTGGATGACTCAAATGCTGGAGGCAAAAGTCATCTGGAGGCTACTTCAATCACAAATTTAGGGGGTGACACTGACTATTGGCTGGGGGCCTCAGTTCCTCTTCACATGGGTTCTCCAAGAGGGTCTCCTTATGTGGCCTCTTTGCGTAGGCTAATTTGGGCTTTCTTACAGGATGTTGGCTGATTTCCCCACAGTGGCTTTCCCCAAAAGAGAAAGCCATATGGAAGCTGTATCCTTTTTTGTAACCTGGCTTCAGAAGTCATATAGTATGATTTCCACTACATTCTAATAGTTGGAGGAATCACAGTCTACCCAGCTTCAAGGAAAAGAGTAAATAAAGTTTACCTCTTTGTGAAAAGTGGTGAGATCCTGGAAGAACATACAGGACCAGAAATATTGGTGTGGCCATTTTTTGTTGGAACAATGCCACAGTGAAGGACTGCAGCTTGTATCCCATGTGCTCTTTCAAACTCTCCCAGACTTTTATAGGCCATACCAACCTTTATTCATTCTGAACTCTTATAATCTGTGATCTCATTTACAACCAGTATATTTCTTTGAATTGTTAACATTCCATGTGTATCTGTTTTGTCTCCCCAACTATACTACTAACTACTTCAGCACAATAACCTCATTTTCCCCCAGGAAAGTAAGGTCTGTATTTTTATTTTCCACAGGACCTAGCATAGAGCTTTGGACATAGTAGGGGCTCAATAAACAGCTAGATTAAAGTCAGATAGATTTAGAATGAAATGAGAGATATCACTTTTATGCATTGTAAATGAATGTGGTAGATACTGTTTGGAGAAGACGGGAATTGGTGAGGCAGGGGATAGTGGATACAATAGTATAGAATTAAGTGAGAAAAGATCACCTGGTAAACACAAATAAATGTGTTTATGAATGAAACACGAAAGCTTAAATGTAATAAGTCATGATGGCAGTCAAAGGAAGGTACTTCTTTGCATCTTAGGTATTTAATTTCAAATTTATATGTATTTAAAAACTCATATAAGTAATGCAGATTATACTAATTGAAAGCATTAAATTTAACTCTGCTGGCATTTGAGAGTTGACAAGATGAATGTATCAATAAGAGTAAATATTGTAACATGTATTTTTATATTTAATATTATAATATTTTTCAAATGTATTTAACTATGTTTTAAAAAGCATTTTTTGTTTGGATTTATTTGCTTTTAATTTTTTAAATTCAAAAATAATGCATTCTGATGATAGCAAACCAAGTTATATAAAGAAAACCCAATAGCCCTTTTTCTGCATTTCTATATTGAGGATTCCAGTTTTGGTTTGGCATATTTTCACAGCTTTTTGCATGTTCATTTTGTATACTTTCCACTGCTTATATACTATTCTTCATATTTATTGTTCATGCCACAATTTATTATTTTTAAATATGTAAGGCTCATGGTTATGTCAATGGTAATTTCTCTGTGTGATGATTATGGGATCTGATTAATAGTTATTGTTTTAAGAAGCTAATTCTTAGACTTTGTGGCAAACTGGTAAATTTGATATTTTAATTCAAAGTTGAGTTTTTTAGAGATACAGAAAACAAAGTGTTGACAGGGTAGGTTAAATTTTTCAGGTGAAAACTCTACTGTATTAATTTGTTCACATATGAAAACGTGGTAATACTATGATAGTGTTACATAAAGCTTTATAACTATTACTAACTAAAGCACCAATGCTCACCAAATAGCATTCTGGGATCTCAGCCTTGTTAAACTGTTCTAAAGAATATGTGTAATTTACATTTTCCTAAACATTGTAAAATTTCATACACTGAAAATTATTTGGACATAAAATTTTCATGTGTATGGTAAATGAATAGCATATTGCCTTTCCAACTTTCCCCAGTCTCAGGAGTATTTCAGCCTTGGACCATGAAATGAAAGGAAGGGAATAAAGATTGGTTAAGTGAAAATAATAAAGTTCCGAATTCCTATCTGTAATAACTCATTTTACAAGATCCCATTCTGTAAAACAGTTAAACTTATCTCTACTTATTATAAGTCTATGAGACTGAGAACTACTTTCCTTTACATTCACTGGCATTTTTTTTTATTTCAGATATTAATTTAAAGACTCTAACTGTCCATGTAACTATAACCTACCTGAAACTAAAATGATTCTCGGTAACATATTCGAAGTTACACATTTACATATAACTATTATGTATTTAAGATGGCTGATCACACTGAAGTAATGAAAGGCATTCATCAATATCCAGGAGTTCGCTATCCTGTCCTTACTCCTAATCTTCAGGGTTTTCACCATGCTGTAAGTGTGCTACTAATATCTCTAAAATTGATAGGCCTCTTATCGTTTTAAAGATATTTACAAAGTTAAAATTGTGTCATATGTAACTCATCTGTAATACAAATACTATGCTAATGTACTAACATGAAGACATAGAGCTCCAAGTCCTCACAGCATTGTTGGGGACTAAAGTGGTCTATATACCTGGCTCTTCCAGCTTCACCGTTCAAAAATCAAAACACAAAAGTAAAATTCTGCATTTTTTTGTGAAATTTCTTAGAAGTATATTTTGTGCTTCTTCTTAAATAAGTAATATAGAATACTATTTAAGCATTTTTCAATGCAATTTTTATAGTTATTAATATTGTTGAATTTGGTAATTATTTTTGTCAACCTTTGTTGATCAGCTTTTTGTGTCTGTTATTTTCTCCCTCTGGGTGAAAAGCTAATTGTCATTTTATCTGGCTCTAGTTACTTTCCCTATTTATCTTCTGATTTGTTTCTTTTGATCCTCTGTGATTTAGAAATTTATATAATTTAAATAAAGCTTTAATAATTATACATATGAGACTATCCTCTTCAATTTTAAGGTGTTATCCGTATATGGGCTTATTGCATAGGTTTTGCAGCAGCTATTTCTGGTATTAATGAATATTAATGAAAAATATTCATTATATGAAACTATATTATGTAAAGTTGAGATTGTGGGGTATTAATCGTATAATGTATTTTGTTAGAACCATTTATTTTTCTCTTGGGTTTGATTTGATAAAATTTTTATTGCGTTGTTTAAAAAGTCATTTAAAAATTATAAATATTGGTGTCATCTAGTAATCCTAACAAAGTAAAGAATGTATCTTACCTTGAAGAAGATACTGAAAGGACACTCTCATGTTAACTCAGAGGGGCAAGCACTGGAGTGGAACTAATCTTGACTTTGGAGCAATTCTGTGCTCAAAACGTGACTCCAGAACTTTTACTCCCTGTGTGATATCATGCTAAGGATTTACCTTTTTTGCGCTATAGCTGTTTCATCTGTAAAATTGGCATAACAACACTTAGTTTACACAGTTGTTTGTAGATGACAAAAAGCACATCCATAGTACTAAAAACAGTACAGACAAATAGTAGATGTTCACTAATAGAGTTTTTATTTTAGAAATTGAAAATTTATTTTGGATAGAGGCATAAAAGCCAATATTTTTTAAATGTTTGAGGAAAGATGAAAAGATAGCTTTTAAGTTTTTCTCCCCCCATGTATTTTTTTTTTTTTTTCTGAGATGGAGCTTTGCTCTGTCGCCAGGCTGGAGTGCAGTGGCGTGATCTTGATTCACTGCAACCTCCGCCTCCCAGGTTCAAGCGATTCTCCTGCCTCAGCCTCCCAAGTAGCTGGGACTACAGATGTACACCACCACACCCAGCTAATTTTTGCATTTTTAGTAGAGACGGGGTTTCACCATGTTGGCCAGGATGGTCTTGATCTCTTGACCTTGTGATCTGCCTACCTTGAGTTCCCAAAGTGCTGGGATTACAGGCGTGAGCCACCGCACCTGACCTCCCCCCCATGTGTTAATGGGGGATTAGCAAGAGGGGAGAACGTAGGCAAAGTGCTAGAAATACATTAACAGAAGGTCTTAAACATCCAGCTGAATGACTGAGAGGCTTGATATTTGAAAACAAGTCACTGGAGAGCCTGGAAGAAGGAATAAAGTTGACAAAAAGTGCAAAAAGGAAATTGATTAGATTAATATTTTGCATTTAAAGACTGACAAAAAGATCAAAGCATTAGGTACACACGAGTATGGCTGTAGAAGTCAGGATACAAAAAAATAAAAGCTAGGTTAGGAGACCAAAGAAAAACTGGGGGCAAAATCTAAATGATGAATTGGAAAAATATTTTTCTGTTGGATTGTAGGAAGAGAAGATAAACAAAGTAGTTAGTATCTTCCATTTTAATAATTGGTTTGGAAATATTTTTTCATGGAGGATAAGGGTTTTATTGGGGTGCTAGTATTTTCCATAATTAGGCTTACAGTATTTCTGAAGATAATACATAATTTTTAAAAGGCATAATTAAATAGAACATCCTCATTGTGTTTTTGTGCCTCACAGACTTATGAATATTGCAGTTTGTGGATTATTCTGTTATTACAAAATATTTTTACATTTCGAAAGAATATATGTGGCAAGATGAGAGGAATCCAATTTTAAATTCTAAGGCAAATATTAAAGAATACATGTATGCCTTCATAGAGTAGTTAATCTTTATTCTACCACTGTCATTCACATTTTTGAAGTTATTAGATTTGGCTTTAAATTATATATTTTTCAGGTTGCTGCTGGAGCTACTGAGATATCAGTTTTTGGAGCTGCATCTGAATCCTTTAGCAAGAAGAATATTAACTGTTCCATTGAAGAAAGTATGGGAAAATTTGAGGAGGTTGTTAAGTCTGCAAGACACATGAATATTCCAGCACGAGGGTACTTATGAAATCCCACAAATTCTGTTTTGTTAATGTTTATTGTTAAAGCTTACTCAAAAATTATCTAGAGATTCTTATATCATTTATAAAAATATACATAGAATATCATATTTCTATTTTGTTTAATCAGGGTAATCACTATATAGTTACATCTCATTAACATCACTGCTGATTATTAGTGAGTATCTAGCTTGTGGAATGTGTCATGCAGTTGAAATCAGAGGAACTAGCATGCAAATCTGGCATTATTAACTATTTTATTAACACTCTAGCACCCAAATGCAGCCCTCTTATCTCAGCCTACATGTGCTGATAAGTTGGTATAAACTCACAACAGCTTTTGGAAAAGAATCACCTAATGTGGTTTTCAAATTTTTTTTAAAACATGACTTTTTCTTCAAAGAGTATTTTATGTAGAACTTCAATAGAATACAGCAGATATAAAATTGAGCTGCTCTGGGAAATCATTTTATCCATTCTTTCTCCCCCTCAATGGCTGACTTTTCTACTTCCTCTGGGTGATCCCAAATCACCTCCATAGTATCTTGCAGAACACTGTTTAAAAATACTTGATAAATTGCTTATAGAAGATAAATATAAACTTTCAGTTCTCTACTATTTTCTATTATATGTGATTTCTATAAATTTAGGAGTATCAGAGATATCAATCCCTTTCTCCTCGCCTTGCCTTTTTCTTGTGGAAACTTATCAGCTGTTCATTCTAAGAGATGTTGATTACAGGACATGGAAAATAAAAACTGACCCAAGATCCACAAACCTAATTTTCTCTCTCAGGAGTTTAGAAATGGTATACCAAACATGGTTACTTGTATTGAAAGATTATGTGATTTTGTCACTGAGTTCACTATTTTGGGGTTCCTAGGATGGAGCCACATGCAAACCAGTGACAGGACAGAGTAGTAGAAAGCAGAAATGGAAAAAGGAGGCTCCTAGCGGTGATGAGAGGTATGGGGGAGGGAGGAGAGGGAAAAATCTGCCTTGGTGCTTGTCTGCTTCCAGGACCAATAGTTGCCTCAAGTATTATAACCAGGCCTATGGGTTGTGAAACCTATAATGCATTTTTGTGTGTGTTTGTTTCTTAAGGAAGAATTTGTTTCTAAGACATTAGCTACTTTTTCTATTAATTTTATAAATATGGAGATATGATGAACACACATCGTAACAAGTTAAAGTGCATAGCGATTGGTAATAGAAGGTTGAAAGCTGGGGATGGATTTGGGTGCAGGCTGTACTTCCCTTAGTTGAGGTGAGCAAAGTTCATGGTAGCGGGAAAGATTCAACAGTTAATGAGAAAGATAAGTGAGTCAATTGTGACTGAAAATATTAGTGAAATGATTGGAATTTCAATCAAGGTGTTTTGGGGGAACAATTAGAGTTAGACTATACCTAGTAAAATATTTTGTTAGTTTGTTTTCTATTTATATTTTTCCTGTCCTCCATAGTAAGTCTACATGAGTTTCTAAAATTTGAAATTACTTTTGTAATTAAGATAGATGCATATCATGTAAGGACTATATGAGAAAAATTTAAAATCCAAGGCAATGTACTTCCAAAGACATAAAATAAAGGATATTTATTTTTCAGGCAAAAGTTACAAAACCACAATCAAAAAGGAGAGATATACTATTGGTTTCTCAATTCGAATATAAATAAGTTGTCTCAATTTTCTTTAAAATAAAGAGAAAGATGAAGACCCTATTCTACTTCAATATGTGTTTAAAGTGTGGAGTATAAGCTTTAAAGTAATTCTCATTGGAAAGTTAAAAAGTATGTGACTATAAGAAGTAAATTGCTTATGTAGCTTGCTCTTCAAATAGGAAGGGTTTTTTTAGTGTTGAAAGATGGATGCAAATATAAGTTGTAGGAAGTAACCTTTTATTATCTTAGCTTTCTGTTGTAAAATGGAATAGTTAATGTAACTGGGCTAATAAAAATCTTAAACCCTCTTAATACTCATTGTTTGACAAATAATATTGCCTCATCAGAAAAATGAAAACTTCTAATCGTGCTGTGGCTTAAGTTTTCCAGGCTTTGATGAACAAGAAGTGACCCACAGTAAAGCAAAATGAGTAGAGTATAGTGGAGACTTTACTGTAGAATTATAGACAAATGTATGTTTTCCAGTGTGGATTTTGTTCCTTTGGAGTACAACTCCTGAATTTTCTGAAACACTCTCATTTTCAGAAATATGCCTTTCAGTATTAGAGTTCAGCAGCTATTTGTGTAGTTGAAAATATCTTATTCCTCCCAACAATTTATATAAAGTTTAAATAAGATTTTATTTTTACTGGCAATCTGATTTTAGGTATTCACCATTGTAAGTCATAAGCCATTAGTACCTATTTAAGGAAAGGAGCCATGCTCAACTAGTTGAAACTGCAGTAGATGCTTCAGCATGTCTTGCATGGTAACAGCTGCATCAACATATACTTGATAATCATCCAGAAAATTTATGTCGTCAGTTGTCAGCTTTAAAGGCCATAGCAGTACACATTTTATAAAAGCACACTAAAACTATTAAAATTTTTATAAAATAGTAAACATTCATATAGTCCAAATAGTAGCTTTTATTACAGTTATGAAGGCTATTGTTAAATTCCCCCCACACACTCACTGAAACACACACACAACACATGCATGTGTACACATTTTTAACACACGCTCAGAACTGTACATAACGTCTGGGACACATTGTGAAGAGATACCATGCCAAATCAGTGACAAAATGCAGAGTCAGCAAACTACTGGTTATATGCGAATGCAAAATGAAATATCCGCAGTTTGGATTTTATTTTTTAATGTGCAGTTCATGTGACTTTTTTTAAATCTAGATAATTTTTCTATTAACTGTCTAAATTGTAAAAGGTTAAGAGGGCAAAGAAAAATAAAAGCCAATGACAAATGTGATTATTTTCCTTTTATCAATGGTATTTATTGAAAGAAATATCTATTGGCTTGCCAGGATCCTTTTAAAATTGAAATTCTTCAAGATATGAAGTAGTACTTTAATATATAAGACATTCAGAATTTATTATTTTTGTCTAAAGTGATTATCAGCTTCTCTTTATTGAAATGACATTAATCACATGCTCACTCTTTGTGAGAGTATTAATTTAAAAAGGAAATTCTTAGTAAGTTGCCATTATTAATTTCATGGTTAAAATGATTATAAATAGAAATTATAAAATTACAAGGTCAGCAGGTTTGTATATATATATATATTTATTATTATTATTATACTTTAAGTTTTAGGGTATATGTGCACAATGTGCAGGTTAGTTACATATGTATACATGTGCCATGCTGGTGTGCTGCACCCATTAACTCATCATTTAGCATTAGGTATATCTCTTAATGCTATCCCTCCCCCCTCCCCCCACCCCACAACAGTCCCCAGAGTGTGATGTTCCCCTTCCTGTGTCCATGTGTTCTCATTGTTCAATTCCCATCTATGAGTGAGAACATGCGGTGTTTGGTTTTTTGTCCTTGCGATAGTTTACCGAGAATGATGATTTCCAATTTCATCCATGTCCCTACAAAGGACATGAACTCATCATTTTTTATGGCTGCATAGTATTCCATGGTGTATATGTGCCACATTTTCTTAATTCAGTCTATCATTGTTGGTCATTTGGGTTGGTTCCAAGTCTTTGCTATTGTGAATAGTGCCGCAATAAACATACGTGTGCATGTGTCTTTATAGCAGCATGATTTATAGTCCTTTGGGTATATACCCAGTTAAAGCATAAATCATGAAAGTTTCTTTACATAATTACATCTTATACTTCTCCTATAAGATGGCCAAGAATCATTTGATTCGTGATTAACCTTCTGAAAGTTTATACTGAAAGTTCAAAGAAGAGTATATTTAACATTTTTCCTAGGAGCCACACAAAATTATTGATTCATTGTTTTAAAAATTATAAAACTTTAAAATATTTATCTGTGAATTGTAACTGGTTGAATTTTTTTCAACTAATAGAGACAAACATAGATTACTTTTAGATACAGAAAAACAAAGACAATTGTCAGGTGTGATAATGTCATACTTTAGTCATAATTTTTTAAATAAAATGTGCTTAGTATTTAGGAGGAAGTAAGGAGTCAGATTTTCCGAGAACTGTAATGAATCTAGGGTGTTCATTTTGTCCATCTCTTCGTCTACTATTTTTCTCACTATTGACTTTCTTCTTATGCAAAAACAGGGAAAACTTAATTTGGTCTTAAATGCTTCCAAAAGGGATTGCATTACATACAATCGTGAAGAATTCCTTTGATGAAAGATCCTCAATGTTAGGAAATTCTTCCTGTGTTTAATTATTTTTTTTAACTGATTCAGCTCTATATAATTCTCATCCTTTGAAATGGCAATCTTCCCACGTGCCATGAAGTCAGGGCACAGTATTCTCCTTTAAAACACTGTTGTTTCCCCCTTTGAGAGATAATTTATAACTACACACATTTATTCAAAAACTTGCAACCTACTTGCTGAATTAGCCAAACCACCTAGGTCACGTTGCATTGAGTGTGTCTTTCCTCTTCTCCTTGTCTAATGTAGAATCTCAGTATGGACTCAGATCCTGACCCTGAAGATAATAGCAGTCTTGTTGAGTGAGATAATGAGTCTCCTTATTTAGGGCTCCATTTTTAAGTACACTGTGACTAGTAGCTAGCATTTCTTATGACAGCATCAAATCCTTTCCATTGGATGATCTACCTCTATGGAACACTTGCATTTATAGCATCATATTCTTGTAAGTGGGCAGCAAGAAGCTGCCCACAGAAGTTCCTTTCCAAATTCTATTGTTCAACTGAGGCCTAGGTCTGGAAGAACAATTCAATCATCATTATGTACCACCAAAATATGGGACATAAAACTCTAAAAATAAGACATCTGTGAAAGCTATTTTCTTTCATACATATGGTTTGTTTAAGGGTTTGTACTTTTTAAGCTTTATATATTATTCTGGCACTGCTGTGTGCCAGAACAACACATACCCAGCAGCAGTTAATATTTGTAAGCTGGGTTTGTGCAGTTGTGTCTAAATAGCCTTCATTTAGACATTTTGAGGTAAGAATATGTTTAATCATTTCTCATGAAATTAGCATTAATACTTTTTCATTATTAAATATTCTTTTGCTGGATTATACCTTGCCATACCTGGGCAAGAAGTAGAATTTTAATTTACACAAGTAATTTCAAGAAAGTTAGTGGTGTCCCTAAGGTGTGAAATTAATTCAGCACGGATTGTGGTTGAATGGTATATGTTTATAGTCCATACAGTCACTTACAATAATTTAAAATTATTTTTAACATGCTTTTTCTTTTATTATATATGTCAATGTGAAACAAGGATATAACAAAGTGAATTTAATAAGTATGAAAAGAGAGTTGTGCAACATATTAAATAGAAAAATGAACATTTAGAAGTTTTTATCATGAGATTAACTTTACTATGAATTCCTGAAAAGTGTTTACAAATTTACTTTTATTTAGAAACACTATTCATATGAAATTAGAACACAGAATACCTGGAAGAAGTACTCTGAATAAAGTTTGGAAATAATAAGTATTCGATAAATTTATTTCTAATCTTATTTAACTTTTTCAATATAATTCAGCAGAAAACATAATCTTAGGCATTCTTCAATTAATTCAAAATTGAATCAAAAATTTATTTTAAAAATGTAATTAGGGATTGAAATGAGTCAATCTCAGAGCTTTACCTTGGAAATATCTAACCAGATTCTCTGAAAGCATTACTCAACATGTTTAGTAGGGTTACATTAAAATTAAAACAGTAGTAGTGGAGGTAGAGGTAAGGGGAGAATTCATGGTTCAAAAATTTGTGGACACCTGGACTAAACATGGTTATCCTTGTTAACCAGGCCCTCCAAATATAGGACTTCTTTAAACTAGGGCTGGAAGATGGCTGTTGTGTTGGACTGAGTTTCTCACATTTACTGATCTTTGGAATCCCTTTTTCACCTGTCATTTCATGTGGCCAGTGCTCTGAAATTCTCACTTCTTCACTCATCAATCAACTGGACAGAAACCCTAGAAGCTAAATATTTTGAGTGGGTAGGCCAAAAAAAAAGGTGGCAATTAAAGTTTTAGCACTATATGAAAAAGGCAAGATTAGTTTGGTTTCTAGTAGTTGAATTTAACATTGATGCTTTTTTTAATTGTTTTCAAAAGCAGACATGCTGTTGAAGTTTACAAAATAAAATATAATGTGGGAGCTATGAAATGAAATGTCTTTCATATTGAACATAAGAGAACAAATTGCACAGTGATGTAAGTTTCAGGTCTCAGAGATTTAAGTGGATCATTAAAAATTTGAGAGCTTGGCTGGAGACAGAGTCAAAAGCCAGGACATACAGAACTCTGAGAAAAGTCTCTGAAACTACATTGGTTTAATTTGTTGAATAAAATAATATTTTGTACATAATCATGCTATTTAAAAAGACAGACTATTTTACAAATCTCTTCTAAAAAACAAACAATATAAGTCATCATAAATGGAACATGAAGTATTACCTGAAGTGTCCAGCCCAGATCATTGGGAACATATTCAGATATTGAGTTGGGTTTAGTTTGAGGGCTGGGGAAACAGGGAGTCTGCCATGCAGGTCCCATTTAGAATTGTCCCAAAGGATACTTAGAGTAGTCCCCCTTGTCTGCAGGAGATGTATTCCAAGACCCCAGTGGATGCCTGAAACTGTCGATAGTATTATAACAAACCCTATGTATACTCTTTTTATCCTTTACATACATATGTATAATAAAGTTTAACCCACAGATATAGCCTCTTCAGTAATTTTTGTATGTTTGAGTCCAAACCTATTCCTGAATCTGTGAAATGTCCTTTACCTGCAGTAATGGCTTGGGGTCACCAGTTTCAGGAGATCCCTTGCTGAAGTCTTACAGGTTCAATGCTTTCTGGTACAACACATGGTCCTCAGTCAGAACATGTTTTCTGTTCATGTCTTCCACACACAAATTTAATGTCTTTCCCATCTTAACTAAGAGCTTATCACATGCTGTGGCTGTGATTTTTGTAGTTTGAGGTACGACAGCAAAGCCAGCATGAATTTATTTTTTCCTTCACAATTCTATTGATAGGAGTTTTATATTCTTACCATAGATGTTAGCAACTTCATCATACAATATTTTTTTTTTCTTTTTAAGTTGAAAACTTTCCCCATTTTACTTAAAGGAAGCACTTTGCAGATTCTTTTTGGTGTATCCAAGTTGCCAACCTCACTATTTTTGGGCTTTGGGTCCATCATTAAGTAAAATAAGTGTTACTTAAACACAAGCACTGAGATACAGTTGATCTCATAACTGAGAGAACCATTAAGTGACTAATGGGATGGGTGCATCTACAGCATGGATATGCTGGTCAAAGGGAAGAGTCACATCTCAAACAGCATGGTATGAGATTTCATCATGTTATTCAGAGTGGCCCACAATTTTAAGCTTATGAATTGTTTATTCTGGAATTTTCCATTTCATATTTTCAGACCATGGTTGACTGCATGTAACTAAGACTGCAGAAAGTAAAACCTTAGATAAGGGAAGGCTACTCTACCAGTATGGGACTCTTAACACTTTTTCCACGTGGCTCTGGGTGGGGCTGAGGCCTTTTAATTAAAAATTACTCCAAGGATTCATCATTTTAAGAGGAAAAAACACAAAGGATCAAATGAAGTAGTTTATCAATTAGAGTGGAAAGACAAATAGAGCAAAAAGGTATAGAAAGTTTCAAAAGGTATGGCAGAAAATAAGATCAAGGTAAAGATAATTTAAAAGTCAGTCTGAACCAGTCTCTATGTCTGGCTTCCCGGGTCTGAGCTTGTAGTTAGTGTGGGAATCTGAGCTTGACACAGGAAGCTTTCTCATTGTAAACAGCTCAACTGATGTAGTAGAAAGACCCAGCCTTCAAGTTGGACAGACAGTTTGGTTTTAAAGCCTAGTTCAGCAGTTTACTCTATTTGTATTCTGCAACCTATTTAATTTACTTGAGGCTCAGGTTTTCCATTGGTGAAATGGATTTATTGTGGAGATTACAAAATTTTAAGCAAATGTCTAGCCCCACATATGTTTAAATATTTTACGTGGCAACTTTTCCAAGGATGAATTGCTGAAGGAGGTTATGCCATTTTCTTTAAAAGAAAACCCTAAAATATTCTAACTTGAATACAAATTTACTTTTTAGTTTCATCAGGAACTACGCAGATAAATTAACCTCACAGGCATATACAGCTTTAGGAACAAAACTATATGTAAAGTAAGATATTACATGAAATTTTTTTTCTAAACTTTGCATATATTTGTAGAGAGATCACAGTTTATACAGAAGGTATTTTTAATACACGGTATTCTAATAGTAGGCTTAGGAGAAATAAAATCAGTCAAGTATTCTAGAGCAAAAATTGAATCTTAGCAGAATTACTCCTGGATGCCATGAAACAGTCTTTAATTTTTATGTTATCCACAATAATAAATGCATTACAGGCTCTCAAAATATATTGTTCATTCACTTAATAATAATGGCATGTTATTTTGTGTTGCTTACAGAAAGGTGTATTCCACATGAATGTAGCAAAGTAGCTCCTATGTTTATAGATCTTAATTCCCTTTATTTGAGATTACATATAATTTCATCACTCCTGGCATTGTTCTCTTCTGAGGATAAGCAATAGTTGACTCCACTCCAAATGTTTGTGACATTTATACATGACTTTTACTTATACTTTTTGTTTCAATTTTTGCCAGGATGATTGGAGGAACATGGGATAATTGTGAGAAGGTAGGCTGGGATAAGGCCTAACTGTAGATTCTTTTTCATGATTTAATTCTTCTAGGTAAGGTTATTAAAGACTGAAACACTTCACGTCTTCTTTTATATCATGTTTTTACAGACTATTAAAAAATGACCTCAACAAGCACAAATACAAATAAAACAATTCATATTCATTTCCACAGGATTTACTGTAATGCTGTGTTTTTTGTTAATTTTAGCAAGATTCGTTTCAATATGGTTGATGATTACTATGTCATCTGAATAATGTTTAAAAATGGATTTCAAGTTCTGATCTCTCAAATATGTGCTATTATTTCTGGCTACAGGATTTAGAACATAAATAAACCTTACCTATTTGTTTACTATAAAAATTAGGAATGTCTTAGACAAGTATTCAGAAGGTAAAAATGACATTTTAACTAACGTATTTGTGTATTAATTCATACAAGAAATAGCAATTGAATACAGTAGGCCCTCAATATCCATGGGTTATACATGCAGGGATTCAACCAACTATGAATCAAAAATATTTTTAAAAATAATTTGAAGAAAAATAAAAATACAGTCTAGCAACTACTTACATAGTATTTACATTATATTAGGTATTATAAGTAATCTAGAGATGATTTAAAGTATATAGGGAGAATTCCCCACAAACACTGAGGGATGACTATATTTGTTTTAAACAAAGTGCTGTCTTGTGATACCATGTGGGCTATGAAAATGAAAATTCAGCATAACTTCAAAGAGTTTTTAGCAGACTGGGAAAATAAAATATGTATGAAAATAATTATTGTACTGCCAAAACCGGCAAGTACATTAAGAGAGATAAAGATACATACTATTGAAATTTAAAGTAATTCTAATATCTGGGGTGATTTAGAGAAACTTCATAAAGAAGGTACCAGTACAATGAAGTCATTAAAAATATATGAATGTATGGAAACATAATCAAAATAATGGCTTTTTCAGGCAGGGCAGGGAATCTACAAAGAGCAAAGACACAGTGAAGAGAAATCTCAGGAAATGTTTGGGTAATAGAAAGAAGCTTACTTTTATTGAAATAAAGTTTTTTGTGGATATATAGTAAAAGAAAGGTAGAAGGTTAGATTGGAGTTTCACAGATTGCTAAACTTGAACACCAGTTTATTCAGTAGAAAATAGCAAGCCATTAAAGATTGTCAAAGTGGAAAAATATGTAATCAAATCCATGCTCTAAGAATATAATTTTGACATTAGAAATTGAAGTAAAGTGGAGAGACATGGGGTTAGAAACAAGGAGAGCACTTAGGAGAGGGTTCTTGGGAATGGTTCTGTACACTCAAGCTGCTGCTGGCAGAGGCTAAATGCCACAGAAGCTAGAGGGGAAGAATCAGCTAACCTTTGGTTATTGAATAAGTTTACAAAGGTGACCATCAAGTGACTTAGCAGGACTGACCCTGAGAATAACTATGTAATTTTTTTAAATGGCAAATGCAGGGGAAACAGGTTTATGTGAAAGAAATAGGGACGATGACCACTTCAGACATGTTTAACTAAATATGCTATGTGAATGCATCAAGCTTGTAATATACATGAGGCACTTTGGGGTTGATCCTGGGGTTATGGGCATAATGGTGAGCGAGAGGGACTATGGAGGACTTAGCTAACCCATAGACCCCCCTTTTTCATTCTCATTACACACACAGAAATTTTATAACTTTTAAAACATATCACCTAGCTGAGAAAAAAAAAGTCTCAGGTTTCATCAATGAAAATGTGGCAATCATGTAGGTTGATACCACAGAAGCATATGGGGGTATCTATCCCAGAAAGAGTACCTAGTAGTGTAGTAATGGGATTTTAATATCTACATGGGAAAAAATTCAATGTTCTGCTAAGTTATGAATTTGGAACTATGTCTTGGAGTCTGGCATCACCTCTTTGCCAATGCAAAGTCATTGAGATCCATGCCAGCTATTTTTATGGGTTGTGGATTTGTGACACATGAGTATTGTGGAAACCCAAATTAAGAAATTAAGGTAGAAATTTGTTCAATAATTGATAAATTCCACAGGGTAAGGGCAGAAAGCAATCAGATTCTTTCGATAGGATTGTTTAAATAATTCAAGATGCTCATAGAATTCCTACAGAAACTAAAATTGCCATGAAAAGGCACTCACAATAAAAACTATAAAGCACATGAGAAAACAAGCTAACTTAAGGAAAACAAACACAGGAGACAACGAAAAAAACTTTAGCAGAACAGAAGGTAACAGAACAATCTGAAAAAGATTATAAGTTAACCACATGAAATGTTTATAGAGGCAAAGTAAGAACATAAGACTTAAAGTATAATAATAATAAAAAAGATATAACATCTTTGTGGATGAGAAAAATAAAATTCAGAAGATGGATAAACTTGAAACAATTTAGCAGTCTAACAAAGTATAATAAATAGCAAAATCATGTATTTGAAATGAATCTTTAAAAAATTCACAATGCAAGCAAAAAAAAAAAAACCAGATCTTTACAGAAAACAAAATTAGTATTTGACAAAATGAAACATTATCTCTAAATGGGAATATATTCATTAAAATACAAAAGTGAATGAATTAATTGAACAGCAGATTACATGTCGCCAAAGGGAACAACAGATTATGTGCAGCTTAGCCTGCAATTAAGATTTGAGAAAACTGTAAGAGTGAAACCCAGAAAAATAAATTAATAGAAATTGTAAAAGTAAGGTTAGTAGAAAATGCCTAATAGAATTTCCATATGGAGTAAACAGAGAAAATAGATATGAGAAATATGTTTGAAAAGGTAGTACCTTGAGAATTTTCTAGAAATTAGGAAAAGCACTGTTAATATTGAAGAAGTATAGCAGATCCTGAGATAGCTAATAGTAAAATGCAGATAAGATAGAAACAGATAGAACAGTAGAGAAAAAAATAGACTACCATGAAAGAATTAGCTTGACAGTAAAATTCCTATCAGCAATAACTGAGACCAGAGACAGTAAAATAATATATTCAATATGCCAAGATAACTGTCAACATAGAATTTTATACCTAGTCAAACTATTGCTCAAGAATGAAGATGAAATGAAACCATTTGCTGACAAAACAGTCTGCAACATCTACCAGACTCTTGCTGAAAGAACTACTATGTATTCACTTAAGTCAAAAACATTGAACCAGAAATAAGGAATAAGATGAAAAAAATAAATGGAGCAATTGGAGTTTGCAGCTTCAGAAAAGTAGAAATCATTTGGAACGGGTCTGGGTAAAACTTAACCACCAGGCAATCAAAGCTGAATGAAAATATTATGGCATAGTTGTGAGGAAATTCCTGAGATTAGTTAGATACGGTCAGGTCCATGTAATATAACTTTTTACACAAGGGAATCAGTAGAGCAATCCAGGTGATGCAGTATTGCTAATAGTTGAGTGATTTTCAATGTTGGCAGTATAATAGAACTTTAAAAATTATATAAAATAATATCTTGGTGGTTGGATTTCATCCACTAGGTTTCTGGTTTAATTGTTTTGGAACATATCCTAAGCATCAGTGTTTATCTTTTTTAAAGCACCAAGGTGATTCTGTGCAGCCAAGGTTGAGAACCACTGTAATAGATTGTTGGAGAAGAGCAGAAGTCCAGAAGCTGGCTTTGGCCGCTTGTCAAATAAGAGAATTCAGTTCATATTCATGACGGTAGAGGCCTTTTCTCACTCAGGAAAAGCAGCTTGACTTCTTTAGAAAGAGTTGACAACCTTTTTCTGTAAAGTTCCAGACAATAACATTTTAGGTGTTGTGGGTCAGATGATTTCTGTTGCAACTGCTCAACTCTGCTGTAGTGTAAAAGCAGCCATAAATAAGTATGCAAACAGATGGGCATGGCTGTATTCTAATACAATTTTATTATTAAAAGAGTAATAGGCAGGATTTGGTCTCTGGGCCTTAGTGTACCAACCTCTGCTTTAGAATGTTAAAGTATACAGTTAAGGGAACATAGCTGAGAACCATCACATTAGCCTTGGAGAAAGTAGCCGCATGCGTGACTAGATCAAAACAGTGTTCCCTCACAAGATAGGGAAGAGCATATGAACATGAAATGAGACAGTGTGAAGATCTCAGAAACACAGGCATGGAAATGTCCTGGAGGGAAAGTGTGAATAAATAAAAATGCCCACATAAAGAGTTAAGGTTCTGTCAATAAAGTGGTAGCTGTGGCCAAATAATAATTTGAAAATGCAGGAGAGGTTTGTTTTGTTTTGCATTTATGTTTGTTTTTCACATTTAGAAGGAGAACATGTAAATAAATACCTTGGATTTTCTATTTACTCACATCTAGATGTTTTGGGTTCAAAAATCAATGTATTTATATATTAGCATGTTATTGTAATCATTACATTTGTATTAAAACTTTTTCTCCTTTTCCATCCTTAGCCACCTTCTCCAGTGTTATGTTCATTTAAGAACATTTTATTTTCACACATCTTGATTAAATGTACAGATTATCTAAAGCATAAACTTAGATTATAGTGATTGGAATAACGGAGGGATGAGCTTCCTGTCTGGCATAACTTTCCAATTTTACTTGAATTTATCCTCTTTTATCCTTTTCTATCCCTCATAACTGCTTGAATGGCTTATAAAACTATTTAATACTAAAACATGTTTTAATTGACATTTTAACACTTCTATAATTTTTGTAACCTAATTTGGTTACATCTTAGAATCAATAGCTATGTACTGAATCATTGAATATGTATTTTATTTTTCTACTCCAAAGACTGTTAGGAATTTCATAGTGCATCTTCAAATCAATAGCATATTAGAATTAAGGAAATAGGATATTTCTTGTGTTTTTGCCTCTACCTTTTCTCTGGCATCTGCTTCCACTGCCCCCACAGAGTTATATTTCTGGGAAACAAATCTGATCTTGCCACTACCTTACGTAATAATTTTCAGTGCCTCAAAACACTTTTGAGTGATCTCAAAGTCCAGACAACTTGGAATGGCGTTCAAAGGCTTTGCTTTCTAAACCCTTTCATATTGTGACCCCCATATTCGATCTCCAGCCTCATTTCCCACCATCCCTCTCCCTTTTATGCAGCTTGCTTCATTCATTCCTAAATATCATACTCGTTATGCATTATTTCAATACAAGAATTGTAAATGTCTCTGAAGTAAGTTTAATAAAATGGGATTGATGTTGAGCTGGAAATAGCTAAAGCAGGCTTTTCCTAAAGCTTAATTATTTAAGATTGAAATGGATGTTTGTCTTTGCAGGAAATGCTTGACTTTTTAATGTTAGAATGAGTTACAAAAGAAGCTTATAGAATATCTTAATTCTAAGCCTTCTAAACACACTAGACACTCTTCTGTTTGGAATGATTTAGGTAAACCCATGAGAGAGAGAGAAAAAATGAACTCTGAGGCTATGCCCAGTTCCAAGACCTTTGGATGATTAATGGCTGTACCTAAATGAGGCCAAAATATCCAGATGGGAGTAAGAAGAAAAATTCAGTTAGTTTACTACATGATCTCCTTGTATGTTTCCAAAGACCCAGATATTTAACAGTTGAGTGTATGTAATTATTTTAATAAAACCATATATTTCACTGGTATTTTCTGCTTTGAATGTTATATGTTGCTATGGTATGAATAACTTTACCAGATAATCACTTACTATTTATCCCCATCTGTCATCAAAAACACATATCAAATTGTAATTATTATAGAAAGATAAAAATGTGAGCTGATTGAAAATGCTTCAAACTTCATTTGGTTTGGTCCAATGACAAAATAATAATAAAGTAATAGTGCAAAATAAATTTTCTTGATGCAGTTTCAGCTAATTCTTAATTTTTATAAAATGGAAATGGCTTATTTACCATATGCATATTTATAAGGCTGTATTTTTAATTTAGGTATGTGTCTTGTGCTCTGGGCTGTCCATATGAAGGAAGTATTACACCGCAAAAAGTGACAGAAGTAAGCTACATCTTCAGCTTTTTTGGTTTATGGTAACATGATATATATTATTTTTAAAAGGGGGCTTTCTTAATATTTATTGAATCTGCATAGCATGAAGCCATGGATTAAGAGGCGAACCCTGAAGACATATTTGATCACTTAACTAATAGTTTCATTTTAACAGTGAAGTCCTGTACATTGGCTATAACTTTTCAACGTTAAGGGACAGTTGAGTCCTATAATTTGGGTGCTCAAAGGTGGAAGGAATAAAAATATACATTTTGTTTTTTTGTGGCTATAACGTAGTGAGTGGCCTTTCCAATCTCCATCAGAATGTCAGGGCAGTTTTTGGAGAAACACTTAAACTTTCCTTGGTTGCTTAGGCAGCATCCCTGTTTTGCTCCTGCATACTTTGGCCCGTTATATCAGAATATACACTACTTTTGTGTTCTTGTCCTTTTGTGATCCTGGAGATCTTACTGCTGTGATTAAGTTGCTGTTATTCCAGAACAATTTTACAGCAATAGGTTATAGTCATTAAGGCCCTGATTACTGAAGTTTATTTTCTTCCTGTCCTTTATTATTTATTTATACCAATGAATACAAAATGCACTGTCTTTGAGATTATATTAGTTTCAGAAATTTATTTGTATATAAAGTATATTAATGTAGACCTGTTTTTAAGGTTAATTTTGACAAATTTATTAATTTTTGAAAAATTTTGCACCAAAGCAGTGAAGACGGCCTTATAAGAAAATCCAAATTTAGGCAGGATAAAGTTTCAGTTTAGCTAAAGCTGTTCCTCTTTTGTGCTTTCATTTGAACTTTTGGAATCTACTGCAGATTTTTCAAATGAAACATATCCTTTTATCTATTATTTACACAAGACCCTTGCACACAGAGGCACATATACTATAAAATAACACAATTCAGATTTTTTAGGTTTTTCACTTGCATGGGACCCTTCCAAGGCTGTCATTAATTTGCATTCACAATTGTATATATATTTTTTAAGAATACCTCCAAAGGGCATAACTTCAGGCTGGCCCCACAAAACCTGGATCCACCTTTGCTTACCAGCAGACTTGCTTTCTTCCTTTTGCTGTGCACCACGTAGGAATGAACCACACACACCTTGGGTGAGGATCTCCATTTCTGTACCCGAACGCCTAAGGTGCTACTGCAGAGTCATGTAACAGGAATAATTCAGGACCAGAAACTTTAAAGGGGCCTTTTGTGTGATTCTAATACATTTTGTGCTTAACTCACTCTCTTCTCTCTGAAATTACTACTTCAAACTGTGATTACTCTGTTCAGGCCTCTGGTCCTTCCCCTCATTGTCTCCCTCCTCAGTTTTTGCTTTCTCATTACACTGTCCTTTGCATTTAGCTTTTTCCCTACCTGGAATGTTCTTTGCATTTTGTATGTCAGCTGCCTGGAAGCCATTAACATTTGCATCTGATATTCTTCCTAGAACATTCTTCTCAGGTCCTTCCTTCTCACCCTCTTCAACGAGTTAGTAAGCACTTTATAATAAAGCTTACTTTATTTCAAGTTGTCACATAGGTCCTAAGCTTGACAGATCCAGGTCAATTTCCTTTACTACATGCTCTTAGAATCCTGTTTCTTTGTTTGAAAATTCTTATTTTTAGCTGGTATTTATTTATTCCTCAGTAGGGTTGACTAAGATCTATCCTCACTTGACTTCAGGATCTGTAATAACATGAGCCATGTCAATATTCATTTCCCCATTATATCCTGGGACCTAGCACAGCACCTGCCATAAAATAGGTATTGAAGAAATGCATATTAAATGAATGAGCGAATCAGTATCATGTGCCAGATTGTGTGTCAAATGGCTTTTATACATTCTCATTTCACTTTTACAACCAAACACATCATTATTAAAATTGTTTTTATCTTTTTTTTTTAAGAACAGAGTAACCAAGGCTTAGAAAATATGCTAAAAGAAGGTGTTTTGTTGTCTGTATTCTAAAGATTAGGGATTGAGGCTTAAATAGACTAATCTTCTGCCCAGTGTCACATGATTAGGATGCGTGGGAGCTGAGATTTAAATTCAGACCTCTCTGATTCCAGAACCCATGTCTTTGTCAAAATACCATGCTGCCTTTATGCATTCATATTGCTCTTTGAAAGTAACATTATTCAGCTTAAAGAGATCTTGCAATTTACCTCAAAGTATATATATTTATGAGCCAGATAAATTAGACCAGAAATATTAAATGACTCTACCATTTGCAAAGCTACTTAGTGAAAGAGCTGAACTTAATATAGTTGATCCATGAACAATTTGGAGGTTAGGGACACCACACTCCACATGCACAGTCAAAAATCTAGGTATAACTTTTGCTCCCAAAACTTAACTACTAATAGCTTACTGTTGAGTGGGAGCCTTTTAGATAATGTAACCCACCAATTAACACATATTTTGATTTTCGTTATCTTGAAATGGTGGGCAAATGTAGCTGGAGACCTCAATCTATGATGCGTATTGAGCAATTCAGCTTTCTCTCATGTCATGACTTTTTTCTGCTTCTTGGGAGCACTTCCAGCATCACTAGTTGCACTTCCTATGAGTTCATTGGTGTTATTTAAGGTTTATGGTATTTCACTAAATATAATGAAAAACACATAAGAAGTGCAAGAGATCACTTTGTCCTGCGATATGCAATTTACTGGAAAGATGAACTGTTCATACAGAGATGATTAGCATCACCAGGATTTTAAGTGGATACCCTCACTGGAGCTCACTGGAATAGCAACAGGAGGTGGCTACAAAATTATTACAATAGTTCAGTATGTACTATAATTAATTTTATGCAGTTATGATTCAGTACTGAATCATTACATGCACATTTCTCTTGAATGAGAATGGCACTATCTACAGTCTGTGTGCTGAGTTTTGATAAATTTTAACCTTTTAAAATACATTTGTATTATTTTATAGTAAATGAGAAAAATAGATTAGTATTAACACATATTTTATATAGTCATGACATACCTTTTTCTTTTTTGACATTTCTATGCTATGGGATTTGTCTGCAAGTTTTTTCAAATTGTTGAAAATCTCCGAAAAAAAATTTAATATAGTTATTTTTTAAAAAATCACGTACAAGTGGATCCATAGAGTTCAAACTTGTGTAGTTTAAGGGTCAGCTGTATATATATGTAGTGAAATATTTGTAAATTTCACATTTTTAAGGGCAATGAAGATCTCTTATTACTATTTTGACCCCTAAACTAATAGCTTGAGAAATACTACTTCCAAAGTAGATCTGTAATGCTTTGGTTTGATTATAGTGTTGAGAAACATACGCCTCCCATAATTGACATTGTAGCTTATAATTTCATAGTAGAACAAATAGCTGGATAAAAAGATAGGTAGATATGACTCTAAGGCAAACTTGAATATTAGAAAAAGATAATTGCAATAATCTCAAAGTCTTATATAATGTTTAGAATATCATAAGCAAAGAAAAAGGACCAGAAAATACATTATATATTTTTCATGGACATTACTGGTATTAGTTGTAATTTTTACCTTTAGATGATGTTAGTTGTGGCACAAGAGGGTTTGAGTCTCTTCATTTCCATTATTTTACTAGCACTTCACCTTTATCAACAGGTGTCTAAGAGATTGTACGGCATGGGTTGTTATGAGATCTCTCTAGGAGACACAATTGGAGTGGGAACTCCAGGAAGTATGAAAAGAATGTTGGAAAGTGTGATGAAAGAAATCCCACCAGGTGCTCTTGCTGTTCACTGTCATGACACATACGGACAAGCCTTAGCAAATATCCTTACGGCCCTTCAGGTATTTTGTACTCTTTGTGTGTTATGTGTGTGCATAGGGTGTTCATCTTTATCTGTAATATAAACATACTGAAAGCTGTATTGTTACAATTTTCATAAAATGTTATGAATCTAATTTTAACCAGTGTCTGTACATGACAGGCACTTGGGAAATATTTGTCAATTTCACATTTTTTTAGGGCAATGAAGATCTCTTATTACTGTTAGTTTGATTTGATAAAATCTGTAATCTATTCTTTTGAAAAGTATTAATCTTAGCAGAGTTATGTCTGCTTGTTTCTCTCCTCATATTCTATCAACCATAACATTCAGTAGACTGAAATACGATGGCATTTTGAGCAGTGCAAAACACAAAAATAGTAGACTATCATAATCATGAAACAATGCTTTCTTTGGTGATTTCATGCTCTATGATGGGAAGATCTGGTGCTGAAATATAGTATATTTTGCTTAAAATGTTTTCTTGAGGTTGGCAAGCTTACTTTTGACAGAACTTATGTCTTTTAATCACTATATTCCATTATATGATAAAGTGAAGAGATCTAGAAAGTTGGAAGATTATGAATTGCTTATTATACTCTGTGTTATTTTAAATGTATTCATTTGAAAGAATAGCTGTAAGTAGCATTAAACGAGTATTATTTTAAAATTAATGTCAGTTTCTTAAATGCAGCTAAAAATGATTTGTTTGATATTCTCAGAATCCAAGATTTTGACAATCAGAGATAAGACTATATAAAAGCTTTCTGGTTGGAGGCTGAAAACCAATATGTAAACTTAGTATCACAGTCCTAAAGTATACAGTTGCTTGGCAGAAGTTAAAAAACAATGGGAAGATCAAGTTCCACAAGGGCTTATTTTGACTTTGTAACATATGTGTACAAATCCTTATTTATCCTCTGGCAGCAAGAAAAGAACGTTCTATTGAATCACAGAAAAAAGAAAATGTTATTCCATGGTCTTTGGGGCATGGGAATTTTTGCAATTTTCCTTCCCTAGGTATTCTAGTTTCTGAAACAATAGAAAACTAGGCAGCACTTCAGTATCCTGTGTTCAGCTGCAACTGGAAGTTATTTTTCTGAAGGGCTGTTTCTCTCTCTCTCGTTTCTCTGTATGAATATATCTTCTATATTTTAACACTTTGAGTAATCATTTATTTGTGTAGCATATTTATTATAGAATGAATAACAGTTTAGGTCTTCAGGATAAAGGGCTATAGAACAAGATCTGGGACCTGCCCAAACTTCTGCTTCTGGACTATGTCTGCCTCTTGAAAATGCCCAAGTAACAAAACATTGCTAATACCCCAATGCGGTTTTAATGGTTAAGGAAGGCCTATCTGAAGAAGTAATTGTTGCAATCATATCTAAAGAATGAGAAGGGGCCAGGCGCGGTGGCTCACGCCTGTAATCCCAGCACTTTGGGAGGCTGAGGTGGGCGGATCACGACGAGGTCAGGAGATCAAGACCATCCTGGCTAACACGGAGAACCCCCGTCTCTACTAAAAAAATACAAAAAAATTAGCCAGGCGTGGTGGTGGGCGCCTGTAGTCCCAGCTACTTGGGAGGCTGAGGCAGGAGAACGGCGTGAACCTGGGAGGCAGAGCTTGCAGTGAGCCGAGATCGTACCACTGCACTGCAGCCTGGGCGACAGAGCAAGACTCCTTCTCAAAAAAAAAAACAAAAACAAAAACAAAAAAAACAAAAACAGAAGGAACTAATCCTAAAATGGTGTGTATGTGTTGTGGTGTGTGTGTGCACGTGTGTGAAAAGAATGTTTTAAGCTGATGAAACATCGTTTGAGCAAAAGTCCTTGGAGAAGGAGAGGATTATGTCCTAGTAATTAAAAGAAGACTAATGTATTCAGATAAATTAAGGTTTATGAAATTTGCTAAATTGGTTGAATTGCATTGTCTCTATTTTCTGAGAGATTCGGACTGAAATTCTGGGCCATTTTTCCATCTTATAGCAGCCATACAGGGGACAGGAAACAACGTTGGGCCGAAGCAAGATAAGGAACATTAATGAGAACATATGTAAGGACAGGACTCCCCAAAAGACCACACCCCCAGTCAAAGGGTGAATCAGCAAAAGATCCATCCCATAAAGGGAGAGAGCAAGCATATTCATGTCTCATGGTCTCAGCTATGAGTGGAGGAGAAATAGGATGTATCTCTTTATACTACACAACGTTTTGTGGGTTTAGGGTTCAAGTTCACATACCTGCAGAACTGGAAAGACCTAAGCAGATGAGTTATTTTCAAATACTTATGGGTTAGTAGCACTGCAGGTGCCAGAAGAATATTCTTATAAAATATACATTATTAATATATACATATATTGTAATGTATTTTTATATGTTAATATATAATATATAAATATATTTTTTAAGGAACATATCTTCGGCTTACGCTAAACTATTTGAGATCTGTGTGTTTCTGTGCACGTGTGTGTGTGTGAGGGGAGAGATCGATACTGTACCCCTCAGTGGCTCCTGTGATACTAGACTGTCTGTCTAATTGTCAGGATCTGAGGATCTGTGTTTTCTGGTTTTCTACCATGTGCAGAAGCTCTGTTGTGTGCCTGGGACTCTGGGGCAGAAGGGAGGGAAGGGGGCTAGGAAAGCAATAGTATACTCTGTGTTACATTGCCCCAGGGCTTAATTTATAGCCACAGTGTAAATACATGGATAAGAGAGTAAAAGTGGTTTGCATGATAAGCAACATGATATGAGGCCGGAGAAGCTACTATAAATGAGTGACTGAGAAAATGTTCAAAAAGCAGAGATGTAGAGCTTTCTGTCTTTTCCGCCATCAGCTGGCATAGAGTTTGATAAACGCATTGATATCATAAGAAAGACATATACACAACTGCTTTCTTGAAACTGTATGTAACTGATACAGTGTTCAAATGTTTTGAAACTTTTATGTTTATGAAAAACAGCCACATGTGGTACTGGAATGTCACTGCAAACACACGTGGACTGGTCCTGAGTGGCGCTGAGTGAGGTGTTCACCAGTGCTCTCTTCTTACCCCTCTTCCAACAACAACAAAAACACAATAAGCAGGTTTAACTTTAGAGGAGAAGAAGAAAATATATTGAAGAAAACTGTCAGTGTTTGAATAGAAGGAGAATCAGAGAAAATCTAACTTCACTATGAACAGGGCCAACCTTTGCTTCAGGAAGCAGAGGCCATACTTCATTTTTAAAAAATGGAATCTTTGAAGTGGCTTCTAGTAAGATTGGTGGTGGATGTGGACTAGATATCATTTGCTTTAATTTAGGGGTGCAGAAACAGTTTACAGTGCTTCAGACTGGAAGTTAATATTAAGGCAAGGAGACATGTAATAAGTGGAAACTTAGCCACAATGATAGGAAACAAATGAAAGTTATAAATGGAACGTCCCCCTCAGTCTGGAAAGCACACACTAATAGTGTAGTAGAGGGATCTGAGGGATCTTTCTGGGGTTCCTGGGTTTTATTTTTTTTTTATTACTTAAATATATGATTTATGGGACCAGAGATTGTTGTATGGAATTCAAGAATAATTATCATATTATTTAATATAGAGAAATTATTCTGAGCATGTCGATCCCAGTGTGGGATATTTATAATCCCTCAAAACCAAAAGAGCAAGAAAATGAGGTGACAAAACGTACAGCATTTTAGTAACGGAAGAAACGGATGTGGCCCAATAAACTTATCTGAATTTTTAATGTAAAAATTTAGCTTCACCCTTCTGCCAAGTACCTAAGTAAAAGGCCAATTAACAAACTGTTTAATTAATTTCTCAGCCTCTATTTTTCTCCACTGAAATGAGGAAACAAATGAGATCCAATACTGAAATAACAGCTACACATTGATTGGTAGCACAAAGACAAAGAACAGGCAATATTTACATTTCTTCTTCTGAAGTACTATGTGCCCTTTTTTCTCTTAAGCTTAATAAACTTTAATGTGCCTTTTCTCATAATGTTTTTCATATGTTTACTATTCTCTTTTAGAAAGACCAAATTATTTACCTAATTTTTACATCAAAAGCTTTCAGTTTTTAGATTGACTCTTTTTTTATTATACTTTAAGTTTTAGGGTACATGTGCACAACGTGCAGGTTAGTTACATATGTACACATGTGCTATGTTGGTGTGCTGCTTAATAAACCATGTTTAAAAGCTACCAAATAGCAAATCTTTCTTCATATAATTTGTTTTTGAGTTTCTCAAGAAGAAATTTTTTAAATTCCCATTACTAGCCAGATAAACCTCTTTGTTTCTCAGTTCTATATTTGTAAGAATGGATGATGTAATGATGTCTGCTTCCCTGAGTTGTGCAAAACTGAGATGAGATACAGAATTTCTAGAATGATGCCTTGATAACAATACATGTGGTTGGACTGTTGGATTTTCAAGTGTGTATAACCAAGGCTCCTGAGCCACAGAAGTCTGAATGAACAAAGATGAACAAAGTGCCTTTATATATGTTTTTTACAAGTGGTTGGATTGTTTATATCAGTGGTAAAAAAAAAATGGGTATACATTTTAATACTTCTATTTGCTTTAGTTCATCTCCAACATCTTTATATTAATATAAGCATCTCTCTGATTTTGGCAATAGGTGATCAATTAGATTTTGTCTTTAGGGATAATATAATCTTCATCTATTTCTAGATATCCACAGGTAATATGGATAGTTGGAAAAAGCTGTTTCTGAGCTACAGGAAATTTTAAACTGACATTCATTTAATCAACATTTAAAAATAACACATATAAAAGTTCTGATTCTACTGTAATAAGCTAAAAATGAAAGTGGTTAATCTTCATGCAACAGACTATACTTAGATCACAAACTTCAAGCTCACCAAGAAAGTAAACATGTCTAAACCCACCCTGCCACTCCCACAGCATTTCATCCATGCTGATCAAATGGGCAAGTAGTAGAAAAATTGATTGTCAAGTGTTTCCTGAGTCGGAAAAGTAAAAAAGAATGAACACTGGATTCATCAGTAGAAGGGTTTTTTGTTTGTTGATTTTCTTTTTAATCACAGTTTAACAGTTTTTTGTTTGTTGTTGTTGTGTTTTGTAAATCATTGTTTCCATGCTTACATCAGCACCATTAATTTATGTTGGTTGATACTCTAGGATAAAAGGGTAGGCACAGGGAATAATATACATTGTGATCTCCATTCTCACAAGTCACAGCTCACTGGACCAAGGAAACTCTTCAACACGTATCTGATAGGTAGAACATCTTTTTTGGGATCCAGAGGCTGAAAAGGTCATAGGCAGAGTCTTCGAGTGCAGATATACACAGGGAAGTAAAGTCGAGGCTCATGAAACTGAGAGATTACAGGACGGAGAATATGGCTGGTAGCTTTTCACTTTCCATGGGGCCAAGTGTTATGGTTTTCTGCTTCATTTTCTTGAAATTCTCCAGTGTCCTCCTAACGGGTACTTCAATTTTTTCACTGACTTTTCCATTATCTACAGAATACGATATTGGGATAATTGCATTTCCTCATATGCAAAAGAATTCTGTTACACTAGAAGATAAATCAAAGTATATGCTCATACCCTTTTCATGAAAATTTCTTAGATTCAAAACAAATATAGTTAATCAAAATATTTTGTTTGCTTTTCTTGGCAATTTTAATTAAATTAGTGTGATTATAGTAATTCCAAAAATTAAAGATATGGATGTTTCTTTGTTTTTATCACTAATTGCACCTAGTATGACATTAATCCTAGGTTTCAGCTGTTATTTTATTTCCTTCAGACATAATATTGCAAGTTTAAAATCAGTACAACTCATTATGGTTAATTTTTACCTTTTAAAAATAAATATTCTTAATTTTAAAATGATTTTTTCTTGCTGCTATCACCTTCGAGAAAAGAAAGCCTTATCTATTAATACTATTAGTTTCTTCTCAGTCTAATATTTCTTCTTTTGGGGGCTTAAATTTGGCTTTTATAGTATAGTAAGAATTGAGGCCAGAAAATGATATGATTCTTCCCTTGGCATAAGAGATGGAAATTTCAAAACTCATTACCTTTTTGATCACCTCTTACCCATTCTGTAAATGTCTCATCTTATTAATCTTGTTTTCAATATCTTGTTTTTAACCAAATACTTGTTGCATACTTCTTAACACATATGGCCTTAATTTGGAAATTTTCTTGTTGCGCCATGGTGTTTGCATAAAACACATTAAGCTTTTTATTTTTAAACTTCTTTTCATGTTTATTTTCAATTTTTTCTCACTTGAAAGTTCATATTTACAAGGAAATTTTATGCACATACATTCTTGCCCCTGAATATAATGTAACACAGACTTTTCCTTTGGAACATTGGATTGAATTGGCCAGTGTTGTACTGAACATAAACTATTATCACATGACTGTTTTTTTAGCTTAATGTAATATAACCAGTTAATGGTTATATGCCCAGCCCTTAGACACACCACCCCGAAAACACACAATTAGAAGCACTGATAACTCCAATAGCCCAAATTCAGGAATCTCTTAGCTTTTTAGTTGAACAGCTTTCTCATATATTGCCAAAATATTTCTAACTCTGGGTTTAGACTAAATAGAAGTAATATATATTGTTGGATCACAGTGGCTCATTCTTATAAAATTACTTCTCAGTTTAGAATACCAGACTTATTTAATAGTATCAGTGAAGGTTAGGTTAAAGAATGAAAGCCAATGGAATGGAGGATGTGGAGAATTTAATAATCTTAAGTCAAACAGTTGGAACCCTCTTCTAGAAGTGACAGTTTTTTTTCCATTTACTTAAAATCTCTCTTCAATAGAGAGCATAATATACAATATAAATTATTTCTATCAATTATGACCATTTAGAATTATTTTATGAATTATTTAAAAGTACTAATTTAACCAAAAAAAGGTTTATTGGTTATCTTCTATGTGAAAGTCTCTCTGCTGTTAGGCAAACTGGTTAATTTTAAAAAAGCGTGATGAAGCATCATCCTTTTCCTCAATAATTTTTTAATCTATCTAATTAAATGTGAAAATCATGTCAAATTGCATAGTCAGGAAGTTGTATGTATCCACATTCAAAATTTCTTGTACTGACTTAACTTTTAAAAAAATCTGTGTAAGTATGATTAACTGTAAGAATCATGTATGGCTACATCTACTAAAGACTTTTCAGGTTAAGTAATACTATTTTATAAAAATTGTGTCTTTTTCTAATGGAACTTTTAACAGATTTCCCAAGAAATGTAAAAATCATAGTACCCTCTGTCCTCCTAGCCCAAAATTACATTATGCATTTTATTTTCATACATTGTATTGAAAAATTTTCTATTCTGCCCAACAGTTTATTTACCTTATATACGAGTGTATGTTTGTATGTGTGTGTGTATGTATGTATGCATATACCTAATTCAAAGAGTGAAGTGGTCTAGTATTAGGAAGGATGCATATAAGAGTAAGCTCAGGTTACTGACCTTGGAGAGTTTCCAGTAGGAGCAGAGACAAACTTAAAGTGTCATAATAACCCAGAGGAGATACTTGGAAGCAAACCTGGGGTGAAGTATTTCTTGTTTTTGTCTTTATTTTATTTTTTTTTAATACTGAAAACAGTGGACAGCTACTGGAGGTTTTTAATCAGGGATCATTTGATTAACGCTTTGTGTTAGAGAACTTAATCTAAATTTTATTTAGAAGATGGACTGTTATCCTGGGTACTGTAAAGATCAATGATAGACTGGATTAAGAAAATGTGGCACATACACACCATGGAATACTATGCAGCCATAAAAAAGCATGAGTTCATGTCCTTTGCAGGGACATGGATGAAGCTGGAAACCATCATTTTCAGTAAACTATCACACGACCAGAAAACCAAACACCACATGTTCTCACTCATAAGTAGGAGCAGAACAATGAGAACACATGGACACAGGAAGGGGAACATCACACACCGGGGCCTGTCAAGGGGTAGGGGGTTAGGGGAGGGATAACTTTAGGAGAAATACCTAATGTAGGTGACGGGTTGATAGGTGCAGCAAACCATCATGGCACATGTATACCTGTGTAACAAAACTGCACATTCTGCACATGTATCCCAGAACTTAAAGTATATATAAAAACAAACAAACAAGATCAACAAAATTGACAAACTTTTTACTAGATTGACCAGGGCAATTAAGCAATAAAAATAAATAAAAGGCACACAAATTGTAAAAAAAAAAGTACAAAAGGTCTGAAGACCAGAGACCCAGAGACTAAAGAGAACACTGTTGGAATAGTGTTGCTCCTGGTGAAAAATGATGAGGGGTGCTATGGTCTGAATCTTTGTGTTTCCAAAATGTTTATGTTGAAACCTAAATCACCAGTGTGATGGTATTAAAAGGTGAGGCCTCTGGGAGGTGATTAGGACTTCCTCCATGAATAGAATTAGTTCCCTCATAAAAGAGGCCCAAGGGAATTTATTTGCCACTTCTGCCATGTGAAGACATGGTAGGAGGAAAGAAGATGCCAAGCACCATCTACAAAGCTAAAAACAGCCCTCACCAGATACTGAGTCTGCCAGCACTTTTATCGTGGACTTCCCAGCTTCTAGAACTGCTAGAATTGTGAGAAATAAATCTCTATTATTTATAAACCACCCTGCTTATGGTACTTTGTTATAGCAGCCCAAACTGACAAGGGGGGAGATAAGGTGGAAGAATCATATGAGAGAGGTTATTCCCATGCAGAAGCAGTGAAACTAAGAATTGCTTGTGAGTGTATGTAAGGTGACGGTGATAAAAGATAAAGGTTTGGGAGAAGGACAGTGAGTGATGACTCTAAGGGTGCAAGTTTGGAAAATAGGTGGATGTCATTAAAATATTGATCTTTCCAAGGCATTGCCAGCTTTATGAGAACAGATGCAGAGACCTATTTGCTAATGATAATAATCCATATTTAATGAGTTCGTCTTCCACAGGGCCACAAACATGCTGCAGAGTTGCCCCCCGAAATATTGTGGGAATAATTTTTAGATGTATCTCAGCCTCTTGGGCAAGTAGACTTCTGGAAGGCCTGCCTGCCAAATAAAATAGTGTGTACTATGAAACCTATATTTTACATCTACTGCTTTATTGTTGACCAAAGCAGTTGTAGTGGAGTTTATTGGCTTGTTTTCCAATAATTTAAAAAATTATTTTTTAAATATTTAGAAAATATGGAAAATCACAAAAAATACTTACTTGTAATTCTACCACACAGAGGAAACATGTTAAATTAGTAAAATAAGTATTAATATATATTACATATATATTCATAGACTATATATATACACACACACACATACATATTGTGTATGTGTGTGTGTGTGTATACACCGACATAGCCTACCCTTAACTTGTGTGTATGTTAAATGTGTATGTTAATTTAACTGATCCCACTTTTGATTGGGAGCAGTTATTTTAATATAATTTTAATGAACATTCTTATTTCTAATATTTTATTCATCTTAGAATGGATTTTCAGGGAAAATATCAGATCATTAGGGGTTTTTTGATATATTATGTAAGTCAAGGGTTTTTAGAGAGGCTATTTCCAGCCTATACACTCACTAGGTTTATATAATATTGCTAAATTCAGCAAACCTCACTTGTAGATTATATTATAATATAAAATGTATGCCAACTCGATTTGCATTTGATATGCCATTTTAATTTCTATTTGCATTTGTTTCGTGGGGCTGAACAGTTCTTTCATATGTTTAATGATTATTTGTATTTTTTAAATTAATTGTTGTTCTTGTTCTTTGTCTACTCTGTATTGAAATGTTTTTTCCTCACAAATTTTAAGAGCTATTTATATAAGATATTATCTCTCAAATATTAAGGTGTCTAACATATATATGTATATATGGTAGGATTATTTTTCAAAGCTTTCTTTTGTGTTTTAATGCATATGTACTTTACATTTATATTTATTAATTTATGAATTTATTTTAAGAAACATCTTGAATGCTTACTACTATCAGATACTGTTCTAGGCACACAGCCACGATAAAAAGCATTGTCATGTCTTCAAGTAGCTCATTCTGGCAGGGGAGTACAGATGATTAAAAACACCCCCCCAACACACACACACACGCCTAATATAGAAGTACATTTTAGAGCATATTAATTGGCGATAAAAGCTATGCAAAAAAATAGAGAAAGTGCAGTAAGATACAGAAGATGGGAAATTTGGAGGGGTGGTGAAAGGGGGCAGGTTGCAGTATTTACTAAGTGGTCGGGAAGGCAATTTTAAGAAGAGATGTAAGCAAAGAACTGGAGAAGATGTGGGTATTACTCCACTTCACAACTGGGAACAGAACATCTCAGTCTGAGGGAATAGTTACAGTCAAGATTCTAACATGTGTTCAACAAACAACATGTGGCCAGTGTGGCTGGAGATAAGTGAGTAAGGAAGAGAATAAGAGAGGATCCTTGAAGGCTATTGTAAATCCTTTGGCTTTTTCTTTGAGTGAAATGGAAAAAAAAAATTACAGGGTTTTGAGCAGTCCTGGCTTGCATTTCAAAAGGGATCATTCTGACTGCTCTGTTGAGACTAGACTATAAGGAGGGGCAAATAAGAATTAGGAGACAAGTTAGAAATAATGCAATTGCAATAGTCCAGGAAACAAATAATGATGGTTTGCATAAATGTGGTAACTATAGGGGTGGTGAGCATATTCTAAGTATATTTTTAAATTTGAATTGATTTCATGATGAATTAGATGTAGAGTGTCTAAAAGGGAAAGAAAATGATCACAAAGACATTCGAGTGAGCAACTGGAAGGATGAAACTGCCATCAACCAAAATGGAAAAGGCTATGAGTGGACAATATTTGCTGGCAAATATTAGAATTTCAGTTTGGGGCATGTTATATTTGAGAAATCTGCTACACATCTAGATGGAGCTTTTGAGTAGGCAGTTGCATATAAAAGAATTGGGAAGGGATATGAAGTCTTCAGTGAGGATATAATAAGCGGCATATAGATCATATTTAAATCCAGCAGACTGTACAAGATGATAAATGGGGCACCGAGACATTCCATCCTTAAGAGATCAGAGCAGAGTAGTTTGAGGAGACTGAGAAATAGTGATTTATGAAGTAAGAGAAAACTGAGAGTCTTGAGCCCTAGAGTCTCAAAAAAGGGTTTCAAGAAGAAAGAGGTGTTAAATGCTATATATGGGTCACGTATGATGAGGACCAAGGATTGTCCACATTGTCATCCCTTTATGGCTTCTGCTTTTGGAGTTATGCTTAGAAAGATCTTTAATACTCCAAGAAGAGGTACATGACTACCTATCTTTTCTTTGGCTTCATTTCTTACAATAAAATATTTAACCCAACTGGACTTTATTTTTATTCAAGGTGCAAGACAAGAATCTATTTTCTATATAAACACATTTTTTATCCATTTATTACCTAACCCATTCTTTCCCTACTAATACAAAATGTTCATCCATGACACATAACGTGCTTAAATTGTGTCTGTCTCTGGAATTTCTATTCTGTGATAACAATAGCTGATATTAATAATTTTTAAAATCATATCTTACCTGAGTTCTATGTTGTCCTCATGACAATCCCATGAAGTAATTTTTGTAACTTTTTATTTTTAAAAAATGACATAATTGTAGCTTAGCAAGGTTAGGGAAGTTGTCCAATGTTTCCTACTTGAAAAATAGTAGAACCGGGATTTCAACCCAACTCATCTTGTGTCTTTCCATCTCTTTAGTCTATTTATTTCGTGCAAATGCCACACTTTTAATGAATGTGTCTCTATATTACATTTTAAATCTGACATAACACCACGCCTTAGTCCTTTAATAAAATCCTTCTTGGCTGGGTGTGGTGGCTCATGCCTGTAATCCCAGCACTTTGGGTGGCCAAGGCAGGCAGATCATGAGGTCAAGAGATCGGGACCATCCTGGCAACATGGTAAAACCCCGTCTCTACTAAAAATACAAAAATTAGCCAGGCATGGTGGCACGTGCCTATAGTCCCAGCTACTCGGGAGGCTGAGGCAGGAGAATTGCTTGAACCTGGGAGGCAGAGGTTGCAGTGAGCAGAAATCGTGCCACTGCACTCCAGCCTGATGACAGAGTGTGACTCCATCTCAAAAAATAAAATATAATAAAATCCTTCTTGATCATTTTTATGTGTATTTTGTCTAATTGAATTTAAATTTGTTCAAAACTACATCCCCCAAATATCCATTATATTAAATACATAATTTACAAAGAATTGACTTAATGATAATATTCAGTCATCCCATCGAAGAAATTGGTGTATTTTTCAATTTATTCAGGTTATTATTTGTATAAAAATGAAATTTGGTTATTTCTTTTCCTATAGGAGGCCCATGATTCCATAGATTTCTTCTGATTGGGATCATTGTAATACATGTTTCGTTTATCTTCCTGATTTGAACTGTATCTTCCTTGAGTTCTATCAATCGCTCTTCCCTTCATTCAAATTTTTCATAACATTCTTATATTTATTTGCATATAAAAGTTTAAATTTATTTATATTAAGCATATGAATACCTTGAAAAATTTCTTGGGGGGGAACCTTTTCTTGCGGGATATGGAAAATATTTTCATGACATCAATTTCCTGAGGTAAAAAAAGTTGAGGTTTGAAGAGGATGCTTTGAGAATTAGGTTCCTTTTACTTTGATCTCACAGTAACTACAGATAACTAAATAAAGCTCACATTTCTTAGTAAAATGTTTTCAGTTCAGTAAACATTCTTAAAGGAAACATTTGCTTCAGTAACCAAAACCCATGACTTTCAGTTGAAGGTCCAAATTAAAAGAATACTGTTTCTATTCTGAAAGGAAAGAAAATGTTATTTATTTTTCTAAATAGACATTTTGGAACACTTTCCTTTGAAAATATACAAGGCTTTATAGATAACAGACCTTAGAGTTATAAGTGTTAATACCCACTTCAGCTGTAAGGGGGCCAACAGTGTAATTTTAAAAGAATATCCATGGCTGAATCCACTAAAAAATATGAAATATTAAAAAGAAGGAAGACTATTTTTATTTGCTAAGATGTAACTTCAATAAAGAGGTGAAAGCAACTTCTTAAATTTTACCCTGATTCATTATTGCCTCATTTGCATTCTTTTAAAAAAAGACACAGAACTCCCTAAGGATTAAGGGTATGCCTAAAACCATGTTAATTCAAAATAATTGTGATTTACAGATATTAATGTTTGCCAAAGTGGTAATAGTGTTTGTTTGCTTACTTAAAGTCATGGTGTCTTATTGTAGAATCAGAGTATTAGAAATGTGTTTCTGTCTCAAATTCCAGGTGAGTGAGTTCATATAAGTGGGAAGATGTGACTACTTTATGAAGAAGTGGAAATAAAAGCACTGTTTTTTTTAGGAAATTTGTGTGTTCACTGGGAAAAAATGGAAGAAACAGTAAGAAAGAGGCAGATGAAGGAGGAGCCTCTCTTGAGCATTTAACTTGAAATGTTCAATTGAAAAAGAACACTAGTAAATAAATATCTTATGGCAAATATTAATACTGCTTTACCCTTAGGTCTTGGTGCACAAAGATAAATAGATAGGTAGGTAGATAGGTAGGTAGGTAGATAGATAGATAAGATTGATTGCTTATTTTCCAAAATTGTGAAAATTCATATTGAAATTCTGTTTTATTGTGAATTTTAATTTTAAACTTGTCTACAAAAGTTTTTTTTGCATGACAAAAAAAAAATAGGTTGGAACTAAGTTGCAAGTAGCCCCTTGAAATAGGGCATGCTTTCACTAGCTTACACAGACTGAGCCTACTCTAAGAGTGTAGATCTCACTTGTCTCTTGTATCCCACTTATTATTTTTCATTTTGGGGGGTACATAGTAGTTATATATATTTATGGGATACATGAGATATTTTGATTCAGGCATACAATACATAATTTTATAAGGATAAATGGGGTATCTATCACCTCAAGCATTTATCCTTTCTTTGTATTGCAAACGTTCCAGTTCTACTCTTTTAGTTATTTTTAAATGTACAATAAATTTTTTGAGACAGGGTCTCACTTTGTCACCCAGGCTGGATAGCTCACTGCAGCCTCAACCTCCCAGCCTCAAGTCATCCTCCCACCTCAGCCTCCCAAGTAGCTGGGACTACAGGCATGAAAACCATACCTAGATAATTTTTGTATTTTTTTAGAGACAGGGTCTCACAAGTTGCCCAGGCTGGTCTTGAATTTCTGGGCTCAAGCAATCCACCCACATTAGCCCTCCAAATTGTTGAGATTCTAGGCGTGAGCCACTGTGCCCAGCCTGCAATAAATTATTGTTGGCTGTAGTCATTTGTTATGCTATCAAATACTAGATCTTATTCATTCTTTCTATATTTTTATACCCATTAACCATTCCCACTCCTTACGACATTACCCTTCCTAGCCTCTGGTAATCATTGTTCTACGATCTCTATGAGCTCAATTGTTTTAATTTTTAGCTCCCACAAGTAAGTGAGACTAAGTGAAGTTTGTCTTTCTGTGCCTGGCTTATTTCACTTAACATAATGACCTCCAGTTCCACCCATGTCGTTGCAAATAACGGGATCTCATTCTTTTTTATGGCTGAATAGTATTCCATTGTGTCTATACACCACATTATCTTTATCCATTTGTCTATTGATGGACACAGGTTGCTTCCAAATCTTGGCTATTGTGAATAGTGCTGCAGTAAACATGTAAGTACAGATATCTGTTAGGTATACTAATTTCCTTTATTTTGAATATACACATAGCAGTGGGATTGCTACTCTATGTGTACGGTACCTAAATAGATACGGTACCTCTATTTTTACTTTGAGGAATCTCCAAACCACTCTCCGTAGTGGTTGTACTAATACAATTTCTAACCAACAGCGTATGAGAGTTCCCTTTTTCTCCACATCCTCAGCAGCATTTGTTACCTTGAGTAAAAGCTGTCTTAACTGGTGTGAGATGATATCTCATTATAGTTTTAATTTCCATTTGTCTGATGATCAGTTATGTTGAGAACCTTTTCATATGCTTGTTTGACATTTATATGTCTTCTTTTGAGAAGATCTTTTCAGATCTTTTTTCCATTTTTGGTCGGATTATTAGATTTTTCCTATAGAGTTATTTGAGCTCCTTGTATATTCGGGTTATTAATCCCTGTCAAATGGATAGTTTTCAAATATTTTCTCCCATTCTGTGGGTTGTCTCTTTGTTGTTTGCTATGCAGAAGCTTTTTAAGCAGATGAAATCCCTTAAAATTACATTATTTTAAGTTGATGTAATTTGTCCACTTTTGCTCTGTAGGGTATTACTCAAGGAAGACAAATCTAAGACCTCAAACTGTGAAATTACTAAAAGAAACATTGGGGAAACTCTCTCACTTCTTTAACCTCTTCAAGCATTTAATCTGTTTTAAATTTTTGAAGGAAAAAAATGTTGGTAATGGGGATGGGAAATGGTAAATTCATAAAAAGAAGTCTGAGCTTCTTAGTAACCCAAGATCCAATTAGAAAGACTGCCTTCTTTAGTAAGCAGAGGAATTCTGGATTCGATTAGTGGGTATTGGACTTTATAACAAATCCTGTTGAACTGTGGTAAGCTAAAGTGATTAAAAGCAATCGACATGCACAGACATTTGCTATTAACTTTCTGCTTATCCTTTAAATCTTCAGGCTTTCACATACTGAAGTCAAGTTTTCTTTTTTCATTCTAAAAAGGAAATCATTAAATGTCTCTAAGTGAGTGTCTACATTGTTCTGACCTACTGTGCTAATATAAAAAATGAAAAATGGATATAAAGGAAAATATAAAGAGAAAGAATAATATTACATGAAGATCACTTATGATTACATAAATGAAAAAGGTAGGATGAGAGTGGCAAGTGATTAGTAATTGCTCTGTGAAAGTGATTCAGGAAATGTATTAAACTGCCCAGATTTTATTAGGATTCCATATTTTAAATAAACCACATCCCATAGTTTCAGATATATCCCACCACATAGTATAATGCAAACAAAATAGGCAGCACCAAAATACAAGCATAAAATAAGGAAAAATGTGTAGTTTATATGTGTCTAAAGTGTTGTGGTTAAGAAAACAGGACTGGCAAAATTGTTCTCAGCAGATACTAGACTGCCTGACAGTTAAAGTTCCCATGACAGATGTGGAAAGGCTGCCACAGGACTTTCCTGTTGTATGGTAAATGGTCCTTGTATGAAGCCCAAGCCTGGTGAGGATAGTCCCTAGCTCCATAAACTCATTCTTTTCAGCTGCAAAACGCAAGTGTCAACTAGGTGATGAGAGATTTCTTTCAGCTTAAACTTTGTTTAAGATTAAAACTACTTAAAGCTGTGCATAGTTCAATTCACTGGCAGATGGTAGGCAAAAAAAGAGAGAAATTCAGAGGCACAAGGATGCTCAGAGCCATAGTATTCCCTTTTTGAATTTAGGTAGAAAGATAATAGTAAAGAGTAAATTTCTAGAGAAAGATTTCTTCCTTAGCATCTTTAATGTATCCATTTACCATGAAAAAAAAAATGATGTGAAATTCTCATCCAATCAGTACAATACTATGTGAGAACAGCCTAAATAAAAATTAGTTTGGTAATTAGATCAACAAGCTGTCCACTACAAATGCAAACTTTGACTCCACATAAGACAAGCGATGACCTTCACTAAAGATTTGAGTGTTTTGCTATATTATAGAGAAAATAAATATATATATATGAAAAATTTTTAGGTATCTACATGACTACTCATCCATATCCATATTTGTTTTCAGGTTTCTGCTAAATAGTTTCATTTTCAAGAATTAGTTTTTGGATTATATGCAATATTTTCGTAATACATTTTTAATTATTTTAAAACATATATTTGTTCCTTTATAATCTGTGAATCCAAAGAAGTCACTGCTCAGTAAATGTGTAAATTTTCTCTCTACCATGTAAAATTTGTAGGATTATTCATATATACTATTTTATTTGTCCTTTCACTTCTCTTCTCCAGTTTAAAATGTCTGTAGAAAGTAAGATACATTTCTTACCAAATTCTGTTCGAAAGCCTTTATTGATTTTCGGTAGAACTTTGAATTCCTTCATGAGCCATTTCACAGTATCTTATTTTTGATGTCATACGGAGAGGTGAGAAGGTAGAGGGAATGAAAAAGGGCAAAATATTATACATGTAGCAGAGATCAAAATGTAACAAGAGATTATTGTAAAAAGGTTATGCCAACATATTTGAAACTTAGGTGTAAAATAAAATTCATAAAATTATATAAACTATGAAAAATGAAAAAAAAAAACAGAACCTCACTGAATCAGTAGCTCACATATTTTTCCACAATAAAAACATCAAGCCCAGATGCTTTATAGGTTAGTTATATTGAATGTAAAATAAGCAAGTAATTCCCATATTATACAAACATTTTCAGAGAATGTTAAAATACAGAATCGACTCTGTTTGATTTTTACAAGTAATATATTCCTGGTTCCAAAATCATATAAGAACAGTATGTGAAAGTAAAATTATGGCTATTGTCACTCATGAACATTGATGACAAATTCTAAACAAAACAGTAAACCAAATTTACTAATGTATAAAAATGTAACATCACAGAAAAGTTTGTTTTGTTCCAGGGATTCAAGTTTGGCTTTACATTAGAAAATTTATTAGAAGTCACTGCTTTAAAATACTAAAATTGTAAAGATATGATTATCTCAATGGTTATATAACATATATAAACTGTAACTCATATATTTACTTATCTATTCCCCCATTAAAAGACATTTAGGCATCCGGTACTTTTTACTATTCAATTTTTGTGGGTTTTTTTGGTCCATCATTTATTTATATATATTATATATATATGTAATTACATATATAATATATGTAATATGTATATGTAATATAATATATATATTATATATTATATGTAATATATTATATATATAATATATAATATATATTAAGATAATATATATTTAGATAATATATATTATATTTAGATAATATATATTATATTAATATAATATATATTATCTAAATATAATATATATTATATAATATAATATATATTATATATATAATATATATTATTTTATATATAATATATAATATATATTATATAATATATATTATATATTATATAAATATAATATATATTATATATTATAATATAATATATATTATATAATATATAATATATAAATATAATATATATTATATTATAATATATAATATATATATTATATCTATTATATATATATGATATATATAAAATACTCTAAGTTCTGGGGTACATGTGCACAATGTGCAGGTTTGTTACATAGAAATACCATTTGACCCAGCCATCCCATTACTGGGTATATACCCAAAGGATTTTTGCCCATAATTTTTATAAACAAGGCTTACACATAAGGACAGCGAATTCATAATTTGATTTAAGAGCAGCTGTTGTTGTAGAGGCCCCGTGTGATGTTAGATGCAGTCATTCTGAGTTCCACTGTTCTGCCCCCTCCTAATTCATTTCCTGAGTCCAGTATAACCTTGATCACAAATCCTACAAGATTATTACAAGAAAAGAAACTCCTAGCCAAATCTATTTCACTGTATCCTAATAAAATATTTCAAAGGGAATTTAGTGACATATTAAAAGACTAATCCATTTCAACCAAGTTGGATTTATCCCAGAAATTCTAGTTTAACATATAAAACCAATCATAGAATTACCACATTAATAAAGAAGAAAAATCTTGTGATTATCTCAAATGATGTAGAAAATTATTTGACACACTTAGCAAAGTAGGAGTTTCTAGCCAGTGCAATAAGGAAAGGAAATGAACAAAATGTACAAGTTGGGAAGGATGAAATACAATTATCATTATTTCAAATGTCATAATTGTGTATTCAAACTTCCAACATAAGTTATAGGTATACTATTAAAATCAATACATAAATTTAGGAAGATTGTAGAATATAAGCACAATATATAAAAATTACTGGTACTGTTATATATACTAGTAACAAATATTCATTATGAAATGAAATGACACACTTCCAATTGCAATATTATTAAAATATGGTAAGGCATAGATTTAACAACAGACATGTTATATTACTATATAGAAAGTAACATAACACTATGAAGAGAAGTTTTATAAATAAAAGTAAACAGAGAGATAAGTTTCAGGCTTGGAAGGCTCAATATTGAACAAATACCAGTTTTCACCAAATTGATCCATAGATTCAATGCAAGCTCAGCAGATCTGTGTGTGTGCAAGGAATTGACAAGTGGATTCTAAAATTGATGTGAGAATGCAAATGGCCTACAATAGCCAAGGCAATCGAAAAGGGGAATTTCAAATCTGAAGAACTTATCAGATAACAAATCTTAATATAAAGCTAAAATAATTAAGATGTGTGATAGCAATACAAGAATGGGCATATAGACCACAAAGAAAAGAGAGCTGAGAAAGAAATTCAGACATATACAGTCACCTGATTTGTGAGAAAAGCATCACTACACTTCAGTGAGAAAAGCATGATCTTTTCAATAAATTGTGCTAGTTCAATTGGATATTCATACAGAAAAAAAAATCTTAATCTTGATACACAAAGATTATAAGTCTAACTATAGAAGTAAATAACATGAGAGTAATATTTTGCCTAGAGAGAGACATTACATAACACATGAGAAAGGCTAACAGTGGAAAATAATTGATAAACAGGCTATATTACAATTAGGATTTTCTGCTCATAAAAAGATACATTGAGTTTCTATGTTAGCTCCAAATGTAAAGAGTTTGGAAATCACCCTTATTTTTACGGCATGGACAAGCTTGAAAAATTGAACTGAAATAACTTTTCTTGGATCTATCAGAAAACTGAGGTTGAAGAGCAAACTTCTGCCCTGAAATCTGGAGAGAGAGGCAAATCCAGAGCTGCAGATTTGAGATCTTCTTAACTGCCTAATTTTGACAAATTGCTGGAGTCTGAGTGTGGATAAGCATAAAAGTGAGAAACACTTGAAGCCAGAGTTTTAAGGGGGTCGCTAATTTTGTGAGTCTTACCTTCTATCAGGATCTAAAAGTGAGAATTTGAGAAAGACCTTTTTCTGTGACCCTGGCAAGGAGAGGAAAAGAATAATCACTTGAAATATTATCAGAATATTCTTCATTACAAAGGCCTATTCTCAATACAAAGAAATTACTAGTACCTTATCCCAGCTGGGGAAAGGGTATTCATCATTCTCCAGCCCACAATAGACTTCCTGTAGTACCACAGGGATAAACAAAAGTTGATACCACTGGAGAAACACTTGGGAAGGTCAACATTTAAAACCCACAGGCCCACTACAAGTCTGAAATTTAATCACCAGATTAAGGAATGCTTCTCTTCTTTCACACCTTATCACCACACCGAAAGGGCTCCAGTCTAATAACAGCAGATTACAGCAGAAAGAACTACAAGAAGCAGACCCGTTTATCTGAGAAGGAATACTTAGGAAAGCCCGCCTTATATAGAAAAGGCAAAGACAGGAAACTAGAGAAATTTGAAGCCTCTGGCAGTTACAGCTGCAGCAAACATTAAATGCAACCAAACTCCTAGCCAGATAAACATATAATCTCACACTTACAGCCTGTTTACCTCAGTTACTATTACCAGATACAATGTGTAGGCTTTCAACGACAACAACAACAACAAATCAAAGGCAGATGAAAAGCCAATAAAAAATACAGCCTGAAGAGACAAAGCAACCCTCAGAATCAGACTCAGATATGACACAGATATTGGAATGATGAGACAGGGAATTCAAATTAACTATGACTAATATGTGAAGGGATTTATTGGCAGAAGTAGACAACATGCAAAAAAGAGACGGGAATGTAAACCTGTAGATGGAGGCTCTAAAAGAAGAATAAAAAAGAAATGCTAGAAAAAAAAACTAATAGAAATGAAGAATGCTGTTGATAGACTCATTGGTAGACTAGACGTGGCTAAGGAGAGAATCAGTGAGCTGAAAAATATGTCAGTAGACACTTCATAAAACTGAAATGCAAAGAGGAAAAATTAATGAAAAAATTCATAACAGATTGTCTGAGAACTATTACACGATTTTAAAAGGCTCTGTAGAGATCCATTATGTATGTGTAATTAAAATGCCAGAAGGAGAAGAAACAGAGAACACAGTAGCATAAATATTTGAAGCAATAATCGTTGACAGCTTTCCAAAATTAATGACAGCCATGAACCCATAGATCCGGGAAGCTCAGAGAATGTCAAGCAGGATAAATACTGAAAATCAATAGCTAGGCATATCATATTCAAACTGCAACAAAACAAAGATAAACAGAGAATTTTGAAAGAAGCCAGAGAAAAAATACACCGTATCTATAGAGAAATGAAATTAAGAATTGCATTTCAACTGTCCTTCAGAAACCACAAAAGCAACTAGAAAGTAGAATGAAGTAAAGTACTGAAAGTAAAAACCCACCAGTGTAGAACCTAGGATTCTATGTTCAATAAAATTACTCTTCAGAAGTGAAGTAGAAACAAAGACTTTTTCAGAAAAACAAGAACTGAAGGATTCCATCAATATATCTGCCCAACTAGAAACTTAAAAAGACAGTCTTCACAAAGAAGGATACTTATGTATGTATATATCAGAAAATTAGTTCTACACAAAGAAAAATAAGACATCAGAGATGCAATATATGAAAATAAAATATAATCTTTTATTTTAATTATTCTTAATTCATCTATTAATAACTGTTCAAAGTAAAAATAGTAACAAGGTACAGGGTAATTGTAGCATATGTGTAAGTGAAATGAAGGATAATAATGTTATAAAATATGGGAGGAATGAATTTGGGATACTTTATTACAACGTACTGGTGCTACACATGAAATGGTATAGTATTATTTGAAGGTGGACTTTAGTTAACAAGGTGTATTGGAAACTGTAGATAAATCACTAAAAATTTTAAGAAATATAAATGATATGCTAGGAGATAAAGTACAGAAGAATCATATAAAATTATCGATTAAAACCAGAGAAGATTGAAAAATGTGGAGAAAAAAGAATGTAATGACTGTAATACATTTATAAATATGGTGGATATTAATCCACCTATAATCCAACTACAATCATTTCAAATGTGAATGGTCTAAATTTGAAGACAGAGGTTGCCAGCGGATTTTAAAAGCAAGACCCAACTATTTGTTATCTACAAAAAATCCATTATAAATATTTAATATACTCAGGTATGTTAAAAGTAAAGGGATAGAAAAAGTATACATGACATACTAACACCAATCAAATGAAAGCTGGGGTAGCAATATTAATTTTAGAAAAAAGTGGACTTCGCAAAAGAAAAAAATTATCAAAGATATGGTAGTATGTTATATAATGATAAATACATTATCCAAGAAGAAATAACAGTTGTAAATTTTTATAAATCTAACAACACAGCATCAAAATTCATGAGGTAAAATGGAAATAAGAAATAGGCAGATTCACTATTATAGTTTAAAACATTAACATACTTCTTTTGGTAATTGATATATCAAGCAGACAGATAATCAACAAGAATATAGTTTATTTGAACAGCACTATCAAGCAGTTTGTTTTAATTGACATTTGTGAATCATCCATACAATAATATCAGAATACATATTAATGCAAGATGTTAATAACAGGAGGAATTGGGTGTAGGTCTATGGTAATTATCTGTAATCTCTTCACAATTTTTCTAAAAATCTAAAACCCTATTAAATAAAAATTAAAACAAAAATATATATTATAAGATTGAATAACAAGTCACAATGTGGGAAAAGATATTTTGAATTAATATACATGACAAAGGAATAGTATCAAGAATACATATAAAACTCCTATTAATCTATGATAAAATAAATATTAACAGGTCAGTGGTAAAATGGACAAATAACTTGAAGAGACACTGCACAGAAAAGGTGTATTAATAGCAAGTAAGTTCTGAAAAGTCATTACACTTCACTAGTCATCAGAGAAATGTAAATTAAAACTACAATGAAATACCACCACACAGCCACCAGACTGGTTGCAATGATAAAGTCTGAGGTACAAAGTACTGGCAAAAATGTGGAACGAATGGTACTCTCACATATTGCTGTTGGGAGTTTAAATTGGTGCCACCACTCTGTAAAACATGCATACATTAGAACCCAACAATTCCATTCCTAGGTATATAACCAATAGAAATGTATGCATGTATTCACCAAAAGATATGTTCAAGAATGTTCACACTAGTACTCTTTATAGTAACTCCAAATTGGAAGCAACACAAATACATATCAGTAATAAAATTTGTACATAGATTCTGAATATATGTATCACTTATGAGAATGAAAAACTGCTACATACAACATGGTTGAATTTCAAAACAACATGTTGAATGAGAAAAGTCAGACATGATAAAGTATATTGTTTGATTACATTTTTATAATATTCATGAACATGCAAAACTAATCCATGGTTATAGATGTTTACACAGGAGTAGGATAATAAGGGAGAAGGTGTGAGAGCAGCATGAGAACATGCTGCTAATGTTCAATTTTCTGACCTGAGTGGTGTTTTAACTTTGTGAACATTTATTGATCTGTATACTTATGATTTGTGCTCTTCTCTATATGTATATTATAAACTTAATAGCTTATTTTAAAAAAAGAAAAAAATATAAAAATTGTTAAGAATTACATCAGTATTACTCATAAAAGGGAACACAAATGTCACATAAAATATGTTCAACATTAATCTGAAAAATGCAAATTTAAATGTGATTTCATGTTATACCTGGTATATTGGCAAAAATAGAAAAGCCAGACAGTATCTAATGTTGGTAAAGATGTAGACTTACAGAAACTCTCACATACTATTGGTGATTTGTGCACATGTGTACTCTATGACCCAGCAATTTATTCCTTGGTATATACCTGGTAAATCTCTTGTATGCAGCAGAAGACAGAAAAAGAGTTTGTAGCAGAATTGTTTATAATGATAAAAACTGAAACAATTTTTCACCTCTAAGGAATTGGATCAAACTGTGCCATATTCACACAAATGAAAATCATCTAGTCAAGACAAGGAATATTGACAGCTATGTGCAGTCACACAGGTTGAACTGAAAAACCCAGTAATGGGTGGATAAAGCAAGTTATCGAAGAATAAAGTAATATTCTAGTTATGTAAAGTCCAAAAAAAGACAAATTTACCAATCATATTATAACATTTTAAAGTAAAACAGGAGAATGATATGCAGAATTTTCTGGGACAGAGGGGTCATTCGATGAAGGCAGGCTTATATGGAGATTCTAAAATATTGTAATGCTGATATGGTTTGGCTCTGTGTCCCCACCCAAATCTCATCTCTAATTATAATCCACAGGTGTTGAGGGAGGGACCTGGTAGGAGGTGATTTGATCATGGGGGCAATTGTCCTGATACAGTTCTCATGCTAGTGAGTGAGTTCTCATGATAACTGATGGTTTTAAAAGTGTTTGGCAGTTCCCTCTTCATGCTCTCTCTCCTGCCACCATATAAGATGTGCCTTGCTTCCCCTTCAACTTCCACCATGATTGTAAGTTTCCTGAGACCTCTCCAGCCATACAGCACTGTGAGTCAATTAAAGCTCTTTCCTTTATGAATTACCCTGTCTCAGGTATTTTATAGCAGTGTGAAAACAGAATACATACTCCTATTTCTTAAACTGCATGGTGACTAAAATTATGTTCATTTTATTGTATTGTGTTTTAAATTGTGTCTACCTTAAATATAATTGTTATATTAATGGTAGCAGAAATCTAAAAGTTAAAGAAAAAAATGAAATATGTCAATGTAACCATTTTGGGACTTTTTGCCAAGATTTCCTGAACCAAAGCTATCAATTACAATATTTTAAAAAACATTGTGCTAACTCCTAAAGTTATTTTAGAAAGTGTCCATCTGATATCTTTCAGACCATGGTCATTTGAGAACACAGTGAAGAGACCAACAGAGTAAATCACCAGGACCTGTTTACACAACAAAAAATGTGGCTGGTAAAATATTCTCTACTGATGTTTCTGTAACCAGAGACCGGAAACGTACAGTGGAAATGAAACCCTGTACTATTCTAGTGCCAACACAAACAACAATTATAGTGCGATGTGAGAAAAGTTGTAAGAAATATTTCTGGGTTTCAGTGGTTCAACCAAGTCAGCATATTTCTGTAATTGTGGCAGATTGGACCCAAAACTTTAGAGTCTTCAGCAAGGAACGACTCTTAGACATTAAAGTGATCCCTGATAAAACAACCCCAGGGTCATGAGAAGGCTACTCTGCCAATTTCATTTCACTGTGGGACCCACTGACATCTGGCTCAGCTGCGGAAGCTGGAAAACTTTAAAATTCTCTTGACAGTAAAAATGGACATGTGGAAAACATTCTAATCGGTTAATCTTTGGTGCTTCTGAAAAAGGGACATTTGGCTTTATACTTCATGATGATAAATATGAAACCTCCAGATCTAGTTGTAAATAACTTAATGGCATTTGAATATGGAATAAAATTTTCACTTCCCAAATGTGCCAAAAGATGAATATGCACCTGCATCAACCCCATGACATAAGAAGCCCCCTGGATTCTTTGTTTACACTTGAGTTTTATAATTTGTCCACCTTACATTGGTTCCATTTGGCCAGTGAAAATCAGTGAACAGTAGCAAGTCATTTATTCTCTTTCCTCATCCTCTCTTCTTTTCCTCTCGACTTCGCTAACTCTCATCCTTGCTCAAGCAATTCCTCTCTCTCCTTCCCTTCTTTTCTCCCTCCTTTCCATTTTATTACATATAATCAAGGAAATCAAGATAACTAACTTCATATATATATATACACACACACACACATATATACACATATATACATATATATGTATATATACTTATATATGTATACTTATAAGTATATATACATATATATGTATATATGTGTATATATGTATGTGTACATATATATGCACTATCAGTAAGTGACCTTTAGGATCACTGCATAATATATTAGGATGTGTGAATATGTAGATGGGAAGCAAAAAAAATTGTACTTCCATGTTATGGGCTTTTCTTAAATAAATGTCAGGCTTCAAGATCAACAAATTATAGAAGCTGTCTCTATCTTGTAGGTTTTTCTTTTTGTTGTTTAGACAATCTTTTTTTCTTTTTTTTTTTTCCAGTTCTTATTGATTCCACTTAATTCCTCTTGCAGCATTAATATTTGTTCTAATTTCAACATAGTACTTCAAAAGCTCTGGGTTTAAACTCAGAAAACTAATTAGTGAAGAAAGGAAATGCTGCACGATCAAATAGAGGCCTACATAGTTCCCTGCTAAATACATGCTATTCAACAAGTTTTCTTTCCCCTACCTCCAAACATATTTTGTAGTCTCTAGTCAAATATGCACATATATAAGTGCATAGCTAAATGAATTAAAGGAAATAAAGTGCAGCTATTGCTTCTGATAAATCAACTCATGATTTTTTTCTTCCTGATTCTATCTGGTATATGTTAGGTGGTAAAAAGGAGAGTGTAGCATAGTAGTTACAAGCACTGCCTCTAAAATCTAAATGTCTATGATTAAATTTTGATTTTGTCTTCTTAGGCAAATTACTTAATTTTTCTATGCTCCATTGTTCCCTTATCTGTAAATTTTGAATTTCAAAAGTTTGTACTTGTGAGCTGTTGTGATGATTAAATGAATGTAGGCACATATTAGGCACTAGGGGTGTTAGCTTTTCTCGTCCTTCTCTACTGGCTCCATTCCTCAGCTAACAGTCAATCTAATCTCCATATCAGAATCAGAACAGTCACTCCATCATTCTACCTTTCCACTAGAAGGTTGGCTTCTCTCAATCCTGAGTCTAAAAGATAGGTATTATAATTGGATGTTGACACATCTCATTATGACAGCATTCTTTTATTCCTCATAGGAATTCATCAAACATCTATTGAGCACCTTCCATAAGGCATTGTTCTCTACTAGATGCTAGATTTGACTGGTTGTTCTATAACTTTATGATGGGACGTGTTTGTATTTGGGAGATGCTATCAGGCCATTCATTTTCAAAAAATTCAAAAAGCATTAAACCTAAATTTATTGTTGCCTTACAATATACATCGTTAGACAGATCTCAAGTTCTGCATACAGCCTTTAGTGGCTTCATTGCAACCTTAATATCGAGTCTGCAAAAGAGATCCCAACCCTTGTTAGGTTGCCCTCAATCTGCTACTGCAGCCTTTTCTCTTGTCATGCTCCTTCTCATTCCCAAATCCCCTGGACTGGGGGCCTTCACACAGGCATTCTGTATGGTCCACTTCACTTTATTTACCTCTAGACAATGCCTATTTATCTTTTAAGTCATAATTTAGAAAGACTTCCTGAAGAGGTGTTTCTAAGCTATGCTCCTGTACCACATGGCACCTCACCTGACAGTGTGCTGTTCACATAGTATCTTCACTGCTTATTTACATATCAGTGCACCACTCATTAGTAAGGAGAAAGGCTGTGCATCACAGTTGATCGTAGCCTCTACCACCGGGCCTAGCATGTAGCATATGCTTTATGTTCAACACCTATCTTCAGGGAATGATTCAATACTGTCAAGATATAGTTTCAACAGAAACACTCCATTTTTTATATCCCAATGAGTAATTTGTTTTAACTCACTTAATTTCCTTTTGGAATTGTAGATGATTACTCGATGCCATAGTAGCTAGGGATATAAAATGAAGAACATACCTGCACTTAATGAGGGTATATGCTGGGAGTCTTGGCAAAGTGATTTAAAATTCAGAAGCTCTCTGTTTCTAGGTGTGCCAATTTTCCTTAATGGAGCTCTTGCTCTTATCTGTATATAATTTCGTTCTAGTTGGGATTGGATATAAAGTGGAGCAGAAATGAAATAGTATCCACTTAGGTGGCATGGCAACTTATTTCCACATGCTTGTACGTAAGAAGCCTGGAATGACATTTGGTTTAAACATTTGCAAAAAAACATGAAAATATTCACATAGAAAAAATATATTTTGTATTACATGGAGGCAATATAGTTGATGTACATGTGTAGGAATACATAGAATAAATGTTTTTACACGTGTCTTAAAGTGAGACCTTTATTAGTTGATGCCATAATTTCACTTCAGAAATGTGGCTTATTAGAAGAAGCAATGCCTTGAGTTGAGGAAGAATTACCTAATTTATAGACAAGGATTCCAGGCAAAAAGACATTATGGTAAGGCCACGGAGGTTAGAAACAGTGTAGGGGAATTTACAAGAAATTTTATGTTGTTGAAGCATCAAGTTCAAGATAATGGTAACTTAAACAAAGCTAAAATTATATCATGTAAGACAATGATAAATGATGAGGCTGAAAACACATTCTGATGCCAAAACTTCAAAGGCCTCACTAGTAAAGGTAAAACTCTTGAACTTTATCCAGCAGGTGATGGAGGACCACAAGAGTTTTAAGCAGGGAAGTGCTATTTGCACTTCAGATTTGTATTTTAGAACTCTTTCTAGTATATCTATAGAAAGTAGATTTAAGGAACATAGGACAAAACAGATCAGATCCTAGACTCTTTCAGTGAATCAAGAAAGAAATATTGAAGGCCTTGTGTGTAAGGTGTGCATAGTACAGAGGAGTGAAGGGCATATTGGAAATTCATTTAAGAGGTAGTAGGACCTCAAGATTGACTTAACATGGAAGGCCAGAGAGAGGGAAGAAACAGCTGAGTTGCATACTTTTTGCATGAGTGACTAGGTGACCAATGATCAAATGTTGTCATGTAGAGACATTTGTTAAATGCATAGCTGTCCTCCAGAGCAGACACTTGGGCCTAAACTATGCCAGGGGCAGTAGAAATAAAAGAGGCAAAGCATAAAGGTCATTGCAGATTCTCAAAGCAGATTCTCAAAGCGGATTCTCAAAGCGGATTCTCAAATTAGCTCAAAGAAATGGAACTTGGTCATCAGTTTCCTGTGGAACTTGACAAAGCTCTTGTTCTTGATGCTGCCTCTCTCATTCCCTTCAGTTACTACTGCTCTCAGGTTCATCTCTCTTCAAGCTTCCTACAAAACCATGTTTCTTCCTGCATAGCTAGTGTTATTGCCTCTTAATTAGTCAAAATAATTAAGTCCATCAGGCATAATCTTGCTCAGATTCCTGCCCCACTTCCCATAGAGGCTTGTAGGGTTCTGGATCTCAATACTAGTAGGCCTCAGAAAAGCAAGATCTCTACAAATGGACCATGTTGTCTAGAATCTTACAGTCTGGCATACTTTCAGCAAGCTTTTATTTTTACCTTGATATGTCTTTGGAAAATTGTTAACTTCTATTAGTAATATCCTTATACAATAAAGGTTAAGGGCAGTGGTTCTGGATTCAGACAATCCTTAAAGCATAGATGAATATACATGGAAATATAAAAAAGAAAAAAAATCCTCATGGAAAACAAGAAATAGTTTCAGTGTCACTGATTTTACACTCTTACAAAATGGAATCTCTTAAGAATGATTACATTACCAAGTAAGGTTTATACCAGAAATAATTGAAAGATTAGTTCAGTCTCTGGGAATTAACGTAGTCAGAACGTTACCAGATTAGAGGAGAAAAATATTTCTTAAGGAACACAGAAAAAAATTGATAAAACTAAACACTGTCTTATAATAAAATTTTATAAACTAAGAGTAAATGGGAACCACCTAAAGCTCATAAAGGGTATCTACCAGAAACTTACCATGAATATCATATTTAATGATTAACTCTTAGAAATAGTATCAATTTAAAAAATCAAGCAAGGTACCCATCACTGTTTCAGCATTACAGAGGAGATTTAAGCCAATGTACTAAAATAAGGAAAATAAATGATAAAAAATAATTAGGAATACAAAAATTATCTATATCTGCAAATGACTTATTATCTATAATATGTATTCTCTTTGATTTTCATATAGTAATCATATCATTTGCAGTAAAGATAACTGATTTTGGGTGTGTGAAGTAATGGCTATATATATAATTAATGGACATACGTATTAATGTGTATATTTATAGTAATAAGAGCATTTGACAAAATTTCAGTTGGAAATAGTAACTGATCAAACATAAGAGAAAAATACAATATTCAAGTTAGCAGCAAAAACAATAAAGTACTAGGAGAAACCAGGTATGTGTTTAAACCAAATACATATTAAAACCTTTGTTGTAAAACCTGTATATCACAATTCCAAAATGTTTTTGAAAGAAATACAAATAAATCAGAATAAATGACTAGATATATAATGTTCACAGATGAATGAATTTGGTATCTTAAAGATGGCAATTGTCCTGGTTTTGATTTATAAACTTTCAAGTGAAATCCCTAGCCGTCTTGTTCGTGAAAGTTGATGATCAAATTTAACCTTCAAAAAGAGGAGTAAAGGAGTAAAGAGCACAGAGTAAACAAGACACATTTTAGAACAAGAGAGGAGAACTTGCCTTATCAGGTTGAAAGACTTAATTATGATAATAAAGCAGCCTCCAGGACTGATTCTATCCTGAAACCAAGGTAGGTTCACAGCGCCTGGGATGAGATGAGTAGCAAACACGTAATTCCAAAAAGGCTAGAAAGAAGGAGAGGGTAGGGGAAGGCCTGGGCTCTGAGTGTCAAATCTCTTAAACTGGTAGGAATTTGAGTTTACCTGTAGGAAATTTTGGGAGCCTCTGTAGGTATGTACAAGGAGACTTGTTTAATCATTAATCTTGAGTAGATTATTAATCTGAATGAAACTGAATCAAATTCAGAACTGAGTGTGAGGCTAATTATTGTCATGCAATTTGCTTGTGTTTTGGAGAACTTGGTAGTAGGTTATATTTATTAAAAATATCCTGGAGGTGGTTATCCATGTATGTACACAGAAGCCTGGCAGTAGAAACGGCCTTTTAAACTCAAAAAATAATTAAACCACTAAAAGTCACATTAGTTAGTGTTATGGTTGCAGGATAGAATTTTTACATCTTTCACTTTTTCCTTTTCAATATGATTTCTACTTGCAACTAGGAGTCTAATATTTTTATCTAAAATAATCTTGTGAGATTTTTTAAGACAGTAAATTATCTTTATAAAAATCTATGACATAGACAGATTTAATTATGCTTTCAGTTGATATTGTACATTAGTAAATTAAGAGAATTAAATTCTCTTGGAATTTAATGTTAATATTATTCACAGCTATTGTCCTTCAACATGCATATCTTTCAAAATGTTAATTCTAGATAATTCTACAGAGCCCCTTTACCAATTTAATATTTAAAATTCAAAGAGTATGAACAAGTGAGGAATGAAACAAGCTATTATCAAAATATTTCAGTCTAAAGCGTTGGGTGGTTTCTGGACTTCTACCTGTTTTATATTCTCATTTTTTCTTCCTATTTTTTTTATGATTCTGTGCATACAAAGTATTGCCCTGGAGGTGAGACTTAAAACATTCAAAAGAGGTTGAAAATATTTTATTCTGAAAGTATATCCCAACTATTCTCTCAGGAAAGCAGGAATACGTGGAGCAGAAAAACGGACAGCTCAATCAAAAACAGAACAACAAACAAAGCTCACTTTCTTTCCATGATTATTCCATCTGGAGAGATGCCTAGGGGTTACTAGATTTAGGAAAAGAGGAAAGTAGACATTTAGTTTCAAATATGTAAATGTCTGCAGTTGCCCCAATGTTTGAAGCCAAAAATGTTATATTTGTATTATTATATTTTGAAGCAGTTGTATTACAATTTATTTCACTTCAGGAGGCTCTTAGGAAATTTGTATATTTTAGAATAACTTTTCTGGAATATTCTCTTTAGTAGAGAGTTCTAAAGAAACCTGAGGCATAAGAGTAAATAACTTAAATCATGAAATATAACATCTTTTAAAATTTATTTTTAAATAACCATGCAATTTTCACATTGTAAGGGCCACTTTTTCATGTATCATTTATCTCTCTTCTCAGCTAAAGACTGGGGCCGGGCACAGTGGCTCACTCCTGTAATGCCATGACTTTGGGAGGCCGAGGTAGGCGGTTTGCCTGAGGTCAGGAGTTCGAGACCAGCCTGGCCAACATAGTGAAACCCCGTCTCTACTAAAAATAGAAAAAAATTAGCCAGGCATGGTGGCATGTGCCTGTAGTCCAGCTACTCGGGAGGTTGAGGCAGGAGAATTGCTTGAACCCAGGAGGCGGAGGTTGCAGTGAGCCGAGATTGCGCTACTGCACTCCAGCCTGGGCAACAGAGCAAGACTCCATCTCAGAAAAAAAAAAAAAAAAAGAAAGAAAAAAGAAAAGATTGGACTCAACACCAAAAGCCCAGCATAACTCCTTTGTGAGTTTTGACCCTACATATTGTTCCAGTTCTGGGGCGATTCCTTGTACCTTTCATGCACAACTTTCCTTTACATAAACGATGTTTTTAATTGTGATGGAGTCAGTGCTGTGTCTACACGTTCTGCAGTTAACTACTCCTGAGAAGCCTATTGACTGAAATGTATAGCAGCAATATACTACCTAGAAAACTGATATATGTGAGTTATACCTACAACATAAGAAGTTTGTATAATTAGTTTAATAGTAAGTGGTGTTCAAAATAATTATTAGACCTTTCTATGGCAGCTTACCTAAGCACAGGTAAAGATGGCTGGCATTTTCATTAAATGCTCTAAGTCTAATAATTATTTGCATGCTCTAGGTTAGATACGTTTAAATAATTTATAAGATTCTATTGGCACAATATATATGGATTATGTTTTGAAACTTAAGTCTCTAGAAAAATTAAAGTCTCTAGAAAATTTAAATTTAAATTTCTGGACAAATTAAAATCATGCAGTTGTTATTCCCAAAATAGGGTGTGAAGGCAGATATGTGAGGGAGAGAGGTCATGGGGGCAGGGGAGACAGCTAAGATGTGGTATAATTGAGAAAGGGAACAAACCCACGGACTGAAGACATGAGCATACATGGTGAGCATAGGAAGGAAGGAAGTTATTTCGTATGTAGTTGCAACAGATAAAGATGAGAATTTTAAGAAAGGGAAGGTCCCAAGAGAGCAGATGGCAGCATTTTAGACGAGGAGTAATTCATGTTTTAGAAAGGTAAGCATAGAGAAGGAAAGCAGTCTTTCTTACCACATTTCCACATTTATGAGGTATTGTCATATAGTCTTCCTTATTTATTTATCCTAATTTTTGACAGAATTTGGCATTAGAATTACCCAAAAACCCCATAATCGCATGAATATATGGCATATCTGATGGTCTGGAAAGATTGTTTGGTGTTGATTTGCTGTATTTGGTAGGAATGTCATTTATATGGACCACAATGAATCATATGACCCTACTGCCATATTAGTTAACAATCAACCTGAATTATATTCTTTTTTATTTTTTCCTGCTACTTAATTGTCTTCTTCTAAAACTAGAGATATTATTGTTTTCATTAGCAAGGTGCTATTGAGTAGTTCTTCACAGGTATATATTTTGGAACATCCAGAGTAATCACTTTTTTATTGACTATCTTGAGTACTTTTTAGTTTATTTCAGTCTAAATAGTCAAATCAAGTGTACCTACATTTAAAATATGAACTATTACTTTGCTTATATCTTGATCTAATTTCATGGTGCTTTAAGTTCTGATAACATCATGGTTACCTTGTCTTGTTTACAGGATGATTTTAATTTAAAATGAAATACCAAAAACAAACCAGTTTATAGCCGGTACATTTACTAGTCAAAGCAACTTGAAAAATAAGTTAGTTATATTCTTGTTCTTACCTTATTCCAAGTATTCTGCCTAAACCTTACTGTATTTCAAATTTAGCAGCATCTTCATATATTTGATAGCAGCCTCCCCCATCCAGGCATTGAAACTCTAGCCAAACTTTCATGGTAATAATAGTATTTGGTGGACATAGTATTATTTTACTTGGAGAATTACAATGTGATTTGCGTTTCTTGTTTCATTTCTTTAAACTTTAAAAGTACTGTATATGTGTTTCTCCCAGTTGGAGATTTCAGAAAGCTAAGGAATGGGTTCCACATATTTCTTCTTTTGACTCTTCAAAAAAGCACTTACAATAAAAAAAAATCTTTACTTCCTTAGATGACGGTCTAGATTACTAAAAAAAATAAATAGTAGATCATTATTCTTTAGAATGTTCACATTGCTTGTCAACAAAGCACTCCAAAATAGATGCTATTTGATACAAGTTAGATTTTTTTTCCTACATTCAGGGCAGAGAGTTAAATTATTTTTCTTCCAAATCCTGTAGCAGCACCCTAAGGGCAAAGAGTCTTAATAAAACACATTAAGTTGCTTTTCATGAAAAAATATTGTGTCTTATATTTTATATGTCTCCTAGATATTTCTTACTTTACGTGGTTAAATATTTCATTGTTGCTAGTGTTATAACAATAAATAAGCAATGTTGACATTAAAAGTTACTGTCATACTAAATTTCAAAAATTGCTGGGTTAAAAAATACTGACACCAAAAAAGTTGCATAACTGGACTACAGAGCTCAAATAACAACAGAATAATACTGTCCCCCTTACTTTTAGATATGGATGGCAATTAAGTGAATTCAATAGATTTATTTTAGAAAAGTGTTTTGCCATGGATAGATAAACATATACAATTTTAAGCATGTGTCTATGTATGTATTTTTTTTCCTAGTAATAGGATATTATGTTTTCTTCATGTTCTTAGAGGAATCTATGACTTACAAAATATTTAGAATTGTGATTTATGAGAAGAGCTTTTTTGGTCTTGAAAAACATGAAGATTTCTTGCATAATAAACATACGCTTTTTGTTATAATGTTTATAAAGATGCGGCTGATAAAAACAGATAAAGTATGATTAAAATTAAACTTTAGTGCTTTCTATGAGTTTCAATTGCCTGTCATTTGTCTCTAGTAATGTGAAATAAATTGGTTGTATACATAAATTATTTGGTTTAGAGCTAAACACCAACTTGAAGATAAATGATATTTTTGGTTTTATATATATTAAAATAAATTAGCCTTTGTGAATATAGCTATACTTTATGGTACTTCATTTTATGCATAGTTTTCTACATTTGTTATCCTTAGTGAGAGACTGCCTGGAAGAGTCCCACCTCTCTAAAATTTCTAAAACACAGCTATATATTACAGAGGCATGCATGCATTCATTAGATGGTTCAAAACCCTTGATATATATTCCTCCTGGACACATGGGATCATGTGAGTAATTGATAAAAGATTAGGTACCAGCCTAAAATACTGAGCAATAACAGATGTACTTTTATTAAGAAATGCCATAGTACTTACAGATGTTCTATAGACATTAGCTGAAATGAAGTTTCTCTAAAATGACAATTCAAAGTTAAACAGTTGCTCTATAATGTAACCAAAATACAAACATATACACACACATATACAGAGTTATATAGCCAGATACAGATATATATCTATATATTTACCTACCTATATATTTATCTGTATATATATTCAACAATATAACATTTGAGTGAAATTTGAAAAGTGTTTGTTTGTATAGGCATCATAAGGTTATATAAAACTTATTCTAGTGAGCATCTGATTTATACATCTCAATTTACTGCATCTTACTCTTATTTGTATCCCTCTCAGTGGATTGTACATAGAAACCACTTAATAAACACAAATACATTTTAATAAATCGTTATTAAATAGTGTTTTGGGAGACTTGTACCAAATTGTGCTACATAGCAGGAGGGATCCAGCATTATGTCAGAGCTAACATCAAAAACATCAGTAAACAGGAACCTGCTATTAACAAGTTCTGTCATTGACGTTATTTATATTTTTTAAGGTCTGCTCCCCATGCCTCACTCTCTGCTCATAGAATCTCCCTACTTTTCAAGGCCAAGTTCAAATGTCATTTCCTCTATAAAACCTGCCTCAATTTAAACAGTCTAAAATAATTTTCTTCCCCCTTAAACTCTTAATATTTTCCTAGTTGGCCTGAATTAACACTTCTCATAATCTGCCTTTTAATTATTCATGTATACATTATATCTTTTCTACTAGATTCTAAGTTGTTTTGAGTCAAAGGCTACATCTTAAATATGATAATGTGGTAAGCCTTTTGTGAGTGAATAATTAGTACATGTTGGCTGATTGCATGATTTACTCTTTAGCTGACATAAATACAAATGCTCTTCTAAAAGCTAACATTCTGTACTAATTTTGACAGGAGAGGAGGCTGCTCTGTGAAATTTGAACTCATTCAACTAATAGATATTTATAAAATTCATATTGCACTCTCTAGTAAGAAGCTAAAATCTTCTGTTATAAAATACAGGAGATTTTTGTTTAAACATACTTTATGGGGCAAGAAAGTATACATGTGACCCAAATTACCCAAATTAATTTGTTAATGGCTTCGTATCAGCCTTGGCCCATAGCATACTCCCTAGTACATGTGGTTTACTCATCCAAAACAGTGTAGTCTATCAAACAGCAAAGTCTTTTGTGATATGGAAGAAAGTGCAATGCACAAATACATAATATTTTCTATTCTATTCTTATTAAAAAATGCTAGTGGGGATTGCAATGTGATTCACTAATGATACTGACTTGATTAGTAAATACTTATTCATAAGACACGGCCCTGCTACATGTCTGATATTACTTTGCAACACTGTCTTCATGACTCCCTCTACTCCAAGCACAGTGGTCTCCTTAATTCTCTCTAAACACACCAAATACTCCTCCTTGTCAAAGCATTTGTTCTGACCGTCTTCATTTTTGCCTAACACACTATTATTTCAGACCAGTTCGTAGTTAACCTCCCACTTCGTTCAGGTTTCAGCTCAAATACTCCTTCATCAGAATAAAACTTTTGGGAGAGTGATTTTTATTAACCCACCTTGAGTCACACATGCATCTCTATCCTGTCACTTGCTTTCCTGTATCACTATTATCTTGTTTAGGCTTTAGAAGTGTTTTTCTTCCCCACTAAAAACTGGCTCCTTGAAAGCACAGATTTTGTATGCTTTATTTTCTACTACTGTATACGTGGCACCTAGAACAATATAAGAACTCAATAAATATCTGTTCAATGATATGATGAATACTTGCCACTAGCAAGCATTACATGTCATTTTAAATTTCCTAAAAGCAAAGACTTAAGGAAAAACATGAGAGTTTAACAGTAATAAATCATTTTCTGGTATTACACTTTCAATGGAATATATTGAATAGTTTCTAGAAAAGGTATCTAGTGAATATTTATTGTTTAGTATGTTCAAAATACACCCCACTTCTAGGAAAACATGTCTTCATCACTCCAAATATGTGGTTCTAGTGAGGACCTAGAAATTGCAGCATCCTTCTCTCTTCCTCCCACAATGTCTAGCTTACAAAGTGCACTCATGGCCCCAGTGAGGGAAATTTTCGTATTCTGGTGCACTGGCTTCAATTTCTGGTCCACAGATGGATGTGTGACTCAAGGTGGGTTAATAAAAATCACTCTGCCAAAAGTTTTCTAGTTAGAGCTTATGAAAAAGAGTTCCTTTCTCTTACATAAAACTCTGTGACTTTTGATATAGCCGACTTGAAAGAATAAAGCCAACACACAGAGAAGAAAAAAAATGATGAGAGAGATGAAGAGAGAGAACGAAGGAAAAAAGAAGGGAAGAAAGAGACAGAAAGTAGGATGTTGGAATCTCTGGTTCAGTGTTTCCCAAGATTAACCAACCAAACTTTTTCTATAATTCACTTAAGGGAACCAATGAATTTCTCTCCTGCCCTTTTCTTGGCTTTAATAACTCAAACTTCTTATCCTGGCTAATATATAATAAAATAAATGGACAGTGTCTCCAGTAGGGGTTTTTAGAATAAATGTGGGGGGAGGGAAAATCCTCCTTAACAAGTCTTTCATTTCTGTGTGTATTTATTTATTTATTTTCATGACTTTGAATAACCTGAAAATGGGATTCAAGGAAGCTATCTCTGCAGGAGTCTGAGCTAATGAGATCCAGAACTTTCTGGTGAAATTGGCATAAGGACAGAACTAAAATACTTAGAAGAGGATAGACAGTGAATCTCATAAAGTGCCTATGTTTAGTATCACTTTGCCCAATCTGCCTTTGATAAGAGTTTGGTAGAAAATAATTCAAGTTTCAACTCCTTGGAAAGGATGATTACATTTTTCTGGGATCAGTCAGAAAGCAGAAGACACAAAAATAATTGAATGTAGGAAACACAGGTGAAAGGAAAAGTATAAAACTGAACATCGGACAAAAAAGCATCCCAGAGGTTAGCAGGACCTAGAATAGGGTAAGGCAAACCAGGTAACTAGAACACAACATTTAAGAGGCATTCTTTCTCAGGTGCTGATGATTTTCAACTTGCTCACCAACTGAGTTGCTGAATGGCTTCCTACGATTTGCACCCTGTTTGCTTCACTGTTAAGGAGGCACTCCTGGAGATTAGCAATAGCAGGAACCCACCGTTGCAATAGCAGTGAGCCCTATAGGCTGGATGGACAAAGAAAGAAGCAGTGTTACTGGAGCCCAGCATCCAGAGTCACTGTGAGAGAGCTGGAACCATGCTGGGCCTGTCCATGGTCAGCAGAAGGCATTGGAGGACACAAAGAAAATATGGGCTCTACTTGAGATACCACCCAAAGCTGTTAGTGGGAAATATTATGACTTCTTCCTAACACCAGAGCTTACTGTTGGCTGAACTCTGTAGGAATCCAGCTGATATGAGAACTGGGGAAATGCATCCTGAAGGAATCAGTCTCCTGTGATGAAGAGCAAAGACGTGACGGACAAGAAAGAACTCTTTTTCTTCCTTGGACATTAATCTGTCCATGATTAATATTTTGTGTATTTTCCTGCATACCCCATGTTTATGTGAAGTAAGTGAAATAGCACTTGAATTTGACTCATATCTAAAGATTTTTATCTCATATATTTTCATTTTTAAGTAAGGATGACATTGAATTTCAGGTATTTCGAATCGTTGAAGTTAAAACAGAAGCATAAAATATGTTACAGTTTACACAGGAGCTTTTGTAAGCCTAGTGGTACTTGGCAGCTTTGCTACAACACCAAATATGTGTGGGTTTGGCACTCCTCAATGAGAATCTTCAGCAAATGTTTTAAGAGTTTTGTCTTATATGACTTTTTTTTCTTGGCTATTAGCACTGGCCATCATGGTTGTATGCCATCTGGAAGCTTATATGCGTGTGACCTTCCCATTAAGTCACTATATCTTTGCTTGGCATTTGTATGCCATATCTTCAGATGCCAAGGGAATGAACCTATCACAATAATGTGTTGCCCCAAATTATAATAGCAAAAGCCCTTAATATTCTAATTTTATTTGGGTATGTTTATAATTTGAGGACATAATTAGATAAAATTGAGCAAACCAACTTCAGTACGTATTCATAGAAAGCCATAGGATTGGAGAAAATCCTAGAGCCATCAAAGCTGATGGCTTCACTAACAGTAGAAGGGATTCCTTCTGCAACCTTTAGATTGTCTTTTAATACTTCAGTGGCAAGGCTATCATTATTTTGAAAGCTAACTCATTTGTGTTTGGGCAGCATTAAATGGCTAGAGAGTTATCCCCCATAATCAACCAAAATCTACATCTGTCTATTTGGCTCTGGAATCATACAGAATATGTCTACTTTCTTGACCACATAATGATCTTGAACTATGCAACTACAACTCTCATTTATCTCTCAGCCTTTTCCAAGGCAAATATCCACAATTGCCTCAACCATGGATTATATTATGTTTTCTAGACATGCGAGTTTTCTCCAAATCTGCTTTTCTTCTATATATTTAACTGTAATTATACTTATGTTTATTTTCCTACCTTCTTTGAATAACTGGCTTCAACTGCACCATTTCGGGTGCCTTCAACTGGACTATTTCTAGTGGCAGAAAAAAAAAATTATTTTATATATTCACAGCCTTCCCTCTTCCTCCAAGATGTACCCAATGCTTTAAAAAATTAATACCATTGTTAAGATAAATATCTTGTTAGATATTTTGATCAATGGTGGGTCTCAAGCTAGCAAGGTCTTTGGTAAGTCATTTAGAAATCAAGCTGAACTTGAGCTATTTGAAATTAACAATAAGAATGTGAATGGTAATACTCATATAAGTAATATCATAAAATATTCTATACTTTTTTATTTTTATTTTTTTAGAGATGGGGGTCTCACTCTGAAGCCCAGGCTGGAGTGCAGTGGTATGATCATAGCTCACTGCAGCCTCAAACTCCTAGGCTCAAGTGATCTTCTCTCAGTCTCCCCAGTAGCTGGGAACACAGACCTGAGCCACTGTGCCTGGCCTGTAATATTTTTTGTACTTAATAGCATACATAATATTTTATATCTATGTAAAAACACAGCAGTGTCCAGTTTAATGAATTCTGAAGTTTACCCCCCAAATAGATGTCTCCTAATAAATGGTGGAATACATGTGTAAATCCGCTTAGCCACTTCTCCTTTAAAACAGATTTCAAGTTCCTCCTATTCTCTTTCTCCTTCCTCCTATGAGTGAGCTAAGTTTGAAGAGGGCTTAAGTATCATCCTGGCATTAGTGGGGAGTTACCTGGTCTGCAAACATTCTTAGTCCTCCCTTGTTTCCCTGGAGATATGACTATTCGGCCCATTCAGCTCTGTCCTTGTGATGGTACCCAAACCATGATCCATCCAACTCTAGCCCATACTCTGTACCACATCCTGGTCATGATTTTAGTTCCCTCTTGCCCACCAGTGATTTTTCAGCTCTGCTAGGGAAAATGGGAAATTGTTGTAAGCTTTCTATGCCAGGTTTGAGTGTTCTGTATTCTTTGAAGTTACCTGAGCCACTGGCTAGGTATCTCACTTAGCCTTTGCTGCCCTGTTACCTCTGTCAGCTGGATGCTGAGCTTCTGAGTCTTGTATGCCCTCCAGTATACACCTTTGAAAGCAAGACCAGTCTCCTTTGTTATAGGGCTCCCCAAAACCCATATAAAATTCCTATCACTCATTATCCCTGCCCCCACCCCTGGTACTCAGCATATGGGAAGCCTCGTGCTCTTTCTAGAGACCTAGGAATCACTGTGTCCTATCTTTTAAATTATTTTACTGACCAATGGAGTCCAATTATTTGAGTTACAAGAATGTTAAACTATAAATATAAACATTACCAAAGACATGAAATCACTCCAACTGCAAATGGGGAAGTGGAAAAAAAGTTATTTAATGAAAGATAAATGTGAATTTAAATTAGTTTTGAATAATTAGGAATGCTTCAGGAAACGTGGTAAATAGCCAGTTTTCTATGTCTATAATGATTTTCAAGAAAGCAACTTTCACCTTTCACTAAAGATGATTCTATATCCCACTCCAGTTAATGGACCACCCTCTATTAAGTTGTTGTTAAGCGAGAGATCTCAGTGCTTTGTTAATGGTATTTCTTTCTTCAGTCATTCCTCATTCATTTAGACAGTATTTTACCTAGTAAATTTATCTCAAATTTATTCCTTAACAACAATCTTTTTCCTTATGCTTCATTTTAAATAGTCATCACTAATGATTGGATGTATTGCACTAATTTTCTAACAAATGTTTCTACTTACATATTTCTCAGCCTCTATCCATCTCAATTATTGCTCCCTTGCTAGCAAAATTAGAAAATAAAAGTGCTGATGATGGCATGATTATTCATAAACCTTAGATAGACCTTCATTTCATAGAGAATAAAGCTCATATCCTATAGCAAGGCACAGGGCTTCCCATGATCAGGAGCTATGCTCCATCCATATCCCAAAAGCCCCTACAATAAACATCTCATTAAAATCTTCTGGCCAGGCGCGGTGGCTCACGCCTGTAATCCCAGCACTTTGGGAGGCCGAGGTCAGGAGATCGAGACCATCCTGGCTAACGCGGTGAAACCCCGTCTCTACTAAAAATACAAAAAAATTAGCCAGACGTGGTGGCGGGCGCCTGTAGTCCCAGCTGCTGGTAAGGCTGAGGCAGGAGAATGGCGTGAACCTGGGAGGTGGAGCTTGCAGTGAGCCGAGATTGCACCACTGCGCTCCAGCCTGGGCGACAGAGCGAGATTCCGTCTCAAAAACAAAACAAAACCAACAACAAACAACAACAACAACAACAAACTTCTTAGTACATGCTTGGCATGTTCATCGTATGTATGATTTTCCACATTGCTTCTTCTCTGTAGAATACCTCTTCCCACATCCTCTCCCCACCCTTGTCAATATCCTTCAAAGCCCAATTCAGAGGCAAACTATAACAACATTTTCACTATCCCTCCTCTCCTCCACCCCTTCCTTGCTCCACCACAAAATATACAAACCATCTCACTGGTGTTTCTGAATAGCTTTGTTTATAATTCTCATAATAGCTATGACATTCTACTTTGTATTAAAGTTCTTTGTATTAATGAATATCTTCTCTGCCAAGTCATTAACTTAATGATGCTAGTTACTAGTCTTTGTTTCCCAGCAACAGTAGCCAACTCAGGCTACCGTAAACAAAAAAGGAAAATTTATTATGAAGACACAGGGGTGTCTCAGGAAACTTCTTGGAGAAATTATGCACACAAGTCAAGAACAGAGATTTAGAAAGAAGTCTTTTTTTACCTGATTCTGAATCTCAGCTTTACCTTTTGCCAAACATGTAACATTATATATGATCATATTAAACATTCTATGCCTCAGTTTCCTCAATTAAAAAATGAGGATGATAATAATAGTACCCACTTCCAAAAACAAAGCTGGTAAGGGAATGAAGCTGGACCTCAGGAAGGACTGAAAATCTGTCAGAAATTCAGGCCATGTTTCTCTGATTCACCTATGCTTCACTTCTCATTTTACTAGAGATTGAATTTCTCTGCTCTCCGTTATTCATGGAAAAAGTTACTGGTCCACAGTTCATTTGCTGTACATCTCACCTCTTATAAAGACGGATTCTGTCTTTGTCTGTTCTAAGTCTGGGTGAGAAGACTGTGATTGACCAAATTTAAGTCCAATCAGCTGCAGCCAAGATTAATAAAAGAGTCATTGAGCAGTTTCCAGAAACCCTTCTTTATGAGAGGCACTTCCAAGAGGAGAAGGTTTAAGGAGAAAACAAGATAGGTAGTGATCCACTCAAATGTTCCTTTATTTTTGTGTCCTCAAACATGCAGTGCTGTGTCTTCAGTTTTTATAATATATAGGCCTATATGCACCTTGATCTTGATATTACATACAGTATTGTGCCATACTCATTATTTGTTCAATTATGCCTTCAAGAATATTTGAATAATAACTTATTATGTTCTAGGTATTATGCCATATGCTGAAGGTATAATGGAATGAGATAAAGTGAAATTCCAGACATCATGAAGCTAATATATACTGCCTGCTGCTTTTGCTATTTTCAAAAATCTGGTCTGTACATTCTCACAAGCCATCACTAGCTTATTAATATTTATAACATTGCTCATTCTTTGTCAGAACCACTGTTTTCAATTCTTTTGTCTTTTAATACACTTAAAAAAACTTATTAACATTTAGTTGTATTTTCACAACATTAGGTATGTCTCCCACTAACATCTACCTTGGAACTGGAAGTTATTTACCTCCTACCTCCTAGTGAAATTCCAGGAACAGAAAGGCCTAAGTTCTAAGTTCTATATACATCACTATAACTGCCTATAACTGACCACCTAAGTGACTTTTTTTGTTTTTGTTTTTGTTTTTGTTTTTGTTTTTTTGGAGATGGAATCTCACTCTGTTGCCCAGGCAGGAGTGCAATGGCGCGATCTCAGCATACACCACCGTGCCCGGCTAATTTTTGTATTTTTAGTGGAGACGGGGTTTTGCCATGTTGGCCAGGCTGGTCTTGAACTCCTGACCTCAGGTGATCCACCCGCCTCAGTCTCCCAAAGTGCTGGGATTACAGGTGTGAGCCACCGCGCCCAGCCCTATGTAACTTTTGATAACCTCCAAAAGTTCTTTGTTAAGAACTATGGGGCCTAATTCATTTTAAATCAATCAATCATTAAACATATAAGGGATTTTGGCTAAATTATCTAGTTGTAAAAGTCTGTGATTTGCAGATTAGTATGAAAAATACATGGGGACCTCCACCTGAATAGATATTGTCAGAACAATATTGTTTGTGGTCTCTCTCATTCTCTTCCTACTTCTCTTCCCCATAACCATTAGCTCCATCCCCTTCTCTTTGTGCACACACTGAAGACTATTGTGAGAGCAGGGCCTGGCTGAGTCCAAAAGAAGCAAGTGTTAGGGAGCTAGAAATGAGATGAACTCTTTGTATGACTCTCAGCCAATGAACTCAATTACTGTGTTTTTGAGATTGGTTATTTGTTTTCTACAAAAGCTTCAGGGCCCTTGTTCCTTTAACATATCTCTGTTAAGGGATATATGTATTGTCTCTCCTTACACCCTAACTCAAAGGACAGTTTTTTCTATTTATTTCCTGGCTCACCTCCTTGTTTCTGCCCTGGTCCCAAAACTTATCCTAATCTATAAGATTTTTTCTTTGTTAATTTTCTCCTCTATTCATGGCATCATCCCTTACTTCCATTTAATTAGCTCTGTCTTTTATGGTTTTCTACTTATATTTCTCACATAACCTAGATATCTCTCTGTTCACATACCCCCCTCAACTTCTTCCTCAACTCTCTTCTTCCTTTTATCACATGTCCTCTGTCTGCCTCCACATCTTTGTTATATACTTTTAAAATCCAGCATTTTGCTATGTGCCAACCTATGTGATAAGCACATTCCATGAAAGATCTCATAGAATCCTCAACAAGCCTGTTAATTGGTACTATTATACTCATTTTACAGTTGAGGGAACAGAGGTTGAACAAACATTATCAAAATCACACAGTTAAAATGGCACAACAGGTTCAAATGGAAGTCTGTCTTCTGAAACTGACTTCTTAAGCAGTAGGCTGTATGCTCTTCGTTTGTTTTGAAATCTTCTGCCAGCTCTATCCTGTCCTCCCATTCTGCTGAAATGATCAACTTCAAAATTTGTCAATGGCATAAATCCAGTGGATTTTCTCAGCTGTCATTTTCCTTAACCATCTGTTGCACTCATCACTGTGGTATGTATTTGGAGAAACGTTTTCTACCCTGGCTTGTGACATTGAACTTCCTCCTGAACTCCTTGTCTCTTTCATTAACTCATCTTCTTTCTCCCACCTCCAAAAAGTGAGTGTTCACCAAAACCCAGGATTTGAACCTCTGCCATTTTTATTCTAGCCAAGTTCCTTCAGGGAACTCAGAAATGGAATAAGTCAAGATGAGATCATTTTTTCCTTATTTTTAATTGCTCTAAGAGATAACTGACTAACTAAAGTAAAAAAAAAATAGTAGCAATATATTATCAGTTTATTTATGTAAAAGTAACAGGGAAACACGAGCACAAAGGCTGCATGGAAGGAATTGAGAATATACTGTTAGCAGCTCCTTCCCTGTGTGTGACTGGTTATTTGAAGATAGATTATGGTTAATTAAAGATGTGTATTGTAAATGAGATGACAACTACTAAACAATTTAAAGAAATCTAAATACTAAGTCAACAGAAGAGATCCAATAAAATCGTAAAACGTTCAATTAGCAGAAGAGAAGGCAGAAAAGAGGAAAAAAATTAAAAGTGTGGAACAAATAGAAAGCAGCCAGCAAAGTGGCAGATTTTAATCTAACCTTTTATCAATTGGTATATCCGTTCCAATTGGCTATGCTGATATAAAAACACACTTCGAAATGAATAATGACTCCAACACATAGATGTTTGTTTCTCACTGATTTAACAGCCCACCACACATGTTCCTGGTAAATGAGTGTGTTGTCTCCTCCAAGTGGTCATTGAGGAACTCAGGCTGCTTCCACCTTGTGGCTCACCACTCCCTAAGGCCTCAATGTCATCTGCGTTTGGCTATTAAAGAAGAAGAATGCTTGTAGTCTCTAAGAAGACTGGTTTTAGAAATGGCCTGTTTCACTTTGCTTGCATGCCATTGGCTAGACTGTAGTCACATATCCATACCTAAGTACAGGGCAGCTTGGTAATATCAGCTAGCTGAGGGTCCTGGAAGAAGAAACAGATTTTTGGTAATAAACTAGCTCTATCTGCCACAGATAAACAGTTCAGCCACAAGGTTAGAAATTTTCACAATGTTTTTATCCATAAAAACCATCTTGGAGTTTGAAACAATAAATATACTTTACAAGAAAAATTCAGTTTCCTTTTTAGGTGCTACCTTTTTGCATTTTTAAATAGGACATCAGGTGATTCCAAAACTTAGATGATATCATTCTGAGAAATACTGAACAAGGCATGAGGGAGCCACTGTGACTGAAGCTGGATATGTTAACATCTGAGATGTTTCCAGGAAGATCTGTTGTCTCTTGCCACTCAAGTGTGTTCTGGGGGCCAGTAGTATTGGCATAATTCAGGATTGTAAATAATGCAGCATCCCAGGTACCACCTCAGACCTATTAAGTGAAACCATATGTTCATTACAGTTTCAGGAGCACTGGTCTAATTATTTTATGCCAAGATGTTAGAGAATGTGGATGGCTGTAGAAGTAAAGTGATAGGAGCATTATCCAATCAACAACAGGCAAAAGCAGATGATTCTGAGAAGAATCATCTACAGAATTTGAATGGAATTCAAGCCATGTGAGCCTGAGATAGACCAGAATACTTCTGGGGGTATGATACTGGCAAAAGAAGGAAATGACTATGAAAAAAAGTAGATAGACCTTTATTAATAAAGTTCATTTGTCCTAAATATATGAGTGGTATATATTTATTATAGAGGATTGGAAAAAAATCTAGAAGCACAAATAAATGGAACTATAGTTAGTATCCTTTTCTTTTATCTTCCATTTTCTCCTATTCATTTTTTCATATTATGTATTTTTGTATATATAGTACTGTTTATATATTTATATATTTATATTTTTGTATATATAATATTGTATTATACAGAAATATTTTACTATTTCATGATAGCCAATCTTATGTAATTTATCAACTCTGTCTCTATTTTTCAACATTTAACCTATGAACTTATTTTCACTGTTAATATTGAGTAACATTACAAAAAATATTCATCCTTGAACATCAATCTATCTGAATATTTCTGGCTGTCTTCTTGGGCTAGCTTCCTAGAAATACAATCACTAGGACAACAAATATTTACTTTCTGAAGTTGTTTGCTAATGTTGCTAACTTGTGTGGAAACTTTTCAGAAAGTCTCATAAGAAAAGGAAGCCTTTTGATTTGTCGATGTTCTTCTTCTAATTCACACCCTGCCTCCTGGAGTTGTTATATGGATTCAATGAATCAATGCATGTAAAGTGTTTAGTAATATGTCCGGCATATCGTCAGTATTTTGTTAACTATTAATATTGTGCAGTAGCACACAGTTGTTAAACCTGGATTTGCATTCTTACCTTGCCTCATACTAACCATATGAAGCAGGACATATCACTTGCCCTTCATGAACCTCAGTTTACTCATGAGTAAAATGGGCATGTGTTACTAACCACTTCAGGTTGACTTTGTGGAGCTTTATCATATGTGAAGCACATGGTACAATCCTTGTGAAAAAGTAAGCAATTCAGCAAATGTTTGCTAATAGTATTTATTATTTTTAGTCTTAAAGAAATTGAAAATTTTCTTGCTTTTTTTTTCCTTACTTCCTTCAGTGTACACACTCCCATTTCTATCTCAATTTGAATATGTCCAGTGAAGGTAGAAATATAATCTATCTCCTTTTGAAGGCAAGGAGGAGTGAAGCATTTAGGAATACTAGTTTTAAAGATGAGAAGTCTAATTATTTTGATTAATAATCACATTAGCTTAGTCATTCCTCAACATAGCTCTCTCTCTTTGCATCTATATATAATCCTATTATTTACTTACCAATTTTTATATATACTCCTGTTTACTAAAACATTGACATTATTCATGTAGGCTAACTGTTCATTATCTATGGCTTACCTATCACGTATATTATGTTCACAATACACATCAATGGCAAGTAGGGTTCTCTCTCAGGTGGTACAGTAGCTCATATAGTATCTATTTAGAGTCTTGGTTGAGAAGCAAACATCTGGGCTTATTGGAAATAAGCGTGGCCACTGAACTACGAGTAATACTTCATGTATGGGTAATTTCAGTCCTTTGGTAGAGTGAATAGTAGCTATGAGAAACAAGTTGAGAATAAAAATATTGGAAAATAAGCATATTTTGATATTTTATTCTATATGAATATTCATGTTAAAATGAATAATTTTCACTTTCAGAAATTTTATTTTAAATTAAATCTAACATTACTATAGATTATTAAATAAAATACTGATCTTAGGGGATAAAAAATGTAGATGACTTCAAAAATAATAATCCAGATCTAATTGTTTTTTGGGACTTTAGTAACCTCAATAACTAAAATTTTAGGTTTCATAAAATATTTTGAAAACATGAATATATAGATTAGAAATTTTGCAAGATGATTTTTTACTCCCTTTATTGTTGTATGTATTCATTTTATTTGGGTTATAAGACCATACAGCAACAAGAAAAAGTTGTGATGGTACTTTTAGTTAGCATATCAGCAACATCAGACCATTAGAACATCATACAGAATCAATACTCCCCAGAGCTCACCTAAGATTAGAATACAGACATGATATGTTTATGACATATCTACAGGCAATTTGCTCTCCTCCAGAAAAAGTTGCCACTAACATTTTATTCATTTCTCTCTGGCCTTAGGTCCAAGCACATATGCAGAGAGCTCAAGTAGACGGAGCACACATAACTGAATTCACCAGGTTTATGGTATCCTGGGCCATTGAGTTAATAGCTTTAATTGTGAACTTAGAGAAAATGAGAAGCCAAGGACATCTCAGTCCTTAGAGTTATAATTATATAAATGTATTTATATATGTTATATAAAAATATATTTATATATTATGTATGTTATAAATATTTAAATAAATATGTTATAAATATACATGTTATATATGTTATATATGAATATATAAATATGTATATAATTTAGAAAACATTGGTTCCCTGAGCACTAATAACAGTTGCTTCTCATTAGATAGTCATAAGCTACTTCTCAATAACAGCCAAAATATATAGTCACTTTAGTTTATAATGCTAAATTCTGTGAGCTACAGGACTTTTATTTATTCCAAGTCCCTGGCACAAAGAGTGTGCTTAATAAACACTTTTAAGTCAAAGGAAAAATACAAATATGCTGAATATATTGAACCACATTTTCATGTGTTCTACACCTTTAGTAAGAGTGTCCTTATTTTAAATGCAGAAAACCCGTTTGTTTGATAAATATAAAACTATTTACTATTTACAGTTTTGAGGGACTGCAACACAGTGAGTGGGGTTGTAAATGTTTGACTTTAACCTGGTGGATTTTGGTGCTATATTGCCACCTTGTGGTTACTCATCTAAAAATGGACTTTTCTTCAAAAACAAAAATCAAAAATAGACAAAACAAAGAATAACTGTTTTGCTTTTGTGATATATGGTGCAAACATAAGTTTGTGCTGTGTGCTTACACACACACACAGACATACAGTCACACACACACACATGCATGCACACCAGAAACCTGAGTCTGAAAGTAGTGACTGTGCTTGAAAAGGAGAGAAATGGAACATCTTTCCAAGAGTAATCCTTTAATGCCGAAAGTCTCTCATATAGGAAAATTAGCTAAGTGGCCTGTCTATTATTTTCAAACACACAATGATATGATTTCAATGGTTAAGTAAAAATGTCTTTCCACTCTTTATAATAAAGAACTAATAATAAAAAGAAATAATGTTTTTCTTCCTAGTTTTTTTCAGAGCTTGTTTACATCATATTAAAATTATTTCTGATGAAATAAGGTAGTAGATGTGAAGAAAACATACATAGTGAAATAAAATTTTCTTAGAAGATTATGACTAGAAATTTCCAAAGCAGCTCGTTTAGAAAAACGAGCATATAATTTAGTATAAGGATAACAGTATCATTGAGAAAATTTTTATTTCTGAGAAGAAAATTACACACTTAATAAAGTAGAGAATTTAGGGGAAATTGTATTAAAATATTTTTAAAGTACTGTGATTTTTTTAAAAAGAGAGACTTTAAAGGGAATTGATGCCTTAATATTCTCCTTTATAGGTCATATATCCTTGAATAAACTCTTTAAAATTGCTTAAACTTTAAATCCACATATTGCATTTAGAACTGAGTCAATTAATTTGTGAATAGAGCTTACTGAAAGAGAATCTGTGTCTAGAGCTAATCTGGTACTAGAAAATCAGAAAGACCATTTTACAAGTCCTCTTTTACTCAGATTATGTCTGCCTTCGCCAGAGTATGTTTGCAGATTAGTCCTGTAGTCTTAGATCCTAGAAAGATCCATTATTGCAAAATATGAATAAATTCAGTCTTGGATTTATTTACATTCATTTTCACTTATTTACAGTCATTTTACTACAGGTTAAAATTTCCAAAAACTTTTATATTTTACTTTTTCTACTTAGGTAGGTAATTAACATTCATTGTGGAGGCATTGGAAAACAGAATTAAAGTAAAATAATTTATCTGTAATCATAGCACCCATGATCATTACCATTAGCACTTTATATATCTCCCAAATCCTTTTTGCTTTTAGAAAATTGTGTCATGACTCTATGTACTGTTATAACATCTTCTAACCTGTTTTTCCCTTAATCATGCAGTTAAATAGCATCATCATTTTGTTTTCTAGCTACACCATAAAGCTATTCTCCATTGTGAGACATTTGGATGGTTCTCAAATTTTCATTCTTAAAAAACATACTGTGATGAGTCTTTATATAGATATATGTGTGTGTGTTATATATCCTATACAAAACCAAGATACAATATACGTCACCCATATGTATTTATTTTTATCTAGTTATTTTCTAGGATTTGTTAAATATTTCTAGAAAGGACTCTTTGATAAGGAACTGTTGGGACAAAGAATATTGACGAGTGAAGACTTATTACTAAATAATTGCTCACCCAAAGAATTCCAATTAACTGTATATTCCTACTCATTTAGGTTTGACTGTTTACCTTCAGTTCCAATAACACTCCCTTTGTCATTGATATTTATTGAACTATAATGTATATATGGAAATGTGTACAAATTATAAGCTCAATGAATTTTCACAAACTGATACTATCAATGTAATCAACTCAGTTCAAGAAATTTATTACCAGCACCCTCGAAGCTCTCCTTGTGTCTATTTATATTCACACTTCAAAGATAATTATTAACCTCTCACTGCTTTGATTAGTGTGGTCTATTTTAGGACTTTATCTAAATGAAATGACGTATGTCTTCTTTTGAGCCTGACTTTTTTCAAGCAACCTTGTGTTTGTGAAATTAGTCCATGTTGTTGAAGTTGTAGAGTGTTTTATATATTTGAGCTCTATATTATACTATTTCAATGCCAGTATTCTTTTTTAATTGTTGTCAGTCTGAAAGTATAAAATACAGTGTTACAGTTTTCACGCACAATCTTTGATTTAATGTGAGGTTGAACTTTTTTTTTTTTGGCTTCACTGGTTATTTATATTTGCTCTAGTGTGACATTGGTCATTTATTGTTCCTCTGTGGTAATACTGGTTTCTCTATTGTAAATAAATCTTTCACTCTTGCCCAAGCAATAGGTTACATTGGCCTTTAGTTACAAAATAGAAGAATGACTGTTGTTTCCTCACTCTTTCCCAAAAGGCCAATTAAGACTAAAAACTGTTGTTTTGACAAGGTAACAAGTTTCCCTTCTGGGACTCCTGTAGTTGCAGGGTCTTGATCCTCAGTAGCGAGAAAAGGAACATGATACGTGGATTCCAGATCCCAGAAGTGAATCATCCACATTTCGGGCTGAAGCCATTTCTCATCTATCCGGCTGATTCCTCTGACTTTTGCTACTTTATACTTTTTTGGGTATTTTTTCAAAACCTGCTTTTCTTGAAATGCTGACCAGTCCTGGTTAACTGTTTGCTGCCCCAGGGTACAAAGTTTCTCTAAAGTTAAAGCTGACCCATACCCCGGATTGATAAAGGGTGAGATAGATAAGAAACTCTACTTTAGGGATTTGAGAATCACTGGATAAGAGGAGATTCTAGGACAGAGATGATTCTGGTTTGATTAATTTAGGGAGAAGCTTAGACATTAGTCATTTGAAAAGGGCTCCAGGTGATTCCAATGGGTTGACAGGATTGAGAATAATGGAAATTTCTGACTCCTAAACTGATACATTCAGATCCACTGAATAGATCAGTTTTAACCTATAAGTAAAGAAATGCCCCTGCCTGTTTATATCATGGCAGACTCCCAGAGACGGGTCAACATCTTAATATTTGTCTTTTCCAAGTACTGAACAATGCCACAAATTTCACTTCTAAAGTATAATTCCCCATTCTTACTGCTTTGATTCATAGTAAATGAAAATTGTCCTAAAGGTACCAGTATTTTACTGCTGAATATGACTAAGCTTGTCAGATCATTATGTGAGAAATGTTGTGGTAATGGAAAGAAAGCAATAGAGACCTTCTCATGTTGGAGAGTATAAGAAGAAGAAATGGAGGTAGAGAAACAGTCTATCCTTTGTAAACTTTCCTTAGGTCCCAAAGAATTCTAAGGCTTTTTAAGGACTGTAGTTCTTCCTTTGTGAGATTTTGTAAGTATCCTTTTCAGTCTTGCAAAGGAAACTCTAGGCAAGTGGTTGAAAACCCACAGTCCCTTTGGCATGCCTAAAGGACACAGGAGCCAAGTGAGAGAGCTCCCAATGGCCAAATGTTGAACAGTTTGAGCAACAAAAGACATAAATTGGTATTACGTTATAACCCAAAGTGCAAAATAATTACCTATAATTAGCTATGAGTCCTCCCTAATATAAATACATGTTAGAATAAGTAAATAAATGAGAATGGACAAATTTTCCATACAGAAGAATTCAAAATTTTTGTGTAGATACTCCCCATTCTTTAAGTGTGAGCTACGCATAGTGACATTTTTCCAAAACGTACAATACAGAAAGACTGTGGGGAGACTTTATAGTGCAGATACCTGGCAGACACCACCTCAGCCAGACAAGAAAAGTTAATACCAGCCGTCATAATTTATATTGATATTATATATCCTTGATATAATGCTTTCAGGATGACACTTTACCTCTGTGGTCTTCTCCCAAAACTCTATAACTCCAGTCTTAACAGGAGAAAAACTTAGACAAACCCAAGTTGAAGGACAATGTACAAAATACATGACGAGCACTTTGGGAGGCTGAGGAGGGGGGATCACTTGAGGTTAGGAGTTTGAGGCCAGCCTGGCCAACATAGTGAAACCCTGTCTCTACTAAAAACACAAAAATTAGCCAGGTGTGATTGTGCGCACCTATAATCCCAGCTACTCAGGAGGCTGAGGCAAGAGAATCGCTTGAACCCAGGAAGCAGAGGTTGCAGTGGGCCGAGATAACACCACTGCACTCCAGCCTGGCTAACCGAGCAAGACTCCATCTCAAAAAAACAAAATAAAACAAAACAAAAACATGACTTATACTACTCAAAATAGTTCGGAGAAACTGTCACAGCCCATAGGAGGCTAAGGATACCTGACTACTAATGTGGTATACTGGTGAGCTCCCAGAACAGATAAAAGACACCAGTTTAAAAATGTCTTTAGAAATGTCATTTTAAAAGTCTAAAGAAATCTAAATATTGCATGGATTTTAATAAAAACTTGCCAACATGTGTTCTTTAGTTATGACAAATATACCATAATAAGATCTGACAAAGAAGCCAAACTTCAGTCAGATTTCTAAAACTTCTCCTAAGCCCACCTCTTCATTTCCTTGTAAAATCCAGTTTTAGCAATTCCTACTAAATTAGCTTAACAAGAACCCCTATAGTCAATATCCAAATGCCCGATCTGATTAGGTCTCTCCTCCTCTACCAACCCGAAGGTCATGTCTGATCACCCTATCCTGTCTTCTGCAAAAATCCTGGTAGGTCAGTTTAGCCAGAATTCCTTTCACTCCTGATGTTTTCTCCTAGTAATTTTTAATCCACTGACCCCCACCCCACTCCTTGGCTATAAATTCTCACTTGCCCATGCTGTATTTGGATTTCAGCACAGTCTCTCTCTCCTGCATTGCATGTGGTCCCTGTACCTACTGCAATGTTCCTAAATAAATTCATCCTTGCTGTGCTTTAATAAGTATCATTGAATAATGTTTTCTGTAACAGATGTTAACCATAGAGAAAACTGAGTGTGCAATATATAGGAATTCTGTTTTATCTTCACAAATTTTGTGAAAATCAAAAACTATTTTAAAATTAAAAGTTTATCAAAAAAGTAAAGAAGGGAAGGAAGGCAGGAAGGAAGGGAGAAAGAGATTCCCACATGAGCAGCAGCTGTCAGAATCTTGTCAAAATTTAAAATTCTCAAGTCGCAGCCCAGACCTTCTGAGTCAAAAACTCAGGGAATGTAGCAGTAACCTGTGATTGAGAAACATGATATAGTTGGTTGGAAAGAGCTCTGCTTCCAGGTGCTTCTCATTTTAAATGTGATCATGTTACTTTTTCTTTAATGCCCAAGAGTGAAGAATCGGATTAGGCTTTACTGTATCTTCTGATTACCGAATTGTTACCTTTCACAGAGGAATGGCATGCCTGCCTCTGTTCTTCTCATATTATTAACATTTGAACTCCGGGGCCCTTCTCAGACCCTGTTGTACTCATGTCTTCCATAACTTCTCCGGTACACAGAGAGCTCTTCCACCTCTGATATCCCCAAGTGCATAATCATGTACCAAATCTCATGTTTCCAGAGGCTATAAATCAAAGCAGAGTGTAGATTCCCTGGAGACAGAAGATTTCACCTACCAGATAGTGACCTTGGGTAAATTGTTTATTCCCTCTGTACCTGAGTTTTCTTTCTGAGAACTGGGGATGATACAAGAGTATCTACTTCATGGATTTTGGGGAGAATTGTGAATTAATACACATAATTTGTTAATAACAGCATCCAGCACTTAGTGAGGAACCAATAATGTAAGCTGGCGTTACTGCTGGTGGCAAGTGTTTTGTCTCTTAAATATTTCTTCCTTCTCCCAAAGTAGTGGAGTTTTGTGTGCAAAACAATGAATGTCTCAATAAAGATTTGGTGAGTTGAATGGGTAAAGTGAGCCCACAAAACCCTATTTCAAACCCAGTGACTTCTCTCTCCCCTGCCCTCACATACCAGTCATCTAAGGCATTTTGATGTTGAAGTAGAATGTTGAAAATATTTCATGTTGCTTATAAAATGCTTTTAGAATAAAGTTAGAGAATTGGATAATATGTGAAAATCTGGAGTAAATTAACCTTACTCTAAGCTTCACCACCTACAGTTGAGCTGTTACCAACGAACAACACCATTTTACTTTTGATCAAAGATTATTCTAGCTCCAGAGAGCCTTAGCAGAATTTCTGTTAGCCTCAAAGACGAGATTAGACATAAAAGAAATAAGCACCCTGGGGACCATTCTAGAGGCCACTGGGTAAGTGAATATATTTGAATAACCAGTTCAGATTTTGCTTATTTGCAGTTTACCATAGGTTAAATAGAAATGCAACAATTTACATGCCATAAACACACAAGCTTTAGGTGGTTTGGTTTGTTTTCCAGATGGGAATTAATGTGGTGGACTCCGCAGTATCCGGATTAGGTGGCTGCCCTTATGCAAAAGGTGCTTCTGGGAATGTAGCCACTGAGGATTTGATATATATGCTTAATGGCCTGGGGCTCAATACAGTAAGTTACTTTAACGTATTTTAATATTCATGCATTCCTTGCAGCTCCAAATTGCAAAGCTTCTAAGATGTGGGAAGCAATTTTGAGGTCAAAGTTTTACTACACTTTTGCTATTTGCTAAAATGCACAGTGGGAAAATGCAATAAAAATTCTTTTGGGGTCTTTATAAAGTAACTCATTGCTATAGCTCAATCACCAATAATGCTACCATTTCACATTTTTATAGTGCTTCATGACCTCTAAAGAACTTTTTCATGTATTATCTGATTTGATTTTATACACTTTGTGAGTTGGAGCCTGTGTCTTTGCTGTTACGATTGTTGAGTTTTGCAGTTTTGTTTTTTGTATGGATGTTTTTCTTGGAGAAAATGGAGATCTTGATTGTCTCAGTGACAACTGTAGCTTCTGGAAGAACTCCCAGGGCACTTTTTAAATGATCAGTGAAAGAGGGGAGCTTCATAACACTTAGCATATGAGACACTGGATGGCAAGAATAGTCTCTTTGCAAGTTGTACCGGAAAAGTCACGTGCTATGTAACCACATCCACCAAATTCAGCACCTTGTTTTGCCCTATGATTGTTAACACAACCTGTTAGTCTATAGAACCGATTTATTTAGGAAAAAAATAAAAATCACAGATGATTAGACATTTAGAATTTCTGAGATGTAAAATAATCATCTGTATTGTAAAATGAATTTTTTTACTCTCTGCTGCTCCTATTCCTCCTTTTTCCTCATTCTACTTACATTAATGCTCCGGCTGCATTAAACTTGCTTCTAGTCTACAGTTCTGTACCATTTTATTCCTCACTTCTACTCCTTGCTCAGGTTTTCACTACCATGTGAAATGGCCTTATGCCTCGTATTCCATTTGGCCTGGAAAGTAAGACACCACCATCCTAAAAATAAGCCGTCTGGCATCTCCCTGCCTATCCCCCAGGTCAAACTGTTAGGTCCCATTCCTTAGTGTTTTCATGTTTTCCTCTGAACTTACCACAAGGTTATATAATTATCTTGTTTATGTGTCTATCTTCCCATGCAACCACAGAGCAATTATGACAGCTTATTCATACTTTATACTTGGTGCCTGTGGCATAAAGATGCTCCATAAATATTTATTGAAAGACTGATTTCACTTGGCACTAAACACCAACAGCTGTTGCCCATAAACACCAAAAGCTATTGCCTATTTTCTCTGGTTAGAAATAAATGTTATTTCATTTACATCGTATCTTAATCATTTATATCAGAAGCTAATGACATAAATGAGGGTAAATAGCTCCTTTCTTAGAAATTTAGATGACTGAATCGAACTCCATAGCTGATAGCTGATGCTTAATATATGCCAGTTATGTTCCATAACTCTGGAGTCCAAATGCAAATAAATCAAGTTTATTCCTAAAAATTTCAACATCCAAGGGTTGCTACATTGAGTAGCTGCCACAATTCAACTAGTCACCCAAGGCAACAAACCAGGATTCTCTATAGAATTTAATCTCACTATGGATTCCATGTCCAATCAGTTACCAAGAGCTGCTAATCTGACTTTAAAATATTTTGGTTGTCCTTCCCTTACTACCTCTGCTATGACTACATTGATGCAGGTCTGCATCTCTTTCCTGGGTGTTCATCCTATATACTGGTCGCTGGCTCCAGACTTGCCTTTAAAATCTATCTTCCATGCTACCATCAAAGGGTTACACCTAACATATAAGTATGAATAGGCTCTACGTCTGCTTGAGCAAGGATCAGTGGATTCTAATTTCCTGAAAGGAAGCCTGTGCTCTATCACATAATCTGGCCTATTATTACCTTTTCCAGGGTTAATGGTATATTTTGCCTTTATCCATATACGCCATGGATATTTAAGATATCTTGGACTGCTCTTCTCTCTGCCTGCATACAGTGCCCCATATATCCTCCATCCTCTTTTATACATTTTGTATAAACCTCAGGTCAGGCTTTACCCTTCTTGGCACTTTTCCCTGACACATTCCTTTCTGCATTTTTTTTTCCTCAGTGGGTTGATGGCCTCATATCTCTGCCTCCGTAATAACCTGGGCATATCTCTATTTGTGGCTTTAACTATGGTACAGAATTTTCTGTTGTGAGTCCACATTGCTTGCTTGAACTTGAAGGCAGAAACCACATTCTACGTGAGGTTCTTGAAACTCCAGAATCTATCATAGTATACGAGACATATTTAAGCACCCGACAAATGATTTAAGAATACATGCAGTGTTGTTTCATAATGATATCTACTGGTTAAATAAAATGGTAGAGAAAAGCCAAAACAAAATTCTTCTTTGGTGCGATATCAACAAATTCTACTGTATAATTGTGACAAATGGACTTACTGAAAAGAGAAGAAAGACATTAATGACAAAAATCTTTCTGTCAACCCTTGCTGGATGTAATTTATAAGTGAAAGGCACCTGAAGTTAATTGTTTACAGAATTTAAGTATCATTGGATTAAGGATGTTAAACAGATACTCCACGTAAAGCCGTTACCACGACAAAACCAACTTTCTCAAACCAAAGCAAATGTTAGTATCCTGAAAACAACTTTGTAATAAAAAGACATCATGAAAATAATTTACAAGTATCACTTTACAAAATATTTTTAATTCTTAAAGAGATAAGTAATTAGCTATATCGAAATGTCTCCAATTTCTAAAATGATATTCATTGTTATGAAAAGCCCCTATGAGTTTTTATACTTGTCTATTTTATGAAAGTGACAAGTTTTCATAGATATTAAAAAGTACTTTATAATAGCAAGGAAAACTGAATATTTTCAATTTTAAGCCCACATTGTTTCTAGTCCATATTGAGGGGGAACATAGAAGCTTATGAAATGCCACATAAGGGCAAGTTTGTGCTTAATCCACTTAATGCTTTGCCTCCTCCGGTGACAACAAAAGTGCTGGGTGGAAACTTTGATAGTGACCCTTTCCTTACACTAAAGCCAAGAGCATGTCCTGAACTTGCCCTTTATACCCAGCTGCATATCTGTCATCCATGGATTTACCTGAGCTTTTGTTGATCCTATTTATACTTTCAGACAGTACAACCTCTCAGGCGAACAAGTTCCAGATGTGTACTAAATACCACTTCATTTTATTTCACTTGCAACTACCTCCTTCAATATCATACTAGTAATAGTATTTCTGGCCTTGGTTTAAAAAATATATATGTATATATATGCATACACCTTTTCTGTAATCCTTATGGCTTTTTCAAGTTTGTTTCTTTATATAGTAAAGAGGATAGTTTTTTTTCTAAGTCAGTTCTTATCTATAAACTGCTCCAAAACATTATTTTGATTGTCCTTCGCTGATGCTTTGTTGACTGCTTTTCTAGTTCCATTATTGTCCTTCCTAGACTCTAGATACCAGCCTGAATTATGATGTTTTTCAAGTGTGTCTACCTATATTATTATACAAGGGTCAGATTAAAGATATGCTGTAATAAAGCAGACAAATCTAAAATGTTAACAACATTATTCATGGAAACAAATGTTGCCCCAAAATTGATAATGACCAACACCACTTTGTTTAGTAATTTTAAATGGTTAAGTAACTACTAATAAAATTTAAAAGGCTATGTTTTATCTTTTTTCTCTCTAATCCCTCTGCCTTCCTGATATTCCTTCATTTCGTCACCAGGGTGTGAATCTATACAAAGTGATGGAAGCTGGTGACTTTATTTGCAAAGCTGTGAATAAAACCACAAACTCTAAAGTAGCACAAGCCTCCTTCAATGCTTGACTTGAATGGATTTATGACGTACCGTTGAGAAGATCAATTTCAGCTACAATACTCATCTGAAAATCATTAATGCCAACTTGCTCTGATATGTGAAGTAATGGACAAGAGTGGGAAAAAAGAGATCCTTTTCAAAAAGATTATAACTGGATAGATTAAGTCAACAAAATGCAATATCAGTCATCAGGTAAATTGCAAGCTGAGGATAAATAATAAAACTTGTCATAATTTTGAACTTGGAAAAAAGTTTCTTTTGCTCTCATAGAAATAACTTTTTAATTTAGTAGATGGGAAAATTGACTTCGTATTTCCCCAAGTATCAAATACTGTGTTAATACTTAATCAAGCAGGCTTAACACTGTGTACATATTGTCAGTAGTTTATGAGCTCCTGCATAGTATGCAGAGTGTGTGGCCTCAATATTATACATTATGCCTCTGGATCTCAACTACTCATTTGCCAAGTCAGTTATGTTATGGACCAAAAGCCAAATCTCCATCTGACCCTACATAATTTTAGCAATAGAACTTTTATATTTCAAGTATGGCTAACATCTGTTAACTATTTCAGTGACTTTATCTGGTTCCAAGAGGCTGTGGCCAATGGCAAGATGCCATATCCTGGAAACATATTACGACCTCCCATGTTTGTTACATGCATCCAGTTTACCACACTTTACCTGTCATCAGTTATAGTAAAAACCAGCATGGTGTTACTCAACTATTGAGAAATTGTAAGCTATTTTTTTTTGTCCTGATGTCTAAATTGCAGTGATAAGAATAGGTTGATACATGTATCATAATCTACCTTTATAATTTTCAGATCACTTTCAAATTGCCCAAGGAAATATTGTGATCCTAAGAATATTAAGATAATTTTAGGTTAATGAAATACCCATTTTCCTTTTATTCATGGTGCTTTGCTTACCCACATTATTTTTTGGTGTATTTTTTAGTGGTTATTTTAGAAGTTGAAGTGGCTGAAATTTTGTCTATTGTCTTAGAATTGATTGCCAGAAATTGCAAGATGTAATATATCAAAGTCAGGGATGAGGAGCAGGAGGACTATTCAAGATAAACTTCTGTAACCTATGCATATTTTATGGGGGCAGTATTATTACAAATGGATCTGAAATGTCAGTTCTAGTATTTAGAGAGACTTCTCTAATAATACCGGGTGATATTATCTTTGAGTAAATTTGAATATAAATTGAAACATAAAAATGAGTATTGTGAACTTTCTAGGAAATATTCATTAAAACCATTGAAATAAAAATAAATTCAAGAAAGTAAGAAGTACTGATTATGTTGCATGGTTCTGGAGCAGGAATACTGAGAGCAATTCTCTGTTTTGGGCTTAATGTTTGTGGGTTGGGGGAAATGCAGGGAGCAGACAAAAATCAAAGCTGGTTATGAATCTTTTTCAGTTACATCTCCCTGTGCATCTCTCTTCACGAAGCACATGACCCTGCACACTGGCAGTAATGGGACACCTGCAATTAGCGTGTACAACTGGATACGTACCCCATATTCTGAGGAGACTGACTTCCTATCTCTTACAATGCTATGCTGTTCCTAATTTCAGATATTTGGAAAAGCATCTCTTGTTACAAACTGCCCATAGTAACAACTAAGGGGATGATGGGAAAGCATTGCTGTTTTGAAATGAAAACCATGGACTTTGAAAGACAGAGCAAGTAGTCAGAAACTCCAAGTACAGTCTACAGCACAGTTACATAGCATCCATATCAGTGTACTGAGTCACTTCCATGAATACCTTGATGCTACTGAATCACATTTAGTATGAGAAAGCTTGTTGTAGGTATTTGGTATCCTTTCTCCACACAAACCATCTAAATCCCTTTGATAGTTTAAGAGAGTTTCTTTTCTGGTTTTATTTTCTCCACCTTATTTATCTTTTGGCCTCTTCCTTCTTATGTTTGACTGCAGACTCACAAATGCACAGTTGCCTTCATTCTTGCAACTCAACATGTGGTCCAAGACCAGCAGGATAATCCCCTGGGACCTTTTGAGAAATAGAATCTGAGCCTTCACTCCATACCCATTGCATCACAGTTTGCATTTTAAACAAGATCCTTACGTGACTCATATGCAGATTAACTTTGAGAGGCACTTGCCTATTTGATACCTCCTCTTGGGTATCCAACAGGCATCTCGAGCTTCATATATATTCAAAATTCTTGTACCATTTTTCACTTTGTGCACTGTAGTCTACCCCACTGTCTTCTCTGTTTTTGGAACAAGGCACACTCAGATCCATCTCAGGTCCTTTACCTTAGTTTTTTTCTGTGTCTGTTTCCCTGGCTCTTTCCCTGGGCATGTTTGGCTCCCTCTTGTCATTGAGGTCTCAGCATAAATTTTACCTCCTTAATGAATCTTCCTGGACAACTCAGTTTAAAGTAAGTCCTGTTACATTCTCTCACATCAACTCATTTAATTATTAATTATAGAATTTTTACCTTCTTGTTTGTTTATTCTTTCTTTTTCCAACAGAATATATACACCTGAGAGCAAGGGGTTTGCTATCTTCTTCACTCTTAGTTCCGCAGTGCCCAGAACATAGTGCTAGGGTCTAGCACTAAATACCAATAAATGTTAGAGTGAAGAATAGAAACGGGTTTAATTCAGACATTTGGGAATTGAAGGAAGGAAACTATTCTGCATGAACTCTGTTTTCTGAATATATACATATATATTTCCTGAGCCCTTAATAGATTTTTAAGGTTTATTTGTTCCAGTTTATATGTTGAATGATTGAATTAAGGAATGAATGCCTGTATACACCAAAGAGGTTGTTAAGAAATGTTGGATAAACCAAAATTGTAAGGGAAATACATATCTTTTTAAGCAGAATAAAGTAAAAGTGAAACTGCTGGAATTGATAACAACAAATGGACAATATCAATAACAACAAAAACCTTCCTGAGGTAAAGAGGCAACAGCTATAATAGCATCTAATCAGCTTTGCTATGGGCATGCCATTGCTTCCTGTGTGTCTTACACACATGCACACGGGCACGCACACATGCATACATAATACACCATTCCAGAAATGGCCAGAAAAATTTAGTTTTCTCAAACTTCTGTAACCTGTCTCTTCTCTATCAAAGAAACAAGAACTGCATTGCCTATTTAAAAGTCCACTGTACATGTCATCGAAGAAAAGCGAGCCTGTTATATCAGCTGTTATCTATATTACTAAGAGATAAAAATTTCATAATGACTTGATATCAAGACCTTATTACTTCAGTATTCCTTAAATTCTTTTAGTAACTTATAGATATTTCAGAGTCAAGTCTTAGCAGAGACATACTCTTAATTTTCTGTCACTGACACATAAGCAAACTTATTCTCTGTGATCTCAATTCATGTTGTACATTAGATTAATCAGTGGATGACGGGAGAGGAGTTTAGCAATATTGATGCCTGAACTTCACCCTCGGATATTTTGATTTAATTCGTCTGGAGTAGTACTTCAAGCATCAACATTTTAAAAAAAAATGTATATAAGGCAATTCTCGTGTGCAAGTTTAGTTGAAAATCTCCAATTTAGAGCAATGGTTTTGAAAGTGTAATCCCAGGAGCAGCAGCAGCAGCAAAATGGCCTGCTTTTCTTAGGAGCTTCATCCAGAGAAAACTGCATCATCTCAGAGTCAGTTATAAAATCCAGATTGTGAATCTGTGTATACTACAGAGATAAAGGACAGTAAGAGGACACCAACTGTATTAGCTCATCCTTGCCTTGCTATACCTAAGACTAGGTAATTTATAAGAAAAGAGGTTGAACCTCATGGTTCTGCAGGCTGTACAGGAAGCATAGCACCAACATCTGCTTCTGGGAGGGCCTCAGGAGGTTTTTACTCATGGTGGAAGGTGAAGCAAGAGCCAGCACTTTACATGGCAAAAACAGGAGCAAGAGAGAGAATAGGGAGGAGGTACCACACTTTACAACAACTATCACCAGGACAGCACCAAGAGGATGTTAAACCATCCATTAGAAATCCACCCGCGTGATCCAATCACCTTTCACCAGGGCTCACCTCTGACACTGAGGGTTACAGTTCAACATGAGATTTAGAGGGAATACATAAGCAAACTACATAACCAACTCATTAGAATTCAAATTAGGATTCACTAGAGATGCAAATTCTCAAACTCCAACGTAGATGTACTAAATCAGAAGCTCTGGGTTAAGGCCCAGTAATCTGTGTTTTTACAGATCCTCCAGGGGATTCTGAGGAACCCTAAAGTTTGAGAATCACTGACCTTCTAAGGCAGTGATTTTACCACACTTGTAATTGGTAGAAGAGAAAAATGGATACGATTTAGCTTATTGTATGCCCTATATCCACACAACAAAGCATCATTTTGAACTAGCACTCATGTAATCCAAATAGGCATGCATTTCCAGCCTACATTTCCAATGTGAACAGTGCTTTCAAGAGAGGAATGAAGTATAAAAACAGATGTCAATGTCCTCTGCCACATTCTTTCCCTTGACTGTGTTTCCCAGCTTCGTAAGTTGTAAGAGGCATATGAATAGACTCATCATTAGGATTTTCTCCAGGAGGCTTGAGTCTGAGAAAAATTCCACCAGGGTTCTATCGATTCTTCTTTGGCATCAACTGATCTTAGGCTCTGGAAGCACACAATCGAGTTTTGAGTCTTGGCTCTATTACTCAATGGCTATGCAAACTCGTTCAATTTACCTAAGGTCTTTAAACCTAATTTCAAACCTCACTTCCTTCACCTGTAAAACTCAGATGATAATAACCTTTATTTATACAGCTATTGGAAGGATTTCATGAAATAATGCTTATAAGTGTTTGGCAAAGCGCCTGGTACTTAGAAAGTAATCAATAAATGTTAACAATCATAATTTTTATTATCCTTTCCTATGGCACTGCCATGGAGTGGAACTTCCCCTCCACTGAGAGTTAACAATTAGAGAGGCTCTCTTTCTATATCCTGTTCCATGTAAAGTGTGTGTTGTCTTAAAGGGCCTGCAATAATCCCCAAAAAGGCCGTTCGTCATCAAACTCCAGGACCACATAGTCTTAAATTGGCACCAGAGTCCCATGCTTTCCTTATTATGCTATACCCCTGAGGTATGTGTGCTGAGCTAATTCTTTTCTGCATTTCATATGACAGTAGTTTGCTACAGGAACTTGTTTTGAGACTTTTGCTGAGTACACTTATCTAAGAAATATCACATCATCTAAAGTCAAAAATTTCATGAACATTAGGAAATTGTGTCAGTCTTTTGGCAGTTGGACAGGTGAGCAGATAGATTTTGATATCTATTTTTATATGAGTTGTATTTATTTGGTGGACTACCTAGAAAGCTTCTGCTTTCTTCTTATTCTTCCTGGTTCCATTATAAAGTAGAACCGTGTGCTTAGTTGAAGTATTATTTTCTTCCATGAGGGTTGTCTTTCCTTTGACTTGAGCCATAGTATGAAACTTAAAAGGGATTATGCTCCTCTAGGAATTAATAGGAAATAAATCAAAACTTCTGATGATCATCCCATCTAAACTTTCCTTCTCCAGATGGTTATTTAAGCCTCCTGTCATTAGTAAAGCAGAGCAAAATATCATAGGTAGCCAGCCAGATCATTATCCTGAATTATATGAATCCTGAAAAGGTGGCTTCAGTCAGAAGGTTTTCACAGTGACCTCTCACTATCTGTACACTAATACCAGTATATTGGATTGTTGGGCAGACATTCCAGCAGCATTCAGAGGGGTCCACAGAATTACAAGGAATCACTGACTGCTTTTCGTAGTAGCTTCGTTTAGATAAAACCGAATTATCTGGTAGTCAGCTCACAAAATTTGTACTGTAAATGTGTGTATACTCCAGAGGTGAAGGGAAGCTGTAGAGTGCCAATGTCTGTCTCCTTATAACAGCTTGTATGCTCAGTACCTATCACATTAGTATAAAGGAAAACATATCTATGGACCTTCCTTTAATCAAAGAACAGTATGTCTTTGTTTTTCTCAACTGTAAACATCTGCAAAGAATTTGAAGACCAAAGTAGTTCAGGCTAGAATTATGGGCATGAGGAAGAAGTGAGAAACATGTGATAACAAATGCTAAGAGCGTAAGTGGGGATAGGTATGTTTCTGTAAGGGGTTTATGACCATCTAGACATTAAAAGCCTCTTAGTATTCTTCTACCTCATGGACATTTTCTTTTTTTACTTTTTTTTTTCTTTTTTTTTTTTTTTTTTGATACAGAGTCTCACTCTGTCACCCAGGCTGGAGTGAAGCGGCAAGATCTCAGCTCACTGCAACCTCCGCCTCCTGGGTTCAAGCGATTCTCATGCCTCAGCCACCAGAGTAGCTGGGATTACAGGCATGCACCACCACACTTGAATAATTTTTGTATTTTTAGTAGAGACGGGATTTTGCCATGTTGACCAGGCTGGTCTTGAACTCCTGACCTCAAGTGATCCTCCTGCCTCAGCCTCCCAAAGTGCTGTGATTACATGCATGAGCCATGTCACCTGGCTGGAAATTTACTTTTACCACTAACTGATTAGAGGCTCTTCCCTGAACCTTCTGCATTTCTATAACAGTACACCATTTTTATTGGGTATTTAATGTTTGCAGTCATGGTTGTCCTTCAAAGTTGTCATTTTGGGAAGCTATGCATTCATGTTAATGACATTATCTTTCAGAATTGGAATTACATTGAGTCTCTTCCATAAAAGAAACTAAATGTCACTACTATAGAGTCATTTTTTATATTGTTCTAATATTGTTAACAAAGACAGTATTAACCATATTTTTCCTGTTAATTTAGTTAACATGTATTTATCAATTTATTTGTCTACTTTATTCACACCAGATTTTTGTCCAAATGACATTCAGTTATTTCTAAAAATCAAATCCAGGCTGAAAAAGAAAAAACAAATTTCTACTTCACAGGTAATTCAAAAGAATATGTCAAATGTTTCTGAGACAATTTCAGTGAGCAGTAAATAAACACATTTGCTTTACTGGCAGAATATTTGAATAGTTGTCTAGAGTTGCAAGGCAATAATTTTGGAAAGGTATCATTCACTTCTGTATTAGTTTAAAAATCATATTTTACTTTTAAATTTCTTATAACCCATATATAATACCATGTTCTTTATCTAAATAAAGATGAACTATTAAATATATGTGATTCCCAGATAAGTGAAGTTTCCACTTTATATCCCAACTATTTAAAGAATAAACATTTCTGTAGGAAGTATTGTTGTGGTCAGACTTATCTTGTTTAAATCAGATATAACTTATTTTCCCCCAGTTTATAAGCTCTTTGTGGTACACAGGGCCAATCCTAATGTAGATTCTATATACTACCTAGCATAATTTCCTGGTATCTACTTCTATCCTCCCTTTCATCACCTCTGTTCAACCCCCCTCAAAACAAATCAATAGTTTTCAGTTCCTTTCTTTCTTTATATTCATTTCTTCTTCTCCCTGAAGTATCTTGTACTCACCCAGCACTTTCCCAAGGCAATTTGTTCAAATTTGATCACTCTTTTGTGTGATTATTTGCTATGTGTTAGTCTTGCTCACTTGACTATGAGCTTCTAAAATGCAGAAACTGTATAATATATACCTGTATATCCCTAGTATTTCTCATGATGTCTAACACATTATAGCATTTCAAAAGTAATTAACATGACTTTGCTGTCTTGAGATATTGGGAATGTTATTATAAGCTTTAGTAATAATTTTAGTTGCTATTAAGATGTGTATGGTAAAATATAAGCCCTGTTCTGAATAACCTAAATTATTCTGTTTTGAAAAGCTGTGCCTTTATTTTCCTGATTTGGGAGTGTACTTCCTCTTAAGGGACCTCTTGAAATTTTCCATTTTAATTACTATTTTAAATACCTGAAGATGGGGAGTCCTAGCAAAGCATAAGTAGCCAAAATATAGCTGATGTTTGAACCACTCTTGCTAGACTAGTCTCACATACAAGGTAATAAACTGTGAATGAACTTGTAAGTTCTTCTGAAAATAATTTAAATAACACAAATACAAATCAGAGTTCTTATTTGCCTATCAGATTCAGAATAATTTTGTTCATTAACAAATGTTTCTTGTGCATATGTGTAAAATAAACATTTTGCTACGTTCTCACATTTCAATGGTAAATAAGGCAGACACAATGCCTGTCTTGATGGATATTATACTGCAGTGCTGAGAAGGTAATTCAGTGCAAGTTGTGTGTGCACTCTGTAAGTTGACAGGTTTAGATGCACAGGTCAAATGACTAGATGCAACTGGGTAACTCTAAAGTATATCTGATGTACTTGACAGGGTCTTCCAGGTAAGACTTGTGGAGCCCAAGATCTAGACCAGCCTATATTATCTATATTATTGGGGATCAATGATACTTAAGTGGAAAAATATAAAGGAGTTTCTAAAAGAATTTAGTTAAGCTTAATTATATTTCTTTCTGGCAAATTATATACTTCTATGTACTTGTCTATTTTTATGTCAATTTCTATCTTCCTCAAGATTATTTATCTTGGTTTTGACTATTTGTCCTCAAATTCTAACATCTGTAGACAATCAGGTACTATTCATAGGTTTATAATATCAGTTCTCATATCTTTGCCACAACACCAAAGTTAAAGAGCATAATGTGCGCACACACACACACACGACAAATTGAGACACTGAAAGTCTAAGCCATTGACTACTTTATAAATTCCCATTCATTTCTTCATCATTTAAAAAATATTTATTGAGCACTTACTGTACAGTTAGGATTGTGTTTACCTGCAAGTAATAAGAATACAGAGTACATGGCTTCAGTTATTGTCCTAATGCCCTGTGTAACAAGCACAGGTAACCACCGACAACTTTCAGGTCTCCTTCTCTTTCTGTGCTACATGTGATCAAGAAGGTAAGAAAGCCCAGGTACTCCCTCCATTAGTACTGGTGAGGAAGCTCAAACCACTACATGATCACCAGCAGGAAAGTTCAAACTATGCAGGAATCCTCACCTTGGCTTTATTCCCCAGCCAATAAAGTCCAGAGACACTCGCTCCTTCCTTCACTCAAGCTATTTTTGGATCTGCTTTGCTTTCTACCCTATTCTTTCCAGAATGTTTAATACATGAGTAATTTACCTCTTCATACCCTCTTGGTATGTGTGTGGCATTATCAGTTTCAACATCTGAGCCAGTTTTGTGGGGAGGTCCATTCTGTCAATGTGAGTGTTTATAGCACTCTATAATAAACGCCATCTTTCTGCTTCATCATCCTCATTAGCTTGGGAACAGGTTAGCTTTCATCTTCGTACTAATTTCCTAACGGCTCCAAGATAGCTGCCACTCAAACTTTACATTTACGTTCAAGGCCAGAAGAAGGAACAATAGCAATCTTGCTGTCTATCTCAAATTATTGGTTTCCCAGGAACCCTGAGTTTCATTGGCCATAACTGTGTCACATCACAACTCATCACTTAGTTGTTAAAGAGTCTGGGATTTCAAGAATTGTATTTAAGTGTATTGCCACACCAAACAAAATCATAATTCTATGTATGAAAATGGATGAGACTGAATCCTGGTAAAGCAACTATTTAAGTCAACCTTACCAAGTAGGAGCAAGGATGTGCTATGTGCTAGGGATGTAACAATGAATAAACTTATCAATGGTTCTTTATGGAATGGCCTAATGGGGGAATCACAGAAATTATGATACAATGACAATTGCACTTGTAATAAATGCTATGAAGGAGAAGTTCTTTCTCTAAGTTCATCTTTCTCTAAGAAGTTCATCTTTCTCTAAGTTCATTTTTCTCTAACTTGGGTGTTGTGGCGAAGATCTGAGAACTGATGTTATAAATAAATCTATAAATGGTACATGATGGTCTATAGATGCTAGAATTTGAGGACAAATAGTGAGTCAAAACAAGATAAGTAAACTTGAGGAAGATAGACATTGGCATAAAAAGCACAATTGCACTTGTAATAAGTGTTATGAAGGAGAAGTTCATCTTTCTTTAAATTCATCATATTCTCTAGAATGTAACAAAACACGTCCATGCAAAGGACATGATTCATGAGATGAGATCTGAAAGAAGAGCAAGGTGTTAAATAGTAGAAGAGGAAGGGGAGAAAACATTTCTTGTGAAAGGAACACATGTGGAAGAACCCTCTGGAAGGAGGAAGCGTGATGCATTTCTGGAAATTGAAAGTAGGCTAATGTGGTTGAAGCACAGGGGAAAATGGAGGAATCTGGATGTCCAATTAAGAAGCTCATTAATTATAATTTGCAAAGAATTCATTTAGACAAATGCTTGGACATTATGTTTAGAGCTTCAACTATCTATGATCTTGTGGTTAGTGTTTGAGACACAACAATCACTCACCCACTTATGTATTTGTTTAATAAAATAAGTCATAAATTACAAAAGACAAAAATTACTTAACAGGAAATTTACTATATGATATGATATCATTAGTTCAATAAATGTTTCTCAAACAACACTTGTATTCCTTAGGACTGAATAAATATAAAGGAAAGAGACTTTTTTTTTCCTTCCTCCAATTGTCTGGCTGCTAAGGAGCATTTGGAATGATGACCATCTTCATAACCATCTTTTAAAATTTTTGAATTACCTTGAGATTCTTGTAGTGGAAGGAAGGGGATGAATTTCCAACTCCTTCCCCATTATTGGCCATACAGTTGATATTCTACTGGAGGCTAGGGGCTCTAGCAAGTATAGCAAAAGAAAAATTACTATATATTTAGATATGTATACTGAGATGTGAATCGGTAGGTAAAGCTGTAAAATATGATCCAGGAAAAAAATAGGGTACAATAACAAACTAGAAAAGCATAAAGACCAAATATAGGCATACCTCATTTAATTATGCTTTCCTTTATTTTGCTTTGCAGATATTGTTTTTCTTTCTTTCTTTCTTTTTTTGAAACAAATTAAAGGCTTGTGGCAATCCTGCATAGAGGTTGAGCAAGTCTATCAGCACCATTTTTTTTAACAGTGTGTGCATGCTTTGTTTCTCTGTTACATTTTAGTAACTCTCACAATATTTCAAACTTTTTCACTATTATCATATCTATTACCGTAATCTGCAATCAGTCATCTTTGATGTTACAACTGTAATTGTTTTGGGGAGCTACGAACCATGCCTGCATAAGACGGCAAACTTAGTTGTATGTGTTTTCTCTTTCTCCTTGGGTCTCTCTATTCCTGGAGACAAAAAAAATATTAAAATTGAGCTGATTAACAACACTGTAATGGCCTATATATGTTCAAGTGAAAGGAAGAGTCACATATTTCTCTTTAAATCAAAAGATAGAAATGATTATGCTTAGTAAGGAAGGCATATCGAAAGCCCAGTTAGGCTGAAAGCTAGGCCCCTTGTGCCAGTTAGAAAAGTTTGAATGCAAAGAAAAAGTTATTAAACGAAATTTAAAAGTGCTACTCCAGTGAGCACACAGATAATAAGAAAGTGAAATAGCATTATTGCTGATACAGAGAAATTTGGGTGGCCTGAACAGATGATCAAACCAGCTACAACATCCCTTTAGTGAAAGCCTAATCCAGAACAAGGCCCTGATTTTCCTTAATACAATGAAGGCTGAGAAAGGTGAGGAAGTTGCAGAAGAAAAGCTTGCAGAGGTTGGTTAATGAGGTTAGGGAAGGAAGCCATGTTCATAACAAAGTGCAAGGCTAAGCAGCAAGTGCTGATGGAGAAGCTGCAGCAAGTTATTCAGAAGATCTAGCTAAGATCATTGATGAAGGCAGCTACACTAAACAGATTTTCAATGCAGACAAAACAGCCTTCCACTAAAAGAAGCTACAGCTAGGACTTTCATAGATTGGAGAAGTAAATGCCTAGCTTCAAAGCTGCAAAGGACAGACTGACTGTTAGGAGCTAATGCAGCTGGTGACTTAAACTGAAGCCAGTGCTCACTGACAATTCAAAAAATCCTAGGACCTTTTAGAATTATGCTAAATCTACTCTGTCTGTGCTCTGTAAATGGAACAACAAAGCCTAAATGACAGGACAGCTGTTTATAGTATGGTTTACAAATATTTTAAGCACACTGTTAAGACATACTGGTCAGGAGAAAAAAAAATTCAAAATGTTACTGCACCTAATCACCCAAGGGCTCTGATGAAGATGTTAATTCCCTTATAGGAAATTAATGTTTTCATGCCTGCTAACAAAATACACATTCTTCATCCCATGGATCAAGGAGTAATTTTGATGTTCAAGTCTTATTAATTAAGAAATATGTTTTGTTAGACTATAGCTTCCATAGCTAGTTATTCCCCTGATGGATCTGGGCAATAAAAATTGAAAATCTCCTGAAAAGGATTATCTCTTCTGGATGTGATTAAGAACATTTGTGACTCATGAAATGAAATAAAAGTAACAATATCAACCAGGAGTTTAGAAGAGGTTGATTCCAACTCTCATGGATGGCTGAGGAGCTCAAGACTTCAGTGGAGAAAGTAACTGCAGATGTGGTGGAAATAGCAAGAGAACTAGAATTAGAACTGGAAACAGAAGATGTGACTGAATTATTCTAGTCTCATGATCAAACTTGAGCTGATGAGAAGTTGCTTCTTATGATCAAAGGAAATGGTTTGTTGAGATGGAATCTACTGATGAAGATACTGTGAATATTGTCGAAATAACAAAGGATTTAGAATATTAGTTTATAAATCGGGGCAAGGTTTGAGAGGATTAAATCTATTTTTTTTTTTTTTTTTTTTTTTGAGATGGAGTTTTGCTCTTGTTGCCCAGGCTGGAGTGCAATGGTGGGATCTCAACTCACTGCAGCCTCCACCTCCGGGGTTCAAGTGATTCGTCTGCTTCAGCCTCTGAGTAGCTGGCATTACTGGTGCCCACCACCACGTCCAGCTAATTTTTGTATTTTTAGTAGAGATGGGGTTTCACCATGTTGGCCAGGCTGGTCTCGGAACTCCTGAGCTCAGGTGATCCACCTGCCTCAGCCTCCCAGAGTGCTGGGATTACAGGCGTGAGCCACCACTCCCAGCCAATTAACTCCAATTTTGAAAGAAGTTCTATTGTGGGTAAAATGTTATCAAACAATATAACATGCTATAGAGAAGTCTTTTATGAAAGGAAGAATTCTTTTTATGAAAGGAAGATCAACATGGCACACTTTGTTGTCTTATTTTAAGAATTTGCCACAGCCACCCCAACTTTCAGCAATCACCACCTTGATCAGTTAGTAGCCATCAACATCAAGCTAAGACCCTACACCAACAATAAGATTATAACTGTATGAATGGTCAGTTAAGCATTAGCAACTTTTAGCAAAATATTGTAATTATGTACATTGTTTATTTAGAAATAATGCTACTGAACACATAATAGACTCGGTATAGTATAAACATAACTTTTATATGCACTGGAAAACCCAAAATCCATGCGACTTTATTGTGTTATTTGTATTATTGTAGTGGTCTGGAACCAAATCCCTAATATCTCTGAGGTATGCCTGTATTAAATAATTAATATGACTTTGTGTAACATATTAATATGTCCTGCTTTGCAGTGAATGATATACTGAATATGGAGGAAACTGAACGACTGTGCTTAGAAAAGAATAAAGAAAAATAAAGATAAATTACTCAATCAGATTTTACTTGACTCTGTAAAATGTTTAGCAGGCTTAGCATTATTCAGAGTTCAACAAAGGGAATAGTTTGTGCATGGTTGGATCATTGTTGTAAAAAAGTAAATTCATGTATTTAAGAATAGAACTTCCATAAACCCTGGTCTACATCGACTTAAGTTAAAATTATATGTCTTATTTTTAGGAGCATCATTCAGGAAAAGAAATTATGTCTTTAAATTTTTGACTCTCAAAGCACCTAAAACAGATGGGTTAGAGATGGGGTTTCACCATGTTGGCCAGGCTGGTCTTGGAACTCCTGAGCTCAGGTGATCCACCTGCCTCAGCCTCCCAAAGTGCTGGGATTACAGGTGTGAACCACCACACCTGGCCAATTAACTCCAATTTTGAAAGAAGTTCTATTGTGGGTAAAATGTTATCAAACAGTATAACATGCTATAGAGAAGTCTTTTATGAAAGGAAGAATTATTTTTATGAAAGGAAGATCAATGTGGCACACTTTGTTGTCTTATTTTAAGAATTTGCCACAGCCACTCCAACAGAACCCAAAAACTGTGTGCAATTATTTATTTATTTGATGTTATTTTTGTCAGTATGTAGGCCTTTTTCAAGAATATTGGGCATTAATCTGGACAACCACCTGTATTAGAGGTTTCCAAATGTAGTTATATAGAATCATGACAATGTGAAACAATGGCAAGTACTTAGGATGGAATTAATTAGAATTTTATTGATTCAAGGTGCTTTACCCCAGCTGTCAAATACAGCCTAGACTCTTTTGCTATTCTTTACCCTGAATTCATAAAAAATAGTATCCCCATAGGGCAATTTTAATTGGAAGCATATTTTACTACCATGATGCAAACTCAGGGTTACAGCAGGTAACCTGAAAGACTGTTATCCCCAGAAAATATATTCCCCAAATAGCATGATACACAAGGGGCAAAAATTACATAAGTCTTAAGATAAACTTCCCATCAAGTCAGTTTACTATAACTGAATGGTTGGGTTTCAAATGAAGGAAAGATGCAATTTAGATTCTGGTATACATTAGGAAAATGAAAATTATGTTATCCCGCTGTTTGAGGGCCTGTAACTTTTACTCTAAGCTACATAGTATGTATCAAGACATTCAAAGATGAGCTTAATACATTGTCATACAGTCTGGAAATCAGAAAATTTCAAGTTTTTTTATTCAATAATTTAAATAGATACACTATTTGTTTTCAAGATAGACCTTAAAAGATGTCTATTAGTAACATAATTATAGTTCTTATAAGAAAATGTGGAAGAAATTTTAATCAACAAAAGGTATTTTCCTACATTATTGTTTACTTATAAATATATTTAAAATAATTTCTGAATGTTGACACATGCTTTATGAATTATTAAATCATTTAAATTTTATGAGAAATTTTTTAAAAATTTAAGCCTTCAAAAATGACAAGCTTCAATGTATAAGTTTTCAATTCTGATAAATGTGTTTCCAAATCTTTGCTGTATAATTGTTGTGGCATGAATTGTTACATTCAAGACTAACAAATACCTACCTTCTACTGTATAGTGTAATCATAATATTAGAGTCAAGGTAATTAAATTCGCATATTGATTTTCTTTCCAATTCAGGATACCAAGTAAAGAGAGTGTAAATAGAATGTGCTGCCAAAATGCTTCAATGCTGCCAGAGACTAATAATGATTTGCAAAGTTATTTGTGTAATTACATGTTTAAGTCACCTCCATTTGGCTTTCAGCTTTATAAAGGCCAGGCTTTTGTCACATCCAGGTCCAGCACAAGAACTGACACACAGTAGTGTCCCAAAATTTGTTTAATTATCCACTCTCTGTGGTGCCATAAGAAATCACTCTGAAGAATAACAGTGGGAAACCAAGGGCCACAGTGTATGGGAAAGAAGAGGCACTTATCAAACTATTAAGCTGCCTATTCAACAATTCTAAAATGGGTTAAGTCTTTGATTGCCTAATTAGGATGCCAGTGACTTAATCTAATGACTACAATTCTGTTTTCATGTGTAAAAGGATGACGTCTTTAAAAAGACAAAGGCAATCAATATGTTTGATCTTAATTCTCCCTTTGGTACTTTCTTGTATATATAATTTAATGTACATAATTTTTCTGTTTCAAAAATCTGGTTTTGACCTCTTTGAGCCATCTCAGTTGACCCCTTATTTTATTGGTCTTCTGAATACCAACTGATAGGTGCCCCCAGGTTGCAGATTAATTAGCTGCCACTGAGAGATTATTAGCTCATTAGCAGCTACTTTGACTCATTGGCAATTGATTCCTCAAGCAGGGTTAGGGGAAAACTCACTGCCATCAAACTGGATTTTCTTAACACTGGAGTGGTAAAGTGGATCATTCAGCTTCTTATTGGTTTCTTGTATTTAAAAATGCATTCCCCTTCTTTATCTCAGGAGAGGTACCATATACAAGAGTAAAGACTGGGTTTAGAACAGAAAAATCCAATTCCAATCTCAACTCTGTTTCTTACCAACTGTATAACTTTGAACAAATGTCTTGGTTTCTCTAAACTCTTTATTGTTCATGTATAAAATGAAGAAAAACCTAGTACATACCAAACAGAAGTCTGATGAGTATTAAATATATAAATATTGCATGAATGATGCATTGAATAATTACTTAAGTAAATGCAACCTATTTTGTTTGACTGTATTGTTATCCCCTGGTGTCCCTTGGCTTCTCTTGGGGAAGAGTACAGTTCCTTGCCTTGCTGATTTAGGCAGCAAAGTGTGAGCAGGGAAGACGTGTTACTCCTAGACAGAAGTTTTAAAATGAAACATGTGCTTTGCTATAATCTTTAGTTTCCTTCTAGTAATATCCCAGAGAAAAGTTGTTTTGTCAGCCTTGGCCTCCCAGTGAAGGCAATAGAACAGTATGAGCTGACCTGTAATGGGCTTGTAGTGTGAGCAAGAAATAAATTTTTGTTATCGTAATCCACTGATACTCCATTGTTGCTTGTTACTGTAGAATAACCCAACCTATCCTACTCTATACACCTACCACTAGTAGCAATATTATTATAAGTAATGGTGACAATGAAGGCAAATACAGATACTGAAAAATAAAAATATAAAAATATGTACAATCAAGAATACTTTCTAAAGATTAGGTGCAAATGGAACTCTAAGGTTTCTAGCAGCTATGTAATAAAAAAGAACATATCTAGATACTGGATTCAATGTCTGTGATATACAAAGAAATCATTTACTAATGGAAATCCAACTACTTCTAGTTCAGAAATCTTAGCTTCTTATGGATCTTAACAAAAGGGATTATATTTGACCAGCCAATAGAATCAAATGTGGGGAAATATCTGATTTGGGGTTGTCTTCTCTGATTGATCTGTGGCAATAATAACAATGACTTGCAAGATGATAATGAGGCAACTAGCCTACAAAGTCTACAAAAGTGTTGTCTTACAGGTGGTTTTATATTTGAGGTTCTTTCTACCATAATAATAACTCTCTTGTCTCTCTTGTCTTCTACCTGCAACAGAGTTAAGATAATATAGGAGATGAAAAGAGGAAAAGAGGTATAATTTTTTTTTTTTGAAACGGAGTCTCACTGTCGCCAGGCTGGAGTGCAGTGGTGCGATCTTGGCTCACTGCAACCTCCGCCTGTTGGGTTCAAGTGATTCTCATGCCTCAGCCTCTCGAGTAGCTGGGATTACAGGCAGGCACCACCACACCCAGCTAATTTTTGTATTTTTAGTAGAGACGGGGTTTCACCATATTGGGCATGATGGTCTCGATCTCCTGACCTCTTGATCCACCCGCCTCAGCCTCCCAAAGTGCTGGGATTACAGGTGTGAGCCACCGCACCCAGCCAAGAGGTACAATTTTTAATACCCTGTAGCACCCTGTTCTTTTTTCCTTTCTGTCTTCTCACTTCTTCTCATCTCATTTCTTTTACTTGAACTAGCTTTTAATTGAGACATTGTGTATAAGTTATAGGAAATAATGGATAATCTTAAACCATCGGTATTTAAAAATTTTCCTGAATTATGGTGTTCTACAGCTCCAGTGAAGCAACAGTATTCATTACCCCTAGGATAGGTTGGGAATTGTCTTAGAATGAAGAAGTCAATGTTCAGTTTGAGCTTAAAAGCTAGTCTTTTCAACAACATTAAAAAAACAACAGCATTGAGAGCCAGGCTTTGTTGAGAGCAAGTGAGCAATGTTTTCTATATTTTTAAAACTTCCTTGTATGTATCATGATCCTACTCTGGCAGACTTGAGTTGTAAAACCATACTAAAATTATAGTGCAAAAACTGTGGAGTATATGTTGCAGGAAAAGACCACAGTAGATAGGAACTTTTAACACTGGAGAAATTGAGGGCAGTCCTGTCCCAAACCCTTCCCAAGATTACTTCCACCTCCGCCATCACCATCCCCTCCCACCCACTGTTGATCCCACCATGGGCTTGGGGTCAGGGTAGAAATGAAGAAAAATACTCACACCTATATAAGTTTTGGGGAGATTCCAATGTAAGAGGGCCTTACTTCTTGCCTCTCAGCAAAGCTGTGCATTGATATTGATTATATTGCCAAATCAACATGGCACTGAGACTGCAGCAGGAAAGAAGCCACAGCTGAGGGAGGGGTTTCAAGTTAGCTTCAACCAAATATATCAGTGTGCAGAGAAAGTAGGTACTTTACTCTCCAGAGGAATGCAGGAGAGTTGAGATCCTCTCTAGAGAGCCAGAAGAGTCAGAACAAGGAGCCATTGTATATAGAAGCCATAAAACTGGAAGCCATGGGAAGAAACCCTGGTACCCAAATTATCAAGATGAACCAGCCCCTCCTCAGCTGGCTTTGCTGCAGTATGAGGAGAGACCAGACAAGACAGTCATTCCATAGCAGAGAGCACCAAAGATCCAGAAGGCAGCATGCACACCTCAGCATTCTCTCCATTCGCAAAGATACCCTCTTGAGGAGGGAGAAGAGTAAAAGAGATGAGAGTTCTCCAACTGAGAATTCAAAGTTAAAACAGTTGATTAATTATTCTACAGGGATTTAGTTAATATGCATAAGCATGCGGGTTATCTTTCTTGGTAATTTTGTTTTCTTTTTTTTGAGACGGAGTTTCACCCTGTTGCCCAGGTTGGAGTGCAGTGGCGTGATCTCAGCTCACAGCAAACTCTGCCTCCTGGGTTCACGCTATTCTCCTGCCTCAGCCTCCCGAGCAGCTGGGACTACAGGCGCCCGCCACCACACCTGGCTAATTTTTTTTTGCATTTTTAATAGAGATGGGGTTTCACCTTGTTAGCCAGGATGGTCTTGATCTCCTGACCTTGTGATCCACCCGCATCGGCCTCCCAAAGTGCTGGGATTATAGGCATGAGCCACCGCGCCTGGCCCTTTCTTGGTAACTTTAAGATATGTTTCTTATCAGGAGCAACAGAGTCTTCTCAGATCAGATTATGAATAAATATACAGATAAATATTTACTATCTTTGGGTGCATCATGTAATATACTGTAAAGTAATAGCATAATGTTTTGATCCTTATTTTGTACGTTTCTTTGATTACATAGAACTAACTATCTCAGATGTTCCTTGTTAGGCAAGTTATTCAGATATTAGAGGTGCCACTATAGTAAGTATAGAGTCAACAACATAAAAAATCCCCAAGTAACATATTGCAAAGCAGAAGATGGGAATTTGGCATTATAAAATGATGATCTTACAGAGAGAAACATCCATTTATAAAATTATGCTTCTCTTCCTAAAATATTTACTTAAATTTTTTTTATTCTTTGTATACTTTCACCTCCAAGTCACTCAAGGAAGATGGAAAACTAAAGTTGAAACCAGTAGCAAAAGCCAACTTCTCCAAGTGCTGCCTGTCCAAATGGGCATCACATCAAATAACCCAGATTAATGGTGTTATTCCTATACTTTAATGCTTGGTCCCTAACGATTCCAGTTAGCAATTTTATGAATGTTTATATACAAATATGTAAATTAGTTTTAATAGTTCTGTTTCTTATTCTTTCCTGCTAAATGATTCAAAGACCCAAACATAGAATCGAATCCATTTTGGATGTGACTGAAAAGCAAAGTTAATTCTGAATGAAACTTACTGTTATATACTTATGAATTTAACCCATGTTCACCCAATTTAGCAGTTGCAAATTTATAATAATTTCTAAATGTTGTTTCTTTTTTGTTCAAAACCCATGCATTTCTCTAACAGGAATTGCACCAGGTATTGCTGATATACTGGTGAGCAAAGCAGAATAGGTCTCTGGCCTCATGTAGCTTGAGGGTGTAGAGGGGGATAGAGCTTAATCAGATGACCACACAAATATATGATCACACATGTAATAATTGTTTTAAATGAGAGGCACATGGTGCTAGAAGAGGGGCTACTAAACTAGTCACAGAGGCCAGTGACAATTTCTCCAAGGAAGTGACCATCTAAATTCTGAATGATGCATGGGAATTAACTTGTGGAAGAGAGAACTAAGGATTCCAAATGGATAGTAAAGCTAATATGAGGGTTTACTGGTAAAATAATCCTATTCATTGTAAGGGATGAAAACAAGTACTTTATGGCTGGAACCCAGTGAGTGAGTGGTAGCTTCATGGGAGATGAGTCTGGGGGAGACAGGGATAATCACATAGAAACTGCTTGAAAGAGCATCAATAATAGCGAGCATTTATAGAGCTCTTGCTCCACACCAACACTATTCTATGCATTTTGTAAGTGCCAAGTAATTTAATCTTCACAACTTTATGAAAGAGGTACTATATTATTTCTTCATTATACATAAGCAACAAAGGCACAGTTTAACTAACTGGCCCCAAATCACCCAGCTAATCATTATGAAATAATTAACTTCAACCCCAGGAAGTCTTGCTCTGGGGACTGTGCTTTCAATCACTAAGTTATGCTAATTGTAGCTTTAGAGCTATGGTAAGTAATTTACTCAGCAACCTGAAAGCACTGACTAGCCACTGAAACATTTTAAGTAATACGTGGGCAGGTGAAAAATCAAATTGTCGGCCAGGTGCAGTGGCTCATGCCTGTAATCCCAGCACTTTGGGAGGCCAAGGCAGGCAGATAGCCTGAGATCAGGGGTTTGAGACCAGTCTGGACAACATGGTGAAACCCCATCTCTACTAAATTACAAATTAGCCGGAAGTGGTGGTGTGCACCTGTAATCCCAGCTACTCGAGAGGGTGAGGCAAGGGAATTGCTTGAACCCAGGAGGCAGAGGTTGCAGTGAACTGAGGTCGTGCCATTGCACTCCAGCCTGGGCAACAAGAACGAAACTACATCTCAAAAAAAAAAAAAAAAAAAGTCAGATTGGAGGGGCAAGTGTGCAAATGGGCACAAAAATTAGGGAGCTATTATATTACTCTAAATAAGAAATGATGACAACATGACCTAAGTTCCTATTTTAACTAAAACTTTTTTTCATGTTGAAACAAGTACCAATCAGCAGACCCGAAGAAATTGGTTTTCTTCCTGTAGTAGCAGGCTTTAGAAATGCTTAGTAAACTGAGCCTATTTATACCTAGCTGTCCTTCAGTTGCTTATTTTCAACTGAACAAATCCATTATAGCCAACCATAGGGCATCAGGGAATCAGATAATTGTTCATCCATTTCTATTGTCTTTGAAAAAGGATTTTGTATTTATGTTTGAATATGAGTTATCACTTGCAGATTTTCTTTTAGTACTTACTAAGGATATTACTTCAAACCATGTAATTGTGCAACACCTACAAGGTCACAGTTTGCAGGGGCTTCGGACACTGCTTGTTTCTCCTTCTCCCTTGAAAACTTCCTTTCTCCTCCCAATGAGGAAAGAAGAATTCATGTCTAATGATCTCTCCAGCAAGGGGCAAGACTGGCCACTCTGAGTTCTTCAGACGGCCACAAAATTCCAGCTTACATTACATCATTTATTCCAAGATCCTTTATTCATGGTGATTTCTAGGACAAATCCAAGAGAGCCTCAAATGCTATGGGAAGGTCCAGATTTCCAGACCAACCACTGTCTTGTGCTTATTTCTTCACTTTTTGTTTCCCAGTAGGATCCTGTCTTCCATTCCTCTTTGCCCTTTCAGATCCTTCCACTGGGCTTCAGGAATTCACTCCTGGTTATCGGCCAACTACCTTACATCTTTAACCTCTTCATGCTACTTTCTCCTTGCTCTCATTAAATTTCAGTTATACAAGGGAAATATGTTCAAGAGGTTTATTTTAAATATGGTGACTACAGTTAATAACAATATGTTGAATACTGAAAATAGCTGAGAGTAGTCTAAGTGTTCTTGCCACAGAAAAAAGCACGTGAGGGTAAGGCATATGTAAAATAGCTTGATCTAGCCTTTCCATACCATGTATGCATATCAGGACATTATACATCATAAATATATACAATTTTTACAGAGGAAAAGCAAGAATTAGGGGGTGGACTGAGTCAAACACTGGACTCATGAATGAGAAGGGATTATAGGAAGCATAGTAAGTGATATGGTTTGGCTGTGTCCCCACCTAAATCTCATCTTGAATTGTAACCCCCATAATTCTCACATGCTGTAGGAGGGACCCAGTGAGAGGCAACTGAATCATGGGAGTGGGTCTTTCTCATGCTGTTCTCATGATAGTGAATGAGTCTCATGAGATCTGATGGTTTTATAATGGGGAGTTCCTCTACACAATCTCTCTTGCCTGCCACCATGTAAGATGTGACTGCTCCTCATTTCCCTTCCACCATGATTGAACCGTGGAACTGTGAGTCAATTAAACCTCTTTCCTTTATAAATTACCCAGTCTCAGGTATGTCTTTATTAGCAGAATGAGAACAGACTAATACAGTAAATGAAGTAGATAATAAGGAAAAATAATAGCTAACCAAGTTTAATGACATTCTCCTCAATGATTTGGGGTATTTTGAAGCATCAATAAGAAGACACATTTTGGAAGCAGAAAAGGGAATCAAGAAGAATATAAAACCCACCTCAAGGTCCTGACAAACATGAGCTGTGGGAGGAAACTGCCAAAAATTAATGGGACTATGGGGTGGAGTGTCCAGGCACCAGCCATACTGCAGTTGGCCCAGCGCTATGGTTCTTAAACATTAGTCCTCATCAAAATCACCCAGGGGGCTTGTTAAAGACAGCTTTCTGGGTTCCACTTCCAGAGTTTCTAATTTAACTGGTCTGGTGGGGTGAGAATTTGCATTTTTAACATCTTCCACATGATACTGACACTGCTGATCTGGAGGCCAAGCTTTGAGTAGCATTGATTTAGCAGCTTTCAACTCTGTCTGCCCATTATAATCACCTGAGAAACTTTTAGAGTCATTGATACCCATGCCTCTTCCTAGAAGTTCTGATTTAATTGATGTGTCATGGTCTTAAAGCATCATCGATTTTTTATCTGAGGATTGACATCTCTTTATTCCCTTCAACTTCCCATCTCTAGTAACCACCATTTTAATCTAAGTTTGATTTTTTTTTTTTTACACTCCACATGTAGGATTGTGCAGAATTTGTCTTTCTGTGCCTGGCTTATATCACTACTTTTATTATCCTTGGTGGCCTTAATATTTCCACACATACTGTGACCTCTTAGCTCTTGTCCACTTCATTTACGTGTAATATTTTCTCTTGATGCCCCGTCCAACTCAGGCGACCATTCTAACACTTCTAGTGACTATAACTTCTGAAATTGATTTTACCCCCATACCCCATTTTTTCCAGCTTTCTCAAACTGTTAGCAGTGGAAGAGATTCGAGTTACCACGAGTTATTGGCGGTGAATCCATACCAATTCCACAGCAACTTCAGTCCTTGTCTCCTCAGAAGAAAGAATTCAACTGAGGGGCATACAGCAGAAAAAGAGACCACGGCAAGTTTCAGAGCATGAGTGGAAATTTAGAAAGGTTTTAGAACAGGAAAGAAAGGAAAATTCTCTTGAAAGAGACCCAATCAGGCACCTAAAGTTGGAAGAAAGAAAAGAGAGCAAAAGAAGACAGCAAAAAAGGGCCTTTAACCTTGATCATGAGACTTACAGGCTCACCCCTTTCCCATGATTCTTTCCATAGGGTGGGCTTTCTGCATGCCCAGTGCTTTCCTTATCCTTTGGGACTGAGCAGGCGCTTGTGTTTAGGAAGTTATATGCAGGCCCATCTGAAGCTTTCTTCCCTCTTCCAGTGGAGTGTGCTCCTGAAAGAATATACTGCACCATTTTTATCTCTTGATGCACATGCCCAGGGAGTGTGCTTCTCCTTAGGGCTTGCGTTCAATTAACATTCTGATGTTAACAGGTGTGGACCATCAGGAAATGGCCTCTCCCTGGTGCTGCCAAATTATCATTTTAGAGAGGCGGAGATTTTTAGTGGGTGGCGGTAGAGCCCTCTCCTGTCCTGCTCATGCCTAATAACTACCTGTACCAAATCCAGCATTTTTCTTTCAACAACTCTTGATTTCCAGTAAGATCACTATGCCTTGCCACCTCAACTATCTTTAACTGCCCATGACCCGTTTGCTGTATTCCCATCATCCACCAGAAGGGCTCAACCACGCGTTCATAGGGAACTTCCGCTGCTGCAGCTTCTTCTCTCCATCGAACTTACTTCAGAAAACTCCAGCTGTGGTAAAATCTAGCTCTCTGTATCTAATGGAGAAAAATCGCTCAACTATACTGACATATTTTGTGTTTTTGACCAAGAATCTCAAAAAGTCAGGTGATTTGAGAAATTGTAATCATTACCTAGTAGAAAATTCACATATACCTCTTACTAATGGCTTTACACATATTAACAAAGTTATTCCTTTCAAACCCTGTAAGGTAAGTGCAATTAATTTCTTTGTTAGGGAAATTAACAGGACATATCGCTGTTAGTTGAGAAGACTGAGGTTCAGAGAATTTAGGTAAGTTGACTCAAATTATAAAACAAGTGAGTCAGTGAGGATTTGAATGCAGGCAGGCTTAGCAATATTGCTTCTCCTATACTCCCTACTAAATTTATCTATTCCCCAAGATAACCATTTCACATTCTCTCTCTTCTCACATCTCTAACATCTTCCTCTCAATTCTGTTGATGACCTCATACTTTACAGAAACTCCACATAAACACCCATTGTAATGCTCCTCTTGAGTGCAAAACTTCTCACAAGTGTTGTAAGTATTCATTGCCTTCATTTCCTCATTCCTCAATCTCTCTTCAATCTACTGCAACTGGGCCTCTGTCTCCACCACATCTATAAGATCTGTTTAAGATCTCAGTGACTTTCCTTCTACCAAAGCCAAAATTAAATTCTAGACCTTATTTTATTCAGTCTCTTGGCAATATCCGACATTGTTGAACATGCTCTCCATCTTGAAAATCTCTACACTTTTGGCTTATTTCTGCTAGCTTTCATTTCTCATTAGCCACCCATTTATAGTAGCCTTGCTTTCTCACTTTCTCACCTTCTTCTTCCAGACCACTAAGTGTTGTAATCATCCAAGTCATTTTTTGGTCATTTTCCATCTTTTCTCACATTTTTTTGTTATGTGGTTTCTTCTATTGTCGTGATTTTAAATAACATTCATACATTTGAGGTTGACTTTATTATGGGTCTCTACTTTCATATAAAAGCTGCCAATTAAAAATATTTGAACAATTACGTCTACCTTAAAATACAGCTGGATACAAACAAAAACAAAAAGATCAAACACATATTTTCCTTTTCAGCTAATCACACTCTACTCCAGGCCAAAAAAAAAAAAAAAAAAAAATGCCTGGCTCGGTGGCTCACACCTGTAATCCCAGCACTTTGGGAGGCCAAGGCGGGCAGATCATGAGGTCAGGAGATAGAGACCATACTGGCTGACACAGTGAAACCCCATCTCTACAAAAATACAAAAAAAAATTAGCTAGGCGTGGTGGGGGCACCTGTATTCCCAGCTACTTGGGAAGCTGAGGCAGGAGAATGGCATGAACCCAGGAGATGGAGCTTGCAGTGAGCCGATATCACACCACTGCACTCCAGCCTGAGCGACAGAGCAACACTCCATCTCAAAAAAAACAAAAAGAAAAAAAAAAAAGAAAAAAAAATCTTGTGTAACCACACTGAATTCTAGGTTTTCCCTATTTCCTGTATCTGTTACATCAATAAGCGTCACTAGCTTTATTTCCATCAAAATGTATTTGTGAAAGATAATTGGGTATTAAATGACTAGAAGAGTTGAGCTAAGCTGGGCACGGTGGCTCCCGCCTGTAATCCCAGCACTTTGGGAGGCTTAGACGGGTGGATCACCTGAGGTCAGAAGTTCAAGACCAGCCTGACCAACATGGTGAAGCCTCATCTCTACTAAAAATACAAAAATTAGCCCTACAGGGTGGCGGGTACCTGTAATCCCAACTACTCAGGAGGCTGAGGCAGGAGAATTGCTAGAACCCAGGAGGCAGAGGCTGCAGTGAGCTGAGATGGAGCCACTGTACTCCAGACTGGGGGACAGAGCGAGACTCCATATCAAAAAATAAAAACAAAAAAGTTAAGCTAAACTTGTTAGCTATTTTCAGAGCATTCTATTTATTGCCTGTTGCTAACTTTCCTGAGCTTGTTCCCCTCCTGTTATGAAAAAAGGAAAACAAGATGAGAGAAAAGGAAGAAGAAAAACAGAAAAAGATTAATACTATGATGAAAGAAATTTGCAGTATTTCTAAGATGATAAAGTAAATGAATAATTATATAGAACAACACTTTGTTTCCTTTATTACCTAGTTGCATGGTTAAAATATGAACAAATACAATAGAATATATTACTTCATATGAAAAATACTTCATTATATAATAAACAATACACCTGTATTTCAATATTGCTGCCAATAAGGACTCCCAGTTCTATTCACTACTACCCTATACCCCATCCCCAGTTCCATCAAGTTTCAATGCAATCAAGAAAATGCTAGATAAATATTTATCTTCCAATCTATCATTTCATTCTGTCAAACTCCTCAAAACTTATCTCCATGTTCTTTCTCTATTATTGAGATGTTAGGGGCAGTAACACATTTTGTTTTCCTTTCCTACTACATATCTTTAAATTCTAATATTTTATTCCTATCACTTTTTATTTGCAGAGACTAATTTTGACTCATCCAAGAGAATAGGGTATCTGTGAAGACTGCCTAACAAACAACTATTTTAAGTTTCCACTTTTTAGAAGTTATTTCCCATTGTTTCCTTTTATATATTGTATCTCAGCTTTGGCTTCTAAACACTCCCCTCCTGTTCTTAATGGTACACTGATTTGGCATATCTTTTTTACTACCTGGGAAACATTTATTCCTTTACCCTTTCTGAGCTACTAAGGCAAAGGTGTCTAGCCAATAGATAAGTAGTCTAAACAGTACTTTTTTGTGGAATGGAATTCTCAGAAAAGAGGAGTGTATTAGTCCATTTTCTTGCTGCTATGAGGATACCTGAGACTGGATAATTTATAAAGAAAAAGAGGTTTAATGGACTCACAATTCCACGTGGCTGGGGAGGCATCACAATCATGGTTGAAGGTGAAGGAGGAGCAAAGGCATGTCTTACATGGCAGCAGGTAATAGAGTGTGTGCAGGGGAACTCCTCTTTATAAAACCATCAAATCTTGTGAGACTTATTCACTATCATGGAAAAAACCCACCCCCATGATTTAATTACCTCCCACTAGGTGCCTCCCATGACACATGAGGATTATAGGAGCTACAATTCAAGATGAGATTTGGGTGGGGACACAGCCAAATCATATCAAGGAGAAACCCAGGCAGTGTTGATTCCTCCACTACTCACTGTATTCTGCAACTCAACTGTCAGCTGCATAGCCTTTAATCTCTTTCCTTCTCAATGAATGAATGATCTCCAAGTATCTGGAAAAGTTTTCATTAAAAGGTGATATTTATTTTGCTAATACAAAACAGTCAACATTTTTTTCATAATAGACAAATTTTGTTCATTAGTAAATAGAAAATCCTAAATTGGTAGAACTTGAGCACTTCCATAGATGTCAACATAGAGAAACACTGTCTTAGGTGTGGACTATTTAGTTCCAAATAACAAAATGAAAAGTATAACTTAAACCCAAGTAATCTGATTTACTTGTTTGAAGCCATTTTACTTTGTATTTAATTGGTGAAGTTAATCTAGACTTTTGTAGCATAAACTATTGGCTACCTACCCAAAAGCCCTCTCTTGTTCATCCTTGCTAATGGATTTTGTTTGGGAGTCCACCCTTCTCCTAGGTAATTCAGGGTCAATTCTGACTAGACTAAGTCAATTATAGTAATTTGAATTCCCTTGTTTCTATGTCTTCAAATAAATCCTGAACTGTACAATCCACTCAGCAACTGTAAGCATGGCAGAAAAGAAAAATTCGAGTCCTTGAAGATTTCATTGAGCCATTAAGTTCACCAATCCTATAGATGCTTTCATCTGGAATTTATGTTATAGGAATTATGTATTTTTTATTAAGATTTTTAATTTCAGGTAAAAGTATTCCACCTCATACATGTGATTCAGACATGCAAGTTAATAACAATAATACTTTAGAGAAGAATATTTAAAATAGATCTTTCCTGGTCCTTTTTTAAAGTATAAGAATTACATAATTACAGTTGGAGATGGCTGGTGATAAAGCTTAGAAATTAAGATGGAAGATTCTGAAATATGATATATCTGTCCTCAGTTACCAATTTTCTGCTCTGAAGCTTGGGAAATTGCTTAACTTCTTTATCGGGTTTTTTATTTTTTATTTTAATTCTGTAAATAGACAATTGGCACAGAGTTTGTGTCAGACTTAAACTACATAATGTATGTAAAGCATGTAGAATAATCTTATATAGTTTAGTTGCTTTTACTATTTTCTGTAATCCCACTGATTAAAATAATTATATTGTAATGAGTATGTGATGTTTGTAGATATGTGTTCCACCTTTGAATTTATGACTACTCCTTTTCTTATGTTTACATTTCCTTTTTAATACCTTCTGCTACTCTTAAGAGGCATAGTATCTTCAATACTCACTAAATTAGAATTTTCAGGCAGAAGAGTAAAAATTACATTTGTTTCCAAGTATTGAAAGAATGTGGCCAGGCGTGGTGGCTCAAGCTTGTAATCCTAGGACTTTGGGAGGCCGAGGTGGGTGGATCATGAGGTCAGGAGTTCGAGACCAGCCTGGCCAATATGGTGAAACCCCATCTCTACTAAAAATACAAAAATTAGCCAGGCGTGGTGGCGGGCACCTGTAAGTAATCCCAGCTACTCAGGAGGCTGAGGCAGGAGAATCGCTTGAACCCGGGAGGCGGAGGTTGCAGTGAGCCAAGATTGCACCACTGCACTCCAGCCTGGGCAACAGAGCAAGACTCCGTCTCAAAAAAAAAAAAAAAGAATGTAACACATGGAATTAAGCATTCACTAAGCATTTAATTATACTGACCATTATAAAAATATAATGACCTTCTGCAAAACCAGTCATGTAACTTCTGCAAAACCAGCAATGTAACTTACATTAGAAAAATCAAGTGAAATCTCAAAAATATTTTAATGTAATTTTGTTTGACTGTTTGCCACCCTAAATAAATATTTGAATCTGACAATATTGCCAAAATTTAATTTTAAACCACTGTGTTTTAAAGGCATGTTTCCTTCTTAGTAGAACCAAGATTATAAACAACTGTATTATGGAAACCCTTATTAAAGATACATTTATTGCAATTGACTTGTCTAAGGTTTTGGAAACACCAATTCTACTACCCTAAGTTTTGGGGTGCAATCAGTGTGGTCTGAATAGACATTGAAGCCTCAAAGAGGCACTTTGGGAACAACTTGAGAAACTCCAGTGCAGTAAATCATTGCAGCCCAGATGGTATTCATCTCAGAGTTCTGAGGGGGAACACGTTGTGAAAGAACAGAGCAAGCAGACAGGGATATGTAAAAATTGCACTGTTGGTTCATACAGGGTACATGCCAACCCGGCACTGCCTTTAAAGCGGTGGTGCCATCGTTTGACCATTAGTCACTCAGATTTGACTCCTGCATTTGTTGAGCTCACAATTTGAAAAATTTAGAATATTTTTATTCTAAAAAATAAAAAAATATTCTATTCACTCAAGTCATTTGTATTCATTTCACTGTACATGGCAATGAAAAAGGATGCATGTTTTAATAACCCCAAGATCTGTTTCTCAGGACTCTCACAGGGAATTCAAAAGTAGGAACAGACGCAAGCCTCAGCTTTGGAGTAACCACAAAGTCCCTGTTTTCCTACTGCCCTAAAGCCCTTTCCAGAGAGACCTTTCTGACTCACCTTGCAGAGTTCCAGCTTGTACAGCTCGGCTGACTCCCGGGTCCCAGGAACACCTGTGGGTTTTATGGAAAGGATTCTGTGAAGGAAAAGAGGCTGTGGGTAAATATGCAGAAGCAGCTAGGGGTACAAAAACTTATTAGGAAAGAGACTACTCTGGAGGGAATTTAATCAGTGGTCAAATTATTCTGCGGGGAGGTCTGTGATCTGTGCCACCTGGTGATCTGGCTATCCTATCCTACAGCATTTTTCCCCCTAGAAATCACAAGGGTAAATTTGCTTTCTCATCTGGGGTGAGAGAGATGTAAGGAAGATATTGGACATCTTGAAATTTAATTGTTCTAGCTTGATCCCACTTACCAGTGCCAAAATCATATTTTCCAGTTGACTATTAGGTGACTCCACATGGATATGTCACTGGTGTTAGGAAGTCAATTGATCTAAACTTGAAATATTTACCAGTGTCAGTCAGGGAACCAACAGGAAGCAGATGGGATACTCCAATTAGAATAAACTGCAAGTTATCTGAAATTGGATGACTCTTAAGAATGCTTGATTTAGGTACTCTTTATACAGGTGTAGGTAGTTGAAAAACCTCAAGGCATAGTCCAGTAACTCAGGAATGGCACTGACTGAGCTGTTAACACCACTAAGCCTGCAGGGAGAAGGCCTGGAAAGGTTTATTGCCATCCAGGAAAGATGTGTGTAGAAAAGGCCACACTGATAGAAACAATTGAAGGAAACAGCCAGCCTGTGGGGACATCTCAGCAAGGAGTCCAGGAGAATTTCTCCCCCATTTTCTACCATTTCTCACTATCGACAACCAAATGGAAGCCAGAGGACAAAGGGGACTATGTTGCATATATGTCAGCCTCCTAGGGGTGTATGAGAGGTGGAGGAAAATTGGAACAGACCCTAAAATAACTAGCATATTCCCCTTTCCCATTCCAAGTTCCACTTGTATGAGCCAGTTTTCTAATTGGCAACACGGTTTACCTAATGGCACAAATCAAAATATACTCAACACTCATTCTTACCATGATCCTTACAATCTCAACTCATACAAATATCTGACCCCAAGTTTCCATTGATTCTAAATTGTGAGATTTGTGAAGTGCCTTCCATTCTCTCACATCACTGCTAATTTTTCTCTTCACATCACTCTACCATCACTGCAGCCTGTTCACTTCTTTATGGCATCTATCACTTTCAAAAATTACCTTGTTTACTTTGTTTTTCAAATTTACTGGAAGACTGTGCTCAGGATTGTATCTCCAGTTCCTAGTACAGTGGCTGATACATAGTATATGCTTGATAAATAAGTATTGAATGAATAAATTAGTGCAGGCTTCCAATACTTATTAGCTAACTAATTTAGTTACACTTTAAAGCAGTCTCTTCAGCATCAGTTTTAGTCCTTTATAGTCCATTTCTATGTCTGCTAGCATAACTTTTTTTATTCAAAAATCTGCTTAAAATTATTTTGCAGCACTTTGTAGGATTCCAAATGAAGCAATTCTGTCACTGAACACTTATTTATTGAGCATACACTATGTGCTAAGGAATAGAAAACAAAGATGAGCCAACAGACTCAATCAGGGTGCTTACAATTTACTAAGCAAAAATAATAAACGAAGCTGCGGCAGTGAAGTGTAATAGTCTAAGATGGGGGATCACCGGGTGCTGGGAAGCACTGAACAAGAATCTTTGAACTACAGGGAAGAAAATGTTAGGAAAGGCTTCCCAGAGGACTGAAGAGTAAAAGAAGACAACGAATATGGGGACCATGTCCTATGAGGCCCACACTCCACTTTTATAGGTGTCTCCTTAGCCTGGTATCTCAGTGTCTTAGTCCTGATGTTTACTAGCTGTATGTCCTACACTTTCTCAATTTGGACTCTCTGCTCTAGAGATAGGTGACTATTTAGTGTTCCCTAAATGCTTCATGCTGATTCCCCCTTCTGTGGTTTTGCCTACTTATTCCTGCTGTCCTAAGAGACAAGATTCTGTTTCCTAGGGAAGCCATCCATTTTACACTCTGTTCTCCCCTTCTCTGCTCAACACAAGCATGTTTCTAGAAGGAACTTGACTTCTTTTCTCAGTTTTCCAGAGAACAGTTTGCATTTTCCCAGACATTACCAAGCCTAAATTAAATGGCAGTGATTTGGAGAAGGAAATCCCTGCATTCTCTTCATGTTAATACTCTGCATTAGCCACTGGAATATATAGAACTCCTTGAGAAACATCTGTGACTCATCAATTTATTCTTCTCTGTTTTAAAAGATAAACGATGGCTTCTCAATTACTTTGAGTAAACATAGCCAAATGTTAACTCCAAATTTAATTTAATGTAGACAGTTTAATCTGAAGTGTAGTGAATAGCAATAGAAATGAGACCAAATGAGCAGAAAATATTTGAATTTTAATTGTAAATATGCCACGGTTAGTATGATATCCTCAGGTTATTGAATATTTGTGCCTCTGTGCCACTATAGATAATACAACCTCATGGTTATTATGAGTAATAGGTACTAGTGTAATTGCAGGCGGTTGAAAAGCAAATATGTATTAAAATTCTAACTAATGAACATATTTTCTACAATTTTCTAATCACAATTATACTCTGATGTCAAACCAGGCCAAAAGTCACAGTATAGGAATATTATAAAAAGTAACAATTATGGTGTTACTTTATTATTGCAGAAGTTCCTCATAATTAGCCTAGAAAGATTTAATTCACAAAAATCTATGATTATTGAAGCGCACATTGACTTTCTTTCAGCCAGTGTAGTTGTTTTACATTTTATGGGAATAAAATGAGATATCAAGGTCAAAAAGTAAAATTCAATAGTATTCAAATTACAAAATTCAAACATGTCACTTCCAATTTTTTAAGGCTTTCATTTAATCAAATATATATAGGAACTTAAAGTCAATGCTAATACGTTAATGACTGATTTCAAAATGGTCGAAAATATACCAATAACACAGACACTGGATATATATATTAACTTTTTTTGGCAAGTTAATGGGAACTTATGTAATTGATCAGAAAAACTGCTAACTATGTCATATTATGATGCAAATAATTAATATGATATGTGTTTATATTCATCATAAAGCAAATTATGCAAAATGTGACTTGGGATAACACTTTTTGCCTTCAAGGGAAACTTTATTTCTGTTCCAGTGTTGTAAAAGATACCACCATATATTTTTTCTTGAGTATTAAGAAAAAAATAACATCATCATGCCATATTATTATATGTAACAAAGCAATATTTTTAAGTCTATTTTAACATTTTCTTTCTCGATGACAGATGGAATAGGGTGTTGACCAGCTGTAGGATTTGCTTTAAAGAAAGTGATTGTTGTCTTGACGTGGTTGCTCACGCCTGTAATCCCAGCACTTTGGGAGGCCGAGGTGGGTGGATCACCTGAGGTCAGGAGTTTGAGACCACCCTGGCCAATTTGGCAAAACCCCATCTCTACTAAAAATACAAAAAAATTAGCTGGGCGTGGTGGCGGGTACCTGTAATCCCAGCTACTCGGGAAGGCTGAGGCAGGAAAATCACTTGAACCTTGGAGGCAGAGGTTGCAGTGAACCGAGATTGAGCCATTGTACTGCAGCCTGGGCAACAAGAGCAAAACTCCGCCACAAAAAAGAAAAGAAAAAGAAAAAGAAACAGAGAGGGGAGGGGAGGAGAGGAGAAGAGAGGAGAGGAGAGGAGAGAAGAAAAGAGGAAAGAAGAAAAGCAGAGAAAAGAGTGATTGTTATAGGTCCATGACTCCTAATGAATCAGAGTTCTCCAGGTATTTGGATCGATGAAGGATCTCTTGCTTTACTTGATATTCTGGAAGTTCTGTATAAAATAAAAGTAAAAGTTAACAACATGCCATTTTAAGGATTTCACAAATGTGCTTGTGTGTGTTTGCATTTTTGCTGGAGTCTGCACCTGGAGGAAAAAACTAATCAAGTTCCAGAATGTAAAGTCCCAATAGTAAAATATCATATTTTCTTTCTAGGGAGCATCACACCTTTAACTATGATGTCCAAGTAATCATTTTTTAAAAAGTCCTTTCTTTTTGTAAATATTTAAATTTTTAGTTGTTTCTCTGCAAACTTCTTTGAAGGCTCTGGGCTATTTGAATATAGCATAACATGAAACAAATGCAACTATCTTATTCCTTACAGAAGACAGGTATTCACATGGGTTGGGCTTGACCATCAGGTGAGTGAACAATGTCTGAAATAGCAATCATTCTTCTTTCTTTAGGGAGCATTATTTATCTCCAGGTGTGGGGCAACACAGGTTTTGTTGCCAATGATGCTTTTGTTTCAGTTTGTTCTTTTTATGATGGCTTTAAATTTTGTCTCTTTTATCCTGGGCCTGGAGTTTTCCGATTACACATTATGATAAATTTTAAATTATATGAAAATAATTTGTAACTAAATACAAATATATTTAATAGTATGAATAATTTGCTTTAAAATACACATTAGAATAAATTCAAAACATTTGTCCATAATAATAATGCCCCCACTGCCATCCAAAAAAGGGATATGCCTTCTATGCAGGTGAGAAAAAAGACGAAGTTACAGCAAATACATAGGGAATTATGAGTAGTCTATATCTTGTATCTGTAGCAAAACAGTAGTATCTAAAAACCAGTGGGATCATGGAACAGGTGTAAATTTTATACATTCTGTATGTAGTTAAGAAGTAAAGATTGAGAACCATTAAAGTAAGATGTTTTTGCCGGGCCAGAAAACTGTCCATATTTTGTTGTAACAATGTTTGTCATGGAATATCTAGGCAGGAACAATAACTAAACAGTGTTCTCAAGTACTTAAAACCAAATAAAGTAAACTTTAATAAATTCCAAATGCTATTTTTCCCTCTTAGCAATGGACTCTAATTATTTGGCTTTCAACCCATATCTTAGAACCCACGGAATGTCTTCTCATACAAATGTAACTTTTAAGGCCTTGGAGAAAAGCAGTGTGTTTTGGTACTGATTTTAGTTAACAACAAATTAAATGCTTAGAGGGATTGGGTCCAAACAGTGGATACATTTTGTTTAGCTGGCATTGCATTTAAAAATAAATAAATTAGGATGTCCGTATGTACCTGACCCCTTGGTATCACCGTACACCTTCTCATGCCAGTCTTTTATTTGCCTAATTGTCAAGGCCTTTTTAAGTCTGAGATCTCTGGAGGAGCAAGATATGTTTATATGTATTGTAGAGTTGACTGAATTAATCTTTCTAGGTGTCAGATGTCATAAGGTAAATCTCCAGTGAATACTTCTGTTCCTCTGAAGGCCCAATCTTACTGATATAATTTGTGTATGTACTTACATGTATATATGGCTGTATACACACTTATGTATATTTCTTCATTAACATTTATGCTACTCAAATTTTATAGACATGTACCCATATGTGTAAAGAATAAGCAAATGAACATGATTGATGTTTAAATGTGAGTTTTTTTTAATTAAAGGCAAGTCTACACTATTTTATGTATAGTTGTAAATGCTAAATAAGTGGAAAAATTTTAAACACTAGACGTTTAGAAATCTAGAGGTTGATGTATATCTCATCTCAATGTCTCACATGCCTGCTGGAGCATTACTACATTCCAGCAATAAAAGCAGCCAAGATTTGGAGAATAAATTAATGTCAGGCAATGGTAATGTCTTTCTAGGGGCACTCTGTGAGGCTTTATGAAATGTCTTTTTCAATAATTGCCTATTAAAAATGAATAAAATGTATTAGCATATAAGATATTAGAGTGAAGAATACATCTTCAGGTAAATACAAACTGTATGCAGTAAACAATAGGTCAGTTATGTGAGCCTATCAATCATGCAAATGATTTGAATAACAAATGCAGCAAAGTTCAATTTGGATTTGGTAGGGAAGCCAAGGGGAAAGATGGATAAGAGTTTAATTGGAAGGAACATACAATGCATATGTGCTTATGAAATGCAACATAAAAAATCTCCTATGATCACATTTTCCTTATGTAGGAAGACTGAAAGTAACGTTTCCATGGACCTATGCCACATAAAACTTGATTTAATATGTCTTAACAGAGAAGCTTTCATTCTCAGGCTCTTTGTAAGCTCAGCCATTGTGCAACATGCTTTAACACAGCTAAGTGACTCCCTTTCAGACCTTTCCTTCTAATTTATATTCAGTTACCTAAGCTTGACCATAACCAACAGAAGGATTCCACAGGTGACTGTCATGCACATGGCAGCATAGATTACTTCTCCTAGAAAAAGAAAAAGATTAAGAAATAATAGTCACTGGATTTTTAGAGGAAATAAATAATATAAATATTATAGAGGATTGATTTTTAACTGACCATTGAAGGGGGAATGAAATCCAGTTAAAGTGATTTTGTTTGCATGTTTTCTTGTATACAATGCCATGCCTTTGACATTAGACAGGGTTGGATAATCTGAAAGAAAATCATAAAAATGAGATTAGTTACATATCATACATTATTTTAATTTTATGGATTACAATTTGCTTTATCTTTTAAGGCAGCAATTTATTTCCATTACATTATTTTAATCTGATAGATTTGAATAAAACTAGGAACAATTTTCTTAAATTTTAACAGCCTGTTTTTCCCCTTTTAATCAGGTAATTTCCGTGTATAAGCTTTTATTTTTTGCAAACCAAGATTAGTACAATGATTATATTTTATAACATAAATCATTGTATCTTATATACAGACAAGAAAAATAAAAGATGGTTACTTTAGGCCATCTTTGGGATATTGAAAAAGATCCTTTCTTTACAAAAGTGATTATTTTAATGTACCTCTGCACTCAGATACTGGAATACCTAGTTTTGCTTTTTTCCCTTGTTCTCTTTTTCTCTCTATTAGCTAAAACTTCAGTTTCTCCTGTTACCTATTTTTGCCTCCCTTCAGAGCTATTCCTGGCCATTCTGAGGTGCTAGTCTTCTTGGCCATGTTTCTGAGAAATACATTCCCACCAGTTTCCAATAGCTCACAATTTTAGAAATCATGCTTTAGAGTGACCAGTTCATAAAAACAAATCTTTCCCTGTGAGGACAATCTTTTCTCTGGCTTTTCTACTTTAACAACAGAAAGATGCAATTGTTACAATTAACTGATAGATCTCTTTTAGGTGATTTTTATCAATAACTTTAAAGTGAAATCACTCCGAGTTTTGAGTAATTGTACACAAATATGAATGTCAAACATACCAATAGTTTAGTAACCAATTTATGTAATGAAAGCTGGTTTTGAGGCAGTAAGAAAAATGAGATAAAGCTCCCATTTTAGAGAGGTTGCGGTCTTCTGTTATAGATGCTTCCTGCATTTTTGAGACCTGACACTAACTATGAGTAGACAGTTGTTTACAAAAATGAATGTATCAAACAGTGGGATATTACATCCGATGAAAACTAGTGACAACAGACTCTGAGCAGGAAGGGAGATAAGAAAATCTACAGTCATGCATTGCTTAATGATGGGGATATGCACTGAAAAATGCATGCTTAGTCGATTTTGTGCTTGTGTGAACATCATAGAGTGTACTTACACCAACCTGGGTGGTATAGCCTACCACATGCCTAGGCTATATAATATAGCCTTTGTTTTTAGGTTACAAACATGCACAGTGTGTGCTATTGTACTAAATACTTTAGGCAACTTTAATGCAATGGTAAATATTTGCATATTTAAGCATATAAACATAGAAAAGATACTATAAAAAATACGGTATTATAATCTTATGGGACCACTGATGTATAGTCTGTCTGTCTGTCATTGACCAGAATGTCCTTACGAGGTACATGACTTTATTAGCAAATGTTCCATTCAGTTATCTCTCCACCTAGGGCTGCTGCTATTCAGAAGACAGCTTATTGGGAGCCAAGATTTGAGCACTGTGTTAACAATAATCAGTAGAGAGATAGATTGGAGTTTCAGACCAGTAGTAAACCTCCCAGAGTGGGTCAGAAAGCAGCAGCCCAACACAAGACTAGAAAAGTGAGGATTTTGTCATTAGAAAACTCATTCTCAGGGAGTCTGAACTCAAATACAGTTAAGGCATTTTTTTTTTTTTTTTTTTTTTTTTTGAGACGGAGTCTCGCTCTGTCGCCCAGGCCGGACTGCGGACTGCAGTGGCGCAATCTCGGCTCACTGCAAGCTCCGCTTCCCGGGTTCACGCCATTCTCCTGCCTCAGCCTCCCGAGTAGCTGGGACTACAGGCGCCCGCCACTGCGCCCGGCTAATTTTTTGTATTTTTAGTAGAGACGGGGTTTCACCTTGTTAGCCAGGATGGTCTCGATCTCCTGACCTCATGATCCACCCGCCTCGGCCTCCCAAAGTGCTGGGATTACAGGCGTGAGCCACCGCGCCCGGCCGGCATTTTTTTAAAATAGTTTTAGTCTCCAATTTGCATATTGGATTACCATCTATTTAAGAAACCTCCAATGTGGCTGATGCCTGTAAAACCAGCACTTTGGAAGGCTAAGTTGGGAAGATCACTTGAGCCCAGGAGTTTGAAGCCAGCCTGGCCAACATAGCAAGACCCCATCTCTAAAAAGTTTAAAGATTAGCTGGGCATGGTGGTGCACACCTGTAGTCCAAACTTCTCTGGAGGCTGAGGTGTGAGGATCACTTGAGCCCAGGCATTCCAGATTGACGTAGCTGTGATCAAGCCACTACACTCCAGCCTGGGTGAAAACACCAAGACTCTGACTCCAGAAAAAAAAAAAAAAAAAGCTTCCCCCTTGTTAGAATGCAAAATAAACCACTTAAGAATGTAAAAGTAATAGAGGTAGAACTTGTGAATTATTTTTTACTTTTGTGATTGTAAAATTACTTTTATATTCACTATAAAGTTGCAAGGGGAAAAATGAGAAATTTTAAATAATACTTTTTTTTAATAAGGGGTCCTTGAAAAAAATTAATTTTAATCACATTGATCATACAGACCTTTAGCAAAATAAATGATCACAATAAAATTGTGTATTTAAATCAATTCAGAATATGAAGAATCAATAGTTTTACTTCTTTTTAAGTTCTATGGCCTTTTTTAAAAAAAAGCTGTAGCTGGATTCATGGCCTAAGTATATACAATATACATTAGATGATTATTAATTATTTAAATGATGCTATGGTTTTTCCTTATGAAATTCTATCCCTAAGTACATTTAGTCTAGTTGGGTATTACAGTTCATCTTTGCAGAAGAAAAAAGTATTATTTTGAAAGAAAAAAGGCTTTTTTTAGATATGTAACTGCCTTAATTGTTAAACACTCACCTAGCAGAGTTTAGAAAGAATCATCTCATTTACTAAATTTCTCTCACATGGAACTCATTAACAACGTTATAATAGATCAGTGACAGAAATGTTAGCTAATTATCCCAGTGAAAATTTAAATTTGTCTAGCAATCACTCCACAATCTTAAATATTGCACCCTAGGAGGATACCGAATATCAGTTAGAAAGATTAATGTTACTGAGGGTTTCTTGGCTACTGAAGCCCACTGGAGTTCCTTCCCTGCCTTTTATAAACAGTGAGGTTTACAGCGTTTTATAACCATGAAATTAAAGTCAGAAAAGTTGATAACTAACCTCAGCCCCAGACCATCTGCTCTATTTATAGATAAACACTGTCAGTGACTTGTTTATCTTAACTTGTACCCTGGAGAAATTAAACACGATTATGAACTATATTGTAAAATCCTTGTACATTTGATGGGAAATCAAGATTAATTTCAATCTTGCATTAGGAACAAATTTAGGTAATATTCTCCCCAAATGAGCTATGGAGAGGTGAGCATTACTGTTTCTTTTTTCTTTTTTTTTTTTTTCCAAAATCCTTGTGCAACAGTAGTTGAGAGTTCATGGGGACTGAAACTCTGCTTATATAATTCACATGAAACAGTAAATGCATTGTAAAAGTTATGGTTGATCAGAGACAAAGTAATGATTTAGAAATAAATGTCAGAATACTTGAGATATAATTTGAAACAGGGATTTAACATATCACAAACTGCAAATTTATAAACCTTCATTTCATTTTAATTAAAGCAACATTTAGAAGAGTCAGTTTGGGGGAAAAAATGCCTGTATCTAGAATGAGTTTCATGGGAAAAAAATAAGTTCACAAAATTGAACAGTAATTTTTACCTTGAATTATATTACACAAGCACTAGGCAAGTTTGTAATAAATAAGACAAATGAAAGATAATGAAAATAGTTTGTACTATAATTTATAAATTTCAAGACTTTATATTTCATATGTGGAGGTTTCAGTGTATGGAATACTTTCAATGAAAAAATATATAAATGACATTACCACTGATTGTCCAGACAGGTTTTGATGTCTTCATTTGACATTGAATAACTCACTTATGGCTACCCTTTGGAAAATGTGTAAAATTTTACCTAGCTGGCTTATATATATATATATATATTTTTTTTTTTTTTCCATAGGCTGATTGAAAACAACAGGGGAGAGTTAGGAAAAAATAAAAGAAAGAGAACACTCTTTTGGAGAGTGTTCACAGTCATTTCGAATGATGAGACAATCCAGAAAGTTTTATATGTTACTGAGTTATGAAATGGGGAACCTCCATCAGAAAGAATGCACAATTGTAGTGAGAGTAGAAGGGAAAACAAGGATAAAATATGGGATTTCTTTTTGGCTCCTTTTCTCATTTTTCTTTCTCTCCTCCTTCTCCTCCTTCTCTCATTCCTATCTTTCCTCAAAAAGTATTTAGTGAGCATTTACTATTAATAGACAGTGGAGATTTTTTAAAAAGTGATCCACGTGTAATTTTTCAGTATTGTTGAATGTGGTGTGAAAATACACCAGATTTGATGTCTTTGCAGTCATTACCCAAAGACCACTTAAAAGCTGACGACTCAGGAACCATTTTGTTACCTCTAGTTCTCCCTCCTTTCTCATTAGTACATTTTCAAGCCATCTTGAAAAGATCCCACACTACTGCATTAAACTGTCAATATGACAACTACCTTCCACCTTTTCTGACTATCCTTCAATAGCCAAATGTCTTGAAATAGTTGTCTTGATAATTGTCTCTGATCCTCAACCCATTTCACTTTACATTTCCAAACAGGTTTTTGCTTCACTAGTCCACTGAAATTATTATTTCAAGATCAGCTAAGGCCTACTTGGTCATTTCAAATATTCTTCTTCACTGGCTTCTTCTGCTGTCTTCAACTTCTAAAGGCTGGAGTTCAGTCCTGGCCCTTCCCTTTAATAAGATTCAGTCCTGCCCCTCCCCTTAAGTAAGAAGAAACCTAATAATCTTACTGAGTGATCTCAGTTTTCCAATGATTTTAAGTAAACTACAGATTCATTTCAAGCTACCTTCTTGATATTTTTGCTTGCATATCTTATAACCATCTCATATTTAACAAGTTCTAAACTAAATGTAGGTTTCCTCTTACTATACTTACTTCTCTCACTGTGTTTCTCATCTCAGTAAATGAAATGGCCCATCTATATTATTCAGGTAATCTGGAAATTATCCTAGATTTTTTCCCTTCTTTCAATCGTATATCCCATTAGCCAGTTTGTCTTGTTGATTTTACATAAATAGGTATCTTTATTCTTCCTCATTGCAAACTGCACTGAACTAGCTAAAGTGATCATCATATTCCAGCATAGGTGCTTCAATAAATACCCCCAGTAATCTCAACTTTTTTCCTGTTTTCACTTCTGCCTGACTACAAGGAAAGCAATCAGGATTATCTATTAAACATCCAAATGAAATCATTAATTTCCCCTACTTCAAATCTTTAAATAGCCTCTCACTGAACTTAAATGAAATCCTAAAGCCTCTATCATGTCTAGGAAGTCCCACATGATCTAAACTCTAGCAATCTCTTTGGTATATTAAATCTCGTCTTTGCCCATTTCATTCCAGCCACCAAGAGGCTTCTTTCCTCCCCCCTTGCCTCTTTTCCTTCCTTCCTCTTTCTCTTACTTCCTTTTAGTTTGCCAAACACATTAAACATTTTCTTTACTGCTGGAGCACTCAACCCTTGCTATTGCCTCTTCCTAGAACAGACTCCTTCTCTTTCTTCAGGTGTCTGCCTAAAGACCACCTTCTGGGAAAGATTTTCTCAGGCCATTTTACTCAAGTAGAACCATCTGTCATTCTCTATTTTCAAGGGGACACAGTAAATTCAACGTCTTTTTTAGAAGAGGCAGAGTTTTTAGAATTATGTTCCATAAAACACTGGTTCTACAGAATACTTTTATGGGTTAGGCAAACAAAAGATCCCATAAGTAAATGACTTTAGAAAATTTTGGGTTAGATGTAATATATGCATTTTAGTTGCAAGTAATTTTCAGTTTTTTTGACATAATATAGTGGCATACATTACCTAAATTTACTTTCTCCAGGGGATATATTTTAGAATCCAGGAAAACAAATTGGAAAACATGGATATATGTGATTAAATGGCAAGGATTTATAAAATGTGTGCAGGCATAAGATGTTCATTGAGGATCTTTATTTTTGCTTAGTCAATGGAAGGCAAGAGAACACCACACTGAAAACATTGTGTGTTGATAAATGTAAGTACTAATTTATAATCCTTACCTCTACTAGACACACGTATATGCAAACGCTATGTACGACAATTTCTCTTCATATGTTTTTCTGGGAGCCAAGCAAATTTTTCTTTCCTTTTTTCTTTTTCAGTTATTTATTTTATATTATGTTATTCTATTTTGTTTAATTTTTAAGTTCAAGGGTACATGTGTAGGTTTGTTACATAGGTGAACTTGTGTCATGGAAGTTTGTTGTGCAAATTATTTTATCGCCCAGGTATTAAACCTAGTATCCATTAGTTATTTTTTTAATCCTCTCCCTCCTCCCACCCTCCACCCTCTAGCAGGCCCCCAAGTGTGTTGTTCCCCTCTATTTGTCCATGTGTTCAAGCAAACTTTTCACCCTGAGGTTTGAAAGATGCCTGACCTTTCAAGTGCTATTCTTATTGTTGCTTAGAGAGGGCGATGTGATGCAACATCAATCCCACTTTTGCTGCCAGTTAATCTGGCATTCTTCAATTTCCCAACATGTCCCCATGAGATATGGAGAATTTAGAATCTGCTGTCTATTCAGGAGACCCATTACAGCAGAACCAGAAATGAATTCATGGATCATTTATTCCTAGTTACCTGTAAATGTCCACATAACAATGTGATGAAAAGCACCATATTTGGACCCAAGTAAAGGTTACCTATGTAAGTAATTACTTCCTACTTCAAAGCTAGCATAATGACAATCAATATGGAGAGATATTCATAAAATGATGCATGACCTTGCTCCCGTAAAGTTCTTGATCTAGTTTCCAGTAAGGGGAAAAATGTAAATAAAGCAAGGTTGAATCAATAAGGGACAACCAGGTAAATGGTACACTTTGAGGACTAGTGGGAAATAAGAATAATTTGCACTCTGGGTGTCCTTGGAAATCAGATGAAGGAGTTTATATGAGGGAAGGATGAAAGTAGGAAGAAGGGAGAGCAATGAATGTCTTCTGCACACAAAAGTGATCAAGGCAGAGTTTAAGAATTAGTCTAGTCTTGGTATATAGGTTGGTTTCATGAGTGAAATCTAACTAGAAAGCAACAGCAGAAATTTAGGCTTAACAAGATAAAAACTAAACATAGGCAATAGAAGCTGGAGACGAGAAGAGAGAAGTGTAGGATATATTTAAAACAGAGATTTTCATTAGAAAGCAGAATGATGCAGAGCATAGAAGCACAAGTGTTAACATCAGATATGGATTAAAAACCAGCTCTACTTCACTCCCAGTCAGTCATTTTAGGCAAGTTATTGAGATTTTTTCCTCAATGTTTTTATCCTTTTTTATTGAGATAAGTTCTTGCTTTGTTGCCCAGGTTACACAATCATACTTCACTGCAACTTTGAACTCCTGGGCTCAAGCAATCCTCCTGTCTCAGCCTCCTGAGTAGCTAGGACTACAGGGGCATGTCACCATGCCCTACTAATTTTTATTTTTTCTAGAGACAAGGCCTTGCTATTATTGCCCAGGCTGGCCTCAAACTCCCGGCCTCAAGCAATCCTCTTACCTTGGCCTCCCAAAGCTCTAGGATTACATGGATGAGCCACTATGTGTAGCCCTTTGTCTTTAAAGTGATATGATGCCTACCACAAAACTTATGGTTCAAAATTAAATAAAACAGTATGTGAAGAGAGTTTGAAATAGTGTTTGGCACAAGTTAAGTGCTCAAAAAATTGTATCATTATTAAGCATTAGACAATGTAGAGTTTTATTTAATATGAAAAAATGAAGAGGATTAAATCAAAGATTATTCCTAGATCCTTAAGGTGACGTGATGTTTTAGAAAATATTTGGAATGAAAGATTAAAAAATAATAGAAGAGAGAACTAAGTCTGTCTCCCCTCTCTTCAACTTGGCTATGCAAATCCAAGAACAGTGGCTGTAGAATTAGAAAAAACTTGACTACAATCTTAAATGAGTCGTCCACTAGATGCACTACTCTTGGACAGTTAATTTAACCTCTGAGCCTCATGTTTCCCCTATATAAAAAGGGTATTGCGATAGATTATATTTTTTTATAAAGATTCACTTCTATTTTGCTGTAAAAATATATGCATGCACCATCCAATGCCCTGTGAGTTAGACCACTACTTGTGTGTGTGTGTGTGTGTGTGTGTGTGTGTGTGTGTGTATGTGTGTGAGATGGAGTCTCGCTCTGTCGCCGAGGCTGGAGTGCAATGGCGCGATCTTGGCTCACTGCAATCTCTGCCTCCCAGGTTCAAGTGATTCTCCTGCCTCAGCCTCCTGAGTAGCTGGGATTACAGGCGCTCGCCACCATGCCTGGCTGATTTTTGTATTTTTAGTAGAGACGGGGTTTCACCATGTTGGTCAGGCTGGTCTCAAACTGCTGACCTCGTGATCCGCCCGCCTTGGTCTCCCAAAGTGCTGGGATTACAGGTGTGAGCCACCACGCCTGGCCTAGAGCACTACTTTCTATGGGAGGTCAATATTTACTACTCCACTGATATTGGGCTCACTTTGACTTGCATTTGTCAAAAATGTAAGAAAGAAAGGACATATATTATATTCATGCAGATATTTAAGAGTGATCTTGTTGCTTGTTTTTATCTTTTCCATAAAAATGGCATGTTCCCAATGGCAACTGTGCCTTCAGCCTGAGTCTAGAAATGGGAAGCAGAACCCAGCTGCCTACATGTGGCATGACCTAGAAATCAATCTTTGTTTTTGTATGCCACTGAAATTTGACAATTGCATGTTAGTGTATAACATAGCAAAAGCTAATTCAGGGGGGTTATAATATACCACTAATGAAAATTTTTGACAGATTGCAGGTGCTTAATAAATACTAGCTTTTTCTTTTCTCTTCTCTCACTTACCTGTCAATAGACTTGCAGGTGAAAAGAGAAGAAAAAGTGAAAAGGGTTTAAAGAAAGGTGAGAAAGGAGGAAACTGGAGAAAGGTCAGGAGAGCGTTGAAGAACATTCCCACCTTGGAAATAGGAAGGCTTTCCCTTCTCTTTTGGGAAACCTTAGGCAGTGAGGTATGCATTAATTGCAGTCACTCCTTATTTATTATGCAGCAGTGTTATTTTAAAGTCCACCATATTCTCAAAAGTAAGTATGGGATGCAGCATCATTATCTCTACTGAGATTTAAATTATTCCACGTCAGTCAGGGCCACATTCCTTTTATTCATAAACATCTTACAGTACTGCATTACCATATGAGGTATTAGCACCTTTTGTAAATGTGGATTTTCCAGCTGATTTGTCACTTTACATATACACACAAATACATAATGAGAATTAGAAATAAAAATACTAGTAAACATAGATAATAGAGTGGAGTGAGGAGTAGTGTAGCATAGTAGAAAGGGGTCAGCCTTTGACTTCCAATCATGGATTGAAGACCTTGCTCTAAAATTTGTACTTTTGTTTTTCCTTCTTTTTTCTGACTCATTGATGCTCCAGTTTTCTATCCTAGAAAATTTTAGGATAATAATATTTACTGTTTTTTTGTGAGGATTAAATGAGGCAAGGCATGTAAGGTAACTTGCAGAGGGTAAACATACAACAGGAGCTATTTTTTTTAAAGTAAGAAATTATGTTTTGCTAGTGGTTACACATTAGTATTACCTATGGAGCAATGAGAGATTTCTGGGTTCTATTGCTGTACGTTTTGATTTAATAGGGCAAGGGAAAAGTAGAGATAAGTACTAGGCTTTCATAATTTCAAATACTTTTCTATACCCTTTCAATATATGGTCAGACACATAGAGGGAACAACACATGCTGGCTGGGACCTTTTGAAGAGTGGAGGGTGAAAGGAGAGAGAGGATCAGGAAAAATAACTAATGGGTACTAGGCTTAATACCTGGGTGATGAAATAATCTGTATAACAAACCCCCATGACATAAGTCTACCTGTATAACAAATCTGCACATGTACCCCTGAACTTAACATAAAATTTTTAAAATAATAAAACAAAAACATGTAAAGCATATATCTATACAGTCAGGATGTAGACCATTGGTAGAAAGGGGAAAACTCATGATTTTGGAAATGAAAAAGAGAAAGAGAAATCAGATCATAAACAACATTATAATGGGCTAGTGGAAATGAAATACTTAATTAGTGAGGGGAGCTGGGGGAAGAACAGGAAGAGGGAGAGGTTGGGGAGTTATGTTTCTTACGAAAACTCCTTTAAAAATAAGCTGGTAGAGAAGAACCAGACATAATGACGGTAACTGCTAAGCCAGTTTTACCAACTGAAGAAAAACATATTTGGATCAGTAAGAGATGTTACCACCTCAAAAGTTCCCTTTCAGCTACCTGGCAGTATTAAAATAACAAAAGCAATTAAAAGGAATAATATTTCCATTTTAGGGTAGGGGTGCTGGAATGGCAGTTTGGGCCAAAGAACAGTGAAAGAAATTGACTGAGTCGAAGCAGTTGTGTAGAAGTGTTGGAAGTAGCTATTAGGGTTGTAGACATATGCTTAGTGTACATTTTCAATGTAATAGCTACCATATGTTCTTTCAACAAAATACCATTGTAAGTTTTAGACTGTCTGTTATACTAGAAAGAGCTAGTGAATAGAGATTCAGGGATTGAATCATGTCTGGCCTGGAAACTCAAAACATCAAGAGTAGCATCTTCCTACACAGACACCAGTGACGCACAGCAGTGTATCACTAAGATGAGTCGCCCTCTGAGAAAACTCAGCAAACAGAGTTATGTGGCTTTTCTTGTTTCAGATCGCCTTCACTCCTAACTAAAGCAGACATGCACTCAGGAACTAGTGGACTCTGGCCTCCTTTGCAACTGAGTTTTTTTTGAAAGACACTAGCATGTGTCTACAGTTAATGTCTGGCCACCTGACTCAGGTGCTAATGCAGAAGTAGAACATCAGTCCCAGAGTTATGGCAAACTTGAAGTGCATTGATGCTTGGGAAAGCTTAGTCTCTAGCTTCAGCAGCAACCAAGGGAAATCATTGCTAGAAGAAAGGACAGAGACAGTGGGGAGCAGTGTCTGTCACAGAGGCTCGAAACACCACCAAGGGCTCACATGTGCCATGCAGTGGCTTTCATCCATTCTACATTCTTTTATCTAGTTTGAGAACTAATTTGTTTACTAATGATTTGTACAACATACCCTAAATAAATGCTTTCCAAAGAGTAATGGTTGCACAGAATGAAAATTACGTTGTTCTCATTTTATAGCTTATTAGCTGTAAATATGACATTAAAACATTCTTGCAACTTTTAGCCTGAGAGATATTTATTGATGTTTGCAATGTTGTAAAGGATTTTCTTGGACCCATGAAAAGAACTCCAGCAGATGGGTTGAGAAAATCTGATACTAATGGAAGACGAACCGTTGCCATCATCAATGGATTCTTCACAAATGTCTACTCATTGCTCACCTATCTCATCCAAGGAGCTTTATTTGTCTAAGTACCAAACATTCTTTTTTTCTAAAGAGTCCCTCTTTAAGATGATATCCCAGCATGTAGGTGCCAGGGCAGTAACTATTAAGTGCCCACATATGGTGTTTTATGGCAATACATCTGATGCTATTATATTGTTGTCACAAGAATACTTGGCTCTTTAAGCCAAGAATACACATGCTCATAATAAATGATTTTTATGACTTCACATACACAATCACGATGCAAAGAAAGTATAAAGGAAAGGCTGCTTGTTTTATGCAGCTTTGGCACTAACCCTATCCCCAATTATAGGCAACAAGAGGATTGTATGAAGCCAATGAAAATATAAGGGTGGAAAATGGAAAAGATAATACTATGATTTCATGTACTGAAGGCTGTTATTGTTCAAATTGCAACAGTATTGTTTTGTTGTTTTATTTCCCTCCATGATCTTAAATGCTCCTTTCTTCTCTAGTAATGCCAAAATGTGAATTGTCTCACTCATCAATGGCAACTCTTTAATCTTTATGTTTTGGCTTTGAGCAAACAACAAAGGTAGTCAAATGATGATTCATACAACATTTCATGTTCAATGAAGGATTTTTCCCCTTCCTTAACAACACCTATGCCTTTAGAGTAGAGTTAGGAGAAAATGAAGGTAGAAGACAGCCGTTCTCCTGTTGTTTCTGTTGAGGGTTTGTACACTTCAGTATTTCCAGATTATAGCCCTGTGAAGCATTTACTGCAAAATAGGAAGCCTTAGCCAAATATGCAGTGTTTCAGGTCTGCAGACAAAATTTAAACCAGCTGGATTTTATTGGGAATTTTTGAGTGCAAGTAAACCTAGTGGTGAAACTAAAGCCAGCATTTGTCTCCACTGGAATGGGCTGCATCTTTAGGAACTACTCCTCCATGTCTCTTCTCTTGAGGGAATTTTGAATTTTGAAAGGTCCTAAGATAAAATCTTCCAGATAATTCCTTAGAGTATCTGGTTGAAATCTTAGCCAACAAAGGTAGAAGTTGCAGCCAGATATGATGCCTCTCTTAGTCAAATCTTGAGAGAGATGAGGGGAAGCTGGGTCTCTCTCAGTAATCTAATTTTAAGTTGCCCAAATTAAAACAGATAAAGATTCCCTATACACATATACTTACAAAAACATAGCCAACAGACACGCATTCACTTAAACTCACACACTTTTACAATAGTGCCTGGTCAAAGTGGCAAATAATGACCAACATACTGGATTTGTAGATGACAAAAGTTCCACATCATATTTTTGAATGTCCCTTAGGTGAAAATTATTGTGTTCCTTGCTAAAAAAATATGCAGTTTTATAGAGTCAAACACGTAAGTACTAGAAGCAAAGAAACGTGCCTTATTATGATTGTTTATTGAATATGGACACATTATTAGCTATTTAGAATTTTTAAAACAAAGCAATAAAAGGTAATCTGGAACTAGAGAAAACTCTTTTATCCCAAATCTCAATTTAGCTCTCTGAAAGAATAAGTACTTTTTTCAAGGGCAAAGAAAGAAATAATACAGGCTTTCTTAAAATTTTAGTATAGTATTAGGAAAGGAAAGTTATTGGTGGGCTACTTGTCTTTTTAATATTAAATAAATAGTCACTCCAGAGGGGGCCACATACACAGTCTGGAGTTTGCTTAAATGGCCCTGAACTTAGCCTCAGTTACCTAATCCAAGACTATCAGAACACATCTAATATCAGAGATCATCTATTTCTTTGAAATCTTTACTAGAATTTAATATGTGAGAAACCTGAGCTCTAGGGAGAAGATAACTAATTTCCTCTACACAACCTGGTGGAGGTAGGGATAGAACTGGCTTCTTAGGCTCTTCTTTATATTGCAACAAATTGCCTCTCATCAAACAAACTTTTTAAATAGTCTCTTATTATATTCCTGTGTTCCCTGTGAAATGTAACATTTATAATCAATTGACAATTATAAGATTTATATCATTAGACGAGAGCAGTATATTATGGTGAATAAAATCACAGCTTCTGGTGCCAAAAACAGCTATGTTTAAATTCTGGCTCTATTGTCTTTTTTTGTGACTTGGACAAGTTACTAATTTTTAGTCGCCTCTGTTTTCTTTTGGGTAAAAGAAAGAGCACCTACTTCACATATTGCTTGTAAAAATTAAATTAGTTAAGCCACATAAAATGAATAGAACAATGTCTGACACATAGCAGTCAATTAGGTCTCAGCAGCTCGAGCAAACGAAAGACAAGTCAGCTAGCATTAGTAGTCAGAATGTAGCTTCAACAGCAGTATCTTTAGATGTTTATTAAATCTCCATTTTTAAGATACATCTTTTATAGCTTCAGTTTTCTCCATGTCATCATTTTACAATGTGGAGATAAAGTGGCAAGCAGATCCATGAGAAGATTCTTTACAGCTGGTCAAATGGGATAATTATTTTCAAGACTTTGTCCAGATTCTTATACTATTAATATTAATGTAATGTTTTCTTGATATGCTTCTGGTCATTAGTCATTCACTATTTCTGTAGTTTCTTTGAGGAAGGTAGTAGTGTGCTCAAAGGGAAACACCTGATTGTCTTAGTGCTTTCCATCAGAAGTGACAGCAAATGTAAAGCTAATTGCACAGGTGGATCTCATCTATAGGCTCCACCTCTATTCTAAAGACTGATGCTTTCCAGGATAGTCCCAAGTATACCATCAGCAAGGTTGGAGCATTCCTCATAGGCTAACTCCGTAGCTGAGTCTGACTTTTTTTTTTTTTTTTGCTGCTTTTTGGAGAAATCTAGGAAAATCTAGAGTGAACTTAAGGGAGATTTTCCTATTTGCGAAGTTCTGATGCAAATTCCAACTGCCATGACCAAAGAACCTCTAAAGTTGCAAAAGTTACTGTGGAAAATATGACTTACTCAAATATGTTCAGGTTTGACTTAGATGTTAAACAACTAACCTTATCCAGCTGATCTCTCCCTGACACACATCTGTTGGTTGCTCTTTGCTTCCAAGTCTAATTTTACCCAGTGCGAAGCAAAAATTCTTCACTCCTTTCTAAACACAGTGTGCTTGATGCTGAAAATCAAGTGATGACACTCAGTGTTCAGATGTTTTCTGACTCTTGACTTTTATCTGTCCCATCAGTTGTTATCAAATGTAAACAGTAGAATTGTGGGGCCAATGGGAATTCTTCCAGTTATCCAAGTCTACTTTTTCATGTTTATAACATGATAATCTTGATACTAATGCCTCTGGAATATAGTAATAGTTTATTTTTAATTAATAGAAAAAATAATGCTTCTCTTTCTCTTGAGTCTGGGGATGTTTTATTGTGTGGGGATAAATGGAAGTTCTTGAGTTTTTTTTATATACTTTAAGTTCTGGGATACACATGCAGAACATGCAGGTTTGTTACATAGATATACACGTGCCATGGTGGTTTGCTGCACCTATCAACCCATCATCTACATTAGGTATTTCTCCTAATGCTATCCCTCCACTAGCTCCCAACCCCCCAACAGGCCCCAGTGTGTGATGTTCCCCTCCCTGTGTCCATGTGTTCTCATTGTTCAACTCTCACTTATGAGTGAGATCTTTTGTTCCATTGACTTGGTAAGCAAATTCGAAAACATCGGGATGGTATCTCAAAGGAACTAGTGTTGAAGTTCTCCTTATGGAGTTAACAGTAGTGTATGCTATGTTTATGATTTAAGTAAGTGAACATTGCCAGATTCCACCTGATTTTCCGAAGAGAATCAATGAGTACTCTAAGCCAGTGTTTCATGGAGTGTGGTACCTGGACAAGCAATTTCAGCATCACCTGGGAACTTGTCCTAAATGTAAATGCCCCAGTTTTCAAGCCCATTGGATTAGAAAGTGCATCATGTCAATCAGGTTAGTCTATTTCCCAGTAGACGGCAGGAAGGTATGTACAATCATGTGTAGCTTAATGATCAGGACCAGAATACATTCTGAGAAATGCATCATTAGGAGATTTTGTTGTGCAAATATCAGAGAATGTACACAAACTTAGGTGGTATAGCCTACTACAGATCTAGGCTATATGGTCTAGCCTGTTGCTCCTAGGCTACAAACCCGTACAGCATGTTACTGAATACTGAATACTGTAGTCAACGTGTAACACAATGGTATTTGTGTACCTAAACATAGAGAAGGTAAAACACAGTATAACAAAGTATAACACAGTAAAAATACGATGTTATAATTTTATGGGACCACCATCATTATGCAGTCTGACTTTGACAGAAACATCATTATGCAGTGCATAATTGTATATGAGATTGGATAGTAAATTCATGTCTTCTTAAAATGTCCTCAAGAAATTGTTGAGGTAATTGCTATTTAAAATGTGATCCTTAGAGGTAATTGCTATTTAAAATGTGATCCTTAGACCAACAGCATCAGCCTCACCTAGTTGCTTGTAGAAATGCATATCTCAGGCCCTACCCCAGACCTAATGAATCAGAATCTGGATTTTAACTGGAAACCATGTGATTCTTATGAACAATGAAGTTTGCAACTAATAGCCCCAGTTGATTATCTACCCTAAAATTATTCAAAGATAACACCATACTTAAGAAGTCACTTATTCTAAGAAAATATGCCTTAGATCTTCCAGAAATTTTCTACCCATATTACATGTTTAACATCATAATTATTCAAAAAGTATTGATTTGCCTGATTTTTCAAACCCCTCAAAATCTGTGATAAAAAGTAGTATTTACTGAGTTTTACTATGTTTCAGATATTTCTTTACTGATATAATTTTTGTACCAACATTCTTAGTTAGAAATGTTTATTGTGATTTTCATTTCACAGACTGGAAATTGAAGGAAAGTGAGAGAAGTAACTTGTTTATGGTTACTTATCTTGTAAATGATGGAAAAATTATTTGAACCCAGACACATTGGTGCTATGTTGCCTCTCTATGGCTGTGCTCTGTAATAAGGTCTATTTACATTTCCAAGCACAGAATTTGACTTCTAGAGTCATTGTTGCTGATTATTGTTTTTAATCAAAAATGTAAGAGTCAGGCTGAGGAAGGAGAGTGGAAGAAGGGGCACTATTTATATTTTAAATTTGAAAGCTAATAATGGTTAAATACACTGACTTTTCCCTGAGGACCCAACCCAAAGAAATATCTAGAATTCTAAGTGTATATATTAAATAGCATAAAACCTAAAAGTTGTAGAGTTTATTATAAATCAACATTTTTACATTGGATGGTATTTAAAGTAATTTTAAAGAAACAGTTTATTTGTTATTATTCTCTTTATTGCTAACTTAAAACACATATGCCTGTTCTCTACAGAATTCAAAACAATGCAAATAATAAAAAACAAGATCCTTAAGGAATAATCACTTATTTCTAAGAGGAAAAACAAACATTTATAAGTGAATGTCTATGAATCCAATGGACTACAAATTCACCATGGAACCATTTTAATCCAGAAAATACCAAATACTGGACTGTTTAGAGGCTATGATATAAATATGAATACAGAGTAGAGAAATTCTGTTGAATGTTCCTTGGAAAACCAAGAAGCTTTTTTAGCACCTGGACTGAATTTGAAGGAAACTAGACTTGAATTAGAGTTTTGTGTAGAAACCAAGAAAAAGTCAGTGGTTTTGGCTAGATGAAGTGATTTATTTAAAGCCAAAACTTAACATAAAGCTCCTGAAATACTAATTTATTTGAATTGGCTATACTAGAAGGTGATGTATGTGCATTTATGTATACGTGTATGTATATCTGTGTGCATAAGACAGGGAAAGAAAGAGAGAGAGAGAGGAGTTTTTGCAGGGGAAATGTCTTTCACAATTCACTTAGCTCAGTGTTTTATTTATAGTCTGTAATCTTTCTTCAGACAGTCAGTGATCAGATAATAGTAAAAATTATAACATGTAATTACAAAAGTGAGTTCGAACCTTTATTAAGTCATTTTACACAGTCTTTGCATTATTTTGGTAAAATTAAGTTTAAAATTTTATGTACTTAAGGAAAAAAATGTAAGACTATGTATCATGCACCTCCATATATAAATGAGTGTATTCAAAGTACTTTCTATAAAAATGCTCGCTAATGGAATGTTATTTTTAAACCCAGACCTTCACTGGGAGTAGACAGATGAAATGTTGTAAGGCAGGATGAAATGCAGCCAAATAAATCATCTATCCATTGAATGCAGACAAGTAAGATGAATAAACCAATCTTACTAGCATCTTGACATCTAACATGAGGGATCGATAGACAGATGGGTGAGAAGTATGGCTATAAAAAGAAATGAAATGGTAGAAACAGGTACGGAAAGGCTCTTTTCTAAAGCTTCTTGAAAAAGACTATATACATTTTGAGGAGGTTTTATGTTAATATTTCACAAAAGCCAGCTGGTTCTGGAAATCAGTTGGGAACAATCTTCTGTCATTCACAGATAGGGCTAACCATATCAGTCATTAAAGGAATGCACACATTTAAGAGCAAAAATGTGTTAGGATCAATTGCTTATTTGCAATGATGACACCACTGAAGGATCAACTGTAAAATTATTTCCTACTACTCAAACTTTTTGAGAGCAGATCTATAAAAAGGAAAAGTGTTGGAAAATACAAGGAGCTTGAAATGTTTTTATTAAAGTGAGCAGTAGCAGCCTGGTCTTGTTAATTCCTGATTCTTTTGCTCAAATATTTGAATTAAAAGTTCCAGCTTGAGTGGAAACATAAAGAATTGAGGCTCTAAATAGAGAAGCAGTATTAGGATACTTCCAATAAAGCAAGGAAAAGCTATTGAATTCAAGAACAGTGCTGCCATAGAACTATGGTTGACTTTCATTCATTTACTCATTCATTCATTCACTACTTATTGAGTGGCTAATGTGTACCAACAATTGTTTTGGGCACTGGAGTGAAGCAGGCCACCTTGGGAGCTGCATGGTATTAGTCTTATTGGTCTTTCCCTTCTGAGCACAGACTTTTCTTATTCCCTGAGAGGTGTAAGTGAAAAGAGGATCTGGGACCTATGGCTGGTGACTGGGTTTTCCCAAATGTGGATTAGAGAAGTGGTTCCCAGACTTGCTTGAAAATCAAAACCACCTGGATAACTTTTTAAATACATGTTGCTGAACTCTATCCCAGGCCTACTGAATTAGAATTACTGGGGTTAGGGCTAAATACCTATATTTTCAACACACTCTGTATATATTTCTGAGGATTAGCCAGATTTGAGAACCAAAAATTTAATGTCCAGTAATACTCCTCAATAGTTTGGGCTTGTCTTTGTGACCATGTTTCTTCATTAATAGTGGAAAGATTGTTACTAATAGAGTTGGGGAACCAGCTGGCTTTAGTAAAACCTTAATATAGAAACCCCTAGCACACTGTTGGTGGAAATAAATTAGGGCAGCCATTATGGAAAACAGTATGAAGTTTCCTCTAAAAATTAAAACTAGAACTACCAAATGACCTAGCAATCCCATTGCTGGGCATACATCCAAAGGAAGTGAAATTAGTGTGCTGAAGATATATCTGCATTCCATGTTTATTGCAACACTGTTCACAACAGCCAAGATATGGAATCAACCTAAGAAAATGTGATATACATACACAATGCAATACTATTCAACCATGGAAAAAAATGAATTTTTTTATTTGCAACAACATGGATGAAACTGTATAACATTGTGCTGAACGAAAAATGCCAGGCACAGAGAGACAAATACCACATGATCTCACTTGTATGCGGAATCTAAAAATGTTGATCTCATAGATACAGAGAATAGAGGGATGATTATTAAAAGCAAGGGTTGTTGGGGAGATATTGGTCAAAGGATGCATAACTACAGTTAGATAGGAAGAAAAAATTCAGGAGATGTATTGTACAACATGGTGACTATAGTTAATGATGATATATTACATTCTTGAAAAATGCTGAGAGAGTGAATGCAAAGTGTTCTCACCACAAAAATGATAACTATGTGAGGTTATGTGTGTGTAAATTAGCTAGATTTAACCATTCCACAGTTTGTGTGTGTGTGTGTGTGTGTGTATTTCAAAACATCATCTTGCATATGGTAAATACATATAATTTTTATATCAATTTAAAAAATATATAAATTTGGGGAAAAAGCAAAACATAAAAAATAAATTCTGAAAAATGTGTAGCAGTATTCACTATAGTCTTTGTAAGGCATCAAATAAAAGAAGCCTAATGGTTCAATTCTTAATCCAAATCAACATAATGGTTTTAAAGGCAGAGTGTTAAAGAAGGAAACAACAGACACTGGGGTCTCCCTGATGGGGGAGGGAGGAGGAGGGAGAGGAGCAGAAAAGATAACTCTTGGGTACTGGGCTTAATACCTGGGTGATGAAATAATATGTACAACAAATCCCCATGACACATGTTTACCTACGTAACAAACCTTCACATGTACCCCCAAACCTAAAATAAAAGTTAAAAATATAAAAATAAAGGCACAGTGTGTAACATATACACAATATTTGCTATTTAATAGTCACTTTATACACTTAATCTCATTCAAGCTCTCAGGTTGGTATATGGAGTCTCTGGCAAGAACTTAATAGGAGAGTTACAACACAGACACCTTGGGCTCTGAAGCAAAACCATTCCATCTGCAGTAGAATACTCCTTGCCATTTGAAATTTAGCACCTATTGGATATTATCGGATCTGTTAAGTAAATGATTCCCAGAAAGACGAACCCAGTATATCAGTGTTTACTGTCCATGCACAGATGACTACAAACACTCACAGAGGTGGCTCTAGAAGCCAGTGGTAAAAGGAAATCCTTCCCAGAGGCAGAACATGAGCAGTACTCTTGACTGTTCACTTTGTATGGAAAGACAAGTGGCTAGAAGTAAGACTCATGGTCAGTGGTAAATTGCTTGGTCAAAGGGATTAAAAAAAACAGCAGACTTGGAAGACTGTAGAAAAGGGAATGAGGGAAAAAGACTTGTGGAAGTACCCATGGTAGTGGCAAGACGTGGGCAAATTTTTCTGTCTCAGATTTTTGCCAGCAGAGAGTATCTACCACAGAGAAGACCCTCCATGACCATAGTTTTGCAGTGAGCTTGAAGAATGTAGCTATGGTGGCAAGGATGGCAGCTATGCATGGGCCTGACAGAATGGATTTCCTCTCCATAAGGCTGATCAGTTAGTGTTCTACCAATGCTGAATGGCAAACCTTCCAGCAACAACTGATACCTATACCAAGATCTTATTTTAGCAGGTTGATGGCAGATTTATAATACCGTAACCTTTCTACTTGAAAGAGGTAGTGATGCTTTCCAACTAGAATTTATACTTACTTTGGATATGAATTTGCCTTCCTTCCCCACCATCAAAATTCTTCATAGAATGCCTAATCTTTTTTTATGCAGCTGCAACCTAAGAGTGCTTCATCTTGGACATTGTACCATGCTTTTCATTTTTCTTTTCCCAGTACTTTTCTGCCACTGAAGCACGAAATGTGGGGACCCACTCAGCACTCATGCATACACTGTATGCGAGTTTGAGGGAATCAAGGCTAGTGGGGTCACCCCAAATCAGTGAGGGACAGGATCCAAAGGTCAAATGATTTCCCCTTTCTTCTCCTATGAATAAAGTTCAGTGATGTATTTCACAAAGCATCTTAGAAGGTCCCCAAAGAAGAAAACTTCAGTTACCTGAATTAGAAAACAACTCAGTATTGCATCTTTTTACTGACTCTTGACACCCCATCTCCTTTACATGTGCTCCCAGATAAACTACTGCACAAAAGTCATTGCTTTATGCTTTGTTCTCTGTTATATGTACTGGCCATATTCAAAAATAATTTTGGATCTTTCAGTATCTATCTATAATAGAGTGGTACAAATGATAATTAAATAGGACTAGTTTTAGGGAGACAGATTACATGCTTTGTTGGAAATACTGTGGCAAAGACTGGCAAGCCACTCACCAAATTCACTTTTCTTCCTCCAAGGTATCGAGCTAAACTATATTTCCCAGCCTCCCCACAGATAAGTAGAAACAGAAGTACATGTGGAATGCACTTATGACTGGCCCCTAAAAATCTCCAGTGTAATGTCTTTTTCTGAATCTGCAGGATGAATGAAGAAGCATCTGTAAACTTAGAAGAGGGTGTGGCCATACGGTAGAAACATTTGGAATCACTAAATAGCTGTATAACACCTAAATTCCTCTAACTCACTCAACCCATCCCACCTCTTCCCTCTGGAATTAAATTTCATGTGAGTCAGAAATTAACTATTGTTTTGGCCTACTGGTATTTGATGTGTTATTGGTGATGGCTTAGTGATGCCTAGCCTATATAAAAATTGACACCTTGAAGTAGGGCAGCTGCCACAGTTTAAAATATGGAGAATTGTCTTAGCAGTCAGGTGGTGAGAAACTGCCTATTGGGGGCTGGAAAGATGGAGACCGTTTTTAAATTGTGAATTGGCAAATTATTTGGTACAATTTGCAAAGGAGATCAGATATCCACCCAGCCAGTAGCACTACATGTGGTGGTTTGAAAGAACTGGAGTGATAGTATGAATGGCTCACTCTTGGCTGCTTGAGCAGGGTTTTACAAAAGAGACATGAGCTCAGGTAGAAATTGGTTGTCAAGCAAAGATTAGAGGCATTAAAATAAGGATCCCCTAACATTGAAAAAGCCGACTACTTGTAGGTCCCAAATAGTAAAAGATAAGATTGAAAAATATCCAAGAGCAAATAAACCCCAAAGCTAGCAGAAGACAAGAAATAACCAAGATCCAAGATAAATTGAAGAAGATAGAGACATGAAAATCCTTCAAAAAATCAATAAATCCAGTAGCCATTTTTTTAGATAAAATAGCTAGCTAGCTAGACTAGTAAAGAAGAAAAGAAAGAAGAATCAAATAGACACAATCAGAAATAATAAGGGGGAATATCACCACTGACCCCAGAGAAATACAAACAAACATTACAGAATACTATAAACACCTCTATGCACATAAACTAGAAAATCCAGAAGAAATAGACAAATTCCTGGACACCTTCACCCTCCCGAGACTGAACCAGGAAGAAACTGAATCTCTAAATAGACCAATAATGAGTTCTGAAATTGAGGCAGTAATAAATAGCCTACCAAGCAAGATGGTATTAACACCTGAATCCTACCAGAGGTACAAAGAAGAGCTGGTACCATTTCTACTGAAACTATTCCAAAAAATTGAAAAGGAAAGACTCCTCCCTAACTTACTCTATGAGCACAAAATCATCCTGATACCAAAACCTGAAAGAGATGCAACAAAAATAAGAAAACTTCAGGCCAATATTCTTGATGAACATCGATGCAAAAATCTTCAATTAAATATTGGCAAACCGAATCCAGCAGCACAAAAAAAATCTTATCCACCACGATCAAGTTGGCTTCATGTCTGGGGTGCAAGTTTGGTTCAATACAGCCCAGTCAATAAATATGATTCATTACATAAACAGAACTAAAGACAAAAACCACATGATTATCTCAATAGTTGCAGAAAAGGCCTTTGATAAAATGCAACATCGCTTCATGTTAAAAACTCTCAATAAACTAGTTATTGAAGGAACATACCTCAAAATAATAAGAGCCGTCTATGACAAATCCACAACCAATATTATACTGAATGTGCAAAAGCTGGAGGCATTCCCCTTGAACACCAGCACAAGATAAGGATGCCCTTTCTCACCACTCCTATTCAACATACTATTGGAATTTCTGGCCAGGGAAATCAGGCAAGGGAACGAAATAAAGGGTATTCAGATAGGAAAAGAGGAAGTCAAATTATCTTTGTAGAAGACATGATCCTGTATCTAGAAAACCCCATTGTTTTAGCCCAAAAGCATCTTAAGCTGATAAGCAACTTCAGCAAAGTCTCAGGATATAAGATTAATGTGCAAAGTGACACAAGACAAGGTTGCCCTTTCTTAGCACTCCTATTCAACATAGTATTGGAAGTTTTGGCCAGAGCAATTGGGCAAGAGAAGGAAATAAAGTGTATTCAAATAGGAAGTCAAACTATCTGTGTTGGCAGATGATACGATCCTATATCTAGGGAACACCATTGACTGAGCCCAAAGGCTTCTTAAGCTAATAAGCAACTTCAGCAAAGTCTCAGGATACAAAATCAATGTGCAAAAATCACTAGCATTCCTATACACAAACAACAGACAAGCAGAGAGCCAAATTATGAACAAACTCGCATTTACAACTGCTACAAAAAGAACAAAATATCTAGGAATACAGCTAACAAAGGAAGTGAAAGACATCATCAAGGAGAACTACAAACCACTGCTCAGAGAAATCAGAGAGGATGCAAACAAATGAAGAAACATTCCATGCTCATGGATAGGAAAAATCAATATCATGAAAATGGTCATTCTGCCCAAAGTAATTTATATGTTCAATGCTATTCCCATTAAACTACCATTGACATTCTTCACAGAATTAGAAAAAAGCTATTTAAAAATTCATATGGAGCAAAAAAAGAGCGAAATAGCCAAGACAGTCCTAAGCAAAAGGAACAAATCTGGAGGTATCACGCTACCCAACTTCAAACTATACTGTGAGGCTACAGTAACCAAAACAGTATGATACTGGTATAAGAACATACACATAGATACACAGAAGAGAATAGAGAGCTCAAAAATAAGACCACGCAGCTACAACCATCTGATCTTTGACAAACCTAGCAAAAACAAGCAGTGGGGAAAGGAATCCCTATTTAATAAATGATGCCTGGAGTGCTGGTTAGCATATGCAGAAAATTGAAACTGGATCCCTTCCTTACACCATATACAGAAATTAACTCAAGATGGCTTAAAGACAAATGTAAAACCCAAAACTATGAAAATCCTAGAAGAAAATCTAGGCAATACCATTCAGGATATAGGCACAGGCAAAATTTTCATGATGAAAACACCACAAGCAATTGCAACAAAAGCAAAAATTGACAAATGAGATCTAAACTAAAGACCTTTTGCACAGCAAAATAAACTATCATCAGAGTGAACAGACAACCTACATAGTGGAAGAAAACTTTTGCAATCTTTCCATTTGGCAAAGATCTAATATCCAGAATCTACAAGTAACTTAAACAAATTGAAAAGAAAAAAAACAAGCAACACTATTAAAAAGTGGGTAAAGGAAAGGAGTGACACTTCTCAAAAGAAGACATTCATGTGGCCAACAAACATATGAAAAAAAGCTTAACATCACTGATCATTAGAGAAATGCAAATCAAAACTAACATGCGACCATTGTGAAGACAGTGTGGCAATTCCTCAAGGATCTAGAAGCAGAGATACCATTTGACCCAGCAATCCCACTACTGGGTATATACTCAAAGGAATATAAATCATTGTATTATAAAGATATGTGCATGGATATGTTCACTGCAGCACTATTCACAATAGTGAAGACATGGGATCAGCCTAAATAACCATCAATGATAGACTGGATAAAGAAAATGTGGTACATATATACCATGGGATACTATGCAGCCATAAAAAGGAATGAGATCATATCCTTTTCAGGAAAATGGATGGAATTGGAAGCCATTATCCTCAGCAAACTAACACAGGAGCAGAAAACCGAACACTGCATGTGCTCACTTATAAGTGGGAGCAGAATGATGAGAACACATGGACACACAGTGGGAACAACAAATGCTGCAGCCTGTCAGGTGGCTGGTGGGAGGAGGGAGAGCATCAGGAAGAATAGCTAATGGATGCTGGGCTTAATACCTAGGTGATGGGATGATCTGTGCAGCAAACCACTATGGCATGCATTTACCTATGTAACAAACCGTATATCCTGCACATGTATCCCAGAACTTAAAAAAAAAAAGTTGAAGAAAACAAAGGAAAATATCTCCAGTCATAAAAGGCCTAGTATTTCTAAGTTAAATAAATTGATTCAATGATGGAGCAAATCTCAGATTAAGAGTATTACCTTATTACACAGTCTATTGTTTAGATTAGCTTAAATTATTAAATGAGAGAGAGAGAGGCACAGAGGTGAGGAAGGAAAGAAATAAGGCAAACTTGGGAACTAAGTCAAGAAAAATTTTTTATTGTGAATACTGGCACATGTAACTGATAAAAAGCAAGTACATGAGAAATCTAACACATTTTTAAGAGATTATATTGCCAAAGGAGCCACCAGTCTGCTTGCAAAAGTCTGTGACTGTTAAACTTTAAAACAACTTTCAGTCCTTCAAACTCTATGAACAGGATTTGGCTATGAACATTCCATGTTCCCCGAGGAGGGTGTACTCCGCCAAACCTATTTCAGATATGGCCGTGGAAAAATACGGTCAAGGAAGAACCTTTCAGAGGATAAAATAGGAGCCACAGAAGGTGGTTCTTCACAGATATCTGATTCAGGTTCTCCTTACTGAAATCCACACTGCCAGAGAGGCTGCACAATGCCTATAGTATAGGATCTCACTGTGTGTTATTGTTCTCCCATTTTTCCTGATTTTGAATAGAAGTTTTTTTTTTTTTTTGAGGTTTTGCTGTCCCTGATACTATATGTAGGTTTATAGTGGGGGTTTGGGTGTGTTAGTGTTTGGTGTCTGTGTCGGGAAGATGGCAGTGGGTTTCCTGTCTATTACAAGGTGCCACAACATTTAGCTTGCACATCTTTTAACATTCAGGGCTTTGAGTTCGCGGCTGATGCTGAATAAAAATTTGAAAAACATTAAGATGTCTCCAATGGAGAAGGAATAAGCATATTCTCTGTGTGAAGAGAAAAATGCAACGGAAATTTGCTAAGAGGAAGGGTAAATTGTTGCAGAGACTTATTTGTTGATTAACAATTACAATTGCCTTTCCTCCTGGCACAAAGCTAGACTATAGTTCCCTGTCTCCCTGGAGATAAGTGTGGCCGTGTGACTGAGTTGGGGCCAGTGGACCATGAGTGTGTGTGATATGCACTGTTGCCACCATCGAACCATAAAATGCTCCTTTATGACTGTGAGGCAAACCACATTTTTTATTTTCCTATCCTCTGCTGAGTAGGGAAGACTTAGAGGTCCTATGCTGAGGTAGAGCTGCATGTAGGAAAGAGGCTAGTCCTCTAAATGACCAATGTTAATGCTGATTGGACTTAATGCTCCCAAGAAATAAACTTCCATTCTGTAAAGCCACTGAGCTTCTGGAGCTTATTTGTTATATCACAATCTCAAAATCCTAAAGAATATATCAAGTAGGAGGACAGGCAATTGGGTTGGAATCTTAGAAAAGAGGTCTCCTTGAAGATTGTAAGTCATTATAAGAAGTGATGATGCTATGGGCATGGATGGGATCTCCTTGGGGAAGATTATAGCAGTACTTTAGTAGAGAATCTACAGCTGAGTCTTGAAACACAAATATTAATTAGCCAATTGGATAAGCCTACAAAGTAGAAATAAGAGGAGCATTCAGGGTGATCAGAGGAATAGGAGCTAAGGTGTGAGGGGAGTATATCAAGAAAGAAAAGTATATCAATTGTTCTTGAAGGTAGCTTAAAATCCAAATAAGACAAGGACCTCCAGGCCCTCTGAAATGGATGTTGTTGATAACCTATGGGAAAGCTGCTTTTGTGAGTGGATCTATACCCAGAAGCCAGACTGGAAAGGGTGGATCAACCTGTTAGAGAAAAGGAAATTGAAACAATAAACCCAGGCAACTCTTCTGGAAAATTTGTCTGTGAAAGGGGAAAAGACATGGTGCTAATGAATAAGTTGGGTTTATTTGTGTCTGTTTTTTTTCCTTTTTGTACAAATAGAGATTCTTGAATGTGTTTAAATGAATACTTTAGTTCTATTTCTGATAGTCTAACAATATTAGAACCATGACAAATCACTCTACCACAAGACAATGACTAAAAAGTACTGAACAAATTTCAGATGAGATCTTCAAATGTATAGTAGCATTTAATAAAATTCAGCATTCATTTGTTGTTTAAAAGTGATTTGCATTCCATGAATAGAAGATAACTTCTTTATTCCAATCTGCAGTATCTACAAAAAACTTGTGACAAATGTCAGACTTAATGGTAAATGATGAGATAATTCTCTTCAAGATCAGGAACAAGGCAAGGGTGCTCACTATCACCATTTATATTTCACTTTTTTTCTGTAGGTCCTAGATGTTATAGGAAGTGGTGGGGAGGATTAAAAAAAAGCATGAGCATTGAACAAAAGAAACAAAACTGTGATTATTGACGAGTATATGGTTAGCTAAAAGGAAGAACAAAATAATTCCATAAATTGTCAAAATCTATGAGTGTTTAACAACTTTGCTACACATGAATTTATGTGTAGAAATCAAATGAATTTCTATAGTTCAACCATGAAGAGTTTGACAGTATAATCCTGAGAAAATATGACTTTCAATAGCAATTGTAATATTTGGGCCATACCTAGAAATAATTATAGATAGCAAAAGTTATGAAAAAATTTATTTAGAAATTACTTTTCATTGTGAAAGTAACAAAAATTTATTATAAGACAGGAAAGAAAAAAATATATATCTGTGGATTGGAAGGCTCAATATCACTTTTTAGAAAATAGACAAATGTCTGGCAGCAGTTGCAGGATGGCGAAGTGAAGGGGTGTTGGGCAGGGCCCAGCATCAGAGGATGGGGAGCAGGCAGCTGAGAACTTGCTTGCCCCTAAGAAGATGCGAAATGGCAAGACACAGAAACACACATGTGCTGAGGCTCCAAGCCACCTCTTGTGTGCTTTATTATTTCATTGAATTTCAAAAACAAAAGCAAAAGAAAATTATTAAGAATTTCGACAATGACTGCAGAGCATTAAACCCCAGATCTGGGATTCTTCTGAGCACAGGGCCTATGTAACTACATTGGCCACATGTCCATGAAGCTGGTCCTACTGTCACGTCCTGCCATTATATAATGTGATTTTATTGGTTTATTGGACATGAGAATTTTTAATCTCTCAATGATTCTCACGTTTAGCAAAGATTGAGAACTGCTCCCTAGAGAATTATCTTGCATGTGTGTATCAAGAAAAATGTACTAAGATGATCAAGCTACACTATTTACAATTTTTTAAAATGGAAAAATCCTAACATATGCCAGCTATAGAATAAATAGATGTATTTGCAATAGAATATTACATAGCAGTAAAAAATAAGTCACTAGTTCTACATCACAACATGGCTTCATTTCAGGATACTAAAGGGGCAAAAAAATGTGATTCCATTTATATAATGCTCAAAACATGAAAAACTAAACAATATATTGATTGGATTTTTTTTAATGTGGCAAAATTAGAAAGGGAAGCAAGGAATTAATCAACACTAATTTCTGTATTGGGAAAGAAAAGAATGTGATGTTGAGAGACACTTAAAAGAACTTCAAAAATCATGACAATGTTATTTTTCTTTAACTGAATGATAAATATAATTATTTTTCATAATTATATTTATATTATAAATTTTGTTTTCTGACTATTAATCATGTAGTGAAAATTATCCTTTCAAAAAGCAATGGAAATTATCCAGTTGAGGAAGAATGGTTGAATATTCAAAAAATGATTTTAAAACTTTGCTCTTTACATCACTCAGATAACACATAGTAGGGTCCAGTTCCAAGCCCAAGGCTATGACCCACCAGGTCATCACTTTGTGATCAGGATCATTAAGGAGGTATGCAGATCAATGAGTCTTCACATATCCACACAAACAGCTGACACAGGCAACAAAAGTGTCATTTACTGAGACTAAAGAAGCAGGATATTTTAAGCACAGTACAGGAGTAGGTAAGAAGAAACAGAATATCTCCAACAAGTCACTGAAAAGATGTTCCATATTATTTATAATAAAAATACAAATTAAAAATATTGAAACTTTCTCATTAAAATGTAACAGAAACAAACTGTTTTTTTTTCAGTGTCTACCAAATTTAAAAATGCACAAATCTTATGGTCTAGTAATTCCACTATTTGAAACTTACTCTATTCAAATGCCAGTACATACGTGCAATAACATTTATTGCAGCAATGTCTGTAAAAACAATTGCATTCAAACAAAATATCCACATTAACAGGAGATTAGTTAACAATTATGATATAGCTCTACTATAAGATATGATATGACCTTTAAAAAGAATTAAGCAGGGAGGAGCCAAGATGGCCGAATAGGAACAGCTCCGGTCTACAGCTCCGAGCCTGAGCGACGCAGAAGATGGGTGATTTCTGCATTTCCATCCGAGGTACCGGGTTCATCTCACTAGGGAGTGCCAGACAGTAGGCGCAGGTCAGTGGGTGCGCGCACCTTGCGTGAGCCGAAGCAGGGCGAGGCATTGCCTCACTTGGGAAGCGCAAGGGGTCAGGGAGTTCCCTTTCTGAGTCAAAGAAAGGGGTGACGGACGGCACCTGGAAAATCGGGTCACTCCCACCCGAATACTGCGCTTTTCCGACGGGCTTAAAAAACGGCGCACCATGAGATTCTATCCAGCACCTGGCTCGGAGGGTCCTACGCCCACGGAGTCTCGCTGATTGCTAGCACAGCAGTCTGAGATCAAACTGCAAGGCAGCAGCCAGGCTGGGGTAGGGGCGCCCGCCATTGCCCAGGCTTGCTTAGGTAAACAAAGCAGCCGGGAAGCTCCAACTGGGTGGAGCCCACCACAGCTCAAGGAGGCCTGCCTGCCTCTGTAGGCTCCACCTCCGGGGTCAGGGCACAGACAAACAAAAAGACAGCAGTAACCTCTGCAGACTTAAATGTCCCTGTCTGACAGCTTTGAAGAGAGCAGTGGTTCCCCCAGCACGCAGCTGCAGATCTGAGAATGGGCAGACTGCCTCCTCAGGTGGGTCCCTGACCCCTGACCCCCAAGCAGCCTAACTGGGAGGCACCCCCCAGCAGGGGCAGACTGACACCTCACAGGGCAGGGTACTCCAACAGATCTGCAGCTGAGGGTCCTCTCTGTTAGAAGGAAAACTAACAAACAGAAAGGACATCCACACCAAAAACCCATCTGTACATCACCATCATCAAAGACCAAAAGTAGATAAAACCACAAAGATGGGGAAAAAACAGAGCAGAAAAACTGGAAACTCTAAAAAGCAGAGTGCCTCTCCTCCTCCAAAGGAACGCAGTTCCTCACCAGCAACGGAACAAAGCTGGACGGAGAATGACTTTGACGAGCTGAGAGAAGAAGGCTTCAAACGATCAAATTACTCTGAGCTACGGGAGGACATTCAAACCAAAGGCAAAGAAGTTGAAAACTTTGAAAAAAATTTAGAAGAATGTATAACTAGAATAACCAATACAGAGAAGTGCTTAAAGGAGCTGATGGAGCTGAAAACCAAGGCTCGAGAACTACGTGAAGAATGCAGAAGCCTCAGGAGCTGATGCGATCAACTAGAAGAAAGGGTATCAGCGATGGAAGATGAAATGAATGAAATGAAGTGAGAAGGGAAGTTTAGAGAAAAAAGAATAAAAAGAAATGAGCAAAGCCTCCAAGAAATATGGGACTATGTGAAAAGACCAAATCTACATCTGATTGGTGTACCTGAAAGTGATGGGGAGAATGGAACCAAGTTGGAAAACACTCTGCAGGATATTATCCAGGAGAACTTCCCCAATCTAGGAAGGCAGGCCAACGTTCAGATTCAGGAAATACAGAGAACGCCACAAAGATACTCCTCGAGAAGAGCAACTCCAAGACACATAATTGTCAGATTCACCAAAGTTGAAATGAAGGAAAAAATGTTAAGGGCAGCCAGAGAGAAAGGTCGGGTTACCCTCAAAGGGAACGCCATCAGACTAAGAGCGGATCTCTTGGCAGAAACCCTACAAGCCAGAAGAGAGTGGGGGCCAATATTCAACATTCTTAAAGAAAAGAATTTTCAACCCAGAATTTCATATCCAGCCAAACTAAGCTTCATAAGTGAAGAAGAAATAAAATACTTTACAGACAAGCAAATGCTGAGAGATTTTGTCACCACCAGGCCTGCCTTACAAGAGTTCCTGAAGGAAGCACTAAACATGGAAAGGAACAACCGGTACCAGCTGCTGCAAAATCATGCCAAAATGTAAAGACCATCGAGACTAGGAAGAAACTGCATCAACTAACGAGCAAAATAACCAGCTAACATCATAATGACAGGATCAAATTCACACATAACAATATTAACTTTAAATGTAAATGGACTAAATGCTCCAATTAAAAAACACAGACTGGCAAATTGGATCAAGAGTCAAGACCCATCAGCGTGCTGTATTCAGGAAACCCATCTCACGTGCAGAGACACCCATAGGCTCAAAATAAAAGGATGGAGGAAGATCTACCAAGCAAATGGAAAACAAAAAAAGGCAGGGGTTGCAATCCTAGTCTCTGATAAAACAGACTTTAAACCAACAAAGATCAAAAGAGAGAAAGAAGGCCATTACATAATGGTAAAGGGATCAATTCAACAAGAAGAGCTAACTATCCTAAATATATATGCACCCAATACAGGAGCACCAAGATTCATAAAGCAAGTCCTGAGTGACCTACAAAGAGACTTAGACTCCCACACATTAATAATGGGAGACTTTAACACCCCACTGTCAACATTAGACAGATCAACGAGACAGAAAGTCAACAAGGATACCCAGGAATTGAACTCAGCTCTGCACCAAGCGGACCTAATAGACATCTACAGAACTCTCCACCCCAAATCAACAGAATATACATTTTTTTCAGCACCACACCACACCTATTCCAAAATTGACCACATACTTGGAAGTAAAGCTCTCTTCAGCAAATGTAAAAGAACAGAAATTATAACAAACTATCTCTCAGACCACAGTGCAATCAAACTAGAACTCAGGATTAAGAATCTCACTCAAAACCACTCAACTACATGGAAACTGAACAACCTGCTCCTGAATGACTACTGGGTACATAACGAAATGAAGGCAGAAATAAAGATGTTCTTTGAAACCAACCAGAACAAAGACACAACATACCAGAATCTCTGGGACACATTCAAAGCAGTGTGTAGAGGGAAATTTATAGGACTAAATGCCCACAAGAGAAAGCAGGAAAGATCCAAAACTGACACCCTAACATCGCAATTAAAAGAACTAGAAAAGCAAGAGCAAACACATTCAAAAGCTAGCAGAAGGCAAGAAATAACTAAAATCAGAGCAGAACTGAAGGAAATAGAGACACAAAAAACCCTTCAAAAAATTAATGAATCCAGGAGCTGGTTTTTTGAAAGGATCAACAAAATTGATAGACCACTAGCAAGACTAATAAAGAAAAAAAAAGAGCAGAATCAAATAGATGCAATAAAAAATGATAAAGGGGATGTCACTACCGATCCCATAGAAATACAAACTATCATCAGAGAATACTACAAACACCTCTACACAAATAAACTAGAAAATCTAGAAGAAATGGATAAATTCCTCGACACATACACTCTCCCAAGACTAAACCAGGAAGATGTTGAATCTCTGAATAGACCAATAACAGGAGCTGAAATTGTGGCAATAATCAATAGCTTACCAACCAAAAAGAGTCAAGGACCAGATGGATTCACAGCCGAATTCTACCAGAGGTACAAGGAGGAACTGGTACCATTCCTTCTGAAACTATTCCAATCAATAGAAAAAGAGGGAATCCTCCCTAACTCATTTTATGAGGCCAGCATCATTCTAATACCAAAGCCAGGCAGGGACACAACAAAAAAAGAGAATTTTAGACCAATATCCTTGATGAACATTGATGCAAAAAACCTCAATAAAATACTGGCAAAATGAATCCAGCAGCACATCCAAAAGCTTATCCACCATGATCAAGTGGGCTTCATCCCTGGGATGCAAGGCTGGTTCAATATACACAAATCAATAAATGTAATCCAGCATATAAACAGAGCCAAAGGCAAAAACCACATGATTATCTCAATAGATGCAGAAAAAGCCTTTGACAAAATTCAACAACCCTTCATGCTAAAAACTCTCAATAAATTAGGTATTGATGGGACATATTTCAAAATAATAAGAGCTATCTATGACAAACCCACAGCCAATATCATACTGAATGGGCAAAAACTGGAAGCATTCCCTTTGAAAACTGGCACAAGACAGGGATGCCCTCTCTCACCACTCCTATTCAACATAGTGTTGGAAGTTCTGGCCAGGGCAATTAGGCAGGAGAAGGAAATAAAGGGTATTCAATTAGGAAAAGAGGAAGTCAAATTGTCCCTGTTTGCAGATGACATGATTGTATATCTAGAAAACCCCATTGTCTCAGCCCAAAATCTTCTTAAGCTGATAAGCAACTTCAGCAAAGTCTCAGGATACAAAATCAATGTACAAAAATCACAAGCATTCTTATACACCAACAACAGACAAACAGAGAGCCAAATCAAGAGTGAACTCCCATTCACAATTGCTTCAAAGAGAATAAAATACCTAGGAATCCCACTTACAAGGGATGTGAAGGACCTCTTCAAGGAGAACTACAAACCACTCCTCAAGGAAATAAAAGAGGATACAAACAAATGGAAGAACATTCCATGCTCATGGGTAGGAAGAATCAATATTGTGAAAATGGCCATACTGCCCAAGGTAATTTACAGATTCAATGCCATCCCCATCAAGCTACCAATGACTTTCTTCACAGAATTGGAAAAAACTACTTTAAAGTTCATATGGAACCAAAAAAGAGCCCGCATCACCAAGTCAATCCTCAGCCAAAAGAACAAAGCTGGAGGCATCTCGCTACCTGACTTCAAACTATACTACAAGGCTACAGTAACCAAAACAGCATGGTACTGGTACCAAAACAGAGATATAGATCAATGGAACAGAACAGAGCCCTCAGAAATCACGCCGCATATCTACAACTATCTGATCTTTGACAAACCTGAGAAAAACAAGCAATGGGGAAAGGATTCCCTATTTATTAAATGGTGCTGGGAAAACTGGCTAGCCATATGTAGAAAGCTGAAACTGAATCCCTTCCTTACACCTTATACAAAAATCAATTCAAGATGGATTAAAGACTTAAACGTTAGACCTAAAACCATAAAAACCCTAGAAGAAAACCTAGGCATTACCATTCAGGACATAGGCATGGGCAAGGACTTCATGTCTAAAGCACCAAAAGCAATGGCAACAAAAGACAAAATTGACAAATGGGATCTAATTAAACTAAAGAGCTTCTGCACAGCAAAAGAAACTACCATCAGAGTGAACAGGCAACCTACAAAATGGGAGAAAATTTTCGCAACCTACTCATCCGACAAAGGGCTAATATCCAGAATCTACAATGAACTAAAACAAATTTACAAGAAAAAAACAAACAATCCCAACAAAAAGTGGGCGAAGGACATGAACAGACACTTCTCAAAAGAAGACATTTATGCAGCCAAAAAACACATGAAAAAATGCTCATCATCACTGGCCGTCAGAGAAATGCAAATCAAAACCACAATGAGATACCATCTCACACCACTTAGAATGGCAATCATTTAAAAGGCAGGAAACAACAGGTACTGGAGAGGATGTGGAGAAATAGGAACACTTTTACACTGTTGGTGGGACAGTAAACTAGTTCAACCATTGTGGAAGTCAGTGTGGCGATTCCTCAGGGATCTAGAACTGGAAATACCATTTGACCCAGCCATCCCATTACTGGGTATATACCCAAAGGACTATAAATCATGCTGCTATAAAGACACATGCACACGTATGTTTATTGCGACATTATTCACAATAGCAAAGACTTGGAACCAACCCAAATGTCCAACAATGATAGACTGGATTAAGAAAATGTGGCACATATGCACCATGGAATACTATGCAGCCATAAAAAAGGATGAGTTCATGTCCTTTGTAGGGACATGGATGAAATTGGAAATCATCATTCTCAGTAAACTATCGCAAGAACAAAAAACCAAACACCGCATATTCTCACTCATAGGTGGGAATTGAACAGTGAGATCACATGGACACAGGAAGGGGAATATCACACTCTGGGGACTGAGGTGGGGTGGGGGGAGGGGGGAGGGATAGCATCGGGAGATATACCTAATGCTAGATGACGATTTAGTGGGTTCAGCGCACCAGCATGGCACATGTATACATATGTAACTAACCTGCACAATGTGCACATGTACCCTAAAACTTAAAGTATAATTAAAAAAAAAAAAAAGAATTAAGCTACCATGTATGTAAATACTTGGAAATGGGTCTACCATATATTTTTTAAGTTTAAAAAGGAACCTGTAAAGCAATAAGTATAGTTTGATTGCCTTAAAAAATGTGTGTGTGTATCAGAGTAAAGGAGACATGTTTGGGTATATACAAGGTATTCAAAGTATGTATGTATTACAAGTAAAGAAAAAGTTCAAAAGAATATACACCAACCTTATGAACATTGGCTCTCTCTTGAGAATGGGATTATTTCTGTATTCTTTAAATTTGTTTAAGCATGTATCACATGCTTTTTTTTTTGTATTGCTATGTTTTCCATCTCTTGTAGAATTTACTAAACAGAGGTTTTCTGCTTTTTCTTAATCCTCTTTCTCCTCCTCCTCCTCTACCTTCCCTCTTTTGTCTCCTACTTCTTCTCCTTGTTCTTTTCCTCCTTCCTGTTTCCTCTTCTTCCTCCCCTCCTCCCCCTTCTCCTCCTCCTCTCCTTTCTCTCCTCCTACTTCTTCTCCTACTCTTCCTTCCTGTTTTCTCTTCCCTCTCCCTTCCTGCCCCTTCCTTTTCCTCTTCCTCCTTTTCTTTCTCCTTTTTCTTTTAATTATCCACATGGAGGATCTGAATATTTTGGGTCAGAATGGTGGTATTTCATATCTCTTTTAGTTGACTATATAACTGGTATTTAAATAAAAAAAAGCTCTGGGAAATGCAAAAAGAACATTTCTGTCAGCTTAAGGTATACCCTCTCACTCCTTCGGTATAATGGACTGAAAACAATAATGGATCCTTTAATCCTTCCCGTGTTGATGGTCCTCTGTCTCTTAACCAACTTCTCTCTCTTCCATGGCTCTCATTTCCCTATTAGCTCTAAGGGCCACAAATTTGTTCTGTGCTACAGATTATCACAGACAAGTAAGTTTGTTGTGAATCCATAGGTTAGTAGGTAAGTGGAGGTTGGTGACAGAATACATGGTTTGTTCAGGATGCTCTTCTGCCTGAGTCTAGTCCTGCACACAGGACCAGATAAGGGCTCTTCAGTGCATTTTCCAAGCTTAGTTCTCAGAACAGAACTATGAAGTTCAGACTAATAGGACTTTGGAGCATATGGAACAGATATAAGTTTTTTGTTTTGTTTTGTTTTGTTGTTGCTGTTTTTTTTTTTTTCATTATCATTTCACAAACAGGAGAACATAGCGGGCTCCAAGTCAACCAGCCAGGGTCATGACTATACCACACCCAATGTAGAACCCTGGGCAAGCTATTTAATCTCATAAATTTATTTCCAGAAAAATTTTTGTTCCAAGAAAGTGTTTTTGAAACTTCAGTGAACAACATGTTAGTAAGTCTTAAAATAATTTAGTGGGTAGTGGTCAGCATTGGGGAACAATAGAATAAAGCAATAAAAATTGTTAACAAACAGAGTATGTTGCATAAAAATGAGAGTACAGTGCTAATATAAACATATATTACTTACTGTGGCCTAAGCTCAAATGAGTTTGAGAAACAATGCATTTAATTAAGCAAATGTGACAAACTGAAAAGCCTCCCTTCACAGTCCTCTCAGTTCCACTCAGTTCTGACCCTTTCAAGTAAAGAAAGCAGAAGCTAAAGGGTTTTAGAAACATACTGTAATGACCGATCTTTTGAAAATTCATGAGAGTGCTAGGCTGATGTGAGAAGTCGGGGCAATGATGAGAGACATACTTCCTTCAGCAAATGTCCTTGTGCTACTTTCATATATTTGAGGCAATGGATAAAGGTTTGTTAGAATTAGCAAGGCCTAAGGATTTGGTTTCTGGTTTTGTTTGGAATTTTTCCTATTAATTCAAGTATAGTCATCACTCCATACCTGTGAGTTCTGCACCCCTCGACTCAACCAACTTTGGATCAAAATATTTGAGAGAAAAAAATAATTTTAAAAAAACAGCAAAATGATAAAATATAATATGAATATAAAAGATACATTATAACTACAATTTACATGACATTTATATGTAAATCATGTATTAGATATTATAAGTATTCTAGATATTATTTAAAGTATATGGGAGGATATACATAGGTTATATGCAAATACTACACCATTTTATATCAGGGACTTGAACATGAACAAATTTTGGTGTCCATTTGAGTCCTGGAACCAATTCCCCATGGATACCAAGGGACAATTCTACCAAGAACTGTGACCAAAGGCCTTTGAGGTTCCTTTAATTCTATAATCCTGTCATTTGAAATTCCTAGTCTTAGTAGGTAATATTTGGAGCAAAAACTTCCTCTTCCTAGGTGAGTAAAGAAAAGTGAAATCATTTTGAATTTTCATTCTTTAAAGCATTCATACAGAACTTTAATATTTACACAATTTTAAATGTCTATCTTTAGTGCCTCTGCAAATTTTTTGCTCTGAAAAGGTTATAGTAAGCAAACACTATGAAAATTGAACACAATTGTTATTATATTTGAGAAAAACATGTTTAGAACTAGAATTAGGATGTTTAGACCTGTATTTTTAGAGAATTTTTGCCAAATAAATTGAATCATTATTAACCTGTAGAATCAACATTTTTCTTCATACCTTGTAATATTAGAAAGAACCTATAAATAACCATTATTATATAACTGTATATATTACTATAAGTTTAGTTTGGTTAATACCAAATTGGTTATTTGGTATTTTCCTGCTGTAATCATATGAGCCATTCATTATAAGTATTTTCAGTTTCAACAGAACTAATGTTAATAAGAGAGGAAAATTAGAGAATATGACTTATATAACACTTCAATTCTTCTCTGTATCGTGATTTCAGTTGAAATATATCTGTAGTGTTAATTATAGAAATTGTGGATATTCCACAGAAAACACTGTCGAAATCAAAACCATAAACTCTGAGCTGTATGCCTATTACATAATATACAACAAATCACAATTTTTAGCACATTGGCTAATGTGCATCTCCTAAGTATCTGTAAAGAAAAATAGAAATATAAATGTGTAAATATGCATCTGTATATAGATATAGATACAGATATAGATATAGATATAGATGTAGATATAGATCTATGTCTGTCAAACATTTTCAATAAATATAAAGATTTGGTTTGCTATGAAACAGTAAATATCCATTACTTCCTTCTAGAAACAGTACCTGCAGATATGGTAGTTACAGCTAGGGATCTAGGGGTAGGGGCCTGGGGAAGTTTGGGGACGTCGAAGGTTGCATGGTCTAACCCTGAAGATGGATAATAGAGAGGTTTTGAATTATTACATGATCACATCCTTAGGTTGTTTCCTTAAGACTCATGAAAGTCCTTCTTGACCATTAGCTCACTTTGAGATGCTGAACAAATTATTTAAATTCCTAAATATCAATTTTCTTGTCCCTAAATTAAACAATAACTTCGGAAAATATGTTTTCCATTTCATCATTATAGGTTGATCAGCAGACATGTTAAAGACCAAGGGGAGAAAAACTAAATTGAAGAGTGAATATATTGTACATAGGCCAGGACAGCCAATCATAGTAGGTTGTTAGAGTAATGATCCTTGATTAATCTGACCTTGAATATTCATATCCTTATGTAGTCCACTCCCACAGTGACTCTGAGGTTGGCCATTGTGATTTGCTTTGTTCAGTGAAATAATTACAAATGTGACAGTAGCAGATACTAGACAGCTACACAATGGGGTTTAGCCATTAGGAACTCTTCTGCTTCCACATAAGAGTTTTTGGCTATATTGCTGAAGATGTCATATTGAAGTGAACCACACCACACCAGAAAATGGTGTCTGCTAATACCACCTTGGACCAAACAGCCTCAGCCGAGCCTAAAGATACCAGATGACTATAGGCACATGAGTGACCCCCCAAAAGACCATCGGAAGAGCCATCCAGCTGAGCCAAGTCCAATGTGCAGAATTGTGAGCAAATAAATGGTTATCGTTTTAAGCCATTGTTTTGTTACTTAGTATAGATACTTATGGTTTGTTATGCAGCAATTGATACTTGATATATCCATTTATCTGATAGAATAAACCTTCTATGCTTTTGATATTGAAATCAATAAATGATAATTAAGAGTGACCTATCATATAAATTTTTAAAATGTACTATTTTCAAGTAAGTGAGTAAAATAGCAAATACACAGAACATAATCAGAAAGCAAATTTTCAAATGCAATACCAAACACAAAAATGTCTGTGCTGGATTACCTCTTTTACTGTATAGGCAAAAACAAAATAGATAGATAGATAGATGATAGATAGATAGATAGATAGACAGATAATTTTATTTGGGGAACTTACTGAAACATGATTTTCTATGAAGCATGTGCTGGAAAATCTTACACAAAGATTCCTCACTTTGTGTAATGGTCCTACAGGTACATTGCACTTGAAGGACCGTCCCAAGGATATCTATGTAAGCAGCTTTGCAGTCATCACTTCCTGAACAAGTGAGGTCCTGTTTGCTTAAGGTGCTAATGCAATTCTCATCTTCATGGCACTTTCTAGTCACACGCTGCCAGCATTTTGACTGAAATGTTCTATAGTGCCTCCTAGAGAAAGAGTGAAGAAAAATAATTAGTTTTGAATAGTGTTATTTCACATTAACATGTGATCCCCCCTCACCTAATGAAAGACATAGAACACAATGCCTTCGAGATGCCAGTACATAGTTGAAAAGTAAATTTGTGATTTGAAAAATCACCATAGGTAGTGTGGAAGAAATTGTAGAGTAATATTGTGAATTATTGTCCCTTTTTTGTGATGAAAGACAGCAGTTAAGTTGAGGATTCCACGGATGGATTTTCCTTTATTACTAATTTTATTCCAATGTATGACTATTTGAGGCATGAACTGCTTCAGAGATTTATTGGCAATTTTTTATTCCAAATATAGTTTTGTGGCTAGCCTTTGGCCACTGTGTCACACCAAGTGATTTCAAGTAAGGTATTTGACTTTTCAAGTCAGTTATCCCACAGGATGGGAGGCGCTTTATACTTTCTCAAGAGACTAAACAGACTAATTAGAATTTACAATATGTTGTGAGGTATAAAATTTCTGTATGTATTTGATTATTGCTGTAATAAAATTGAAAAAAAGTCTGGATAATGTACACTAATTTCATTTTTGAATTTTTTTACAATAAGAATATATTTTTATTAATGAATGCAAGAATAAAATTATTTCAATTTAATGTTTGTCACCGAAAATTGCTTTTTACTCTTCTTGAATAGGTTGACATCAAACATGTATGAAAGCCCTATAAGTACATGACATTTTCATGAAGTTATTTGTCCACATGGATGCTGCTATGTTAAAAAACCAAAGTCACATTGTTTTTAATAATTAAATATTTAACTCATCTTAAAGGATAAGCTTTTAAATATAATAATGAAGATTAATTCATGTATATTAAATTTATAATAAAGGAAATACTGCAAATTTTCTGAACATGTAATTATTAGGTCAGAAGAACAAACATATTCCTTCAATGCTGTTAAGGGTTACATATAAGATATCTTCTAAATGTAAGTTTTGGAAGTATTGATTGTCATTCAGATAGAGACTACATCTGTACCTACATGCTATTTATTCATTTTAAATATGTTTTACTAAGTTTAAATTGCATGGTTTATCTACTTATACATAAGTAGATAAATTTTCACTCAGGAAAAACACCATGAAATTTTGCCAAAATGATGAACTAAAGAATATTTAATTAAAAATAAAATACTACTTTGGTACACTGGATTCCAAAATTATTTGAAATGTAAATGGACTAAAGTCTCCAATTAAAAGACATAGTATGGCTGAATGGATTAAACGGATTAAAAATAAAACGAGCCAATGATCTGTTACCTCTAAGAAGCATACATCATCTATAAAGAAACACATAGATTGAAAAATAAAGGGATGGAAAAAGATATTCTATGCCAATGGAACCAAAAAAAGAAGCAGGAGTAGCTATACTTTAATTAGACAAAATAGATTTCAAGAAAAAAACTATAAAAAGATAAAGAAGGTGATTATATAATGATAACAGATTCAACTCAGCAAGAAGATATAACAATTGTAAATATATATGCACCCAACACTGCAGTACCTAGACATGTAAAGCAAATAGTATTAGACCTAAAGAGAGAGACTTCAACATCTCACTTTCAGCATTGGACAGATCATTCAGACAGAAAATCAACAAAGAAACATCAGTCTTAATCTGCACTATAGATAAAATGTACCTAATAGATATTTACAGGACATTTCATACAATAGCTGAAGAATACACATTATTCTCCTCAGCACGCAGATCGTTGTCAATGGTAACCCATATGTTAGCTAAAAAGCAAGTCTTAAAATTTTCAAAAACTTGAAATCATATCAAGTATTTTCTCTGATGACAATGGAATAAAACTAGAAATCAATGACAAGAGGAACTTTGAAAACTATACAAATACATGGAAATTAAACAATATGCTCCTGATTGTCCAGTGTGCAAATAAAGAAATTAAGAGTAAAATTTAGAGGTGTATTAAAACAATGAAAATGGAAGAACAACATACCAAAACCTGTGGGATATGGAAAAAGCAGTATTAAGAGAAAAGTTTATAGAAATAAGCACCTACATCAAAAAAGTAGAAAAACTTCAAATAAACAACTTAGCAACGCATCTTAAAGAACTAGAAAAGCAAGAGCAAACTGAACCCAAAATTAATAGTAGAAAATAAACTTCAGAGCAGAAATAAATGAAAGTGAAACAAAAAAAATTCAAAAGATTAACAAAATGAAAAGTTGGTCTTTTGGAAAGATAAAATCTCCAAACCATCAGCTAGGCTAATAAAAAGAAACAGAAGACCTCAATAAATGAAATCAGAGATTAAAAAGGAAATATTACAAATGATGCCACAGAAATTCGAAGGATCATTGAAGCCTACTATGAGCAAATATATGCCAATACATCAGAAAATCTAAAATGGATAAGTGAATAAATTTGTAGACACAACCTACCAAGATTGAACTATAAAGAAGTCCAAATCCTGAACAGACCAATAACAAGTAATGAGATCGAAGCTATAATAGAAAGTCTCCCAGCAAGGGAAAACCTGGGACATGATGCTGAATTTTACCAAACACTTAGAGAGGAACTAATACCAATTCTACTAAAAATATTTCCAACAATAGAGGAGGGAATACTTCCAAACTCATTCTTTGAGGCCAGTATCACCCTAATACCAAAACCAGACAAGACATACCAAGGAAAGTAAACTACAGGACAATTTTCCTGAAGAACATTAATGCAAAAATCCTCAACAAAATCCTAGCAAACCAAATGCAACAACACATTAAGATTTTTCATCATGACCACGTGGGATTTATCCTAGTGATACAAGGATGGTTCAATATATGAAAATCAATCAGTTTGATACATCATATCAACAAAATGAAGGACATAAAACATGATCTTTTCAATTGATGCTGAAAAAGCATTTGCTAAAGTTCTCTACGTTCCTTCATGATAAAAGCCTCAAAACCAGGATATAGAAGGAATATACCTCAACAGAATAAATGCCATATATGACAGAGCAGACCAATAGCTAGTATCATATAAAATGGGGAAAAACTGAAAGCTTTTCCTCTATGATCTGTAATGAGACAAGGATGCCTACTTTCATCACTATTATTCAACATAGTGCTGGAAGTCCTAGCCCAGCAATTAGACAAGAGAAGGAAAAGAAAAGGGGGGCATCCAAATTAGAAAGGTAGAAAAATTTGTTTGCAGATTATATAATTTTATATTTGAAAAGACCCAAAGACTCCACCAAGGAACTCTTAGAACTGATCAACAAATTCAGTAAAGTTGCAAGATATAAAATTAACATACAAAAATCAGTAGCATTTCTATATGCTAACAGCAAGCAATCTGAAAAACAAATCTTCAAAGTAGTCCCATTTACAATAGCTACAAATAAAATAAGATACTTGGAATATGTCTAAATGTCCAAAAAAGACTAAGCAAATTAATTAAGCTACATCCATGCAATGGCATACTCTATAGCCATTCAAACATTTGAGAATTTTCTTTTTTTTAATTTATTCTAAGAAAAATGAGATAGATGTGCAGAACGTGCAGGTTTATTACATAGGTACGCATGAGCCATGGTTGTTTGCTGCACCTATTGACCTGTCCTCTAAGTTCCCTCCCCTCGCCCCCGACTCCCTAACAGACCCTGATGTGTGAATTTTCTTATATGCAATTATGGAAAGATCTTTAATCCACATTTAGGGAAAAAAAACAAAAACAATATATAGAGAAGTATATAATATGATGTCATCTGTTTTAAATCAATTAAATAATGCATACATATTTAAAAGTATTTAGAATATTTCCTAAGCAAATACCTTGTCATTACTTTTTTAAGTTAATATATAAAAATATAATGTATTATAATTTTCTGTAAATACCCAGACTTTTGTGAAATTGGCAAGACATAATCTCACCTCCCTGAGGGTGTCGGTACTAGAGAAAGGTAATTGAGAAATGGCCCTTAAATTGTTCTCTTTGGCAGTTAAAAAATAAAGGAATTTCAAAGCCCATCGTGAATTGAAAAATTTGGAACAGGGACAGAAATTGTATTTTAAAACTGAAGTGCCCTGTTTTGCCTATGTACAGGCTCTTCTGCAAAAAAGATAAGTATCATAAAGGGCTTAATATTCTCATTGAAGAAGTGGTTTTCCATTTGGAGATTTGTTTTTCATCTGAATTACATTAACAATAATTTAATATAAAAGCTGGAAATCTCCCTAAGGCAAAATGTGCTCAGGAAAATGATAGGATTTGTCTTTTCACATTGACTACTAATATTATATAACATTTCCATCACCTCTATAAAGTACTGATTAAGGGACTATTTGCACATAGTGAAAGGAAATTGAAGACACACAGTCCTTACACTTGAACTAATCTAAGAAATAAATTACATGAGAAGAAATACATATATGTATACTAAAATATAACAATTAAGTGTACAATATTCAAAAGTGAGAGGAAGGGAGATGACGTTTTTTGAGTGCTTATCCCACTCCAGACCCCACACCAAACATTTTGAAAAGGTGGTTAAAGCTGGGGGTCCTTGTTGAGGAAAATCATCAACTCTGTGCCAGTCCATCTGAGAAGGTGTTGATACCAAGGGGAGGTTAGTGTAAGAGTGTGTGCTTCAGAGTCTATCACAGGAATTCTCAAGGACTATAGCAGCAGAGCCACCACTTGCTATTAAAATATTTTCTTTGATGTGGATGCTCAGAAATACCATGCTTTGAAGGTTGAATGCTAATGGCTTCCAGATAATTAGATAGCATATCGAAAGCCCTGGCACTGGAATCAGGCAAAGCTGGGTACCCATCTGTGAATAAATCTGATATTTTTATAGTGATTTTGCTATTGAAACCATGGTGCCCCTGGCCCTGGCTGGTTAAAATATTATTAGGTTTCATTGTTGATGTAGGAATATGATAGTTAGAAAGGCAGAATAGTAATAGTTTTAGTTCATTTGAGGTGAGAAAAGTAGTGTAATCACATGTGTTTGATATTTCATTGATTTCATATTTCATTGATTTCAGAAGATACCATTATTTTATGTACAACAACAATAACAACAAAAAACACCTGCTGGAACTTAAATTATGACAAATGTCTTTGTTATTGACCTTAAAAATTTATTTAAAATATGTCAGAGATGTTAAAATGTGTAAAAAGAAATTGCATCTTAGAATCAATGAAATGTAGTATTTCTCTAATAAGGATTTTTGAGATGATAAATGAGTTTGAAAAACCTAAATTGCATTATAAAAAGTATTTTGTCAATGCCTTATTCACTCAAGAAAAATAAATAATAAGCCTTAAAATAACTGACACATTTGCATGAAAAATTCTTGAATACAATTTTAAGAACCTTGATATCCTATAAGTTGACGAAATATGTCAATGCTCTAGGACTCTGCTTAGCTCTTTACCACTTATTTCATAGAATGTGTGCTATAGGGAAGCAGTTCTTTTTAACAAATGTTTACAAGATCTGGAACTACTTTGCCAGTTAGAGTGACTGAAAATAAGAGTAGACATAGTTAAAAAGCTAAAAGAGAGAATTTTACTAAGAACCTTCAGGAAGTTGATATCATTACTTTTTGTGTTTTTTTGCCAGTAGTTGAAACAAGGGGACAAATATGACAAATCACACACTAAGCCACCTACATGTCCGAAGCCCTAGGCAGTGTCCTTCAAGCCCTCATATGATATAGGCCTGTTCACACCCACTCAATTAACTCTCTTATCTCGCTCCTATTTCTCTCCCCTTTGCACACTCTACCCTCACTGCTTTTCTAAAATGCCACATACATGTTTTCCTAAGCACTGGCTGGTCAGTTTGCTTAATATCTCCTCTCTCAGTATCTACTGTTTGCCTAGTGTTGTTTGCCTTAAAACAACACATACATTTTTAATTTAATATCTGTCTTCTCTCTGGACTATAAGATCCATAGGCATTTGTTTTCCTTATTCGCCATTGCCTAGAGTAGTAGTAGGTGCTTGATAAATTTTTTTTGAATTAATAAATAAACGACTAACATTACTCCCCCAATAATTAAAGGTGTGAGGTTAGAAAGAGGAGAATGAATACATTTCTATGGTCATAGCATACATGTGTGCTAGGGATGTCCAAATCCTACTTGTATAGAGCATCCTTGACATAAGTAACTCCAAAAAAGACTCCATCTTAGATTTCATACGGTACTTTTCCAACAGGGACAAAATATTTTGCTAAATAAACAATACTGCATCCAACCAAATAAGGACATAAACAAGCATACTCTTCCACTATCGGTCCTCTCAAGAGGACTCTGTGGCCATAAAGAGAGTAGGACTTCAGCAGCTCAAAATGGCCATCTTACCTGACACCATCTTGCTGTCGCTCATAAGCACCCAGCATCTGCTGCCAACAATTCTCCCCACATCAGACTCTTCCTTGCAAGATCAATGGACAGCCCAGATAAGACCAGAAGAATCTTTGTTTTTGTCACTCTTCCTGGACTTTTTCATTAACCCTTTTCTCTATCCCTTTTCTCTTAATGTTAAATGTTACTTTGTTGTGGAATGTTTAACCTATAATCCTTATATATTAAGTATATTATTATGTATGGTTTGCAATATTGACTGATTTGTGGAGTGGCTTGAGCCTGTGTACCCATGGCTCTGAAAACAAAGTGAATGAGAAGTACTAAGGAGAACTGCCTCCTTGGGAACTCCATGTAGCTTGTGGCTTTTGTGATTGAACAGTATTAAAGCCTGACATTGTGAAAAGACACAAATGTGTGTGGACCTGGTTATCTCTGACTTTGCACCACTCATGTGAGTATTTATGCTACCTTCTTCCTCCTGATCTCCAGCCTAAGACAGAAAGAATTTATTTCAAAGTTTGAAGAGTCTCCTTGCCAAAATAATAAATTTGTAACAGCCTTACATAATTAAACAAACAACAAAAAAAAAATTAAAAAGCTGATATGTAAGTCAGGTCTATTAACCAATTCATTAGTCTAACTTGAATACATAATTTTTATAATATTATTTCATGGCTACCATATTTTGACATGCTGATTTTTTATTTCAAAAATCTACTCTGCATTTGAATTTCAGATGATACTGCATATGTACCACAGATTCAAAAAAATATTAATTGTCTGGTTTTATTTACACTATGTTGGATGATGGTGGGAACTCTAGCTAATGTTATGAGATCAAGTGTTAGGACTGGACTATAACAAATAAGGTGCCGAAATAAGAAAGTAAGGTATGAGTGTTTTTACCCACCTGCATAATTCATCATTTTGGCAGCTGCGAATTACACTGAGGCAAGTAGGGGGTGGAACCATGTTCACTGCACATGTCTTGCTGTGAAGAGCTTCTTTGGACTGCTGACAAGGTATATCAGATTGAGCACAGTCACAAAAAGCCAACATCTGGGCAATGTTAAAAGGTATATTTTGATAGAAGAACCGTATGGCTGCTTGGCACTGTTTCAGATCACACGGATTTCCATTTGCTGAGCAAGCTTTAAGGTAAGAGGCCAACTGTGCATTACAGACCACATCCCCTACACATGCCTCTGCCACTTCCAAACAGGACCACATCCCTTTGAATCCTGAAAGCAATGATATGCCCAGGTCGTGGAAAAGTAAACACAAAGCTGTACATACAGAAACTATAAAACACTGTGAGAAGTCTATGAGCAAAATACAATGATGTACCAATGTCCTATTTTTGGCAAACATTACATCTTTTAGAGTAAGTATGAATTTACTGAGACCTAAATCGTAGACTTATTGGAATCATCTTTCATCTATACAGGATACACATTGTGATCTAGAGTGATGGGAAGCGTGCTGGGCCAAAATTGAGCTGAAGGAAAAATCTCCCAGTCCAAGGTTTTCAAATGTAAACGATAAATCTTCAGAAATTGCATTTGAACTATGTAGCTTATGGTTAGCTCATTGGCTCAAGGCAAAATGATTCTTGTTCTGTTGCACATTTTTGTGAGGGGAATCTTGAATAAAGGCTCCACATATTTATTCTAGCATATATAAATGTTTATACTCCTACAGATACACAAGTATACACAAAAACAGTTGGTGCCAAATAACTTATATGATCACAAATACCTATTAAATGTAATCACTATCTACTATTTGGATTTTTGTTTGTTTGATTTTTGAGACAGGGTCTTGTTGTATAGTGGCATGATCCCAGCTCACTGCAACCTCCAACTCCTGGGCTCAAGTGATCCTCCTGCCTCAGCCTCCCAATGAGCTGGGATCACAGACACAAGCCTACATGACCCGCTAAGTTTTGACTTTTGTTTTTGTTTTTGTTTTGTTTTGTTTTTGTAGAGACAGGGTTTTGCCATGTTGTCCAGGTTGGTCTCAAACTCCTGGGATCAAATGATCCACCTACCTCAGCCTCCCACAGTACTGGGACTACAGCTGTGAGCCACTGTGCCCAACCTAGTATTTGGTTTTAATTATTAAGTATTTCTTAGCGCATGTATAAATTGATAATGGATGGGCAAAGTAGTTGCTTTGATGCATCATTAGTAAAAGAAATGAAATGATTTTGCTGCATTTTATTATATTAGAACTGTTAAACCACATGATTTGTTCTGTATTGGCCTATCTTTAAGAAGCCTGGTAACTGCATTTTATATTATCAGGTATTTGCAATGCAGATCAAAATAATAACTTAAAAACATTACCATGATGGGAACGTGTAGTTAGATTCCATTTGAATTTATCCTCTTTCACGTTATCTAGAAGGAAAACAAAGAAATTATTTCATTATTGAACAATTTTCTGAATTTCCTAGGAAAACGTGGGCCACATTTATAAATGAGTAAAGTCCACATATATTCAAGCAAAAGTACATACAAGGTTATGTAACATGTATTTAGCCCTTGATATTCAAAATTAATGTGGTATAGATGAAGAAAACAAGCCTCTGAAATATCATTCAAGTGAGCTATACAGCCCTGCTCTGAGGATTCAGTTACTTGAAGACTTAAATAAATGCTAGTGATTAGACTGTGTGCACGGAGTAAACAAACATTGGATGCTGACTGGGGAAAAAAAAAAAAAAAACAGAAGGAATATTTTCTGAACACTACCTCCCACCCTGCCCAGCATAAAAACCCTTCTCAGAAGGGTCTTCTTTAGTATGAAATGCAATTTTTAAAACCAGTTTCACCTCTGATTATCTTATCCTCCAAGAGTTCTTAGAAATTATAATTATAGTATTGAAAAATCTCATCAACGAAAATGAACTCGGTGTTCATCTAATTCCAAAATCTTTAAAGGAACATTGGTTGGTTCCCTACTATGTACCAGGTGACAAACTGAGGATGCAAATCTGCAGTCCCTGTCATCGAGCATCCCACAGCCCAGAAGGAAATACAGACATATAAAACAAAGCCAAAAGAAACTATAAGGAGCACTAATGTATCCATAAAGTGGCAGGGGAATCAGATGATAAGATTTTCATTTTGAAATGAAAATTATTATTTTTTCATTGGATATTAAGATAATAAGTTTTGTTATGGCATAAATGTCCCTTCATGATTATGTCCTAATCTGAGCTGTTTGTTCATATTTCCTGCCTGCTAGTCTAGTGCACATATAAGATGGTACTATCACAGGAAACTTACTTCTACCCCCAGGTGTGTCATGGCCTTCCAGACTCCTTATATTGTCCAAGCTATTCTCATTATGCATTGTTTTTCATTTTTTTAATTGATCAAGTCTCAGCTTGAGAACCACTCTTTCTTCTTGATCCCACCCATCATCCCGCCTCTCTGAGGAAGATCTGGAGGTTCCAACTTCTGTGCTACTATTCCATATCTAATAAAATCCCAACAAACAGATCCCAGGGAGTCATATAGCTTTTGTAACAGGTACAAAAGTCTAGGCTGGACATTCTTTTATGGATTAGTACCCCTGCATTGGGAATGATTGGTAAGGCTGTGCCACTGACTAAAATATATTCAAGAAACTACTGTGTAGACCTAAATAAACAACAGCTTCACTCACTGTTATTGACTGAATGTTTTTCTCATTACCCCTACATTCATAAGTTGGAGCCATAATCTCCGTGTGCAGTTATGGGGTGATGGTGTCTTTAGGTTAAAAGAGGTCATAAGAGTGGGGCCCTGATCGAATAGGATTAGTGTCCATGTCAGAAGACTTCAGGGAGCTAGCTGTCTCTCTCCCCTGGAGTACTCACTGAAGAAAGGTCCTGAGAACGCAGGGAAAATGTGGCTGGCTATCTACAAGCTAGTAAAAGAAGAGTCCTAGCCAGGAAAAGATTCTGGGGACCTTTATCTGAGATTTTTCGTAATCCGGAACTGGGGAAAAATACAATTTTTGCTTTTTAAGCCACCCAGCCCGTAGTATTTCGTTATGGTAGCCAGAGCAGCCTAATTTACTTACTATATGAGTACTTGTTACCAACACAACAAAACAGTTATTTTTAGTGTCTGAAAATAAAGTGCTTCATAGAAGGTATTACATTTTAATACTTATACATTAAATGCTAATTTTGTATGAAATTAACATTTACACATTAAATATAAAACTAGCATTTACACATACACACACACACACACACACACTCATTTTTTCCCAGAGGATATTTTAAACAGTGGCTTTTACTGAAAGAGGAGCTGAAGGTCAATATGTTCAGGAAACAAATAAAAGTATTCACCAATAAGACCTACATGTGAGTTATAAAATCCTATACAGTTCATCAGAAAATATCCAACAATCCCTAAAATATGCTCTAATATCTAATATTAGAATCAGAAGTACTTCCATACATCTTCTTTTTCTTAACATTGATAATATCAGAAACTAAACTCTTGTATATGTAAATATTTTGATTTATATTTTATAATCTGATAAGAAATATGCTTACAATAAACTAGTAGACAAACATGTTTCTATAAAATGACTAGTTGAATTAAATGCAACAGAGATTTCTTTTTTAGAGGGTATGTGGCAACATTTAAAGCAAAAGCAAAAGAAGATGCTCAAAAGAGACTGAGAAGAATCACCCATGGAAGCAAGAAGAAAAATAGAAAAGTGTAATATCTGGGAAGCCTAGATTTTCTCTAGCCTCACTTCCCTGTAGCTCTTGCTAGTGAATCCTACCCATTTCCCATATAGATCATACCACGATATCATTAGAATGTGTTTATATCTACTTTTCCAGCTTTGTAGCTTCCAAAATATTAATTATTCATCCTTATAAAACATTTCTCCTTCTTTGAATTTTATGCTGTCGGGTTGTGCCTCCCTCTTTTCTTTTGTCAAATATTAACCTCAAAGTCTTGCCCTGATATTCAGCATCGACTCAGGTACTGTCTCAATATTCTCCTCTACCTCAGATCTTGTCATTGTGCTAAGTTATCTCTATGTCTTTTGGGACAAAACCATCTTCCACCCTTAATTCAGAATTCCTTAACCATAGCTCTTATGACCTTCACCGACACTCCAACTATGCCACACCAATGATCGACTTCTAGACCTGACATTGACATGAAGTTCTCTCTCTTTCAATTGCAAATATTACTTATCTTACTCGCTTCCAAAGCTTCACATTCTTGATTATTTCATGTGCACATATACCTCCAGAACTTTCATCTTTTTATTCACTCCCAATCTTAGCATCATCTCCTGGATTCATAGACTCTTTCCAGCCTATATCACTCACCCATTCAGATAAAGGAACAGTTTCTTGTTATTGTCTTTTCGTCCTTTCTTCTTTTACTTTCCCGTGATTCTCTATAAAACTCCAACCCTATAAAATTTTACTGAGTGGTTTATCTGCTCATTTATACTGTTTTGTTTTCTCACAGAAAAGTCACACTATCAACTTAACTAGCATCCCAACAAATTAAAAAATTAATTACCACCAATATTACAGGTTATAGAACCACATAATGTTAATGTTCAATTTCTTTTGGTGATATTTTTCTTCATCACTTACTTTGTTTTTTCTTTTTTTTGGGGGGGGGGGATTTCTTGTTTATTTTTTGTACTGATATCTAGGTTATTTCCACCAAGATAAAATTACATGTTTCTAATTATTTCAGTGTCTTGAAATTTGTTGATATTTGCTTTGACTCAACATATGGTCAACTTTTTTTTTCTTTTACTTTTATACTTTAAGTTCTAGGGTACATGTGCACAACGTGCAGGTTGGTTACATATGTATACATGCGCCATGTTGGTGTGCTGCATCCATTAACTCATCATTTACATTAGGTATATCTCCTAATGCTATCCCTCCCCCCTCCTACCACCCCACGACAGGCCCCGGTGTGTGATGTTCCCCTCCCTGTGTCCAAGTGTTCTCATTGTTCAATTCCCACCTATGAGTGACAATATGCGGTGTTTGGTTTTTTTGTCTTTGGGATAGTTTGCTGAGAATGATGGTTTCCAGCTTCATCCATGTCCCTACAAAGGACATGAACTCATCCTTTTTTATGGCTGCATAGTATTTCATGGTGTATATGTGCCACATTTCCTTAATCAAGTCTATCATTGATGGACATTTGGGTTGGTTCCAAGTCTTTGCTATTGTGAATAGTGTTGCAGTAAACATACGTGTGCATGTGTCTTTATAGCAGCATGATTTGTAATCCTTTGGGTATATACCTGGTAATGGGATGGTTGGGTCAAATGGTATTTCTAGTTCTAGATCCCTGAGGAATCGCCACACTGTCTTCCACAATGGCTGAACTAGTTTACAGTCCCACCAACAGTGTAAAAGTGTTCCTATTTCTCCACATCCTCTCCAGCACCTGTTGTTTCCTGATTTTTTAATGATCGCCATTCTAACTGGTGTGAGATGGTATCTCATTGTGGTTTTGATTTGCATTTCTCTGATGGCCAGTGATAGTGAGCATTTTTTCATGTGTCAGTTGGCTGCATAAATGTCTTCTTTTGAGAAGTGTCTGTTCATATCCTTCACTCACTTTTTGATGGGGTTGTTTTTTTCTTGTAAATTTGTTTGAGTTCTTTGTAGATTCTGGGTAGTACCCCTTTGTCAGATGGGTAGATTGCAAAAATTTTCTCCCATTCTGTAGGTTGCCTGTTCACTCTGATGGTAGTTTCTTTTGCTGTACAGAAGCTCTTTAGTTTAATTAGATCCCATTTGTCAATTTTGGCTTTTGTTGCCATTGTTTTTGGTATTTTAGACATGAAGTCCTTGCCCGTGCCTATCTCCTGAATGGTATTGCCTAGGTTTTCTTCTAGGGTTTTTATGGTTGTAGGTCTAACATGTAAGTCTTTAATCCATCTTGAGTTAATTTTTGTATAAGGTGTAAGGAAGGAATCCAGTTTCAGCTTTCCACATATGGCTAGCCAGTTTTCCCAGCACCAGTTATTCAACAGGGAATCCTTTCCCGATTTCATGTTTTTGTCAGGTTTGTCAAAGATCAGATGGTTGTAGATGTGTGGTATTATTTCTGAGGGCTCTGTTCTGTTCCATTAGTCTATATCTCTGTTTTGGTACCAGTACCATGCTGTTTTGGTTACTACTGCCTTGTAGTATAGTTTGAAGTCAGGTAGCAAGATGCCTCCAGCTTTGTTCTTTTGGCTTAGGATTGTCTTGGCAATGCGGGCCCTTTTTTGGTTCCATATGAACTTTTTAAAGTAGTTTTTTCCAATTCTGTGAAGGAAGTCATTGGTAGCTTGATGGGGATGGCATTGAATCTATAAATTACCTTGGGCAGTATGGCCATTTTCATGATATTGGTTCTTCCTATCCATGAACATGGAATGCTCTTCGATTTGTTTGTGTCCTCTTTTATTCTGTTCAGCAGTGGTTTGTAGTCCTCCTTGAAGAGGTCCTTCACATCCCTTGTAAGTTGGATTCCTAAGTATTTTATTCTCTTTGAAACAATTGTGAATGGGAGTTCACTCATGATTTGGCTCTCTGTTTGTCTATTATTGGTGTATAGGAATGCTTGTGATTTTTGCACATTGATTTTGTATCCTGAGACTTTGCTGAAGTTGCTTATCAGCTTAAGGAGATTTTGGGCTGAGATGATGGGATTTTCTAAATATACAGTCATGTCATCTGCAAACAGGGACAATTTGACTTTCTCTTTTCCTAATTGAATACCCTTTATTTCTTTCTCCTGCCTGATTGCGCTGGCCAGAACTTCCAACACTATGTTGAATAGGAGTGGTGAGAGAGGGCATCCCTGTCTTGTGCCAGTTTTCAAAGGGAATGCTTCCAGTTTTTGCCCATCCAGTATGATATTGACTGTGGGTTTGTCATAAATAGCTCTTATTATTTTGAGATACATCCCATCAATACCTAATTTATTGAGAGTTTTTAGCATGAAGCGTTGTTTAATCTTGTCAAAGGCCTTTTCTGCATCTATTGAGATGATCATGTGGTTTTTGTCTTTGGTTCTGTTTATATGCTGGGTTATGTTTATTGATTTGCGTATGCTTTGAACCAGCCTTGAATCCCAGGGATGAAGCCCACTTGATCATGGTGGATAAGCTTTTTGATGTGCTGCTGGATTCGGTTTGCCAGTATTTTATTGAGGATTTTTGCATCAATGTTCATCAGGGATATTGGTCTAAAATTCTCTTTTTTTGTTGTGTCTTTGCCAGGCTTTGTTATCAGGTTGATGCTGGTCTCATAAAATGAGTTAGGGAGCATTCCCTCTTTTTCTATTGATTGGAATAGTTTCAGAAGGAATGGTACCAGCTCCTGTTTGTATTTCTGCTAGAATTCAACTGTGAATCCATCTGGTCCTGGACTTTTTTTTTGGTTGGTAGGCTATTAATTACTGCCTTAATTTCAGAGCTTGTTATTGGTCTATGCAGGGATTCAACTTTTTCCTGGTTTAGTCTTGGTAGAGTGTATGCATCCAGGAATTTATCCATTTCTTGTTGATTTTCTGGTTTATTTGTGTAGAGGTGTTTATTCTCTGATGGTAGCTTGTATTTCTGTGGGATGTATTTCTGTATTAAATGGTGATATCCCCTTTATCATTTTTTATTGCTTCTATTTGATTCTTCTCTTTTTTCTTCTTTATTAGTCTTGTTAGCAGTCTGTCAATTTTGTTGATCTTTTCAAAAAACCAGTTACTGGATTCATTGATTTTTTGAAGGGTTTTTTGTGTCTCTATTTCCTTCAGTTCTGCTCTGATTTTAGTTATTTCTTGCCTTCTGCTAGCTTTTGAATGTGTTTGCTCTTGCTTCTCTAGTTCTTTTAATTGTGATGTTAGGGTGTCAATTTTAGATCTTTCCTGCTTTCTTTTGTGGGCATTTAGTGCTATAAATTTCCCTCTACACACTGCTTTAAATGTGTCCTAGAGATTCTGGTATGTTGTGACTTTGTTCTCATTGTTTTCAAAGAACATCTTTATTTCTGCCTTCATTTAATTATGTACCCAGCAGTCATTCACGAGCAGGTTGTTCAGTTTCCATGTAATTGAGCGGTTTGGAGTGAGTTTCTTAATCCTGAGTTCTAGTTTGATTGCACCGTGGTCTGAGAGACAGTTTGTTATAATTTGTGTTCTTTTACGTTTGCCAAGGAGTGCTTTACTTCCAACTATGTGGTCAATTTTCGAATAAGTGTGATATGGTGCTGAGAAGAATGTATATTCTGTTGATTTCGGGTGGAGAGTTCTGTAGATGTCTATTAGGTCTGCTTGGTGCAGAGCTGAGTTCAATTCCTGGATATCCTTGTTACCTTCCTGTCTCATTGATCTGTCTAATGTTGACAGTGGGGTGTTAAAATCTCCCATTATTATTGAGTGGGAGTCTAAGTCTCTTTGTAGGTCTCTAGTGACTTGCTTTATGAATCTGGGTGCTCCTGTATTGGGTGCATATATATTTAGGATAGTTAGCTCTTCTTGTTCAATTGATCCCTTTACCATTATGTAATGGCCTTCTTTCTCTCTTTTGATCTTTGTTGTTTTAAAGTCTGTTTTATCAGAGACTAGGATTGCAACCCCTGCCTTTTTTTGTTTTCCATTTGCTTGGTAGATCTTCCTCCATCCTTTTATTTTGAGCCTATGTGTGTCTCTGCACGTGAGATGGGTCTCCTGAATACAGCACACTGATGGGTCTTGACTCTTTATCCAATTTGCCAGTCTGTGTCTTTTAATTGGAGCATTTAGCCCATTTACATTTAAGGTTAATATTGTTATGTGTGAATTTGATCCTGTCATTATGATGTTAGCTGGTTATTTTGCTCGTTGGTTGATGCAGTTTCTTCCTAACATCGATGGTCTTTACAATTTGGCATGAGTTTTTCAGTGGCTGGGTACCGGTTGTCCCTTTCCATGTTTAGTGCTTCCTTCAGGAGCTCTTTTAGGGCAGGCCTAGTGGTGACAAAATCTCTCAGCATTTGCTTTTCTGTAAAGTATTTTATTTCTCCTTCACTTATGAAGCTTAGTTTGGCTGGATATGAAATTCTGGTTTGAAAATTCTTTTCTTTAAGAATGTTGAATATTGGTCCCCACTCTCTTCTGGCTTGTAGAGTTTCTGCCGAGAGATCTGCTGTTAGTCTGCTGGGCCTCCCTTTGTGGGTAACCCAACCTTTCTCTCTGGCTGCCCTTAACATTTTTTCCTTCATTTCAACTTTGGTGAATCTGACAATTATGTGTCTTGGAGTTGCTCTTCTCAAGGAATATCTTTGTGGCATTCTCTGTATTTCCTGAATTTGAATGTTGGTCTGCCTTGCTAGATTGGGGAAGTTCTCCTGGATAGTATCCTGCAGAGTGTTTTCCAACTTGGTTCCATTTTCCCCATCACTTTCAGGTACACCAATCAGATGTAGATTTGGTCTTTTCATATAGTCCCATATTTCTTGGAGGCTTTGTTCATTTCTTTTTACTCTTTTTTTCTCTAAACTTCTCTTCTCGCTTCCTTTCATTTGTTTAATCTTCAATCACTGATACTCTTTCTTCCAGTTGATCGAATCGGCTACTGAAGCTTGTGCATTCATCATGTAGTTCTCGTGCCATGGTTTTCAGCTCCATCAGCTCATTTAAGGACTTCTCTATACTGTTTATTCTAGTTAACCAATTGTCTAATCTTTTTTCAAGGTTTTTAGCTTCTTTTCAATGGGTTCGAACATCCTCCTTTAGCTCAGAGAAGTTTGATCATCTGAAACCTTATTCTCTGAACTCGTCAAAGTCATTCTCCATCCAGCTTTGTTCCATTGCTGGCGAGGTGTTGCATTCCTTTGGAGGGGGAGAGTTGCTCTGATTTTTAGAATTCTCAGCTTTTCTGCTCTGTTTTTTCCCCATCTTTGTGGTTTTATCTACCTTTGGTCTTTCATGATGGTGATGTATAGATGGGGTTTTGGTGTGGATGTCCTTTCTGTTTGTTAGTTTTCCTTCTAACAGTCAGGACCCTCAGCTGCAGGTCTGTTGGACTTTGCTGGAGGTCCACTCCAGACCCTGTTTGACTGGGTGTCAGAAGCAGAGGTTGCAGAACAGCAAATATTGCTGAACAGCAAATGTTGTTGTCTGATCGTTCCTCTGGAAGCTTCGTCTCACAGGGGTACCCAGCTGTGTGAGGTGTCAGTCTGCCCCTACTGGAGGGTGCCTCCCAGTTAGGCTACTTGGGGGTCAGGGACCCACTTGAGAAGGCAGTATGTTCATTCTTAGATTTCAAACTCTGTGCTGCGAGAACCACTATTCTCTTCAAAACTGTCAAACAGGGACATTTAAGTCTGCAGAGGTTTCTGCTGTCTTTTGTTCGGCTATGCCCTGCCCACAGAGGTGGAGTCTACAGATGCAAGCAGGCCTCCTTGAGCTGCGATGGGCTCCACCCAGTTTGAGTTTCCCAGCTGCTTTGTCTACCTTCTCAAGCCTCAGCAATGACAGGCGTCCCTCCCTCAGCCTCGCTGCTGCCTTGCAGTTTGATCTCAGACTGCTGCGCTAGGAATGAGCGAGGCTCCATGGGCGTGGGACCCTCCAAGCCAGGCACGGGATATAATCTCCTGGTGTGCCATTTGCTAAGACCACTGGAAAAGTGCAGTATTAGGGTGAGAGTGACCCGATTTTCCAGGTGCCATCCGTCACCACTTCCCTTGGCTAGTAAAGGGAATTCCCTGACCCCTTGTGCTTCCCGGGTGAGGCAATGCCTCACCCTGCTTCAGCTCACGCTCAGTAGGCTGCACCCACTATCCTGCCCCCACTGTCTGACAAGCCCCAGTGAGATGAACCTGGTACCTCAGTTGGAAATGTGGAAATCACTCGTCTTCTGCATCACTCAGGCTGGGAGCTGTAGACTGGAGCTGTTCCTATTCTGCCATCTTGGAACTGCTGCCAACCACTTTTGTTTGCTCATTTCATTTGATGATGCTCTTTATATTCTCCAGGGTTTACACATAAATATTTTATTAATGGATACATCATGGAGATGCTCAATATTTAGTTAATGAAAAATATTTACGTTATATATTTACTAATAATTTGCTAAGCGTCAGGTATTCTGCTGGGTGCTTTAGCATATTTTTTAAAAGAAATAACAAAACTGATTTTCTTGAGAATAGAAAAGTGCATGTCTGTGTACTCTGGAGAATATTTTGGGAATGCAAAGCATGGAGAGAAAACCATTTTGTTGAAGTGATGATTAGAAGGTCTGTGGAGGATGCTGCAGTTGACATAGAAGGAATGGTAAGATTTAAATTATCATGTTCTTTCTCATATTTAAATTATCAATTTCTTTATAATTCTTTGTCATGAATTATAATAAATCAGCTGAATGCTTTCTGTAAACACAAAATCCAGGTCAGGTCCTTTACGAAGTCCATCGGGAATATTTAGGCTTTCTCCTTTAGGTCTTGTCCATATGAAACTCTCATCGAGTGCAAGGTTTTTGTATGCCTGATTCATCAATATTTCCACATAACAGCATTTAATAAATTTCTATTGTGGAAAAAATAGTTTTAGTATGTAAACTGATTTCAACTTAACTGCTCTAAATATGTATAGTTCTGTTGATATACAATATTTTGTCAAAATTTGATATGCTAAAAGTGGCAATTTAGGCTATTAAGTTCAGATGTCTTACCATCTTGAAAAAACTCACTAAATATTTTAATAAGCATTTCAGCATGCTAACATTTCAGCCTAATTAATCTAAAACTAGTAATATCTACTAAGTAGCAAATTAATGCCATTATCAGTCCCTATCTTTTTTGACTTTTCAGAATTTTGACAATTTTCTTCATGTCCTCTCTTTCATTGGCTTCAAAAATTCCACTCTCTGTAGTTTCTTTTCCTATTTAAAAAACTTCTTTTTGGTTTCTTCAAATAGGTCATAAAATTCTTCTGAAAATATCTTTCTCCTCCCTTTGTGTTTTTCCCAGGCAGTCTTACTCTCCTTTATGTTTTTTATCTACTCATAAACCTCTATATCTCTGTTTTAGATTTCTCTCCTCAAGATCCCTGCTTCCCAATGCCAGCTTGATGAGGCATGCTCCTTTACATTTTTAGACTATTTTTTTATCATTGCAAATTTAGAAAAAAAATACCAACATTCCTAACTCGAATATTCCAAAGCATGCCTCAGATGAAATGTTTTCAGAATACAACTCATCACTTTCGTCCCCAGTCCTGTACAATTTTTCATTTCTTGGCTCAATGTATAGCAATCCCCTTGTCCCAAGCCAGCCACCTGGAGATTACGCTTAATACATTTTAAATTCCTCATATCCAACTGGTCACCAATTCCTATTGATTATTATTCATAAATATACCTTAAGTATATATTTTATTATAATTCTCAGGACCGGTGCCTTAGTTCAGGCATGCATTACCTCTCTCTTAAATTATTTTGATGGCTTTTTAACTGATATTCTTGACCTGCATCTTTCTTTGCCTCCCATTCCATCCTCTCTACGTTATTGCCTGTGATAACTTTTGAGAAACTGATGATACATTCCTCTATTTAAAATATGTAATAGCTCCTCATAGCAACGGTTTAAAGTCTAATCTCTTTAGAAAGATATGTAAGTTCAGCCTTCCTCCTTTTCATAAATAGCTGATTTCTTTCCAGTGTTAAATACTTTTCCATTCTAGTATCCAGCTTAACAAGGGAATTGTTGCTCCCCAAATGCTCCCCACTTCATTCTGTTTCTTCTGCTTAAATTATCCATTTTGTTTTGCCTACCTAATGAAACCAACTTACCCTAAAAGGCCCAAGTCTAACAATTCTGTGAAGTCTTCTGAGTCACCATTATTTTTTACTCTATGGCTTCTAGTACTTTGTCTGTGTGTGTATGTGTGTGTCCTTATTATGTGTGTAGACTGTATCACATTGTATAGGTGATATTTGGCAATTATTATTTTAATTAAGAATTGAGAATTGAGATCATCCAAAATATGTTATATTATGATACTGAAATTAAACTAGAAATCAATAATGAAGATATCTGAGAAATCTCAGATATTAGGAAATTAAATAACCTTCTGGCTCGGCATGGTGGCTCATGCCTGTTATCCCAGCACTTTGGAAGTTTGATGCTGGCAGATCACCTGAGGTCAGGAGCTCAAGACCAGCCTGGACAACATGGCAAAACCATGTCTCTACTAAAAATACAAAAATCAGCCAGGTGTGGTGGCAAGCACCTGTAATCCCAGCTACTCAGGGGCTGAGGCAGAGGAATAGCTTGAACCCAGGAGAAGGAGTTTGCAGTGAGCTGAGATCACTCCACTGCACTCCAGCCTGGGCGACAGAGAGAGACTCTGCCTCAAAATATAATAATAATAATAAAATAAATCATAACAAAGTGGAAGTCACAAAGAAAAGGAGAAAATATTTTGACATAAATTTAAATTAAAACTACATATCAGAATGTGTGGCTATAGCTAAATCAGTACTTGGAAGGAAATTCATAGTATTAAATGCTTATATGAGGAAAGAATAAAATCTCAAATCAGTGGCTCAAGGTTTTATGTTAGGAAGCAAGAAAATGGAGAACACATTAAAATCAAATCAGACATACACATAAAGAAACAATGAATAGTAAAATTGAAAGGACACAAATTATACAAATTATCAATATGTAAACATAAAAAGGACATCACTGCAACTGCTACAGATATTAAAAAGGACAATTAGGAAATACTAGGAGCAATTTTGTAGGGAGATAGAAACCAAAAAGAAACAGTAAACTGAAAACTTTAAGGATAAAAATCCAACATAAATTCAGCAAATGGAAGACACAAATTACCAAAGCTCACTCATGAAGAAATAGATAACAAGAATAGTCTTACAACAAGTTAACACATTGAATTTATATTTTCAAATCTTTTTAATGAAGCATGGGCCAGATATCTTTACTGGTTAATGAAATAGATCATGTAAGGAAGGAATGACACCAATTCTTTTTGTGCTTTTCCAGAATATTGAAGAGGAGGAAATACTTCCCAGTTGATTTTACAGGCCAGCATAACTTAGATACCAAACCAAAGACATTATAAGAAAACAAATCAACATGCCAATATACTTTATGAACATAGTTTTTTAAACAAAATATTAGCAGTTGAATCCAGAAATACAAAAAGAATAATACACCATGATTGAACAGAATTTAGCCTTGAAATGAAGGGCTGGAACAACAGTAAAAAATCAAATAATGAATTTCGCCATATAAAAAACTAAAGGAAAAAATGTGATCAAGCTTGGCAGGACACGGGGGAGGAGAAATGGAGAGAAGTTGGTTAACGGATACAAATATACATTAACATAGAAGGAATAAGTTCTAGTACTTGATAGTACAGTAGGGAGACTATAGTTAACACTAATTTACTATATATTTTAAAATGGCCAGAAAAATAGAAATACTCCCCAAAAAAGGAAAAGATAAATGTTTGAAGTAATTAATAGTAATAGAGGCTAAAAAAGTATTTGCAGAATTCAGCATTTATTTATACATTTATGATTTTAAAAACGAAGAAAACCAAAAATAAGGAATTTCCTCCACTTGATAAAGAGAACCTGCAAAGAACACACACACACACTCTTTATGGTACAAAACTGAATGCCTTTCTCCTAAGACAGGTGAAAAGGTAAGATGTCCACTTTCAACAATTCTATTTAATATATTGAAAGCTCTAGTTGGGGTAATAAAGCAGGGAAAATAAATGAAAGACTAAAGATTGGAAAGGGGAAAATGAAACTCTATTATAGATGACAAGAATATTTATTTAGAATTTCCTGCAGATTCTACAAAAAAATAGAATAATTGCATTTAGCAAGTCATAGGCTATAAAGTCCATATAGAAAAATTAATTGTATTTCTATATAATCACTATAATCAATAGAAAGTTAAGATGTAAAATAAATTACCATTTGTAACAGCACCAAAACCTGAAGTGTGTTTGTAGAAGCCTAAAAAGTTGTGCAAGAACTATATACTGAAAACTATCAAATACTGATGAACTACATCAATGAAGTTATAAATAAATGAAGAAATATATCATGTTAATAAATCTGAACACTCGACATAGTAAATTGGTTTATAATTTCAAGGTAAGTTCAGTCAAAATGTCAGCAGGATTCTTTGCAGACATTGACAAGCTGATTCTAAAATGTTTATGGAAAGACAAAGAAGTGGCCCGGCCCGGTGGCTCACACCTGTAATCCCAGCACTTTTGGAAGCTGAGGCAGGCAGATCAATTCAGCCCAGGAGCTGCAGACCAGCCTGGCCAACATGGCGAAAACCCGTTTCTACTAAAAATACAAAACTTAGCTGGTGTGGTGGCACATGCCTGTAATCCCAACTACTTGGGAGGCTTTGGCAAGAGAATCACTTGAACCCAGGAGGTAGAGGCTGCACTGAGTGAAGATTGGGCCACTATGCTCCAGCCTGGGTGGCAGAATAAGACCCTGTTTCAAAAACAACTACAGCAACACAACAAAAATAAAATAAAATAAAATAAAATAAAATAAAATAAAATAAAGACAAAGAAATAGAATAGCCAAAATTATTTTTCAAGTAACAGTTAATGGAATCATACTACTTGATTTCAAGACTTTCTGTGAAGCTATAGTAAGACTATAAAATATTTGCAAAAGTACAGAATTAACTCAATGGAACAGAATAGAAAGTCTAGAAATAGAGCCACCAACATATGGCCAAATGACTTTTGAGAAAAGTAAAATTATATTATTTTCCACAAATGTGGGTGGAACAATTAGATATTTGCAGGGAAGAAAATCTGACTTATATCTTGTACTGGATACAAAAATTAATTCATAATGTAACATAGGCCTAAATATATAACCTAAAGCTACATCATTTCTAGATCTTATGAGAAAATCTTTGTTAATGTGAATTAAATATTTATTAGATGCAACATCAAAAGTATGATCTATGAAAGAAAAGATGATAAACTCAATTTCACCAAAATTTTTAAAATTCTGTTTTTTAAGACACTCTTAAATGATACAGACTAAAAAAATACAAAACACATATTCTGATTAAAAAAAATCTATTCAACTTGCAGAAACAGCTCTCAAAACTCAATGCAATAACCAAACACCAATTTTAAAATGGACAAAACTTTGAAGAAATACTTTACCAAATAAGATAGACAGATAGATGGCACACAACATATAAAAATATGCTTAACATTATAATTAAGTGCAAATTAAAACTACAATATAGTACCACTATATATTAGAATGGCAAAAAAATGTGTTGCTGGGAATATGAAGCAACAGGAACTTTTATACATTGATGATTACACTAAATCTGAATTACAGTTTAGAAGCTTTTTGTAACATTAAGCATATACTTACCATGTGACCCCACAATTTCATAAGTGAAGTAAAGCTTATGTTTGTCTGAATCTTGTATGTGAATATTTATAGCAGCCTTATTTTTAATCCCTGAAAACCTGGAAATAATGCAATTTACTTTCGATAATGAATGGAACCAACCTGTGATATACTCACACAATGAAATACTACTCTTCAAGAAAAATAAACTTACACATGAGAAAAATTAATGAATCTCTAATGTATTATGTTAAACAAAATAAACTGAATTAAAACGGCTACATGTTGCATAACTTCATTTGTTGATATTCTGGAAATGGCAAAATTATGGAACAGAAATTTGTCCAATGAGCCCACAACGGATGGTTGAATGGGTTGGATTGGACGATGAGACCATTCCGTGTAGATGAGAGGTAAATCTACCTCTTGTAAAGTGAGAGAAGGTTGATTGTGAAAGAAGAATTGAGCACTCTGTGATAACAGGTGCATTCCTCTGCTGATTACTTTTCGGAGTATATAGGGACATTGAAGACTGGAAACTGTTGACTTTAGAACTGTTTGATCTCGCACATCTCTTGGAATGTCTTTGTTGTACAGTTAAGGGTACATGCAGGCTAACTGATCACCCCTACTCCAGTGTATTAGCCTGATTAAATGTCCCTATGCAAAGGCAAGTATAACTCTAGCAATTAGTTACATTTTGATTTCTCCCAGGAGACACTGAGTTCCTTAACAACAAAGATAATATCTTATTTGCCTTCTATCATCTAGGTTTTGTGCAAGGCCACAATAAACTCCACAAATATATGAATTGAATGAGTGAATCTATAATTCCACTGACTCGAATGAAGCTTAGAATTGTGGTTAGTAATGAAAGAAGTATGTCGTGCACTTACTGAGGTCTATGGCTCACAGAACCCCAAGGTACATCAAGAACTGTATCAAAACACCTCATGTACCCCTCAAATAGATACACCTACTATATACCAACAAAATTTTTAAAATAATAAAGCTTTGAAAAGAATTAATCAAATTACAAAAAACATTAATCACATTACATAGATGTGGTTAATTTTGAAATTGTTGCTTTCTTTTTCATGACTATAAACATTTCTTAAAACAAAATATTACCTGATTTATTGATACATTTTTTTCCAAGCAGTTTGTTCACAGTACAATAGAAGTCATCAGTGCAAAGACACTCTTTAAATTGGAAATTGCTTTCCACTAAGTACTGGATACTCAGGTTACAGTATGATGAATTCCTCATCTTGCAGGGGTCACCTGGATCTCACAATCAAACACATAACACTATAGATATTAATCTGATTATAATTTTGGATTCTTCCTCCCCAAAGTACTTTTAACATATTAACCTGAATAATTAATTAATATGGTAAGATTATCTGGGGTTGCTGCAAGATATCCATATAAGTGACATTTTATGAAAAACCTGTATTTTCATTGAATATTTTCCATAATGTACTTTCTATATTAAAACTTTCTGCATTTCAAAATAGCTTTTTCCTACTTAGAATATCATTTCTTGCTTTTCAGTAAAAATAAGGCTACTCTTACAGGAGGTGACCAGAATGCTCTCTAATCTTAGCATTTTGTCAGCTTATCTATTTTATTAGCTATTTTGTCATAATCTGATCTTTTATTTTCATATCATTCTCAGACTATAGAAAGATATGTGCAGGTAGCTCTAAATTTATCATTAAAAATTATGTGGTCCTGGCACATAGCACTCAATAAATATTATTGAATAAGTCTCATAATTACCAATATTTCATTTTCTACATTAATTTAAAAATATGTAATCCTCTACCTGAACATTTTCTTTTATTTATTATTCTGAATAAAACTACCTTAGTTTATTTCATTTGTACATTTGAGAATACGCATATTTCAGCTTCATACATAAAATAATTATGCAAATATTATTGCAATTTACTGCAAAAGACTATTTGTATACTGAAATTAAATAAGGTACAATTTGTGACACCTAAATATAATATTTTAACAACATATTTTAAATTGCCTTATAAAATGTAGCAAGAAGTTTAATCATCAAAATAAATAGATTATTTTTAGATTATACTGTAGATAGATTATACTGTAATCTGTATAGATTATGCTGTAGAACAATGTTCTACTGTATAAATTGACTATGTTCTACCACATAGACAGTTTATTCTATTTACTTATTCTATTTACTTTATTCTATTTGTAGTTTATACTATTCTATTTACTTTTAATGAAAGGAGTCTTACTATAATGTTCTCATTCAATGCTTATTTAGCTACTTGAATATTCAAAATATATATATTTTTTCTTTTTAAGGAAATATAGGCCAGGCACGGTGGTGCACGCCTGCAATCCCAGCACTTTGGGAGGCCGAGGCAGGCAGATCACGAGGCCAAGAAATTGAGACCATCCTGGCCAACGTGGTGAAATCCCGTCTCTACTAAAAATACAAAAATTAGCTGGGCATGGTGGCATGCGCCTGTAGTCCCAGCTACTCTGGAGGCTGAGGCAGGAGAAAGAATCGTTTGAACCCGGGAGGCGGAGGTTGCAGTGAGCCGAGATCACGCAGCTACACTCCAGCCTGGCGACAGACCAAGATTCAGTCTCAAAATAAAAAAAAAAAGAAAAAAGAAAGAAAATACCAGTCACTCTCCAATCTTCACATTCTCAACTCTTGAACCTCCCCACAAATGTTTGGAAGGTAGGCCAAGTTAAAAACAAAACTATAGCTTTACTTGTTCTTGACATAGAATTGGAAATACCGCATATATGTTTCAAGAATATACATTGTACATTGTGCATGGACAAATGCACAACAATTATTATAACAAATCTTATTTTTTCTATTTTATCATTGACATATGTAATCAAAATAACCTTTTATTTGAAAAAAAATAGTGCCATGGTTCTCAGAAGAATGCATAAAATTGTAGCATTATACATGGTGAGAGAGGTAAGAAAATAATCTGAAATCTTGAATAATGCTGCCCTCAGTAATTAAAGCTCTTTAGTAATTAAGAAAATCCTTTTGTAATTAAATTTGCTAATACATGATTAAAAGTGAATCGATGGGGGTCAAGATTAAATAAGATACATAGAAAAAAACTTAGTTCTTAGGATAATGACAAAATATCAAATCCTGTTTTTATCTTAGTAAAAATAAATCATTTGAGTGTATTTTTAGCAACTTGTTTACCTGAATCATTGCAGGCATCTTCCATTACTCTCCAAGCATGTTTACATCCATTTGCATCACGTAAGCATTGCTCTCTTAAATATGTGCAATTATTGGTTTGGGAAGTGTATTCATTTTCCAAGCTTAACCCCATAGCTTGAATAACAACAACAAAAACAAGGTTGTAATATAAATTTGGCATCCATTTTCTTCAAATCTAAGTTATTAATGATAAAGAGCAGAATTATGGAAAATAACATGTAGTGAAATAATTGATGGTGGGAATAACCTTAACCTCCTCTCTAGCTGTAGATCTGTATTTCTTTTTATAGATTCTTAAATGAATATTTTAAATTTGCTCATTTTGACGTCTCATCATCTATTTATTCCTCAACTTATAATTTATTTTTATTACTATTATTCCATTAAAACTGCTCTTAAAAAAGTCTCTAATTACCCCTTTAAAATCTAACTTAATGGTTTTAAACTTTATCTCACCATTGACCATTTTGTTGACTTTTTTGTTTTTGAAACTCTTCCTTTGCCAGCCCTCCCTTCTGTTCTCTTGATATTTATCCACTTTGTATTTTCTGACCATAGCTAAAATTATTCCCAGGATCATTTTATTCTTCTAGTAAAGTATAATTTTAGCTTAGGTTCTCTTCTCAGACCTTTTCTATTTTCATTTTATACATTCTCTGCAGAAAATTCCATGTACTCTTATGGTTTGAACTAAAATGTTAGTCTGATGATTCTCAAATGTATAATTTAATCTCAGTATTTCCAGCGTTCCTGTCATAGGTACGTAATTGTTATCTCTACTTGAATGTTTCAGAAACACTTTCACAGGATCTTCATCATCATTGTTCCACTGTGGACCACTACTTCATTCACAATGCCACAATTAACATGAGAACTCAAACTAGAAATCTTGGTTTTGTGGTAGACTATTTTCCATCCTCAACTTCACTCTCCCATATTCATTCTTGCTAAATTTATTGACTTTCACTTTGAGCATTTGTTTAACTTATTAGTCAGTCTGCCTCCAGTTTGAATCTTATTCAGAACCTTATTCAGATAGGTTCTTTGTAACCCCTAATCTACCTGATGTACTATTCTAGTCTTGCCATTTTTCTGTTTTATATCCTTTAAACTATTTCTCATATCAGGGCTCTCATATTCCTCACCATGTGCAATCTGGAAGGTCTCAAGCATTTATCGTTTCCCGAATGATCCATGCTGTCTTCTACCTCTGCATACCTACTGTCTGATCCCTGATAAGTATTTTCTTTCTTTTTCTTCTGGAATAACCCTTTTTGTTGTTTAAAACTGAACACAATCATTAGCTATTTTCTGGAAACTTTACTTGAATTCTATACTCCCCTTTTTCCACACTCAAATTGAATTTGACATCTTCCATCCATTTACTAGAACTGTGGGGATCCCGCAATTACAGATTTTACTGTTCTGTAGTGTATATATTCATGTGCCTGTCTCCACCACTGGATTGTACAGCTTTACCCACAGACATTAAGGATAATTTATAACTGTATTTTTGTCACCAAACACAGTGATGCAGTATAGGTATTCAATAAATGAATATTGGCTTATACCCAAGTTATTAGATGTTTATATATAAGATATATAAATAACTGATAACATCTAAAAAATAATACCTTCCAGATATTTACAAGTTACTTTTGCTAGAGGAGAAATCCAGCAAGTTTTCTAAAAACAATCAAGAAAATAGCAATGTTAATTTAATATGTTACGCAAGTTAGTCAAATTGATTCTGCAAACATATGAAGTGACACTAGCCAAATCAATTAATAGAAAAAAATACAGGGATTGAAATTGTGTTACAGAGACAGTTGTAGTAACTGTCATCAAGAGAGTCAAGCTATAACTAAATAAGAGCCAAATTATTTGAATTTTTAAATGCTGTTGTTAATTATGAATCACCTGTGACAATGTAGAGTGATAGGCTTCAAGTAAGGGCTTGAAATCTCTCTTTTTTTTTTAAATCTTACCTCTTTGCAAATCTCATCTTATAAGAAGAATCCAAGACAACTGATTGGACCATGTGTACTACTTGCTGGGTCACTGCATTTGGAGATTAGGCCCATGGGTGTAGCTTGGTAACATTTTTCTTGCTGAGGGCTGGAGTGGAAATGGACATATCAGCTTTCTGTTTTCTCATGTGTTCATGGACAACCTCATCTAGCCAAGCCCTTGTACTCCTTATTTGGCTAGCCCAAAGAAAGAAAAAGAGGACTCTTTTGATCCTAGCACAAATTTACTTGGTCAAATCCAGTTTTCCAAAGACCCAGAAATAGAAATTTGAAGTCATAAACTCAACTTATAAGAAAATGGTATTTTATTTGCCATTAATCATTATATCTTGTGAAAAGCCCCTTCAAGAATCTTATAAGTGATAATATCCCAGATATATCATCAAAACTTCATCAGTACTTCAGAGTAATAATCACTTAGAAATACTACATGTTGTCTTCCCCAAATATGTTTTACTTCCTTTCACATTTTCAGTTTTTAATGTTTTACTTCCTTTCACATTTTCAGTTTTTGGTTGAACAAGCTTCTTAATAGATTATTTTATAGGATTTTCCACACTTCCTACTCAACAAAATATTGACTCAACTAAGAAAACCACCTCAATGATTTGGTCCACAAGAATCAAGAATGTATTACCTCTCCAAAATCTGTCTTATTCATTCCAAACTATGACTTGTGGTTTTGTATTTAACCTAGGATTTTTCAAGAATTTTCCTGTAATACTCAATGAAAAATAACTTCTATTTTTAAATTAATAAGATGGATAATGCTGCAAATTATATCAGTGTTTTAAAGATGTATGGGGCTTATTATCCTACTAAATGTTCTGAGATTTTAAAATTCATTGTTTTCCACATTTCTTTACCAACAGACATTTTCCTCATTATAAGACCTATTTAGATAATGTCAAACAAGCATTCTAAAAAATATAATATGGGAAATGTTGGTACAACATATCAAATAGTATAATTTTAGTTCTAACAATGTTAAGAAGTTATTTCCCTCCTTCATGCAACCTGGTGTCAAGTTAATTTAGAAGTAAAAGATGAAAATAAGAGGCCATTGCCTTTTCAACTGAGGTCATAATGAGTCTGTAATGTATTTTGTGAGCTTCATTATATTGCTGCCTGATCTATAAAAATTAAAGTTTCCTATATTTCTCTTTATCACAAAAAAGAACTAAAGAAATATTAACAATCTTTATAAAAATAAGAAAATATTTTAGGAATAATTACAAAAAGCAAAATTATGGAACAATGGAAAAATATTACTTAAACAAAAGAAAAACTGAAAATATAAGGGATTTCTCTCCTTCTTAACTTGTTTCCTTGACTTGATATGACTCTCCTTTTATGTTCGATACAATTTAAAGTAAACTTCTTTGCTTTCTGGCCCATAATTATGCCTTTATTCAAGTATATATTAGCTTAAACATAAAATGCCATATTTTTAAAATTACAATCTAGCTACAGTTACAATTATTCCTTTTCTGAATTCAGTTTATAGATTCTACCAAATGCTAAAGAAGATATAAAATATTCTCCAGTCACACATCTAGCAAATAGATTCATGGATTCTACATTAAATAAAAATAAATTATTTTTCATCAACATCTTATAATACATTCATCGGATCCAATACAAGAGAAGTAAGTCCACACTTGAGTTCTAGGTCATAAAAATTAATGAAAATATGAAGCATTCTGATATGGTGTTAAGTGGTTTTACTTCACTAAATTACTTCTAGTTAGCAAATATTAACACTGTAGGTAAATTGAATGTTTTAAATTAATCTTATTTTTGTTTAATTTCAAAGCAAAATAAATAAAATAGATAACAGTTTGAAATTTTTCATCTTATAACTTGTAAATAGATACTGGAAGGTTTTATTTTTATTTCTAAAAGGTTCTAACACATGTGTGAATTCCATTAATCCTAATAAGTAACTCAAAGTCATTGGGTCATTCTATACAATAAAACAGAAACAAGCTGAGAGATTAATACAATTTTCACATGCTGCATTATCTATAGAGTTAGAAATAAGTGAGTAAAAGTGAGTGTACATTTTTGCAAGAAGAATAAACCATGTTAAAGCATAAATTTGTAATTTACTTGGTACTTCATATTATAAGCCCCTGTTAAGCTTAAGTGTGATGGTATTCAGTTTACAAAGAATTAGTATTATGAATAATTCAGATAAACCAGAAGCACCATTCACTTACCCAAGAAAATAAACACTATCATGCTGGACAACTCACGGCAGTTCACCTGGAAAAAAAGGCAGATGCGTTTCTTCTGACAACTTTCTTAAGAGTAACTGTCCAGAATAAGGCTTCAGCCTCTGTGTTTGCTTCCTAAAGGCATTACCAATTCAAGTCAGCTTCCTATATCATCATTTCCTCCCCAGTGTTTCCTAAGTTGTGAACTGTTCTAATTATATTCAAATTCGATTATTCTCCTGAGGGTGCTGGTCTTGAATATTAGGATATTATGCCTCTAAGAAAGCCCATGAGCCAAATACTAAGAGAAATGATACATAATCTGCACGTTCATGAAAAAGGTTTATTTTCCTTAACTAAAATACAACACTACGTAAAAGCCTCCCAAATATGACCCAAAATTTTCAAAGACACTTGAGCATACTCAGTCTCCACTTGTTTAATTAGCCTCATTAAGGCAATTTCATGTCATTTGAGGATATAGAAAAGCTAAAAACGCATAATAGCCCTGGAAAATGTATGCAAAATCGAAGTTCTACTAGAATTAGCCTGATATAACTCAAACATACTGGGAAGCTGCTTCCCAAACAAAGAATGTTGTATTACATGTGCCACAAACCCCAGTATGCTTAAAAATTATGCCACTTCAGCTACAGTATCTGATACCTTCCAAGTACAGCTACAGTGTAAAAAACATACTCTTCTCAGTGATGCAGAAATTCTATGTTCCACTGGAAAGATAATCATCTACATTTGTGTGCATCACTTGACAACTATTTTTTTTCCTAGTTTCAATGAAGGGACTTATTTATCTTATGCCTTGGTTTGGCTACGCCCTTCCTCATGTAAACCTACAGCACATCATCTTTCTTGGGGTGTCATGAGACTTCTATTTCTAAATCACCTGGAGGCCTTTCTAGAATGAATGCTTAAAAAATAAAATGCTGCTTTGGCAAGAAATTAAGAAGAGATAGGGATGGGAGAGAAGTATTTGTGCAGTTACACCATTGAGTTTTTGATTGCATATTGTTCATGTTTATTTTATACCAGTAGAGAAGTTATACTATATTTTGTTTTCAGCAGGCATAATGAAAAAACACAGACTCTAGAGTCCAACAAACAAAAATTATAACACTGCTTTTCTCTATAGATCTAGATGAGTGACTTAGCATTGGAAGTTATTCACTCCTTTGTAAAATGTGTCAATTGTATTAATTCTTGCTGTAATATAAGGTATGTATATGAGGGGCTTATATCACAAAAAAATTGATTATATTACATTCACTGACTTAATTATTACATAATAGAAGGATTATAATATCATAAAATTAATCAATCTTTTCTTCTTTTCAAGGGATTGAGTCACTAAACTTTCCTAATGACTTCTACCAAGACAAGCTTAGATATAAGCCAACTTAAAAGGACTTAAACTAGGACAGAGTTGGTTACTACCATAGTTGAAGAGTCCGTGGGAAGAATTAATTTCAGGTGTGTTTTAAACTGTTTTCTCTGGGTCTAAGTTGTTTGTTTCCTCCTGTCTCTTACCTGCATTCTTCTCTACCAGTTCTATTCCCAGAAAGGCTATTTCCTTCTGGTGGGAAGATGGCTGTGAAGCCCTTGGCAAACATCCTTCTCTCTTAGAAAGCAGGGTAGAAAGTGTCATTCTTTTACTATTAAAGTTGCAGAATTAAGTCACATCAGTTCTAGATGTGTCAAGTGCCAATCAATTTTACAAAAGGAACTTACCCCATGTCCAGTATCATAGATACAGGTTGTCAGTGTAGTTGGCCCTTTTCAAAGCACAGAATCTGATGGTGCAGAAGGTGTGCATCACGAAGGAAAATTATGGTATTAGAAGAAGCAGCTGAAGGGATCTTGGGGCAGCAAAAACCACATGCTTAGTAATGTATCTAAGTGCTGAGTTTAAGAAGAGCAACCACAAGGAAAATAAACTTATGAAACAAAGGAAGAGAATAACATAATTTTCTGTTCAAGGAAGGCGATATAGTTATGACTTTCTAGAGTGCAGTGATCCACAGAACCTGAATATAAGACCCTGTGAATGGTGCTAATCTTTGCCAGACAAGTACAGCTGCTTCGGTCTATAACTTATAGGTATAGAAAGCACCTGTGGTCATATAGCTGTTTATCCAACACAAAATAATATCAGCTGTGTTACCACTGAATGCCTGTTCATTGAGCCATCAGTCCTCTTTGTGTATAGACTCCTTCTCAGGATAATATTTTCATGGCAAAAAAAAATTTTAAAGATCATAAAGGAAATTAAGTATGTTAAAATATACTTGTCAAAATATGTTTTAAATTTGTGATAAAGTAATACATATGCTTCCTCATTGCAGAAGGAAATATCAAGATCTAAGTGAGTCTAAAAATATTGTTGTTTCAGTGTAGTGATTATCACAGATCCTAATTTGAAAGAACTTCCACTAATAAAATGTTATATAAAAATATCTGTAACTTCTATTAGTGACAAAGATAGCACAGGAAGTACTGAATTTCAATGAGTTTAGTAAAAAGATAACACAATTTTACCCCAAGCAAATTATAGAACCTCAAATTCATAAACCCAAATTTAATGTCTACGAAAATAATACTCTCGATTATTTAAATGAAAGCTGCTATTGAATCAGAACATTGTAGAAATAGAATTATCAATTTTGATAGTTTCTAATTATAATGTGTGCCTAATTTTAAAATGTATTCTACATTTCAAGTAAAATGTTGTAATATATAAATGAAACAGAAGAAAGTACAGCTGCTCCGGTGGGAATTTTCATGAGTAGTCCTCAGCTCTACTTATTGGGCTTTGCCAGCACATTCACAGCTGCTACTGAAGCATCCCAAAGGCTCTGAAATTCCCATTCAAAATTCCCTAAATTTATGTAATTGCTTTTTGATAAATTTTGTTTTAGCTAACGTATCATTCTCATGACAGTTAAATGCACTAGACCTCACACCTTGGCAAAAGACATGTAATATTTACTAAAAGACTTTTGTATCAAAGACTCTACAAAAACAAAAATGAGGGACAGACACTAGTTGCATGAATTGGATAAACTAGAATGCAAATTAAGCTACATATAAAAGCGAAAAAAGAAAAATTGTTAAATAAAACTCTATGATAAATCAGTGAAAAAAACTTCATATTCAAGGGCACTTCTTTTTGGAACATAAAGTTGTTTAAAGCTTTTGTTCAGTGACATTCGACTTCCTCCAATCACCTTTGCATTACCACTATATTTGTCTACTTAAAACTTTTGTAGCATGCTACTGTCTGGAGGAGTCTGTTCAGCTCTAGCCAACCTAAAATTGACATTCTGAAAAGAATACATACATATGGTCATGAGTTTCTTGGCTAAAAGACCTGTAAACAGAGTTCTAAGATGCCAAGTAATAAAAGCAGACATGAAGCAGTAATTTTTGGAGAAATTAAACAACAACAACAAAAAAACTCTTGCTTTTTTTATTGGAAGACCTCACCAAAAAAAATAATAATAATTAGGTATACTTAATCACCTCACCATAACTTGCCCATCAAGCTCCTCACTCACAACCTGATGAGATGTGGCCAGGCATGGAGGGACAAGGCCGCCAAAACTGGGAGAAGCTGAGAAACCACAAGGAGCCAAGACTCTGAGGTTTGTTCTGCGGAGTTCAGATGGACTAACGTTACTGAGACTCAGTGGATGAAGAGGAAAAGATAAGTGCTAATTATGGGTGGCCTTTTATGCTTTACCAAGAAGACTAGAGTTTAACAGAAGAAAGAGAGGCTTTTGGTGAGTTCCAGAACAGAGTAACCTGGTTGGGTTTTGAAAAATTGCTTATGCAATGCTATGGAAGATGGTTTGGAAACAAGGTAAATTGCCTGTCACAAAGCTATGTCAGTAGTTTAGGGGAGAATGACAAGGGCTGAACTAAAAGTAGTAATGATGCAGAGAAAATGGTAGGTCCAAGAAATTTCAGAATTTAAAATTTACAGGATCTGGCAACCATTTGAGATGGTGGGCGGGTTGAGAAGGAGGAATGAATTCTTACTTTTGTTTTGCGTTACTTGGTGTTGGTTGTCACCATTTATCAAGGCACAAGACTCACAGTTCAATACTCTTTATACAAAATCATTCAATCCATTGATGAAGTTAAAAATTTTAATTAAACAGCCATTCCTTTGGCTCATGTCATCATTTGGGAAGATACGCTGCCTGTCTTCAAGAGAACTAAAACAGCTCCAAAAAATAAGATTGCCTTAGAGGATTATTATTAAGTTCTGGCCCTCAGTCTAGTAGGAAATAAAGAATGGACTCATTTATTATTTATGCTTTAAACAATGATATTGATGGAAGTGTTAATGATATTGCCAATTTATTTACTTATAAAAAAAGCTAAATGCTAGCCAGTATCTTAATGTAGGTATGCTAACATAAAATTGGTGGGTGAAAATATTTAAAGAGGATTAGTTCCATAATTCATTCTATATAACCTGAATATTTAATGGCATCAGGTTAGAATAAACCCCATGTAGCCCTCTTCATGATAAGGAGGTATATGTCATTTTCTTTCTTTTTTGGGTAAATTAATATACTCAATCATATCAGTCCAATTTGGCTGAGACAGTGCTATCCCCTTTCAGCTAAAATTGAGTAAGTCTCCATGGTTGTGTTTTGGTGATGGTCGTGTTACTCTATTAGTTGGGTCTGATTTTCAGAAATTTATTACATCTCTAAGACCATAGTTAAGACCAACTATTAAAAAGCATTCATAACGCCTTTAAATTCCTTATAACTCGTTTGCTACTCTCTGTTTCCCATTTTATGTAACTGCTAGAGTCTAGTGCACATTCCAATTATCACCGTGAAAAGATGTTATGTACCTGTTGATCCAGCGAGGTTATTACTAAATGAAGGAAGACCAACATCTTACCAGATCACCTCAAAACATTATACATTTGTATTCAAATTTATATGTTCTAGTCCTTTTTTTAAAAATAGGAGATAGTAACCTTTGAATTGTGGCCAGACACTGCCAACATTGTCTTTCAGAGAGACGACTGAATGGGGGTAGTGTATGGTCCTGCTGAATTCCAGATAGGGCAATTTTGTAAGGCCAGTTCTCTCAATGGTGCATTGGAAAGGGGCTTTGGACATTCCATGGGGGGAGATGTCCGACAGGAACATAAAAGGATTGTTAATAAGTTGCTAAGGCTACTGAAAACAGATCTATAACTGTTATAATGATCTTTTCCTTTTCAAAATAGTTTTTACATTGTAAAGTTTTGATACTTATATATATAGCATTTGAAAAATATAAGAAATAAAAGTAGCCAGGTGCAGTGGCTCACGCCTGTAATCCCAGCACTCTGGGAGGCCAAGGCAGGTGGCTCACCTGAGCTCAGGAGTTTGAGACCAGCCTGGCCAACATGGTGAAACCCTGTCTCTACTAAAAATACAAAAATTAGCAGGTAGCGGGGCATGGTGGCACATGCCTGTAACCCCAGCTACTCGGGAGGCTGAGGCAGGAGAATCACTTGAACCCAGGAGGCGGAGGTCGCAGTGAGCCGAGATTGTGCCATTGCACTCCAGCCTGGGCGACAAGAGCAAAATTCCAAAAAAAAAAAAAAAAAAAAAAAAGAAAGAAAGAAAAAGAAGGAAAGAAATAAAGAGAAGGAAAGGAAGAAAGAAAAGAAGGAAAGAAAGAAAGAAAGAAAGAAAGAAAGAAAGAAAGAAAGAAATGTATTCATATTTAAGACACCCAGATGTGTCTACTGTTACTTTTTGATGAACTTTCTTTAAACTGTTTTCCTTAGACTGATGTCAGCAACATGGCAGAATAGGAAGCTCCTGGCACTCCCAATACTCACAAATGCACAGAATGAACATCTCAATTAATTCCCTGTGAGAGAAAGTCAGAAATAAGTTGAGAGATTCCTGCCTACCAGGCAAGAAAGAAAACATGCATGGCCGGGCGCAGTGGCTCATGCCTTTAATCCCAGCACTTTGGGAGGCCAAGGCTGGTGGATTATTTGAGTCCAGGAGTTTGAGACCAGCCTGGATAACATGATGAAACCCTGTCTCTACCAAAAATACAAAAATTAGCTGGGAATGGTGGTACGCATCTGTAGTCACAGCTACTCGGGAGGCTGAGGCAGGAGAATCACTTGAACCAGGGAGGCAGAGGCTGCAGTGAGCCAAGATTGTGCCACTGCACTCTAGCCTTTACAACAGAATGAGACTCTGTCTCAAAAAAAAAGACAAAAAAAAACACATCAAAAGCAAAATAAAAACCCAAACATGCACTTCAAATGGGTAGACAAATCTGAGGCATACTTGAGCATGGACCCCTTCCAGGTACTTCACCATATAACTGGAATCACTAACACTCAGATTCTCCCTGTGGAGAGGATTGGGACCTTACATATGGCACCCCAATTATAAGATGCCCAACAGTTTGGCTCTTAATTCACCAACTCTGGGAGTTAGAGAGAATTAGACATACACAAGTTTATTTAGACCACAGGAAAACAGTGGCAGTTTTATATGTGTGTGCAAGCACTTTTTCAGGTGCTTTAACACTGTGAATTAGTAGAATTAGTACAGAGACAGGACTCAAAAATACCACTACCTGGTTCTCCCTGGAAGAGGTTTACAGCATACTCCCCTAGCGGCTACTTGACAGTCTGGTTTCTAACTAACGCATCTGAGAGTTAAAGGGGCAAGCAAAAAGTAGCTCTCTAACAGCCTGAGCAGCAGCTTAACACTTCCTGAGACTTCCTCCAGCTCAACTCAGCAATAATCCCAGCTCTCCCAATTCTCCCTGGAAGGAGTGTGTTCACCCACAAAATGCCCTTTTACAGCATTTACCAGAAATACTATATCCCAAAACTCCTGGCTCTAAGAGCAGAAGAGACTAGGCATATACAAGTCTCCCTAGATCACAGAACAAAGAGGTGGTTTTAAACAGGCATGCAAACTCTTCCAGGAACTATATCTCTTGGGAGCAGTGGAGAACAGGGGCTAGAATGCACAGCTCCTTTTTTTTTTTTTCTCTAGCAGCTTACTGCACACTCATCCAGTGACAACTACATAGCTTAACCTCCAGCTTGCATCAGGGAGCTAACAAGACAGACTAATAGTAGCTCTCAGGTAGACTAAGCAGAACTTGGCTTGTCCCCAGCCTATTTTTCCTAAAAGGAGTTTGTTCACATACCAAGTGTCACAACTTCTATAGCTCTATTCATTTCTTCTATTATTTTATAGCCTACCTATTCTTCTTGAAAAGAGTTTGTTCACAATTAAGTGTCACAACTTCTACAGCTCCCACCCAAAGGACTGAATTCTTAACAGCCTAAGCTTGGGAGTGGTGGAGCTTTGCATTCCTAACTTACTCTAGATCACAGATAACAAAGATGTAGACAAACAGTGGCCCCACTCCCAAAGCTATCTTCCCAGAATCAAAAAGTGTGGCCTGAACACAAATACAGGCAGTTTCCATAGTACCTCTCCCTGGCTTCATGCAGAGAGAGTGGAGAAGTAACACCTGCACCCAATTTCAACATGAGGATAGAAGGAACTGGACCACACATCTAATACTTGACATTTTTCTGGCTACATTTTGAAAGTCTGGCCTCTATCTTATAGTTCACAGAGTATTGATAGGACATGGCATATCCCAATCTCCTGGGAGCCACCAATAACAGAAACAGTGGCCTGGACAAACAAAGCTTTGAGAGGCACATTAAAATTTTTTGTCAAATGGACTAGTGATATTTTTCTTCTACACAGGTCCTGTTTGATAAGACTGGGAAAGGCAGCTGTCTTATCTAATGTGCAGTAAACAACACAGAGTCAAGGAAACTAAAGAAACAAGAAATATATATTCCAAATAAAGAGCAAAATAAATGTTCAGAAATTGACCCAAGTGAATAGAAGAGATGTAATTTACCCAATAGAGAATTTAAAATAATGATTATAAAGACTGTCACTAAGGTCCAGAGAGAAATGCAAAAACAGAGAACTTTAACAAAGAGAAAGTATATGAAAGTATCAATCAAATCTTAGAGCTGAGGAATATTAAACTAAACTGAAAAAATTGACAGAAAGGTTCACCCACAAATGAGATTAAGCAGAAGAAAATATCAATGAACTCAAAGACAAGTCACTGGAAATCATCCAATCTAAGCAGCAAAAAGGAAAAAGAATGAAAAAGAATGAACACATCTTAAGAGACATACTGACACCCTCAATCAGAGCAATATATACATTATAGGTGTTCAGAAGGAGGAGAGAGAGACAAGCACAGAACATATTCAAAAAATAATGGCAGAAAATTTCCCAGTACTGGGGAAGAAAATAGAAAGCCAGATACAGGAATCCCAAAGAATACCAAATAAAATGAATCCGGATAAATCCACACCAAGTACATATACATCATGAAATACTGTGAAGCCATAAAAAAGAACAAACTCATGTCTTTTTCAGCAACATGGACAGACTACTGGAAAATATTATCCTATGCAAATTAACACGGAAACAGAAAACCAAATATTGCATGTTCTTTCACATAAGTAGGAACTAAATATTGGGTACACACAGACATAAATATAGAAACAATTGACACTGCATCTTCCAAAAAGGGAAAAAGAAGGGTCTAAGAGCTAAAAAAAAAACAAAAAAACAAAAAACTTCCTACTAGATACTATGTTCACCACTTGAGTGGTGGGATCAACAGAAGCCCAACGCCACACAATATGTCCTTGCAGCAAATCTGCACATGTACCCTCTGAATCTAAAATTTAAAAAAGGAAAAGAAACTCACACCAAGGCACATCATAACAAAACTGTCAAAACTTAGAGTATGGAAAGCAGCAAGGGAGAATTGAATTGTCACATATAAGAGAACCCTGATAAAACTATCAGCAAATTTCTCAGCATTAACCTTGAAAGCTCAAGGGAGTGGGATAATATATTCAAAATTCTAAAAGAAAAAAACCTGCCAATCAAGAATAGTATACCTAGCAAACCTGTCTTTAAATAATGAGGGATGTTAAAGACTTTCTCAGAGTAACAAAGGCTGAGTTTCTCACCATTAGACCTGCGTTATAAGAAATGCTAAAGGGAGTTCTTCAAGCTGAAGGAAAAGGATTCAAAATAGAAACATGAAAACATATGAAAGTATAAAACGCACTGGTAAAATTAATGGCATTTTTCAATTCCAAAACATTCTAATATTGTAATGATGGTGAACAAATCAAGGATTTCTCTAGTATAAGGGTTAAAAGGCAAAATTCTTAAAAGCAACTACAGCTACAGTAGTTTGTTAAGTATGCATATTATAAAAAGATGTAAAGAATGACATCAAAAACATAAAATTTAGAAGGAGGAGAGTAAAAGTGTAGCCTTTGTGTAAGTGATCAAACTTAAGTTGTTATCAACTTGGCATAGCTTGTTATAGGTATAAGATGATTTATGTAACCACAAAGCATGAGCCTATAATAGATACACAAAATATTTTAAAAAATTCAAAATATATCCCTGCAAAAAGCAATCAAATCACAAGTAAAGAAAGCAAGATATAAGAAAAAAAATGTAGGATCTAGAAAACAACTTGAAAACAATAAAATGGAAGTAGCAACCTCTCATCTATCAATAATTACTTTAAAGTTTAATGGATTAGATTCTGTAGTCAAAAGGCATACAGTACCATGATACATACCAAACAAGATCCAACTATATGGGCCTACAGAAGACTCACCTTACCTTAAAGGAAACTTACAGGTTGAAAATGAAGTGATGGAAAATGATATTCCAGGCAAATAAAACAGAGCAGGGGTGGCTATACTTATTTCACACCAAATAAACTTTAGGTTAAAAAAAACTGTAAAAAGAGATAAAGAAGGTCAGTATATTATAATAAAAAGATCAGTGCATCAAGATAATATAACAATTGTAAATATATATGCACCCAACACTGAAGCACCTAAATATATAAATCAAAGATTAAGAGTTCTGAAAAGAGACATAAATGCAGCACAATAATAGTAAATAATTTTAATATCCCACTTCCAACAACAGAACTATTATCTAGACAAAAAATTTTTAATAACAAAATATGACTTGAACTATACGTATACCAATGGAGTTAATAGACCTATACAGAACATTTCATCCAACAGCAACAAAATATACATTTTTCTCAAGTATACATGTAACATTCACTAGGATAAATCAATTGATAGACCACAAAACATCTTAACAAGTGTCAGAAGATCAACATTATATCAAGTATCTTTCTCAATCACAATGATATAAAGCTATAGATCAATAACAGGAGAAACCAAGAAAAATTAACAAGTATATGCAAATTAAACAACATGCTCCTGAAAAACTATTGAGTCAAAGAGGAAATTCAAAAATTAATTTTAAAAATATTTAGAGAAAAATGAAAATGGAAACAACATATTAAAACTTACAGGATTCAGCAAAAGCAGTTCTAAGAGGAAAGTTTGTAACACTAAATGCCTACATCAAAAGAGAGAGTGAGAGAAGGAGAGAGAGATCTTAAATAAACAACTTAATGTTACTCCTCAATGAATTAGTAAAAGAAGAACAATCTAAGCCTAAAGTTAGTGGAAGAAAGGAAACATTTCAGAGCAAAAATCAATGAAATAGAAATTAGAAAAACAATACAAGAGATCAGTAAAGCTAAGCGTTGGTCTTCCAAAAAGACAAACAAAATTGACAATCCTTAGCTAAATTAACCACGAGAAAATACAGGTGGTTCAAGTAAACTAAAGCAGAAATGAAAAAAGATATCACAATTGATAGTACAAAAATACAAAGGATCTTATGAGACCACTACGAACAATTGCATGCAAACAAATTGGACGATGGAGAGGAAATAGATAAAGGCTTCGATACATAACCTTCCAAGATCAAATCATGAGGAATATAAATGGAACAGTAATGAGCAAGGAAATTAAATCAGTAATGAAAAGTCCGCCATCAAGGAAAACCCAGGAAAAGATATTTTCATAAATGAATTCTACCCAACATTTATAGAAGAACTGGTAATAATTATTTTCAAACTTCTTCAAAAAATTGAAGAGAAGGAAATATTTCCACAATCATTTTGTAAGGCCAACATTAGCCTGAGACCAAAGCCAGACTAAGAAACACCGTGTGTTTTCACTCATAGGTGGGAATTGAACAATGAGAACACATGGACACAGGAAGGCGAACATCACACACCGGGGCCTGTTGTGGGGTGGGGGGAGCGGGGAGGGATAGCATTAGGAGATTTTCCATAATGTTAAATGATGAGTTAATGGGTGCAGCACACCAATATGGCACATGTATATATATGTAACTAACCTGCACGTTGTGCACATGTACCCTAAAACTTAAAGTATAATAAAAAAACAAGAAACTACCGGAAAAGCAAATTACAGGCCAATATCGCTGATGAACATGGATGCAAAAATCCTCAACAAAATACCAAAAACTATATTCAACAGTACATTAAAAGGATCATTCACCATGGTCAAATGGAATTTATTCCTAGGATGCAAGAATGGCTTACCATATTCAAATCAAGTGGGGATTGTTAATGGGTGCAAAAATATAGTTAAATAAAATGAATAAGACATACTATTTGATAGCACAACAGGGTGACTACAGTCAATAATAATTCATTGTATATTTTAAATAACTAGAAGAATGAAACTGAAATTCCCTAACACAAAGAAATGATAAATGCTTGAGGTAATGAATACTCCAAATACCCTGATGTGATTATTACACATCATATGCCTGTATCAGAACATTGAATGTACCCCATGAAAATATATACCTATTGTGTACTCATAATAATTATAAATAATATTTTTTAGATTCACTCTGCTTCTAGGTCTGCAGATGTGCTTTTCTACCTATCACAAAATAAATTTATGCAAGTAAAAAACAATTAAAAATATGATTCACCATAGTAACAGAATGAAGAATAAAAACAATATAATCACCTCAATAGATGAAGAAAAAACATTTGAAATAATTTAACATCCTTTCATGATAAACTTTTGAAAATCAGTTATAGAAGGAATGTTTCTCAGCACAACAAAGACCATATATAACAAGCCTACAGTGAACATCATACTCAGTGGTGAAAAGTTAAAGGCTTTTGGATCAGGAGCAAGACAAGGATGTCTGCTTTCATCAATTATGTTCAACATAGTACTGGAGGTCCTAGTCAAAACAATTGGGTAAGAATAAAAAGCATCCAAATAGGAAAAGAATAAATGAAATTGTTTACTGATGACATGATCTTATATATAGAAAACCCTGTAAGACTACACCCAAAAAATTGTTAAAACAAATTAACAAATTTAGTGAATTTGCAGAATACAAAATCAACTTACAAAATTAATATTATTTCTGTACACTAACAACATACAACCTGAGAAAGAAATTTTAAAATTACAACAGTATCTTAAACACACACACACACACACACACACACACTCATTCACTTAGAAGTAATCAATGGAACATGATAGAAAGCCCAGAAATAAACCCACATGACTATGGTTAGTTGATGCACACACACATACACACAAACACACACACACACACACACACACACACACTTAGGACTAAATTTAACCAAGGAAGTGAAAGATCCATATACTAAAACTATAAAACATTGTTGAAAAAACCTGAAGATGACACAAATAAATGAAAAGCTAGCCCATGCTCATGGATTAGAACAATTAATATTGTTAAAATGGTCATACTACCCAAAGCGGATTAAATGTAATCCATATGAAAATTCCAATGCATTTTTCACAGAAATAAAAAATTGTAAAATATATATGAAACCACAAAAGACTACAAATAGCCACAGATAACAATCTTGAGAAAAAATAATGCTGCAGGCTTCACACTCTCAGACATTAAATTACATTACAAATCCACAGTAATCAAAGCAGCATAGTACTGGCATAAAACCAGACATATCAATCAATGGAATATGATAGAAAGCCCAGAAATAAACCCATACACCTATGGTCAATTAAATTTTCATAAAGGTAACAAGATCACACCATGGGGAAATGACAGACTTCTCAATAAATGGTGTTGGGAAAACTGGATACACACACACAGAAGAATCAAAATGAACCCTTACTTCAGCCTTTGTACAAGAATCACCTCAAAATGGATTAAAGACTTAATATAACATAAGACTTGAAGCTATAAAACTACTTGAAGAAAACACAGGGGGAAACCATCATGGCCTGGATATGAGCAGAGATTTCTTTTTATTTTTTATTTATTTTTGTTTTTATTTATTCTATTCTTTATTTTTTTATTTTATTATTATTATACTTTAAGTTTTAGGGTACATGTGCACAATGTGCAGGTTAGTTACATATGCATACATGTGCCATGCTGCTGTGCTGCACCCATTAACTCGTCATTTATAATTAGGTATATTTCCTAAGGCTATCCCTCCCCCCTCCCCCCACCCAACAGTCCCCAGAGTGTGATGTTCCCCTTCCTGTGTCCATGTGTTCTCATTGTTCAATTCCCACCTATGAGTGAGCATATGCGGTGTTTGGTTTTTTGTTCTTACAATAGTTTACTGAGAATGATGATTTCCAATTTCATCCATGTCCCTACAAAGGACATGAACTCATCCTTTTTTATGGCTGCATAGTATTCCATGGTGTATATGTGCCACATTTTCTTAATCCAGTCTATCATTGTTGGACATTTGGGTTGGTTCCAAGTCTTTGCTATTGTGAATAGTGCCACAATAAACATACGTGTGCATGTGTCTTTATAGCAGCATGATTTATAGTCCTTTGGGTATATACCCAGTAATGGGATGGCTGGGTCAAATGGTATTTCTAGTTCTAGATCCCTGAGGAATCGCCACACTGACTTCCACAATGGTTGAACTAGTTTACAGTCCCACCAACAGTGTAAAAGTGTTTCTATTTCTCCACATCTTCTCCAGCACCTGTTGTTTCCTGACTTTTTAATGATTGCCATTCTAAGTGGTGTGAGATGGTATCTTATTGTGGTTTTGATTTGCATTTCTCTGATGGCCAGTGATGATGAGCATTTTTTCATGTGTTTTTTGGCTGCACAAATGTCTTCTTTTGAGAAGTGTCTGTTTATATCCTTCACCCACTTTTTGATGGGGTTGTTTGTTTTTTTCTTGTAAATTTGCTTTAGTTCATTGTAGATTCTGGATATTAGCCCTTTGTCAGATAAGTAGGTTGCGAAAATTTTCTCCCACTTTGTAGGTTGCCTGCTCACTCTGATGGTAGTTTCTTTGGCTGTGCAGAAGCTCTTTAGTTTAATTAGATCCCATTTGTCAATTTTGGCTTTTGTTGCCATTGCTTTTGGTGCTTTAGACATGAAGTCCTTGCACATGTCTATGTCCTGAATGGTAATGCCTAGGTTTTCTTCTAGGGTTTTTATGGTTTAGGTCTAACGTTTAAGTCTTTAATCCATCTTGAGTTAATTTTAGAATAAGCTGTAAGGAAGGGATCCAGTTTCAGCTTTCTACATATAGCTAACCAGTTTTCCCAGCACCATTTATTAAATAGGGAATCCTTTCCCCATTGCTTGTTTTTCTCAGGTTTGTCAAAGATCAGATAGTTGTAGATATGCAGCATTATTTCTGAGGGCTCTGTTCTGTTCCATTGAGCTATATCTCTGTTTTGGTACCAGTACCATGCTGTTTTGGTTACTGTAGCCTTGTAGTATAGTTTGAAGTCAGGTAGTGTGATGCCTCCAGCTTTGTTCTTTTGGCTTAGGATTGACTTGGTGATGCGGGCTCTTTTTTGGTGCCATATGAACTTTAAAGTAGTTTTTTCCAATTCTGTGAAGAAAGTCATTGGTAGCTTGATGGGGATGGCATTGAATATATAAATTACATTGGGCAGTATGACCATTTTCACGATATTGATTCTTCCTAACCATGAGCATGGAATGTTCTTCCATTTGTTTGTATCCTCTTTTATTTCATTGAGCAGTGGTTTGTAGTTTCCCTTGAAGAGGTCCTTCACGTCCCTTGTAAGTTGGATTCCTAGGTATTTTATTCTCTTTGAAGCAATTGTGAATGAGAGTTCACTCATGATTTGGCTCTCTATTTGTCTGTTATTGGTGTGTAATAATTCTTGTGATTTTTGTACATTGATTTTGTATCCTGAGACTTTGCTGAAGTTGCTTATCAGCTTAAGGAGATTTTGGACTGAGATAATGGGGCTTTCTAGATATACAACCATGTCATCTGCAAACAGGGACAATTTGACTTCCTCTTTTCCTAATCGAATACCCTTTATTTCCTTCTCCTGCCTAATTGCCTGGGCCAGAACTTCCAACACTATGTTGAATAGGAGTGGTGAGAGAGGGCATCCCTGTCTTGTGCCAGTTTCCAAAGGGAATGCTTCCAGTTTTTGCCTATTCAGTATGATGTTGGCTGTGGGTTTGTCATAAGTAGCTGTTATTATTTTGAGATACATCCCATCAATACCTAATTTATTGAGAGTTTTTAGCATGAAGCGTTGTTGAATCTTGTCAAAGGCCCTTTCTGCATCTATTGAGATAATCATATGGTTTTTGTCTTTGGTTCTGTTTATATGCTGGAGAGGCCTATGCCCACAGAGTCTTGCTGATTGCTAGCACAGCAGTCTGAGATCAAACTGCAAGGTGGCAGCAAGGCTGGGGGAGAGGTGCCCGCCATTGCCCAAACTTGCTTAGGTAAACAAAGCAGCCATGAAGCTCGAACTGGGTGGAGCCCACCACAGCTCAAGGAGGCCTGCCTGCCTCTGTGGGCTCTACCTCTGGGGGCAGGGCACAGACAAACAAAAAGACAGCAGTAACCTCTGCAGACTTAAATGTCCCTGTCCGACAGCTTTGAAGAGAGCAGTGGTTCTCCCAGCACGCAGCTGGAGATCTGAGAACGGGCAAACTGCCTCCTCAAGTGGGTCCCTGACCCCTGACCCCCGAGCAGCCTAACTGGGAGGCACCCCCCAGTAGGGGCACACTGACACATCACACGGCAGGATACTCCTCTGAGACAAAACTTCCAGAGGAACGATCAGACAGCAGCATTCGCGGTTCACGAAAATCCGCTCTTCTGCAGCCACCGCTGCTGGTACCCAGGCAAACAGGGTCTGGAGTGGACCTCTAGCAAACTCCAACAGACCTGCAGCTGAGGGTCCTGTCTATTAGAAGGAAAACTAACAAACAGGAAGGACATCCACACCAAAACCCCATCTGTACATCACCATCATCAAAGACCAAAAGTAGATAAAACCACAAAGATGGGGAAAAAACAGAGCAGAAAAACTGGAAACTCTAAAAAGCAGAGCACCTCTCCTCCTCCAAAGGAACGCAGCTCCTCACCAGCAATGGAACAAAGCTGAATGGAGAATGACTTTGACAAGTTGAGAGAAGAAGGCTTCAGACGATAAAACTACTCCGAGCTACAGGAGGAAATTCAAACCAAAGGCAAAGAAGTTGAAAACTTTGAAAAAAATTTAGACAAATGTAAAACTAGAATAACCAATACAGAGAAGTGCTTAAAGGAGCTGATGGAGCTGAAAGCCAAGGCTCGAGAACTACGTGAAGAATGCAGAAGCCTCATGAGCCGATGCGATCAACTGGAAGAAAGGATATCAGTAACGGAAGATGAAATGAATGAAATGAAGTGAGAAGGGAAGTTTAGAGAAAAAAGAATAAAAAGAAACGGACAAAGCCTCCAAGAAATATGGGACTATGTGAAAAGACCAAATCTACGTCTGATTGGTGTATCTGAAAGTGACGGGGAGAATGGAAGCAAGTTGGAAAACACTCTCCAGGATATTATCCAGGAGAACTTCCCCAATCTAGCAAGGAAGGCCAACATTCAGATTCAGGAAATACAGAGAATGCCACAAAGATACTCCTCGAGAAGAGCAACTCCAAGACACATAACTGTCAGATTCACCAAAGTTGAAATGAAGGAAAAAATGTTAAGGGCAGCCAGAGAGAAAGGTCGGGTTACCCACAAAGGGAAGCCCATCAGACTAACAGCGGATCTCTCGGCAGAAACTCTACAAGTCAGAAGAGAGTGGGGGCCAATATTCAACATTCTTAAAGAAAAGAATTTTCAACCCAGAATTTCATATCCAGCCAAACTAAGCTTCATAAGTGAAGGAGAAATAAAATCCTTTACAGACAAGCAAATGCTGAGAAATTTTGTCACCACTAGGCCTGCCCTAAAAGAGCTCCTGAAGGAAGCACTAAACATGGAAAGGAACAACCAGTACCAGCCACTGCAAAATCATGCCAAATTGTAAAGACCATAGAGGCTAGGAAGACACTGCATCAACTAACAAACAAAATAACCAGCTAACATTACAATGACAGGATCAAATTCACACATAACAATATTAACTTTAAATGTAAAGGGACTAAATGCTCCAATTAAAAGACACAGACTGGCAAATTGGATAAAGAGTCAAGACCCATCAGTGTGCTGTATTCAGGAGACCCATCTCACGTGCAGAGACACACATAGGCTCAAAGTAAAAGGATGGAGGAAGATCTACCAAGCAAATGGAAAACAAAAAAAGGCAGGGGTTGCAATCCTAGTCTCTGATAAAACAGACTTTAAACCAACAAAGATCAAAAGAGACAAAGAAGGCCATTACATAATGGTAAAGGGATCAATTGAACAAGAAGAGCTAACTATCCTAAATATATATGCACCCAATATAGGAGCACCCAGATTCATAAAGCAAGTCCTGAGTGACCTACAAAGAGACTTAGACTACCACACAATAATAATGGGAGACTTTAACACCCCACTGTCAACATAAGACAGATCAACGAGACAGAAAGTTAACAAGGATATCCAGGAATTGAACTCAGCTCTGCACCAAGCAGACCTAATAGACATCTACAGAACTCTCCACCCGAAATCAACAGAATATACATTCTTCTCAGCACCACACCACACCTATTCCAAAATTGACCACATAGTTGGAAGTAAAGCTCTCCTCAGCAAATGTATAAGATCAGATATTATAACAAACTGTCTCTCAGACCACGGTGCAATCAAACTAGAACTCAGGATTAAGAAACTCACTCAAAACTGCTCAACTACATGGAAACTGAACAACCTGCTCCTGAATGACTACTGGGTACATAACAAAATGAAGGCAGAAATAAAGATGTTCTTTGAAACCAACGAGAAAAAAGACACAACATACCAGAATCTCTGGGACACATTCAAAGCAGTGTGTAGAGGGAAATTTATAGCACTAAATGCCCACAAGAGAAAGCAGGAAAGATCCAAAACTGACACCCTAACATCACAATTAAAAGAACTAGAAAAGCAAGAGCAAACACATTCAAAAGCTAGCAGAAGGCAAGAAATAACTAAAATCAGAGCAGAACTGAAGGAAATAGAGACACAAAAAACCCTTCAAAAAATGGATGAATTCAGGAGCTGGTTTTTTGAAAGGATCAACAAAATTGATAGACCGCTAGCAAGACTAATAAAGAGAAAAAGAGAGAAGAATCAAATAGACACAATAAAAAATGATAAAGGGGATATCACCACCAATCCCACAGAAATACAAACTACCATCAGAGAATACTACAAACACCTCTACGCAAATAAACTAGAAAATCTAGAAGAAATGGATAAATTCCTTGACACATACACCCTCCCAAGACTAAACCAGGAAGAAGTTGAATCTCTGAATAGACCAATAACAGGCTCTGAAATTGTGGCAATAATCAATAGTTTACCAACCAAAAAGAGTCCAGGACCAGATGGATTCACAGCCGAATTCTACCAGAGGTACAAGGAGGAATGGTACCATTCCTTCTGAAACTATTCCAATCAATAGAAAAAGAGGGAATCCTCCCTAACTCATTTTATGAGGCCAGCATCATCCTGATACCAAAGCCTGGCAGAGACACAACCAAAAGAGAGAATTTTAGACCAATATCCTTGATGAACATTGATGCAAAAATCCTCAATAAAATACTGGCAAACCGAATCCAGCAGCACATCAAAAAGCTTATCCACCATGATCAAGTGGGCTTCATCCGTGGGACGCAAGGCTGGTTCAATATACGCAAATCAATAAATGTAATCGAGCAGAGATTTCTTAACCCCAAAAGCACAGGCAATGGAAGCAAAAATAGACAAATGGAATTGCATCAAACTAAAAAGCTTCTGCAGGAAGGAAAGGAAACAGTTAGCAGGTTAAAGAGACAACCCACAGATTGGGAGAAAATATTTGCAAATTACGCATTGGATAAAAGGCTAGTATCTAAAATATGCATGGAACTCAAACCCCTCAATAATAAGAAAACAAATGATCCTATTAAAAATGGGCAGACGACTTAAATACACATTTCTCAAAGGAAAACATAAAAGTGGTCAACAGATATATTAAAAAAGGCTCAAAATCTCTGATTATCAAAGAAATGCTAATTAAATCACAATGAAATATTATCTTACACCTGATAGACTGGCTATTATCGAAAACATGAAAACTAGCAAGTGTTGATGAGGATGTGGAGCAGAGGGAACCCTTGTACATTGTTGATGGTATTGTTAATTCATACAGTTATTTTGGAAAACAGTATGAATGTTACTAAAAATCTAAAATTACCACACAGTCCAGCAATTCCACTTTTGAGTATATAGTCAAAGGAATTAATATCAGTATGTCAACAAGATGTCTGAACTCCCACGTTCACTGCCGCATTATTAATAAAGCCAATATTTGAAAACAACTTACATGCCCATCAACAGATGAATGGATTTTGACAATGTGGTATATATAAACAATGGAATACTATTCAGCCTTTGAAAGGCAGGAAATTTTGTCATTTATGACAACATGGATTAACCTAAAGGACATTCTGCTACAGGAAATAAGTCAGACACAAAGCAACAAATACTGCATGATCTCTCTTATATGTGCAATTTAAAAAGGCAAAGTGATAGAAATACAGAGTACAGTGATGGCTACCAAAGGCTGGGCTAGGAGGATGGACAAAGAAAGGGGAGATGTTGGTCAAAGAGTACAAAGTTTCAGTTAGATAGAAGAAATAGGTTCTTGTGATCTATTACACTACATCGTAAGTAAATATAGTTAGAAAATAATATATTTTATATTTCCAAATAGCTAAAAGAATTGATTTTAAGTGCTCCCACAATGAAGAAAGGATAAGCATTTGAGATGACAGATATGTTAATTAGCCTGATTTGATCATTCCACAAGGTATGCTTGCATCAAAATGTCACTTTGTATCCCGTAAATAAATACAACCATTATTTGTCTATTAAAGATAAAATATTACTTAAGAAAAAAAAGATAGGCGAATTCCCCTTGAGGAAGGGCACTGAATACCACAGTAAGTGTGTATAGTAGTGATTCCTCTAGTTCTTCCCCAAAGGGACCAATTGCCAGAATTTTCCAGAAGTGGTTAACGGTAGTATCAGTATTTGGTTAAGAAGAATACCTAGATCTATTGAGAAATCTTTAAAAAATTCAGAAATGTTTTACTTACATTTATTTATTGGATTTTTAAAGCATAACTATTATATTTGTATACACATTTGTACATTAAAATGTAAATAGCCTCTTTATTAATTTTCTTGCAAAATCAAGAAAATAAAAAAAAACCACCATGATTTGACTACTTACGTGTAAGCAATATTAATATTTGGCTACATTTCTTAGATTTTTGCCATATATACATATGCACCATATGTATCATTGTTTGAATGCATAGATAGTGCAGGATTATTCATTCATAAATTGTAGAAGAAAATAATGTGAACAAAGGCTTGGTGAAAGTTAATATCAATTCTGAGTTTCCAGCTAACTATTTCCACCAACCTTCCACATTTACTTATTGGATTTAAAGTGTTAATTTTTTTTAAGAAAACAGACCCTCCAAATTCTAAGTGTTAAAGCAAAAATTCAAGTGACTCAAATTCTGTGAAGAGAATATAAACATTATATCCATGTAATAGTACATTTTTTGTTGTGGAAATTAGTTGTACATGTGGTACATATACACCAAGGAATACTATGCACCCATAAAAAGGAACAAGAGCATGTCCTTTGCAGGGACATGGATGGATCTAGAACCTGTTATCCTCAGCAAACTAACACAGGAACAGAAAACCTAACACTGCATATTCTTACTTATATGGGGGAGCTGAATGATGAGAACACATGGTCACATGAGGGGTAACAACATACACTAGGGTGTATTGGTGGGCCAAGGGGAAGGAGAGCATCAGGAGGAATAACTAATGGATGCTGAGCTTAATACCTCGGTGATGGGTCGATCTGTGCAGCAAACCACCATGCCACTCGTTTACCTATGTAACAAACCTGCACATCCTGTACATGTATCCCAGAACTTAAAATAAAAGTTGATGAAGACAAAAAGAATTATTCAGTTGTCTTTTGTGATTATACAAGTAACCTATAATAATAGATAAAAAAAATTATAAACAATAAATTGAAAATATGCAATTAGCCTTCTAAAGATAAATGATATGATATTTGATATATAGCTTTCAAATTTTTCTAGACATATTTATAAACATACACCATATGTATTTTATACAGCTCTACTCTATATAGTGTTCTGTAATTTGGTTTGCTCCCTTAACAATGCACCACAAAGACCTTTCCATGTCCATATGTGAATAACAAAACTGTCATCTTGACATCTACCCAGTGTTCTATTATGATGTTTTAAACTTTATTTAGCCTAGTATTTATTCATTTATTCAATAAATATTTATTGAACACCTATTACATACCAGGCCCAGCTTTTGCTTTAGAGATATGTATTAAGCCAACCTTGTATTGCTATAAAGAAATACATGAGACTGAGTAATTTAAAAGAAAAGAGATTTAATTGGCTCATGGTTCTGCCAGCTGCACAACAAGCATAGGGACATGTACTGCTGAGGGAGGGCCTCAGGGATCTTTTACTCATGGTGGAAAATGAAGCAGTAGCTGGTACTTCACATGGCAAAAGCAGGAGCAAGTGAGAGAGGAAGCTCAGGGGAGCTGTCGCACACTTTTAAACAACCAGATCTCGTGTGAAGTCAGAGCCAGAGCCCACTTCTCTCCAAAAGGATGGCCCAAGCCCTTCATGAGGGATCCGCGCCATGATCCACATACCTCCCACCAGACCCCATCTCCAACACAGGGAATTACATTTCAACATGAAATTTAGGTGGGAGCAAATATCCAAGATATATTAGATAGATTATAAAAGAGAAATAGCTCCTCTTTTGGAGTTTATATTCTAGGTGATTAATGCAAGCATAAAAAAAGTAAATACTATCTACATCAGGTATCTGTAACTCCAAGAAAAAAACATAAGGCAAGGCAAAGAAGATAGGACATAATGGAGTTGTAGGGGTAAGAATTACTATTTTATATAGGTCAAGTAAGTAAAGCAACTGCAGAAACAAGACACTCAGAATAAGTAATGAGAGATTACAACTAGAGGAAAGAATGATTGCAAAAGCCTTGAGATTAAGTATGTGCTTGATGTGTTCACAGACCAGCTATTGGGCAACTGTGGCCGGGCAGAATTGGCAAGGGGCAGAATGGACAGGGGCCAGAGAGGCTGTGGGGCCAGATCCTATGGGAATTTACAGACATATAGTAAGGACTTTAGTTTTTTACTTGAATAAAATAAGGACCCCTTGGAGAGTATTGAGTAGTGATAGAGTTTTATTGACATTTTTAAGGGATTATAATTCCTTTCTTGTAGAGAATAAACCATAGGGAATTAAGGTGAAAGTAGGAAACCTAGTTGGGAAGCTAGCAGGACGCATTAAAAATATAAGATCACGAAGATATTGAAAAAACAAACAGAAATGACTGGAGAAGTGAAAGGAAATCCATGAGAACAGGGCATCCTAGAAGCCAAACAAGGAAAGTGTTTCAAGGAGAAGGGAGTAATTAACTACAAAAAAGTAAAATGAGAACAAAATTACTGATATAGCAAAGTAGAGGTCCCATGTGACCATAATAAGACAAATATTTGGGGGAATTGGTGAGGAAGATCTAGATGAAGTGGATTCAGGATCAAATTGAAGCAGAGGAATTTCTGATCCAGGTAGTCTCTCTTTCAAGGGAATTTGCTATAAAGAGAAGCAGAGAATTGAGGCAGTATCTGGAGAGAGATGTGAGGTCAACAGAGAGATACTGGAAATACCAGGTTATACTTGTTCCATACCTAAAGCAGTTTTCTGACTAAAAATAAAAATCAAATTAGTTTTTAAGTTACATCTATAATACAACTTTTGCTGTTTGCTATCATCTGTCTTTCTCTAAATTAGAAGTCCCTGCCAGAGACCAGCTTTCTCCTTCCTTGTTGTGGTGTTATTTCTAGTTTTTCTCTCTCATCCATATTCTAAATTGGTCTGATGCTTTTACTGGAATTAATACAATATTATTTCATTTTATTTTTTTTCTTTTAAGAAATTTAAAATTTTGAGATGGAGTCTCTCTGTGTTGCCTAGGCTGGTCTCAAACTCCAAGTCCTCCTTTGGGAGGTCCTCCTGCCTAGATTTCCCAAAGCACTGGGATTGCAGGCATGAGCCATGGCTCCCAGATTGCTATATTATTTTTAAGCAGATCACCTTACCTTCATTTTAATCCCTTTCCTTAAAGGACTTTGTCTATTTAATGGAATAATTGTAAAAACTTTTCCAATGGCTTTTATTCTTTTTCTTCTTCTATAGATTTCTAAATAAATTTAACTTTTGATTGATGTAAAGTCGGTCTCCAATGCATAATTTACAAATAGTTGACTTACTACAAATAGAATTTAGCATTAATGATATTTGTACCTGTTACCTTCCAATTTAATCTGACCTTATATTCATTAAGTTGCTCAGAAAAAAAATTTCCTTTTGAGGGTCATCCGATTGCCTATTTTGCACAATACTACTTTCCTCTCCTTGTATTCCTCCCCATTTTATTCTATTTGCATTTCTCTCCATGTTTCCCATTCATCAGTTTTTTTTTCTGTTGCTGTGTGTAAATAACCCCCCAAAACTTATGTGCTTTAAAACAACAATAATGATTTACTGTCATTCATGGTGTCTGTGGATTTGGAATTTGAGAGTGGCTTGGCTGGATGGTTCTGGCTCAGGGACTCTTTTGAGGTTTCAATCAGACAATTATTTCAGAGGGATGATCTTGAAAGCCTTTTCTCCACTTGTTTGGTGCCTGAATTGGGAGGCCTTGAACCTCTGAGACCCCTTGAACATAATCTCAATGTCTGTGTAATTTCTCCACTTGGTCTACCCAGTAGATAAACTTTAGGATAGCTGAGCTTCTTGCAAATAAGCTCATGGTTTCCAAGGCACATGTTCCAAGAAAGAGTCAAATGAAAGCCATTATTTTCTTGTGTGTATTAGCCTTTGAAATCATCCAGCATCACTCCTACTGCAATCTGTTGATCAAGGCAATTACAAAGTTTCATTTGGTTTCAAGGGAGGGGACATAGGCCCCACCTCCATATGGAAGAGCGTCAATACAGCATGGTAAAAACAGCTTGTGGAATGAGATATATATTGGTGTAGCCATCTTTGAAAGATACAGTCTGCCACATCTCTCAAGCACCAATCTCCTTCTTCCTTGACTCATGTTTCTCACTCTAATTATGTTCTTACACTTCAACATAATCTCCAGGCTTGTATGATTTTCTTATTTTCTAATCATCTCCTGGCTTCACTTCCTTGCCTTCTAGTCTGACCCTCTGGTTAGTAATTTCTTCCCACTCTTCAGTACCCTCAGATGTGTGTCCCTTGTGATCCTTAAGTACTCTAAATATAGTCTGCCCTCAGTAAATGTGGGCTCTGTATCCATAGATTCAGCCAACTGTGGATCAAAAACAATTTTTTTTTAAAAAAGGCATCTGTTACTGAACATATACATATATTTTTTATTGTCATTATTCCCTAAATAATACAACAACTATTTCCACAGTCATTTATAATGCATTCGGTATTATAAGTACTTTAGAAATGACTTAAATTATAAAGAGGGTGTGTGTAAGTTATATGCAAATATTTTGCCATTTTATATAAGGGACCTGAGCATTTGTGAATTTAGGTATCCATAGGGAGTCCTGGAACTAATTCCTCATGGATGCCAAGGGACAACTGTATGTCAATTTCCAAGTTTAATTATCTCTCCTTCTCCCCTACTGAATTATACTAAAAAAATTGCATTACTGAGTTTTTTGGCCTTATAATTAGCATTATTTTAAATTCTATTCTTAACCAGTATATTGACACTGCCCAACAGTACTTCCTCAATTAGTTACTAATATCCGTGCTCCTAGGATGGCTATTACAAACATTTGCCATATTTATGAAATCATCTTTTCACAATTCTCTGTCATTAGCAGAAAATTCAGCTGCTGCTAACAGAAATTTCTCTTATCTGACCTAATCCCTCCAACATTTAATTTTTAAAATTCTATGTTTTAGTTTATTTATTTTTATAATTTTAAAAAACATTAAGAACATATAATACTCCACATTTTTGTCTTTTATTGGTATAGCTGCTTTCCATCCATTGTGTTTAAAGTCTTCTCTTTTTTTGTTATTTTTAAGTTAATAATGTCATTTCAATTTTGATTTTATTCTAAATCTAGTATTATTTAAAATCACAGTCTTAACTTTTTAGGCTGACATTGATTTATACTGACATTATTTATACATATTATATGTTAACAATGGATCTAAGTGTTTAATACATGTGAGTCATTTATTCCTCAAAAAAAAAAAACACTGATGATGTACAAACTATTGTTATCCTAATATTACTGAAAATTAAGACGAGGTAGAGAGAAGATAATTAACTTTCCCAAATCACAAAACTAGGAGAACTAGAGCTTATGTTCACAACCACAATATGATACTTCTTCCATTTTTACCCAATGTTACTAAATTATTAAGTTGGCTTATAATATCTCTACTTTCCTTGCTTTACCAAGGTTTTCTGAGTGGCCAAATTATTAATTATTGTAAATGTATAACATTTTAAGAAGAAATCGTATATTCTTATTTTGTAGGCTACAAAGTATTGTATACTTGTAATAGATACACATTATTTTAGTTTGATATATTACTTTCTGCAATAGATATATTCTTGTTACCTGATAATTTGCATTTTATCAAGGTATTTTAGTTTTACATGGTTTATGTTTTGTTAATATAATTTCAAGTTTATAAAAGTTTGTCACCATTGATTGTACATTTATCCTTATTTAATGTCCCTCTTTGTCATGTTTTCACCTTAAATTTTACTTTGTCTAATGACAGCAACATCTGACTTTATTTTTGCTTTGACTTCCCTGGGAGATCTTTGCACTTAAATTTAGTTTTATTTTTTCCTAATCACCTTAAATACACTTTTTATAAACAATGTATGGCTGGAATTTATTTTACTAGGGTTATTCAATCCATTTATTTTTACTCTAATAAAATATAGTTGCTTTTATGCTTTCTTAGTAATTTTGTGATGACATTTTTCTTACTCTTGCATGCCTTGTTCAAATTCTCTTTTTCTCCCCAATTCTCTACCAGTTTTCAGATTTTTATCTTAAATTTTTTGAAGTTTTTAGTCCCAGGCTGCTAAGAAGCTTTTCCTCAACTATTACTCCTTGTTTTCAAGGATCTTAACATTTATTTTCCAGAAATGTAATCATTATTGCAGAAGGTACTGTTAGTTTCCTATCAGATATCTGTTATTATTTTCCCCCTAATTTTATTTGAAGTGATGTCATGTGCCTTTCTGTTCCTTCTTCCTTTTCTCTTTCTTGCTACAATTTGGGCATAAAAAATGGAGCTTCAGTAGTCACCTTGCACATAAGGCAATCCTGAGGAGGAAACCCTCCCTCTAAGGATATGGGGCAGAAACACAGGAGCCTGGCACCTTGAGAATGGGAAACCCACAAACAAATCTTCCCCCGCAACCCCCCAGATTGCATATAAGTGAAAGCAAGTAAACTTTCGCTTTTTAAAGCCAGTCATTTAAACTTTCTGTTTTCTGTAGCTAAAGTTAATCCTATCCAATAAAAAATCAATTTTTGACTTGACTCTGTTAATGTATATGCAAATGTGAATATTTACGTCATGAGATGCAGCTTAGCCTAATTCTTGTCAAGTTCATTTTTCCTGTTTTGAGATCTCAGTTCAATTGTATTTTAGTTTAAATGCTTCAAAAAAAATATTCCTGGGAAATAGTCTCTGACTTATTAAATGTCCCAATATGTCACCCTTTGGTTTGACACATTCTGGGTTCAGAATCCACAGACCCCTGATTCTGCTGCTGCCAAAGCACAGATTTCAAGATGCGAGGGACTGCACGCTTGGAGTACTGTGGTGGGTTGTTAAAATCTCAACTGACAGAAAGGTAGCTCCTGAGAAGTAACAACCCAAGTGTAGGCTGGGCCAGCAAAGAGCTTCTAAGGCTTGGACTTAGGACAGGTTTTGATGTGAGACACTCCGGGAAGTGTATAACACGAGTAGAGAAAATGTGGCCTGTTTTCTTCTTATTACAGAAGACACACACACTCACAAACCCACACTCAAAGAGAGAAAGGGGGAGAGAACGGAACCCTCAAAACCTACACTTGTACATGAAGGCCAGTATTGGCAGGAGAGCAGCTAGCAGAGCAGGCTGTGGTGGGCCAGGTGGTGGCAGATTCTTGGCTCTAAGACCAGCAGATTGGCAGCAGTGTTAGGGTCTTGAGGCAACATATGCCAGAAGGAAAAGGTGGGGGTCATTGTTTGGGGAAAAAGAGAAAGAAAGCATTTCAAAGACTGAACTTCTATGTGTGATCCTAACTCTGCCTCCCCCATCAACCTACACACAGACAATAAAAAAAGCATGTTAACAATGGGAGGACAACTTCACAAATGTATCTAAAGCACCTAGTCCTCTTAGCTACTGGAAAAGCACCTCTGTGTTAAAGCGGATGGTGGCTGGGATCCATTGTAAATAGAATTAAACATTAATGTGGCCTCTCTTATTCCACAAATCTTCATCTAGATATGAAATCTAGTGTTTATTTTCCAGCCCCATTGCCACTGCCTTGGTTTAGTTCCAAATCATGTTTCATGAGGATGAATACTCCCATAAAAACCTATTTGAGATCTAAACTTTTGAGGCCCAGCTTTCAAATTCACCCGCTGTAATGCTATTATTATGCTCCCCAGAACACAAATCTAACTATGTCACTCCTCTGTATAGAATTTTTAAATTCTTCCTCATTGTATACCACAAGTTTCAAATGTCCTTGAATATTATAAAATGCTTTTTACTATCTACCCTTTTCCTGCTGTTCAATTCTATTTTCTGCCATGGGCTCCCATTTTCCTTTTAAATTATGTGTAATTTCCTGAAGGGTTCGTGCTGTTTCATACCCCATCCCATTGTGGATCTGTCCTTGTGGCCAGAGTGGCCTTCCCCACCTCTGCCTTTAAACTACAGCAAAGCCTCTCCCAAAGCCACTTAACTCTAGGCAGAGCCAGAAGATTTTGTCCTGTCTAATCTCTAGCACCTAAAAAATGCATTTTTGACTTTGTTTACGTTCTTCTTTACAAAACAGTTAGCTTAATGCAGGCAGAGATTTAATCCTTTTGATCTGTATATCCCTTCTTAGTAGAGTGTTTAGGTAAGTAGTAAATACTATTTTTTTTTTCTTCATTAACAAGATCTCCACTTGTTCTTAGCACTTTTAACAATTGACTGAAATAGGCCAGGTGTGGTGGCTCATGCCTGTAATCCCAGCACTTTGGGAGGCCGAGGGGGTCAGATCATGAGGTGAGGAGATCGAGACCATCCTGGCTAACACAGGTGAAACCCCGTCTCTACTAAAAATACAAAAAATTAGTCGGGCATGGTGGCGGGTGTCTGTAGTCCCAGCTACTCAGGAGGCTGAGGCAGGAGAGTGGTGTGAACCCAGGAGGCAGAGCTTGCAGTGAGCCGATATCGTGCCACTGCACTCCAGGCTGGGTGACTGAGTGAGACTCCATCTAAAAAAAAAAAAAAAAAAAATTGAGTGATAGGGGCTTTTTTATTTATTAACCTATTCAACAAGTTTATTGAGGGTCTACATCTTATGAGGCACTGTGCTAGGCCCAGTACATGACTCACAAATTTCTCAAATATAACATAGTTCTTGTCTACAAACTTAGGTCCTAATAACTTAAGTCCTAATAGGGAAAAACATGCCCAAATTAAAAGGCTAAGATCTACAATTAATTGAGAAGAAAACTAGTACTGCAAGATTCTAAAGTGATATCTAGCAGGTTATTGAATTAAAATTTTGAGAGAGGACAATTTTATATATACATATAGAAAAAATATTTACTTTTTCAATCTTAAGAAAATTGCAACTGAGATGTTCATCAAGACCTGAAATCCATCAAATGGAAAAGGATTTTAAATGTAGTTGGCATTTCCAAGGACCAAACTAAGAAAGCAATTCCATTTATAATAGCTACAAAAAGATAAGATAAAGTAAAATGCCTGGGAATACATTTCACCAAAGAGGTAAAAGATATCTATAAGGAGAACTACAAAACACTGATGGAAGAAAACCCTAGATGACAAAAACAAATGGAAAAATATCCCTGGCTCATGGATTAGAGATTCAATATTATTAAAATGACCATGCTGTCTAAAGCAGTCTACTGATTCGACACAATCCCTATCAAATTACCAATGCCATTTTTCATAGAATTAGAAAAAAATCCTAAAATTCATATAAAACCAAAAAAAAGAGTCCAGAAAGCCAAAGCAATTTTATTTTATTTTATTTATTTATTTTTATTATACTTTAAGTTCTAGGGTACATGTGCACAATGTGCAGGTTTGCTACATATGTATACATGTGCCATGTTGGTGTGCTGCACCCATTAACTCGTCATTTACATTAGGTATATCTCCTAATGCTATCCCTTCCCCCTCCCCCCATCAATGATAGACTGGATTAAGAAAATGTGGCACATATACACCATGGAATACTACGCAGCCATAAAAAAGGGTGAGATTATGTCCTTTGTAGCGACATGGACAAAGCTGGAAACCATCATTCTCAGCAAACTCTCACAAGGAAAAAAAGCCAAAGCAATTTCAAACAAAAAGAACAGAGTTGTTGGCATCATATTATGACTTCAAATTATGCTACAAAGCTATAGTAACCAAAACAACATGGTACTAGTATAAAAATGTACACATTGATGAATAGAACAGCATAGAGAACCTAGAAATAAAACCACACACCTATAACCAACTGATTTTTAACAAAGTCAACTAAAACATTTACTGGGTAAATGACTCCCTATTCAATAAATGGTGCTGGGAAAACTGGATAGCCATATGTAGAAGATTGAAACTGGACACCTACCTCTGACCAGCTACAAAAATTAACTCAAGATAGATTAAAGACCTAAACATAAGACCCGAAACTATAAAAATACTATAAGAAAGCCTGGAAAAAAATCTTCAGGACATTTGCCCAGGCAAAAAATTATGACCTAGTCCTCAAAGGCAAATGCAACAAAAACAAAAATAGACAAATGGGACTTAAACTAAAGTTTCTGGACAGAAAAATAAACAATCAACAGAGTGAACAGACAAACTACAGAATGGGAAAAAAATTGTAAACTATGCAGCTGACAAAGGAATAATTTTCAGAATCTACAAGGAACTCAAACAACTCAAAGAAAAAAAAAAACAAATAACCCCATTAAAATGTGGGCAAAGAACACAAACTTTTTTTCAAAAGAAAACATGCATGCCACTAGCATAGTGATGTTGAGACAATGCTCAACATCACTAATCATCAGAGAAAATTAAAATCACAATAAAATATTATTTCACACTAGTCAGAATGGCTGTTATTAAAAAGTCAATAAGCAAAGGATGTTTGTGAGGATGCAGAGAAAAGGGAATGCTTATACACTTTTGGTGGAAATGTAAACTAGTACAACCTTTATGGAAGACAGTATGGAGATTTCTCAAAGAACTAAAAATAGAACTACCATTAGATCCAGAAATCCCACTACCTGGTATATATCCAAAGGGAAAGAAATCATTATATTACAAAGATACCTGCACTTACATGTTTATCACAATAGCAAAAATGTGGACTAATCTAAGTGTCCATCAACAGAGGGTTTGATAAAGAAAATTGAGATACACACACATACATATAATGGAGCCATAAAAAAGAATAAAATCATAACTTTTGCAGCCATGTAGATGGAACTGGAGGCCATTATCCTAAGTAAAATAACTCAGAAACAGAAAGTCAAATGCTGCATGTGTTCACTTATAAGTGGAAGCTAAACAATAGGTACACAGGCATACAGAGTGGGATAATAGACCTTGGGTACTACAAAAGATGGGAGGGTGGGTGGATGAGAGTTGAAAAATTACTTATTTGGTACAAGTTCACTGTTCAGATGATGACTACAGTAAAAGCCCAGACTCCACCACTATGCAATATAGGCATGTAAGAAATCTGTACTCATACACCCTAAATATATAAACATAAAAAAATTAAAGTATCTGGCATTTCAAAAATCTTTTCTGAGAGACTTTTGAATACAAATTATTAATGTGATGTGTTATGGCATAGAGGGTTACCAAATTTCATTTGGGAGATTTTGAGATATATATAGTGGAGATATTCACTCTTCAGCTCTGACACAGGCAGAAACAAGTTGTTCAATCATCTGTGGAATTTGGAGCCAGTACAATCTCTTCCATAGAAGCCACAGTCTGGGAGACTGGGACCCCAAATCTGCATTTGTACCTTAACCATATTTTCAAGTTCAAGTCCACTCTCTGTGTTACAGGTTAGAATTTTTTAGAAAGAAATAACTTGTTAACATGATATAAACTTAAATGTATCTGAAGCTAGTTTTCAGTTTTGCATAATATTTAACCCTTTAAACTTTTCCAAGTACTTTTATTTTTGTGCTTTCTTTTTTTTTATTATTATACTTTAAGTTCTGGGATACATGAGCAGAACATGCAGGTTTGTTACATAGGTATACACATGCCATGGTGGTTTGCTGCACCCATCAACCCGTCATCTACATTAAGTATTTCTCCTAATGCTATCCCTCCCCTAGCCCCCATTCCCCAATAGGCCCCGATGTGTAATGTTCCCCTCCCTGTGTCCATGTGTTCTCATTGTTCAACTGCCACTTATGAGTGAGAACATGTGGTGTTTGGTTTTCTGTTCCTGTGTTAGTTTACTGAGAATGATGGTTTCCAGCTTCATCCATGTCCCTGCCAAGGACATGAATTCATCCTTTGTTTATGGCTGCATAGTGTTCTATGCTGTATATTATATGTGCCACATTTTCTTTATCCAGTCTATCACTGATGGGCATTTGGATTGGTTCCAAGTCTTTGCTATTGTGAGTACTGCTGCAAAAAACATACATGTGCATGTGTCTTTATAGTAGAATGATTTATAATCCTTTGGGTATGTACCCAGTAATGGGACTGCTGGGTCAAATGGTATTTCTGGTTCTAGATCCTTGAGGAATCGCCACACTGCTTTCCACAATGGTTGAACTAATTGACACCTCCACCAACAGTGTAAAAAGCATTCCTATTTCTCCACATCCTCTCCAGCATCTGTTGTTTTCTGACTTTTTAATGATCACCATTCCAACTGGCGTGAGATGATGGCTCATTGTGGTTTTGATTTGCATTTCTCTAATGACCAGTGATGATGAGCTTTTTTTCATATGTTTGTTGGCTTTGCCGTTCTTTTTTGTGCTTTGTAACGGACTTTATTTTTTTATTTTATTTTTTTATTTTTGAGACGGAGTCTCGCTCTGTCGCCCAGGCTGGAGTGCAGTGGTGAGATCTCGGCTCACTGCGAGCTCCACCTCCTGGGTTCATGCCATTCTCCCACCTCAGCCTCTCGAGTAGCTGGGACTACAGGCACCCGCCACCTCGCCTGGCTAATTTTTTTTTTTTTTTTTGTATTTTTAGTAGAGATGGGTTTTCACCGTGTTAGCCAGGGTGGTCTCAATCTCCTGACCTTGTGATCCACCCGCCTTGGCCTCCCAAAGTGCTGGGATTACAGGCGTGAGCCACCGCGCCGGGCCTCTAACAGACTTTACTTATATTTATTTCTTCCAAAAACCATTTAAGTAAAAAGTACAATTTTAAAACATTAAAATGACAGGAAATAGAGACAGATAGGAATATAAAGAGAAGCCAGACAGAATTAGCACATACAATGTTTGTCATGATAGCCTGTATGCAAAGATGGGACTCGGCATGCTACAGATCTGCCTCTAATCCTTCCAGCAGGCAATTTGAACAGCAAGCACAATTTTTAAAAATACTCTATTGTGCAATGTTCTTAAGAAGAAAGCAAGAAAAGTACAAGTATTCCTGGCACTAAGTCCAGGCAGAAATTTCTTTTTATATATTCTTTTATATAACCTTGGAATGTCATGAGCAATGTCCTCAATACTTTTTTTTCTTTTTTCTTTTTTTTGAGATGGAGTCTCACTCTGTCACCCAGGCTGGAGTGCAGTGGCGCCACCTAGGCTCACTGCAAACTCCGTCTCCTGGGTTCAAGGGACTCTCCCGCCTCAGCCTCCTGAGTAGCTAGGATTACAGATGCGTGCCATCATACCTGGCTAATTTTTGTATTTTTTATTAGAGACAGGGTTTTACCGTGTTGGTCAGGCTGGTCTCTAACTCCTGACCTCGTCATCCTCCCACCTTGGCCTCCCAAAGTGCTGGGATTACAGGTGTGAGCCACCACACCCGGCCTTATACTTTTAAGTAAACATAATAACATGTTCTTATATTCTTTTTGCAAAGCTTCTCAATGAAGGGTGCTATCATCATACCAACGTGATGGGATACACACACACACACTCACATACAGTGCAATAAGAGGACACATCTCCAACAAGGGTTAATATAAGGATATAGTTTAAATAAGCTGGAGGAAAAGAAAGGCAGCCTAATCTTACAGAATATTCTCCACAAATATTATTTACTGTTATAGCTTTTGACATGCAAAGAATAGTTGTGAGTTCCATAAGTTTTTCTAAGTACCTCCAGTTGGTTTCTGAAAAACCATTTGGAAATCCATTTATAGGTAAGTCCAAAGTAACGCCATCTGGTGGTGGTAGAAAGAGTTTTGCTTTGGCTTAGAACTTTTTTGTGATCAAACAGTGTTAGTTACAAATTTGAAACTGGGAGAATGTCTCTGAATCTTGACAAGAGCCAGTAATGCAGTTATGTTACCAGACAAGAACCAAGTCGTATAATTTAGCTCTTAGAAAACTGAGATTGTGTTAATATATTTTGAACATTAAGAAGCCAAAAAGGACAGTGGCTTGAATAAAACTCTGCCTGATCCAGTCAGAATCAGGCAAAGGGGCCCCAATCAGAAGTGGACAGAGGAGCCCACAGACTACAAACATTCTCCTCAATTATAATGAAGTCTGCTCTAAAACATATAAGTGGTTGACTTCCTAGAATCCCAGATGATAAATCAATGGTCAAATGCTAGTCTAGATCAATTAAATCAGAATCCTTGAGTTTCATCTCAGACTAAATAGTGTATTGGGGGTGGTATCAAAGAATCTGCATTTTTAACAAGAATCTCAGGGGAGTTTGAAGCAGAAATGGCTTGGTAGTCCATGCCAGAAAATCCTGATGATATAGTTTGGATAGTCGTCCCTTCCAAATCTCATGTTGAAATGAGACCCCCAGTGTTGGAGGTTGGGCCTAGTGGGAGGTATTTGGTCATGAGGGCAAATCCTTCATGAATGGCTTGGTGCCATCCCCCGGGTATTGAGTGAGTTATCACTCTGTTAGTTCATGTGAGAGCTGGTTGTTAAAAAGTGCCTGGTACGTCTCCTCTCTCTTGTGCTTCCTCCCTCTCTTGCCATGTGGCACGCTGGCTCCCCTTGCCTTCTGGCATGAGTAAAAGCTTCCTGAGAGCATTACCAGAAGCAGATGCTGATGTCATGCTCTTTGTACAGCCTGCAGAACCATAATCCAAATAAACCTCTTTTCTTTATAAATGACCCAGCATTAGGTAGTCCTATATGGCAACTCAAAACAGACTAACACACCTGGTCACAATATTTTTAGCTTGGAAACAAGGTATAAGCAAACATCCCAGTAAATCACGCACATAAAGCCCAGCTTTAAATATTACTAGTTTGTTATAAGTTCCAAGATCATCTGGTTGAATAATAAACACAACCTGATTGGATAAAGTGTCTCATTAAATAGGAGACTCTGATTTACACTAGCTAAAAATCTTAGAGTGGGGGCATCAAATTGTACAAACATTGGTTGATGGTTTTATTGAGGTATAGCTATAGAAAATAATGTTATTTAATTAAAATATGTTATTTAAAGCTCTTTTTTGATAGTAGTAGCTAGAAGGCTGTTTCAATCGTCTATTCTGGACACTCCTAGTGGCAACATGAACTTGCAATATGTATGTAAAATATTAACTATTATTCTGTGTTCTGTAACAGGAAAAAGGATCCTAAATTCATCATAGTTAAACCTTTTATTAAACCAAAATTTTCAAATACTTAAAGGAGGAAAAAGAACTCATTAATGTGTAACCCCATTGAAAAATCTTGTTAAGGGAACATCTTGACTGACTCTGGCTCTTAAGAAAGTACTGAACTTCAAAACTGACATAAGCATTCGTACGGAGCAGGACTTACCCACACTGTCTGAGAAATAAAGAGCTAGGAAGATGGCTCCAGTTATCTGAACAAGTTGCATTTAGGGCTTTTTTTTTTTAAATTATATTTTAAGTTCTAGGGTACACGTGCACAACGTGCAGGTTTGTTACATATGTATACATGTGCCATGTTGGAGTACTGCACCTATTAACTCATCATTTACATTAGGTATTTCTCCTAATGCTATCCCTCCCTCCTACCCCCACCCCATGATAGGCCCCGGTGTGTGATGTTCCCCACCCTGTGTCCAAGTGTTCTCATTGTTCAATTCCCACCTATGAGTGAGAACATGCGGAGTTTGGTTTTCTGTCCTTGCGATAGTTTGCTCAGATGGCTGCATAGTATTCCATGGTGTATATGTGCCACATTTTCTTAATCCAGTCTATCATTGATGGATATTTGGGTTGGTTCCAAGTCTTTGCTATTGTGAATAGTGCCGCAATAAACATACGTGTGCATGTGCCTTTATAGTAGCATGATTTATAATCTTTTGGGTATATACCCTGTAATGGGATGGCTGGGTCAAATGGTATTTCTAGTCTAGATCCTTGAGTAATTGCCACACTGTCTTCCACAATGGTTGAACTAGTTTACGCTCCCAGCAACAGTGTAAAAGTGTTCATATTTCTCCACATCCTCTCCAGCAAGTGTTATTTCCTGACTTTTTAATGATCGCCATTCTTCTGGTGTGAGATGGTATCTCATTGTGGTTTTGATTTGTATTTCTCTGATGGCCAGTGATGATGAGCATTTTTTCAGGGCTGGTTTTAACCTGCATGTAAGTTGATCAGTGATAAGCATGAAAGAATCTCCTACAAGAATACATGGTATGTTGTTAACTTTTGAATCACAGATTACTGCCAATGGAATGAGGGAAGTATTTTTCTTTCTCAATCCTCTTAATTCTATGATCTCACTCCATTATGGTTATGTGCAAAGTAAGTTATAAGAAGAACACAATTTAGGGACAAGAAGGTAAGAAAGAGATGGGTTCTTTCAACAACAGGAATGTAACAATCATGAGGTAGCATTTGAAGCTGAATATTCATAGTCTATTGGAAACAAAACAAAACATGCAAACAAATGAAACATGGTTGATAGATACTTTCTTGTAATAATACATTCTGAAGGCCTAGACTACATTTTCGCATAAAGTGTGCTTTTAGAATTGATAGACTATATAGATGCAACAAATAATACATACTTTGTAAAGAGAAGTATAATTTCCTAATAAAAATATTTTCATTAACTAAGTCAACTCTTTTTTGTTTGTTTTTTGTTTTTTGTGTTTTTTTTGAGACAGATTCTTGTTTGTCGCCCAGGCTGGAGTGCAGTCGTGTGATCTCTGCTCACTGCAACCTCCGCCTCCCGAGTTCAAATGATTCTCCCACCTCAGCCTCTCAAGTAGCTGGGATTACAGATGTGCACCACCACACCTTGCTATTTTTTTTTTTTTGCATTTTTAGTAGGGGTGGGGTTTCACCATGTTGACCAGGCTGGTCTCGAACTCCTGACCTTAAGTGATCCACCTGCCTCGGCCTTCCAAAGTGTTGGGATTACAGGCGTGAGCAACCGCGCCTGACCTAATAAGTCAATTCTTAAACACCAAAATGTTTGACTGAGCACATGAAGAAGGTTTCTCTTAGAAAAGAAAAAGAAATGTAATATGATTACTTCGATAATCAGATAAACAGTTCTGCTGCCTTTTCAAAAGCCAGCGTACAGTGAGGTAAGTTCTGTTATTTTAACAGTTCTCAATGGAAGTAATAAAGCTACAGAATGTATGTAAAAAGTCCTTGCTACAGATGCATTTAAAGTGGATACTTTCCAATTTTAGAAGATAAATTTAAAAATTATTAATAGCTAGTACATTTTTAAAAATGAGATTAATTTATTTCTGCCTCAAATTATACCCAATTAAAAGCAAAGATTGGACAACAAGAAGTGTAAGTTTTAGAGGGTTTGAGAAATCAAACTAAGCAGATTTATATGGTTTAAAAATAATTTGTAAATAATAAAATTATTTTTTGCAACAATTTCTGAAGCAGAAGAAAAACTAATGTGGGCTCATAATAGCAGAGATAGGGTATAAAAAGTGCTGTGGTTAGTGCCATGGCAGGCTTCCCATCTGGAGTATCAGGAGTGCAATTCTGAACAGGAGAACAGTGCCTAGCTCTGCTGGCCTAGCCACCTAACTCCATGAGGGCTTTCTACCTTACTTCAACCATTTCTTTTCAGTTCTCTTCTCTTCTAAGAGGGCAGGCTTTCTGTTGTATGAAAACTGTCATGAATTTCATCAGGACAAAATAGTAAGAATTTGTTTGAAGTAAATAATATCTAGTCATAAGTGCAATTCTACCTGAGCATCTTGCTTTCCTCTAAGCAGAGAAGGAAGGAAGTCCAGGATGGGACTGATAGACTGGGGTAAAATAAAAGAGTAAAGAATCCAGTAGTCCCTTTGGGGTTGAGAAGGGAAGTTGTAGTGAGAAGAAACGTATAGGAGGAAAGGATGGAGAAGCAGTTGTTGGCTTAACACAGAGTTTTGCATTTCAGTGGAGCATCTGTTGTTATAGGAGATAATAAGCACACGGTGCAGCATGTGATCTGCACTGTGCAAAACTGTGAGACTGGTTTGATGAAGAAATGTAGAAATAAAGGTCAGTCACATCAAAGAGACCAAGGAAGAGTTAAGCTGGATTCCTGGATGCATTACCCACATTGACCCAGGGTCTAGAGAGTATGACTTCAAGCTGGGTGCCAATGTGTATAAGTAAGGAGGGGAGAGCCCAAGAGGCTGAAAATGTCAGTAACAAAGAGAAGTTCACCATGATAAATCCTCTTACAGGTGTCAGGTTTTATTCATGAAAGAAACAGTAGATGCCTGGGCATAAAATTGGTGAGCAAAAAGAATACTGGTGCTATCTGCCAGTTTGATGATGGTTAGACATTAGGATTTGGTGCTCTCAAAGTTTAATTTTAATAAAAGGAAATATGTGCTTTGTAGACACTGAGAATGTAGAGTGTTTTGTTCACATGGAAAGATAGTTCCACAGACACATTGAAGCAACTGTGAGAAAATGAAGCAAAATGATGAATTGAGGAAAGAATTGTCATGCAGTTATTATTAATTCATTAATAGCAGAGATATTTATCAAATAACTTTTATGTGCCAGGCATTGTTCTAGGGAACCAATGAAACAACAGGCAGCAACACTAATGAGAAGGTCTTTGGCATCAAGGAACTTTATATTCTTAAGGATTATTGGCAATGAATTTCAAAGGAGATAGGCAGTTTACAGATCTTTCCTTTTCACTTGTCTCAAATTGTTATAACCATATGAATGTTAGTTAAAAACAAACAAAAATAAAGAGAAAGAAAGAAAAAGAAATATATTCTTGAGGGAAAAAGCTCTCTAGAAAAGCAGAAATATAGAACCTGGATATTTGTAAAAGAGTGAGGAAAACTAGACACCAAGGAGTGAATTAAATGAAGAAGAGACATTGAAGAGCTGAGATATGAAACTAATCTACACTGTGGGATATATTTGGACTAATTAACTGCTTGTTGCATATGGAGAGACATACGTAGACATACACACACACACATCTGCATTTAGAAATCATGTAAAAATTTTTGGATGTATTGACAATACTCTAAAATTGCAATTTTCTCACTTTATAATGGATATGCTATATGATCTAGACTCAGCTTTATAGGCAAGTTCTTCACTTAGTCTACCAAAACCATATAAACAGAGCTTTTAAATCTGTACCCCTGTTTTAAGGAACATAGCTTCTTTTCTGAAGATGTTCTCATTATCTCATCTATAATAAGTTAAATAAGTTTCATGTTGCCAAGCACTGAGGATTTTCCAGTTCCACAACATTTTGTTTGTACCATTCTTCCTCGGTAATTAAAATATTACCTTAAATATTTTGAAATTAATTAGAAATCGATCACCTAATAAACAACAGTTTAAAAAAATAAGTATTATCTTTTTGCTATTGCTCAGGGCCTGGGCCTATGAAACGTAAGGCAATAGCTGTTTTGTTTCTGAAGGTGTCACAAGCGGTACCTCCTCAGATAATCTCCCTACTGACCTGCCATGGCCTTAACACAAGACTCAAAACTGGGATTCCTTCTGGCTTGAGGCAAGAAGCTTAGCTGGGGCTTGAAAAGGGAGTTGTCACAGATTCAGAAGACCACTGATAAGCATAAATGTTCTGGGAAGAAAATGAATGGGTTTTAAAAAAATGTAAAATTATAAAATTTGGGATATGAAAAAATAAATGTTTTACTTTTTCCTTCAGCTCTGCTTCATTTGTTCTCAAATTAGCTACTTGCCTCTTGTTCATCTCAGGAGACAACAAGAACCTAGGCAATTGGATGGGGTTGGGCTGAAGGAAGGACCAGGAGTTCTACAGGGCAAGGCACGCTGTGGAGGGAGGTCTGCTGATACTTAGCTTGGTGGTAAAACTGGCAGTGAGCATTACAGGTGGAGAGTGAGAAAACAGTGAAAGAAGAGCAAGAACAAAGAGGTGCTTCAAGAATTTTGCTACCCAACTTCTCATGCATGGCCATTGGCCTGGATAAAAATGAAGATGCTGTGACCACTCTTCAGGGCTGGCTCCAGAAGGAAGAGGAGTGGCCAAGTAGCTAGTCTGTGCTAATGGATTGCTTAGAGCAACACATTCTCACCACTGAATAACTTGTTTTTCTTGTAATTTCACCACGAGAAGTTTCACTTCCTCTTGAGATGCCTACTAAAATCACATTTTCCTAGGAGTCAAGTATTTACCTTGACGGGTTACTTTGGCTTCATTTTTTATATATGTTAGAATAAATAGTGCTGAATAAAAATTGATTTTTAAATTAATATCCTTAGTATCTGATTCTGTAATTTCTCAGAACTATTTTGAAAAAAATTGAAAAGCTGAAAATATACATTTTAAAATTTACCAGTGAACTTAAAATAGTCCTAAATGACTTATACAAAATGGCCCAGAAAAAAATTAATTATGTAAATGTCACTTATTATTCTGATAATAAATTGAAAATTATGAGTTCATCATTTCATCTCAGTCAATGTAGACTAAATCTCTCAACTCAGATAAAAGCTCCAAAATTTAATACTGTATTTATCTGGTTTTCATAACTTTTATGAAATATTTCTGTACCAGTGTTAACCTTCTTTGTTATAGTACCTGCTCTTAAAAACAACATTAAAAACCTTTTATATCATTATTATCCTTGGTTATATAAACTTATTGGAAAAAATGTTTTGATCATTAGGTACTGCACCAGAGGGCTTAATTCAATCCTTAACTGCAGAGATTTGACATTAACTATGAGTGAATATCCACCTTATCTAATCAACAACAACAAGATTTTTCATACAATAGAGAGGGGAGTGTGAATGTGATTATAGAATTCTCACTATAGTTTTTACTTAAAAACTACATAATGCGCATCCTTTACAGCAGTAAGTGTGTAATCACATTGGATTTGATAAGAAATTTCTTCATGAAGACACAGTACAATCAGGCATAAAGAATTTCAAGATATAAGATAATTGTTAAAACAACTGACATAATGTTACACACATGAAATACAACAATTATAGAATACATTTCATGAAAAACATAAAAGACATTTAACTCCAAAGATATAAAGAAAAGAGAATAAAAATACGTGGCAAGTGGAGGGGGTTGTTGTCCCCTTGTTAGTAGCAGTAGTTGCGTAGAAAACAATTCCCTTTGAACTTTGGGAAATAATAGTGTTTTTCATGCCTTTGTACTTTATTTTTTTGTGGTACATAAGGTAATAGAGTAGACTTTTACAATATTTTTTCTATTTATATATTGTCTCTAAAAATCTATTTTTTGCTTCATGCAATTTGAAAACTAATTGAATAAAACTTGGTGGAATTTACTTTTTTTTGACTTGTGACTTGTAGAAAGTAGAAAAGGCATTTGTTGTAAAACTAACTGACACTGAAAAGCTTTCTAAATTGTAGTGGCTAGCGAAAGGTTTTTGAAATGCAGTTGATGGCTATTACAATTTACATCAAGTGCATTCTATTATTACACAAGTATTAAAATAATAGCCCTCCTCACAATTTGGGTCCATAAACAGCTTTGGGGTTTTTTGCCATTCTGCTATTTCAGGTTTAAGCATAGCCAGACTAAATTTTATAAACATATTTACCTTAATCTTCATTAAAACAATGTGTATTGGGAGTGAAATTCAATATCATTGTGTCTGCTACTTGCAATTAACTCATCAATAATTTATAACAGGTATTTAATATCCAATAAATTCTCCAAGCTTTGGAAACTCAGAAATAAATTTCCTCACAAACTGGGAGTAATCTTTAGCCAAGAATAAATAAATTCAAGTATGAAGGTTTTTGTGGTTTCATAGAAATTCAGAAATAACAAAGTTAAAATGGATTCCATGTTAGATAAAATTATATCATCCCTATTGATAACAAGAACTCAATGACATTGACAACTTACATTAAATCTTTGAAATATAGCAAAAAAAAGAGAGATACACATTCAAGGTACAGCATAAAACAGTCCCAACACATTCTTTTCAAAAGATGTCTTTGCATTTGTGTCATTAGCAAATAATGAGGTAAAGAGTTGACTCTTTGTTTCATAAGATTGGCAGAGTTTGGGAACACCTATTTCTTTACCATTTGTCCTATTAAGGTAACCATACTAAATCTAGACCTCTTAGAAGGATTCCTGGATTCACATGTTGAGTGCTATGTACATGGCCTATTACATTCCCAGAGTTTAAGTACTGGTTTTATTTTATTTTATATCTCCTTCCATGAAATGATCATTCTTAGAAACTATCTGCTTCTGCAAAACGAACTTTAGTAAGTATAAAGAAGATAGTGATTTGAAACTTTTAGTTAAAAACTCAAGTTATCTGGGTGGACATAAAGCAGTGCCTTAAACCAGTGCCTTAAAACCAGTCTTTCACACTGCATTTATCAGTAGCAATTGTTTTGTAAACTGTTTTTTTTTTAATAAGATGACATGAGTGAGAGTCAACATTGATACTCAGCTTCTTCTTTCAGACATCCAACCACGTTGACGGTAGCGATGATGGTGGCCCCTGTTGTAGACACCTGTGCAGTAAAAGACTTTATTTCACACAGGCAGATAAACTGATGTCAGATGGTATCACTTAAAGCAGTGGATCTCAAATCTTAAAGTGCTTCAGAAACACCTGTAGTGCTTAACACACAGCTTTTGGGCTATCACCCCTAAAGTTTCTGGTTAAGTAGGTGAGGGATAGGGTGGAAGTTAGCATGTCCACTAAGTTCCCAGATGATGCTGATGCCGATGGTATAGAAACCACATTTTGAGAATCACTGATTTAGAGCAAAGGAATTCTGACTTCCCATACGTCACATAACTGCTGCTCTCTGAGTCAGTTTTTTCCTTCTCTCCCCCTTTCCCTCTCAATCTCTCTCCCTTTTCTCTCTTTTAAATTATAAGTAGGTATATTTGGGTCTAAGGAATTTACTCTTCCTCTGAGCTATTACTGGCTATTAAGGCATATTATCAACGTTATTTGAAGTTATCCTCAAACTTTTTAAAGTGCTGTCATCACGATCCGAAAATTACAACTCTCCTTTCATGCAGCATAAATAAGAAAAGAAGTTCTAAAATATACAAAGGGGAGAAAGGAGAGAGTTAAAATACCTTGCTTTCACTGATATAGTGCTGATATTTTACAATATGATCTCAATAAACCTTGTATAAGAAGATAGTTTTTGCTTTGAGTCATAAAAGGCACAAGGTAACAGAATCCCAAATTCCAAGATTTGAAAACAAGTTGTGGATAATTAGGCTCTTTTACTTTTCTCTGAGTGTAATGGAAAAATGAAAAAATAACAAAAATTAATTTTCTATGAAAGTTTTTCTTAAACACTGTGCCCCATATCTTTTGTTTCAATACAATCAGAACACCTGTTACCATAATAGGAGATGAAAATCATCTTTCATAAACACTTCTTTTACTTTTAGTTTAATTTTCAAGTAAATATTTGAATCAGAAGAATTTTTCAGGGGAATAAGTTTGAATACTCAGTGCTTTGACTCCCAGATCTTACATTTTCTACAAAATATACGATAGTCTATTCATGTATGTGTGAGTTAAGAGCAAGCCCCTCTATTTTTTAACCACCTGGTACTCAGCCCCAGGCCCAGATGGAATCCACTGACATCAACTGTCATTGTAATTAAATTGAAGAAAAAAAAAAAGTGCAACTGCGCTACAAACTTTCTGGTGAAGACCACTGTCCTTGGTAGCTTCACTGCTCTGCCATGACCAAGAATTGTCCCCCAGATTGTTTGCTGCCTTGCACTCTGTCAACATGTCTCCCTCACTAGACTGAAGCTCTTTTGAAGGCATGTTTGCATCGACGCCATCTCATTCCCTAGCACCTAGCACAGTGGTGCATTTTTAATTTAATCCAGCAAGGCTGACTATATCACTTTTTGTTGTTGTTGTTAAAAGAATATAATGATGTGATTTAGCTTATTCTTAAATGTTAAAGTGTTAGAGATGGAAATTACGTTAAAACTTTTACTGTGATAGAGTCTTACTGGCCATATGTTGAGACAAGAAATGTTAGCAATGGTCAATTTGCAAACCTGAGAAAATTGTGTAAATGAGTGAGTATATAGTTTTGTAAGATAGTTTTTGAATTACCTAACACAATATGCTATTTTATATATAAATATTTTCTCAGATATCACATTATAACAACAGTCTTGTGATTTTTTTTAAAAAAACTATTAAGTCAACTAACATGTCTATTGTTAATTCAGAATTAGTAATTGCTACTTCTTTTAGTAGCAAAAAAAATCATTGGATAGATTCTGGTAATTTTTAGGAACCAATCTGAATGTGAGAGATTAAAATAACAAGGGATTATAAAAAGAATTAGAAATGTTTAAACATTTAATTGACACATTTTAATACATGAAACTAAAAGTGAAATAGCCTGAAATAAGCTCAATTGAAGGTTAAACTTCTAACATATTTAAATCAAAAGTTGAGAAATCATTTTAAACTGACTTTTTTTTTATTTCCAAAGAGCAATAGATTAAAAAAAAAAAAGATCCACAAGTAATTTTAGCTTCACATCATAGGATAATAAAATTTCTGTTCCCAGTGATTTTAAAAAGGATAGTTTTACTCAGGTATCCTTGTCATATGAATAAATATTCTACCAGTTTTGAAGTGGTCCTGCTCCATTGGCTGCTGGGAGTGTGCTTATGCTAGTGAGCACAACTTGCTCAGAAAGTTTTGATATGTTATCAAAGTTGCTGATTTGAGTGGTCAAGGACTTCCGGCTCTCTGTGCTAGTTCGTCCCCTGGTGAGCCGATCCTCCTGGCGATGGTGAACTCCAAGGCAACAGCAAGAAAACGCAGCTTTAAATTCCTCTCGAAATTTTCCTGGCAAACAGAGAGAATGAAAGGAAAAGGAATTATACATAAATGCTTCAACAAATTATGAATAGGGTACAACTGAGTTGCTCCCTTGAGCCAAACTAACAATGAGGTGTAATATTTTGCAAAGATGGGTAAAATAGAATAAGGAAATTGAGTTTATTGGAAGCTTGGTAGACTCTTGAAACAATGAATATTTTCATAAAATAACGAGGCTGCCTTTCACATATGGGGCTTGGAATTTGCTTCATTCCTTTATAGTCAAACCTCATATATTTACGCATATTGGTATATTTTATCTACATAACTATAATGGAAGTGATCATCAGTAGAAGAACTCTCAGAGATATTTAATAATTAAACACAATGAAACTTATGTCATACAAAGCCAAAATTATACAAAAATTACTCCTGCATTTTACTCTAAATAACTGATACTGAAACAATTAAATCCACAAAATACCTAGAAACATACACTCAAATATCCAGAAAATTTTCAGTTTCATAATCTATATAAGAAAGAACAAAAACTGAAGGGGGAAAAATACTGTAGAAGCTATTCCTTGTCTTTAAATTATGGAGGAGATATTGGAGAACTATGAGAATGAATGAATCACTTTTATTAGTGTGAATGGCAGTATTGCGAATCATTTCTTCTCTCTTAGCCTCAGCTACGCACTGAGTTATCAGTGATTAAATGAGAAGATGAATGTTCACGGGCCCAGCACAATAGCAGTCACATAATGAGTTATCAGTGATTATCAGTTGCCTCCTCTAACTCACTTTTATCCTCCATACTAGGACTTTGACCTGGTTCTGTGACTTCTGCTTCAAACACTTCTCATTACAACTTCCTCATAGCCTTTACCTGCTTAGTGCGAGGTTCAGAGCTTTAGTCATTGTGCTAGATTTTTTTTTAAATAGAACAAAATTATTTCTCATCAATCTAATTTGTTGCCTTTTTTTTAAACCTATGCAAACCAGAAGGCCAAAGATCAAGTTGGAAGATGCAGAAGCTTTATTAAATATGCCACAAAATGAATTTCTATTCTTCCACATAAAATCACCATATATTTGAAGATAGAAATAACAAAGAAATCGCCAATGAGTTGGAGATTAAGGCAATGTAAAAAGGTAGCTAATTAAAACATAATTCTAAAAGTCAGTCGGGCAAAATGTGAATAAACAATAGTGATTTAAATGACTTTTATAATTATATTGATTCCATAAACAGATACAAATTGTATAAGTTACACATATATGTATGTGTGTATCATTTAACTTATGTGTTATTTTGGAGTAATACTATTTTTGGTAGTCAGTGGGAAATATTGAGATAAATCCAAGAGATGATACTCACAAGAGAAACGTAAATATAGTAAAATATCTAAAAGTGAATAGATCCCAATTCTGTCTCAATTAGGCTACACATTTTGGCAAAGGAATAATATAGCAAGGCAAAACAGAACAAAGTATTTTATATTTTTGTAAATCATGAGTTTAAAGTATGTCATGTAAGATTTTGTGTTATTGATTTCTCAGAATGTTTACTTTTCTTCTATTATAACATTTCTTATACGTTTGACATGGAAAAATCAGTTCATTTTCTCTGATGAGTTCAGTAACAAATACTTTGCCTCAAAAGAGAAGAAACTCAAGATAAATCAGGTCAGGGAAAAAATACAACTCACATAGCAACTAAACTCCTCATATAGTTGAAGAGTGTTCATTGATTCCTCATCCTTGGTTACAATTGTGGCTTATGGAAGAACAGTTGAAAACTCACCACTGAGAAAATTATAAATAATTGGATTCGCAGCACTATTGGCATATACAAGCCAGTGTGAAAAGGTAAACCAGGCATACACAGTCTCTCTGTCTTCAGTATGGGCAAACATCCCAAATACTCTGCAGGAAAAGAAACAACAGAAAAGTGTCTTTTAAATAATTAAATTCAAAGGTGAACAAGGCTATTGGTAGAGGATGGTCTGACTCCTGTCCTCTTCAGTTGCAGGAATTGACCACAGATTGGTTTCTGACCCCATAATTGGTTTAGAATAACTTCAGTGCCTGAACAGAACCTCCACAGCACAATCAATAAATCAAAAGCCAAATCAGGTCAGAGAAGGGTCTCTCCCTCCCACAAATAGCAGATGCAGTATTTCTTGTAAATAAGAATATGGAAGTTGAATATATATCTTCTTTATTTCATTTTCTTTCTAAATACAATTGAATAATGTTGTATTAATATTCTATTATGTGTATCATTTAAAAATCACTCCTAAATGATAGTCTTCAAGTACTTCTTCCTACTTTCATTTATGTATTGATCAAAGTATCATATGCCTTCAACTCCAATCTTCCTGGACTATCTGAAACTTGCCTTCTGGGACTCCTTAATACCCAGAGAAGAAACAGTTCTCGATGGGCAGAATTTTGGTAATTTTTAAAAATTAATGAGTGTTAATTTTTCATGTATTATTTTAAACTTTAAAAAATGTTTTGTTATGCTATCCTTAAAGACTATTAAAAAATTTTCTCCATACTTAGAAATATTCCATCTATAAATTCTAATCACTAACCTATAACAGATAACTTACAGCTACTCAATAAGATTATAGGCCAAAAATCATATATATTTCCTGCTAAAGTCTCCATCTTCGATTGTCTGTATCAGTGTGTGTGTGTGTGTGTGTGTGTGTGTGTGTGTTACAGCAAGAAGGCATGACAACAATGCATTTCTGGTATAAGGTGTACCTTATACCATTTCTGGTATAAAGAGTACTAGAGTTTTACAAAAATACTATATAGAGTGAAATAATACGGACAAAAGAAATTTGTACTATGTTATGACCCTTTACCTCAAAATGTCTTTGAAATCTTGGACAAACCTGAACTGTTGTAAAGAAATTGCTTTTGACTAATTCGGCAAAAAGTTAAGTTTTAAGGAGAAAAAGCTAGGAATGGTTTTTGTGGGAGAAAGAAAAAACAAATTTCATATGCAAGGATAAATAAATATAAGCATTTGAAAAAAAATGTGTGTGGTAACAAGAAAAACAATTTTCAAGTTCTTTTTTTCAAAAGTTTTTATGTTGTGGAAAAGAGTAGAATGCCCCAAAACTTGAAATATCTTAAATTTAACACAGCCTTGCTCCTTTGAAAGTTATTTGTTTTCCTTGGAAAGGAAGGGATTTGAGTCAGAAGAATAAGACATATATTATTGACAAAAAAAGTAGTTGGAAATAAAAGGAAAGAGCAAGTTCTGAGATACAGGAAATCCAAATACGTAACCCAGAGAGAGGTAAATCCAATTTTCATTGAATTTAGACTGACTAAAAGAGAAAAAAGATTAGAAAGAGAAAGAAAGAATAAAACCCATCCAGTAACATAACATGTTTATAAAGTTCTTAAAAGCAGAAGAGAGTATCTAGCAGGTGGCCATAATAAATTTGTATTAAATTTCTGTTAGCAAAAATAATAATAATAATAATAATAATAATAATTAATAAGAAGCAAAGCACAAAAAGATATGGAGGGCAAAATAATTTCTATTTTCTTGTGAGCTGGCATATGTCTCAAGGACCCAGGCCACAAAAAAAATCATATATCTTTAAGGCTGTGACTGTAGTAAATAGTATCACTGAACAGAAGTTTGTTCTCCATTTCTTCTCCATTGAAAAAGCCGTTAAACCATCAAAAACAGGGGCCAAAGAGAATGAGAACCCTTTGCGGCTGATTATACCACTTCTTCTGACTCCAGCCAAAGCTGCTGTTCTTCAGAGTTCCCAGCTGTGAGGAATATAATATTGATTCTGAATCAGGCCAAAGTGAGAGGAGCAATTCTAGCTTAAGTTCGAAGCCTGTTGTAAACAAGAATTGGTATTGCCTTGGGACCAGTCTATGTGGAACAGTTTCGATAATTCCCAATAAAGTTGGCTGGCCATGAAGTTTAGTGTGTACCACTGCCTCTGCATCTGCTGCTCATGTCATGGGTCAAAATTTTTAACTTAATAGTTGTGCCTGCATTGTAGCAAATAGCATACTTTCCCTCATTGATTTTTATTACTATCTGCCCTGAGCTTCATTCAGTGACTTCAGGAAATGAATTCTTCTGTTTAGACATTCGACATACATATCTGCCTTGATGGCTTTTTTTAAAAAGTGCTCGCCAATGCACTTTTAAGTATAATTAGAATACTAACATAAGGTTCTTATCTCTTTTTATCCTTAAGATATAATTCTCTCACAATTGCCTATGTTTTTGGAAACGAAGTTTTGAAAAACCCGTTTGTTCTCATCAAGAAAGAACTGCAAGCTGTAAATGAGTTGTTACGCATTAGAACTTTGTCTGCATCTAAGGTTTAGCAACTAGCTTGAAGAGATTGGAGAAACATCTGTTTTATGTCTGCCATGCAACTGAGAATACGCATGACAAAAGCACATGTCTGAGCACTCTTAAAGGCTGTTCGCCTTACCTGCTGGTAACAACATAACTGAGTCATCTGGCCTGACAAGGTATCTAAGCAGAAAGTTTAGATTTTTCTCTGGCTTAGTTAAAAAAAAAAAAAAAGTTAATTAAGAATCAAGAAAAGGCAGGCTATTTCATTTTCAAATAACAGATAAGTTTTACCTCTTTAGCACATTGAGGATGCTAATTGGTAGATAGCAAATTGCAAATACCAAAAGCACAATCATCAACATCCGGGCTGTTTTCCTTCTGGCTCGGATCTGCTTTATTTCAGCCGCCACAGCGCTCATCCGGGACTTCGTTGGCTGTCCTGGCCCTCGAGGCTGTGAAACAGGCTGCAGGGGCTTCCATTTTCTCTGAACTACAGATGATGTTCCAGGGATCTGAAAGGAGAAGAGACAGACCCTTATTGCAATTTGACTTAGGAAAGTTCCACTTTGGGGAAGTAATTAGAAAACACAGTAAGGAAAGGCTTCCAGACGCCTGAGGTGTGGGAGGTTTGAGCGCCTGTTTCTCCAGAGCATTTGCTGACCTTAGTATGTGCTTGGCGTTAATTCAGACGAATACCAAATAGGAGTTTGTGTGGAAAAAAAAGTTAAAACATCAAAATTTTGTCAATGTCTAAAGAAAGCTGCAAGTGGAAAAGATATTTCCTTGTAAAAAGAACAAAGCTTGGGAAAGGAGAATGATAAAGGGATGTCAGCCATATTATCTTATTAGGAATTTTTGTTCAGCTCAGATACCAAAGTTTAAAGCAGAGGAAAACCCAGCAAGTAACGTCAAGCAACCTGTTATGGATTTTTCACGCATCAATACTGCCATCTGCTGCCAGAGAGATAGAACTTAACTACCTGTAGCTTTTCAGGTTTTCTGCTTCTCGAGTTCGGACAAAGCAAACCTTTGAATGAAAGGATATTTTTAAAAAATCAAGTATTTTTTGTTGTTCACTATTTGTAGTTATGAAATTGTTTGAAATCAGTTTTGTGGTCCAGCCCTTTAAAATGCACACAAACCCATTGAGGATTTTTTGCGGTCTTACATTAATATTTCAAATAGCTGGAATTTGTAACAGTAATTACACAACTTGTACTTTTCCATTTCTTTTCAAAGTTATTTGATAATAGCAGGGAATCCCTCCAAGTACAATATTCTCTTAATTGTAAGCTCATGAAGATTGATAGGGTTTAGTGAACAGAACAATAAAATTCAGCATGCATAATTTTTTAAAGAGGAAAATGTGCCAACAAACACAAGAAAAGGCCACCTTAGCTCTGTTAAGATTATTCAGCTTTTACTTTCTGTCTCTGTGCGGCAAACCAGTACTGACCAATGTGTCCTTGTGGTTTCTCAGAATAGATGTTCGATAGATTTTGTTGCTTTTTACACCACCAGATCAAAGTCTGTTCGATAATCTTTAATTTGAGAACAGAATTTTACTTATATGTCCACACAGATAAATTAATATGACATTTCCTTTGACCATTTTCTTTCTTGAAGAGGCAAATGATGTTAACAAAGACCTGCCCTTGAATGGAAAATATCGGATAAATTATTTTTCTTCTCACTCTGTATGTCTTGTCATGTAGACAATCTTTTTTACATAGTAGTGGTTCAACTCAATCTTTTAACCCACTGGTTGGGGAGAGATAGGAACTTTCTCTTCTGTGACTCTCATTTTAAAAAGCAATTTTAAAAAATAACTGAAAAGAATGAGCAATGGATGCTGGAATGTTCCAGGAGACTCCTATCATGAAAAGCCTGTATGTGTCTGCTAAATGATCTTGAACTGTCTTCTAAATGATCTCTGATAGATCAATTAAATTTTAGTGATTCTATCACTGACTGTTCCCCTGAAGGAGAGAATCTACATTCTGCATCTGATGACTTCTGCCGCCATTAGAAACAGTTTTCGGTCACCTGAGGTTGGGAGTTCATGACCAGCCTGACCAACATGAAGAAACCCCGCCTCTACTAAAAATACAAAATTAGCTGGGCGTGGTGGCACATGCCTGTAATCCCAGCTACTCAGGAGGCTGAGGCAGGAGAATCGCTTGAACCCAGGAGGTGGATGTTGCAATGAGCCGATGAGATCACACAATTACACTCCAGCCTGGGCAACAAGAGCAAAACTCCATCTCAAAAAAAAAAAAAAAATACAGTTTTCATAAAGAGAAAGCTATGGTCCCTGAAATCGGGAAAAAAAAAATGTAGTGATGCCCTTTTTAGATAATGATCTAAATAAGGATAGAAGATGCTGAATCCTGCATTCATTTTGAGGACACATAAATTTCTCCATTGATAAGCTGTCTAGAGACATGGAGAATTCAGAGAAACTCCGTATAAAATTAAGAGGAATAACTGACATTACTGAGCTCCAGGAACTATGCACTAGTAATCCTTAATGCATCCCTAAAAGTACATTATTGTAAATCTCAGAGGTTTCAATCAAGCAGGCACTGAGAAGGATTAAGTAAAATACATGCACCCCACTTTTATTTCACTATTATGAATAAACTTTATAAATCATATTTAATGCAAAAATACACCCTGAAAAATGTATTACCACAGTTATGAATTGGAAATAGCATGTACATGATGGACCTTAAAACCTACTCTGTCTTAAAAAATGTTTGTGACCAGGATAAAGTTATGAGGAAGAGGCAAACATGCTACAAACATTAAAAACATTATGAATAAACAATGAATTTGCCAACTTACATGAAATGGACAAAGCCCTTGAAAGACAAAGATGACCAAAACTGACTCTGTACTTACAAACTATGCTACAAGAAAATCTCCAGGCCCAGATAGGTCCATTAATGAATTCAATCAAACAGTAAAGAATAAATAATTCCAATCTTGTTCAGACTTTTAATGAAATGTACAGAAAATATAATATGTTCCAACAAATTTCATGAGGTCACATTTATCTTTGTAATCAAAGATATGGCAACAAAAGACAGCTAACAACTAAATATCCTTCATGAATAGAGATAAAAATCTCTTTAAAAATATGTTATCAAATTAAATCCTGCAATATATAAATAGGATAATACCATTTGCTCAATCAGATTTATTCTAGCAATGCAGTGTTGGCTTACCACTCAAAAAATCAAGTCTTCTCTCACCACTCGTACTCAACATTGTACTGGACTTTGAGCCAATACAAGAAGAAAAGAAAAATAAATAAAATGCCTACAGATTGGTTCTATTGAGAAGAAATTATTGCTTACAAAGATCATCCTAAAGAATCTACCAAAAACCCACTAGAACTTATAAAAGAATTTAGCAAGGAGCAGGTCATTAAATCAATAAACAAAAAAATCAATTATACTTCTACATACTAGCAATAAATGGAAAATTAAATTTTAAAAGTTTCAATATCAAAAGAATGTGTTTTAGGCATACATTTCATAAAATATATATATAAGTATATATATTTCATAAAATATATATATAAGTATATATATTTCATAAAATATATGTATAAGTATATATATTTCATTATATATATATATATATACTGAAAATGATGAAACATTGCAGAGAGATAATAAAGAACTCCTAAATAAATATATTCATTGTGGACATGCATTAAAAGGCTTAGTATTGTTAATATGGCAATTCTCCCCAAATTGATCTATAGAGTTAATGCAATTAATCACGTTCAATACCACGACAGTCTTTTTTCTGGAAATGAAAGTACTAATTTTAATTTTTTATGAAAGTGCAAAAGACCTGGAATAGCCAAAGCAATTTAAAAAAAGAATTTATTCTTTTTTAAACTTTGGTTGCAAGACTTATAAAAACTCATTTCAAGATTTATAATAAAGGTACATTGAGTGTTTAAGTGTATTTGTGATTGTGTGTATCCCAGAGGACTAGTCTGATGTGTATATATATTTGATACTCACCTCACTTAAAAAGTACCTGGGCAAGGGACTACCTGAAAAAAAGCATGGAGCTGTGAAGAGACCTAGCAAAGTGGCATTTACTGGTCAGGGAAGGAAAGGTAAGTATTCAAAGCAAAAAGTATTCAAATCAAAGTAGGAAGAAAGTATATGAGCAATGAAACCACAAACAACATTGCTTAATGCTGCCAAAAGATCAATAAATAAACTTTAAAAATATATATTCTTTAGAAATCATTGGTAACTTTCATGTAAGCTGTTTCACTGTAATGATGAAAGCTGAAGCTACACTGAAGTGGGCTGAGACATCAGTGGAGGTGGCGGTTAGTGAGAAAAAGATGACAAATGGAAATAAGTCGAGAATTTTATCTGGGAGGAGGAGGAACAAAAAGTTAAGTTTGTGGCTGGATGAGTCTGAGAGTTTGGATGATGCTTATTTTTTAATGCATAGCAAATGCCTGCTCCATTTGCTAAGTGCTAAGAAACTTGTAGGACAAGTCTCCTTTCCCCTTATGGTATTCCTTAACCTATTACCCATTTCATCATAATAGAGTATAACAGATATTTGGTAGGCACTGGCGGTCTTCTATGAAACAATAATCCCCTTACATTTCCCTGTTCAGCAGGGACCATGAAAATTTTCCTTGCCCCTTACACCCACCACCATATGAAGATGACTGTATTCCAACACTGAGGGAGTTTTTCACATTAAATCCCATGATTTCTTGACACTTTTTGTTTACCTCAGTACTGCTCTGATAAGATTTGCATGCTAAATTCTTATAACGAGGACTGTAATTTTATTTGTTCCTTTTCTTAACATCATTCTCACTATGAATAGCTCCACTTTCAGAGTGTACAGATGGCCCTTATGGATGACAACTGCAATAACTGATCTTCTCACTATGCCTCCTGCCCCTGTCCAACTCCAGATCTGTTGTCTCGCAACATTATTCTTTCACACAGTCTATGACTTCTTCTTTGCAAAAAAAAAAAAAAAAAAAGGTTTTCCCTCTGCTCTCTGGGACTTGATATATGGTTTCATGGAATAGGTTCTCTCATTTTTTGCACATCTATGGACCATTTTAAAGTCTATAGAAGTACGGAAAAAAACTTTAGTCAGAAAGTACAGATAAAACAACCCGTGGATAATTCCTATTATAGTCTCTCATTACATTAACATGTCAAATTGTGTGTTCAACCTTTTTTGCTTCCCTGTGGTTTCAGCAGCAGAACTTTCTAAAAAAAAAAAAAGTCTTCAATTTTTAAAATTTTAAAATATCCCATCATTTTTGTTCTTTCTTTTTAAAAGAAAACATTTTATTGCGATATAATTCACATACCATAAACCTCACTGCTTTAAGGGGTTCAAAAAATGATTTTTAGAATATTCACAGAGTTGTGCAACTATCACATCATCACTAACTAATCTAGAACATTTTCATCACCTCCAAATGAGGCTCCAAATCCATTAGCAGTCACTTCTCATTGTCCCATTCTGCCAGCCCGTGCCAAGGACAAATTATTTTGGCTCTATATATTTGCCTATTCTCAACATTTTCATGCAAATAGAATTATGTAATATGTGGCCTTCTGTGCCTGGCTTCTTTCACTTAGTATGTTTTCAAGATTCATCAATCTTGTGGCATATATCAGTGCTTCATTTCTTTTAGTAGCTGAATAATATTTTATTGCTTGCATATAGAACAATGAGTTATTCCATTTACTCATTGATAACATTTGGGTTGTTTCCACTTTTTGGCTACTATGAATTATATGCTGTTATGAACATTCATGTGTAAGTTTTTGTGTAAACATGTCTTCAGTTCTCTGGGTCTATAACTAGAGATTGAATTAGTGGGTAATGTGGTAATTCTCTAAGATTTTAAGGAACTACCAAACTGTTTTCCAAAGCAGTTACATCGTTTTGCATTCCCACCAACAATGTAGAAGGATTCCAATTACTCCACATCCTTACCAATAATGATTACAGCCTTTTAAAACAAATCTATCCTGTTGAGTGTGAATAGGTTTCTCATGATTTTGATTAATATTTCTCTAATGAGTAATGATGTTAAGCACCTTCTTATGTGCTTATTGACCATTTGTATATCTTCTTTGCAGAATTGTTTATTCAAGTCTTTGCCTACTTGTAATTTTTTTAAATTATTAATTCATAAGAGTTCTTTGTATATTCTGGATACAAATTCCTTAACACATATATGATTTGCAAATATTTTCTGCATTTATATGGGCTGACTTTTAACGTTTTTAATGGTGCAGTTTGAAGCACAAAAGTTTTTGTTTTGATAATGTCTAATGTATCTACATTGTCATTTGTTGCTTTTGGTTTTGGTGTCATATTTAGAACCTATTGGTTAAGCCAAGGTCATGATGATTTTCTTCTGTGTTTTCTTCTAAGAGATTAGCTCTTACATATAAATCTATGATTCATTTTGAGTTAAGTTTTGAATGTGGTGTGAGGTGAGGTTCAACTCCATCCTTTTGCTTGTGGATATACAATTGTCTTAACACCATTTGTTGTCAGGACTATGATTTTTGCCATTGAACTGTGTTAAAACCTTTATCAATACTCAATTAATCATAAATATGAGTTTATTTCTGGACCATGAATTCTATTCCACTGATCTATATGACTAACTGTATGGAAGTACCACACCGTCTTAGTTACTGTGGCTTTTTGTTAAGATTTGACATTAGGAAGTAAGTTTTCCATTTCTTTTTCAAGATTATTTTGGCTCTTCTCTATCCCTTGCATTTCCACATTAATATTAGGATCAGTTTGTCAATTTGTGTCCAAAATACAAAGCCATCTGGGATTTTCATAGGAATTGTATTGAATTCATGGATTAATTTGAAGATTATTTCTATTTTAACAAGATTGAATCTTCCAATCCATAAACACAGAATATCTTTTAATTTAGGTAGTCCTTCTTTAAGTTTTTTCAATGATATTTTGTAATTGTAGGTGTATATGTTGTGTACCGATTGAATATCCCTTATCTGAAATTCTTGAGACCAAAAGTGTTTCAGATGTGAGTTTTTTTGGATTTTGGATTATTTTCATATACATAAAAAGATATCTTGTAGATGTGACTTAAGTCTAAACCCAAAACTTACTTACATTTTATAAACACCCAATACAAATAGTCTTTAAACAAATTTATATAACATTTTTAATAATTTTGGGCATGAAACAAAGTTTTTGTTGACTTTTGACACGACCTGTCACATGAGATAGCAGGGGACTTTTCCACTTCTGGCATCATGTTAGCTCTCAAAAGTTTGGGATTTTAGAGCAGCTAGAATTTTAGGTTTTGGGATTAGAGATGCTTAACCTGTACTACATGTGATTCAAGGACTGTGTTGGTAACCTTTCTGAGACTGAATATAATGATGGAGAACAAAATGTTACAGAAATGGACTATATGTTGCTTGAATGGAAATAGTTCCAAACTGACTCAAGAAACTTGTATAACTGTGGCCTACTCATTGAAGTTGCTAATAATTATGATTGTAAATGATATTCATGTATAGGACTTGAAAATGTTGAAGGAACATTATCTATTTAATTGATTTGATTAACAGACTATTTATTTTTAATAATCCAGAGCTATTTCCTTTTCATTATTTTTGTTGCCTATATAGAGACTAGTACCACATCATTTAATAAATGCATCTTTTTAAATACAAAAATAGGGTAATTTTCTCCCTGGATCTTTGGTGGTTATGTTAGAATCCTCAGCAATACAGTGAATTCATAATTCTCTTTTTAGGGAATTATAACTGCTGCATGGAATCCATGTCTCTATAATTTCTGGACATTCCCTAAATATACATGTTTATGCTGAAGAATTTTTTTTGTTTTGACAAGAGTCTAACTCTGCCACACAGGCTGGAGTGCAGTGGTGCAGTCTTAGCTCACTGCAGCCTCCACCTCTGAGGCTCAAATGATTCTCATGCCTCAGCTTCCTGAGTAGCTGGGATTATAGTCTTGCACTGCACCACCATGCCTGGCTCATTTTTGTGTTTTTAGTAGAAACATGGTTTCACCACGTTGACTATGCTGGTCTTGATCTCCTGGCCTCATGTGATCCTCCCGCCTCAGTCTCCCAAAAGTGTTGAGATTACAGGCATAAGCAATCAAGCCTGGATGAAGTCTCTTATTAAGCTTCTTTTATTAAATCTACTTCTAGGTATTTGATTAATTTTGATGCTATTTAAATTATTTTTTGTTAATTTCATTTTAAATTTTTATTTGCTAATGTATAAAAATGAAATTGATTTTTGTATATATATTAATCTTTCATCCTGAAAACTAGCTGAACTCATTTATTTGTTCTAATGTATTTTTTTGCAAAATAATTCGTTAGGATTTTCTATATAAAATATCACATAACCTACAAGTAGAAATAGTTTACCTCTTATTTTGTGATCGTCATGCCTTTTATTTTTTATTATTGTTAATATTATCTCTTGCCTGTTTGCCCTGAAAAGAATCAGTTCTGTTCAACATTGAATGAAAATGGTTGTAGCAGACATACTTGTCTTGTTTCTGACTTTAGTCAGAAAACCTGGAAAATGTTTTATGTGCAAATGGGATAAATATGCATTCTTCTGTTTTTGGTGGAGTGTTCTAAAATATCTGTTAAGCCCAGTGGTTTCATAGTTTGTTTAAATCTTTTATTTCCTTGTTGCTATTCTGCCTGTTTTTTCTTTATTTCTTTTTTTTTTTTTTTTTTTGAGACGGAGTCTTGCTGTTGCCCAGGCTGGAGTGCAGTGGCACGATCTCTGTTCACTGCAGGCTCCACCCCCCGGGTTCACGCCATTCTCCTGCCTCAGCCTCCTGAGCAGCTAGGACTACAGGTGCCCCCCACCTCACCCGGCTAATTTTTTGTATCTTTAGTAGAGACGAGGTTTCACCATGTTAGCTAGGATGGTCTCAATCTTCTGACCTCGTGATCCACCCGCCTCAGCCTCCCAAAGTGCTGGGATTACAGGGGTGAGCCACCGCACCCTGCCTGTGTTTTCTATCCATTACTACAAGTGAGTATTAACATTTTCAACTATAATTGTCTAGCTGCCTACTTGTCTCCTTAATTCTACTACTTTTTGCTTGGTATATTTTGGGTTTCAGTGGCTAAATGCATGTATGTTTACAACTTTTATATCTTCCTGATGGATCAACTCCATCATCATTATGAAATGTCCCTCTCTATGTATAGTAATATTTTGTTAAAATTTATTTTGTCTAATTTTAGTATAACCACATTAACTCCCTTTTTGTGATTATTTTAGTACTACTTCTGTTATTTTACATTTAACCTATTTGTATATCTGAATACAAGGTATGTCTCTTGTAGACAGCATAAAGTTGGATCATGGGTTTTTTTAAATTATTGGTTGGTTTTTATCTATTATGTCAATCTATGCCCTTTGATTGAAGTATTGTATCCATTTACATTTAATCTAATTATTAAGAAAATATAATATATATCTGCCATTTTACTATTTGTGACTTATATATATTGTATCTCTTGTCTTCCTCTATTTCCTCACTACTGCTTTATTTTGTGTTAAATATTTTCTGTATACTATTTTAATTCTTTTGTTACTTTACCTATATTTCTACATTCTTCAAAAAATTATTTTCTTAGTGGTTACACCAGGAATTAAAATTAGCAACTTAATCTAAACAAGCTGCTTAGATTATGCCAATGTAATTTCAATAGTATAAAACAAATTTGCTCCAATACAGCTCCATTTCCTCCTCCTTTTTTGAACTACATCTGTATACATTATAAGGTGAATCTTCACAATTTTATAGCTATTATTTTATGCAGTTGTTCTTTACATCAGATAACAGAAGATAAATATGTTTATTCTGTCTACAGTATTTACCTATGTAGTTACCTTTACTGGTGCTCCTTATTTTTTTTTGTATGGACTCGAGTTACTGCCTTCCTGATTCTGCCCCTGCAATTGTAATTTGTTTGCTGCCTATTTTCTCACACTAGACTGATTTGTCATCATCAAATATTATTTATCTTAAGTTCCCTTAGAAGAGTGCTGAATAAAGAGCAGCAGAAAACTTTGTGATAAGAGCTGGGAACAAGAAGGTCTTTCAAAGGCCCTGAAAAGCTGAACTATAGTTTCAGACCCAAATATCTATTACAGTCCATCCTCAGTACCTCACACCATAGCTGACACAGAGTACGTGCTTAATAAATGTGAAATAAATTAACACAAGCACATGACGATTAAGATTTAGTGTTGAATTATATGAAGGGTCTGAACTAGAAAAAATGCTGACAGATAAATGAAAGAGTCAAGCAAGCTAAGTTCTTTAAAAAAATAAGTTTTAGCAAATAATCTGTAGAATTTCCTGAGTACTCTGAGTCGAATTGCCAAAAAAAAAAAAAAAAACAGAGAGAGAGAGAATTTAAGTAGTTCACAGCAATGCATTAGCTAATTCTTTTAATGAGGCTTAAACTTCTTGAGAAAGTCAGACAAGGACACACAATTTGCTCACTAATAATCTTACACTTACTAATTCAAAAGTACATAACAGATTTCATGCATCTCTGTAATTTTAAGCAAATAGGACAAGCTCTTCATTTGATGGCTCACTTGATGTAGCCTATGGCACGCATAATGCCTTACAACTTTGTTTATAGACACTAACAGTTGGAAATTGAGAGTTGCTCAAGCAGAATTCTATGTAATCACGCATTTGGGGTTAATTCACTTTATTGTGGCTGCTAAAGTGAGTTCAGCTGAACTTGGTATTTTCCATTCCAATCTGTTTTGTAAATGACTTTAGTTTCACAGCCCAAGCATTTTACTGCAAATCTTCTGAATCATGTGGCTTGTACTAATGAGGATAATTCATGAAAAGAATGTGGATTATTTATGAATCTGTGATGCAATTTATTTTAAAATTTATTTTAGAGTTTGGGAAATGTCAAACTATATGCTTAAATGGTGGAAAATTAAAATGTTTGGATTTTGGTGTCACTCATTCATTTAACAAACTTTTTAAAACATTTTCTCTGATGGTACCATGTAAACTTTAGGGTAACCATGGTATCATGGTAAAGTTTTACCATGTAAAAGTAACAAGACAGATACATTGCAACCTTGAAAGAGTTTTAAAGGTATGTCAATTTGTAAATAAATGAATAAGAAATTATAAGCATACCTTTTATACAATGCACACTAACTAGTAAAAATAAGGAAATAGGGGATAATCTTAACACTGAACATTCCCCAACAAAATCTGAATCTAAATCTAAAATATCTTTATTCCTACATGCTCATTAATTGCTTTTTCCCCTTCAAGAAATTTTTCAGATTCTAATCCATTTCTACAAATGTTTATCGGAGTAACTGGGCAATAGATTCTCTATGTCCTCTCTAAACTTTCCCAGCACTTTCTCCTATTCTACTCACTTTGTTCTTATGAAAAAAGCAACTGATGTGTGCTGAGCATGTGCTATTTATAGGGATACAAAGATGACAGCGAGACTATCTTTATCTTAGTAGAGTAGAAGAACCAGACAAATAAGAAGCACCATACTGGTATTTCAATGTGCATTTTTTAAAAAATAGTCACATATACCAATTCAACACATGCTTGCTATTTAAATGTAAGTACAATTAGTTGAGAGGCCATTATTAAACAACATCCATTAAGATATTTTGTTTAATGAGCACTGTCTATATTTAGGCACTTGAGTTAATTCATCTAAGCAAGCTTGTCCAACCCACCTTATTTTGTTGTTGTAGTTTTGTTTTGTTTTGTTTTAGGCTTTTAGCAGCCTGAAGCCCTGGTTTTTAGTTTCTGTCTCTAGTAATAAGCAGAAAAGAGGGATAGGAAGGGGTTTTACTGGCCCAAATAGAAATAGAAACTGAGAACCCACGACGGTGTTCTCTCCCTTGGACACACCTGAATGCATGTACCAAACCTATGAGGAAGATGCTATACAACCCCATTTTAAAGTTAATAAAGGGAGTCACAAAAATTTAAGCCATTTACAAAATTCATGTCACTACTACTTGGTGGAGTCAGGATTTAAATTCATGCAGTCTGGCCCTTGTGTTTTTGACTTCTGTATAGTGTATCATTCCAGATCATTCATCCCCAGCTTGTAGGAAGCTCCCCATTACCCTGTGATGTGTGATGTCTTTCTGTCAGAGAAGAATGTGTCCCCTCTTCATGATCAAGTTTAACCACGTGACTTGTTTTAGCCAATGAAAAGTGAGATGTAACACATGCCGGTTCATAAAAGACATTAAAAGAAAATATACTTTTCTTCCAGTTTTCTTTTTCTCTCAGTCTCAGAATGCCATGTCCCAGAAAGTGCCATTTCTTCAGACTAGGTTCTGGAATGAGAAAACAAATGGAGCACAGTGCCCCAGCCAGCCCTCCCCACTGACCTGTAATAGGAGTGAAACAGAACTGTTGTTGCAAACCACATTTTTTAATAGAAGAATAATAACCTAGCAAAACCTGACAGATACAATAATAGGTACTAGGAAGCAGGATGCTGCAGTAACAAACACCCTAAAATATAAGCATTGGCTTCATAGGGAGGTGGAGAGTGCTGAGAAAACTGTCACCAACATCTAGAAAATCACCACTCATATTTTATAGTGGTCCACATTAGTTTTTATAGTAAAAAATGATGGGAAACAAAATGTTAATAAATGTTGCTACTGGTTTCACTTGTAAGGTCATAAAAGAAATGACTTCTTTGTAATAGCAGAGGAAAAGAGAAAATATTGAAATTATGAGCCATATAGTGTTAAAAAAAATGAGTGTTGCTCATATCCAGTCAGTGAAAGATGATCTTGAAAAATGCTTTGAATAACAAGTGTTGATTAAAAAAACAAAGACACATCCTCAAAGACCAAATAAAGTGTTTGTGAAATCTTTTTAATGAATTAAGGTGACTCCAGTAAATCTTTTCAGTTGGATAAAATGTGTCAGAGAAAACAGACTAATGGCATGTCCTTCCACAAGCCTGATAAAGTAAGTATCGGCAGTAAGTTTAGAGAACGAGAGAAATACATCTCTAAGAATTGTGGCATTTTAAGATACATTTTACAAAATGGGAGAGACTGAGCCATATCCTTTTTGTCTCTATCTTACAAACCACTAAATGTGTTTGTTGGTAATATCCTTCAAATCATCAAGGTTTAAGTTAAATGTTACCTTTCCTGTATTAGATATGGTTTTAGTACATTTTGCTCTGATTCTCTGTGCTTATATTTAAAGTAATTTTCGCCCTGCATCTGATGATGCCCCTCCTCTAGACTATGAATTCCTCAATGGCAAAAAGTAGAATTTTTAGCTTTTGTGTGAGACATGTATGTGAAAAGTTCATGATATGTATTTCAGGAATGAATAACTGAGTGAATGAATACAAACATTCACTGATACAGCAGAATTATCTAACAAAGTGTAGTAACCCCAAATCAGCATTATATACAGTTTTTAAAATTATACATTCTGCCTGATTCTTATAATATTCTAAAAAATAAGATCTTTGAAGTTGGAGATTTAACCTATATGTTCCAATGTTTTAAATAAATCTGATTACAAATATAACCTTTCAGACTTAGAGTCTCAAAAATCTCTAAAGGAATTTTTATTTGCTATTTCTCATAGAAAGCGAAATTAGTGTTATTCCTAGACAAAAGACAATTAATCACAGATGTTAAATTTTATTTAAAATGTAAAGTACTTAATCAGTTTATAAAATACATTTCCTGAATATTACTCTAAAAATGCCTAGACATATTTCTATGTCTGGGTTCTCATTACTTTAAAAGAACACACAATATAATACTTTTATGAACATGTTATATTGGTTCAATGCATTCTTAAATTTTGTTTATAAGTGCATCCTAAAAAAAAAGCACAGACAAAATATTTGGAAGGAATAACAAATAACAAATTATGTGTGGAGGAATAATGCACGCAAAATATTTGAAACTATATACCTGTCGACACCAGAGTTTGCGAAATATTTGCAGATAAGCCAACACCATGAGACACAGTGGTGCCATGTATGTCACCAGAAAGAAACAGATGTGGTACATCTTGGGATAAATTTCACCTAGGATGAAAGTCAAAACAACAAAACCTTACGTTACAATTGATGGACTTTTAAAAAAGATACATGTCAATGCTTTTCTTCAAAGTGCATATTTACCTTTTATATGATTTCATTGTCATATTATGTATGCAAAGGGGAAAAATAATTCATAATATTTAACAACTTATTTTACTCAGTATATGGGTATACACATGCCAAATGTGAAGTCGTAATTTCACTTAATGTACTCAGAAAAATAAGCATTAGCTATTTCTTAATTTGTGCTACCCAAAGTCAAGTGTTCAGTTATTAAAAGGCCCTTTATTTGACTTGATTACATCTGGCTAATTAACAAAATTAATTTGGGTTGTTCTAAACTTTTATTTACAAAAAGGGACATGAATCAATGAAAACCTAAAAACTAATGCTTTGGTTAAAATGGGAAGAAAATATAAACTCAGTTGGTTGTTCCTTATTAGAATGTAAGTTCCCTGAGAAATGGGAGGCTATTCTCAGTTGTATCTCCAAATACAAATGTGAAAAAAATTTTGAAAACTAAATACAATACAAATTTGACAATGATTATTTTTGTTGACTTATTGGAACATATACAAAATTCCTCTTTAAGCATAGTATGTCTGTGGTGTGTGTATGCTTTTATTAAAAATACATGTATATACTTTTAATAAAAATGAGAATTTTAAGGCTTTATAACATTTATTTTCTCCAATCCAATATGAATATTTTCTCACTTATTAAGCATAAACACCTCTAGGACTGTAGTAATTTTTTATTTATAATTAATCCTATGTACACAAATGATACACATCACAGATTAGACACTTACGAATAAGTCGATTAATCACTTCATGGCATTGTGGTTTAATATTTTAGCTTTTCTAAATTATATTGATTACTAACTTTGTAAATGCTCTAGAAGATATATATATATATATATATATTCCCTACCTAATACATATATATATATTCCCTACCTTATATATGTACATAAATACATAAATAAATTCAGATTCCCTACATAATATATATTTTATATATTATATAATATATAATCATTATATATTTATAAATTTATATATTGTATATTAATATTAGATATATTCATATATTAATATAGTACATATTTTATTTATATATAAATATATAATATATAATAAGTTATATTATATTATATATATTATATATAATATATAAGTTATATTATAATATATAATAATAAGTTATATATTATATATTTAGATATAATATAAATAATATATATTAATAGATATTTATATGTAATATTATATATAACATATAATACATTATATATTTATATATAATATTATATATAACTATAATACATTATATATTTATATATAATATTATATATAACATATAATATATATTTATATATTATGTCGGGAATCTGAATTTTTGTATGTATGTATTTTTTTAATTTTTTATTCCGATAGGTTTTGGGGAAACAGTTGGTGTTTGGTTACATGAATCTTCAGTGGTGATTTCTGAGATTTTGGTGCATCTATCACCCATGCAGTGTACACTTTACCCAATCTGTGGTCTTTTATCCTTCACCCCCTCTCCCTCACTTTCCCCTGAGTACCTGAAGTCCATTTTATCATTCTTATGCCTTTGCATCCTCCCACTTATGAGTGAGAACATATGTTGTTTGGTTTTCCATTCCTGAATTACTTCACTTAGAATAATGGTCTCCAAATCCCTCCAGGTTGCTGGGAATGCCATTATTTCGTTCCTTTTTATGGCTAAGTAGTATTCTATGCTATATACATACCACATATTTTTATTCCCTCATTGATTGATGGGCATTTGGGCTGGTTCTATATTTTTCCATTTGCGAATTGTGCTGCTGTAAACATGCATGTGCAGGTATCTTTTTAGTATAATGGCTTATTTTCCTCTGGGTAGCTACCAGAGTAGGGAGATTGATGGATCAAATAGTAGATCTACTTTTAGTTCTTTAAGGAATCTCCACACTGTTTTCCATAGTTGTCGTACTAGCTTACATTCCCACCAGCAGTGTAAAAGTGTTCCCTCTCCACCACATTCATTCCAATGTCCTTAATTTTTTGGCTTTTTGATTATGGCCATCCTTGTAAGAGTAAGGTGGTATTGGCCAGACACCAATTACAGGCTCACGTCTGTAATCCCAGTACTTTGGGAGACCAAGGCAGGAGTATCGTTTGAACTTGGGAGGTGGAGGTCGCAGAGAGCTGAGATCATGCCACTGCACTCCAGCCTGGGCGACAGTGCGAGGCTCCATCAAAAAATAAAATAAAAAATAAAAAAAAAAGTGGTATTGCATTGTGGTTTTGATTTGCATTTCCCTGATTCTTAGTGATACTGAACATTTTTTCATATGCTTGTTGGCTATTTGTATACCTTCTTTTGAGAATTGTCTATTCATGTTCTTAGCCAACTTTTGATAAGATTGTTTGCATTTTTTCTTCCTGATTTGTTTGAGTTCCCTGTAGATTTTAGAAGATATTTTTGTACTTGTATTCGAATATATCACAATGGTCTACCTACTTTTACTGCAATGTAAAAGAGGAAGCAATATATCTTGCATAGATTCCATAGATATTAAATGTAATTAACTCATTATAATTCTAATTGAATGCTAACACAACAGAGCTGTTTTGTTTTTCTTCTAAAATTTACATACTTTGTTTTGACTTTTCTATTGACAAGGGGGTTTATCCCATAGTATTGTTGAGGAATAATGCTATTACCTCTATGTATTTTATTCTTTTCATTACTTCATAAAGGGGATGTAGAAGCATGAAAGCTTGGTTATGTGATCAGATTTGTGATAAGAGCAGTTTACAGTCAGGATTAATCAATAATAAGCATGATGATTGTCATAATAATAGATAATATTTATTGAGCAATCATGCATTTGATTCTTGCTGGATATATTTTAACATATTTATGAGTTTAATATCCTCCACAATCTTATTTCCATAGGCTGTCTTTCAGATGCAGTTGAGTTTGAGTCTAATTTTCTCCATATTCATGCTTCTAAACCCATCTTCTCTTTTGGTTTAGATGTCTTTATCCGCTGCAGTCTTCAGCAGGGTCAGTAGGATGCATGTGTTGGCAGGTCTAAGAGACCAATTTGAGGTGTCATTTTTAGCTACTCTCTGGCCCAGGTAGCACTCACCTACCTCATCAGTTTCCAACTTTCTTTCAAGTTGATCCTGTAAAGCAGGCCAGTTACATAAAAAGTGATAACATTCAAGCATTCTGACTTGAGAAATAACAGTCTTTCCCTTTGAAGTGCCACAGCCTACACAGCATATGGCGGGCCAATTTCAAAGGAATCTGAAAGTGATCTCAGCACTTCCCAGGCACCTAAGAGGCTTTGAACTTTTATTTGTTTTGAAGAGGTGTCACATGAGCTTTCCTCATGACAAAATCTATATAACTTTGAAGCTTACATACCTGCGAAGCCCTGTTGTCTGCATAAGACCAATTGAGTGGATAGAGGAAAGTAGATTTGAGAGGTAAATTTTTTCCACTGCAGCTATGGATAGCATCACTGTGATAACAGTTTGGCGTTTTGAATAGATGGTAGCAAAAGCTCCTATGTGGTTGGTATATTTATGAATAATTAGAAAAAATATGTAATTGACTGCTAAATGCAAATTATTATAATGAACACTGATATGGAAAAAAGATCAAGCAAAATTATCCTTCCAGGGTAGGATAGATTGTTTGAATAAGGAGATTATAATAGATAACTAGGGAAACATGATAGTCTAAGCTGATTAAAAACTCAGATATGCCATTGAAATTTTAAATTATGTGTGATGAAAATATCTTTGAAGTCTTTCTGTACTTCATAAGCAATGTCTTCAATGTATTTAAGACATTTGTATATAACCTAGAATATAACTACACAAAATTTGTTTCACATAAGCATTACTTTAATTTAAAAAAGTTTTAAATATTGATAATCATTAAAAATTACTGTTTTTACTCAACTGATGAATAAGCACAATCTAAATAAATTTTATATATATATATATGAAACTAACTAATAAGGAACAAATGTGGATCTTTAGTCTTTGAAATCAGAGATTAAAGAGTTATATTGTATATTTGACAGGCAAAACTTAATTTCTCTCAGATGACTTAAGGTTCATTATTCAGCCAGCATGTTATCTTAATTATCTAGAAACTAGAAACATTCCTCTTTCATGGTACACTTATCAGGAATTGAATGAACAAGTAAATTAAATATAATTTCCCAATATTCAACATGGAATGTCTTTTCAAAGTTTAGGGGTTCATTAAGTTTACCTGAATCTTTAATATGTTTTACTATCTTCTCCCTAATAAATATGTTTAATAAATCTTCCCATTAATAGACTTATACACATATTTATATGCTTTCAAACCTCATAATAGGCCAGATGCCATAATTACTTTGACTGTAAAAATGGTTCCATTTTTTTTTTTTTAGCCTACCAAAGAACAATTTGTCAGTAATATTCAAAAAGAGAGATGCTACTAATCTCCAGTGTCCAGAACAATTGACCAAGGGTACATGCTAATTAAACACTGGATGAATGAATAGTGAAGAAAATATAACTTTGATTGAGTGTACAAAAAGAGTTATTTTCTCTCTTTTTGAAGATGGTGTCTTGCTCTTTTGCCCAGGCTGGAGTGCAGTGCCATGATCTCGGCTCACTGCAACCTCCGCCTTTCGGTTTCAAGCGATTGTCCTGCCTCAGCTTCCCGAGTAGCTGGAATTACAGGCGCCCACCACCATGCCCAGCTAATTTTTGTGTTTTCAGTAGAGACGGGGTTTCACCATGTTGGCCAGGCTGGTCTCCAACTCCTGACCTCATGATCCGCCCATCTCGGCCTCCCAAAGTGCTGGGATTACAGGCTTGAGCCACCACACCCAGCAAAGAATTTCTTTCTGTAGGATCTTTCCTGTAGAACTATGCATTTACAAACCAAGCAAGCAAGAAATTGTGGGTTAATTTAATAATTTTAGAAGTATGAAATGATGTGACTGAAGCAAACAGTGAACACATACAAATGTATATTTTAAAGGTTATTAAAATAAGTATTTACATTATTTATATGTTCTTGAGTGTTGTGTGTGTCTGCCAGAAATCATGGCTTATGGTTCTTTTTATGAAGAAGTAATAGGCAATAATGAATATAATTAGTTTTAGAAATCATTTATCCATATATAATTACATATTGCTGGTAAATTTTTTAGTTAGACAGAGTTCTCAGTTATTTTGCACCATGAGTAAAACAGCATTTACAGAACTTTTCCAAAAGTTATTTGATAGATATGTATCAACTGACCAAATTGCTTTTCCAAATTTTTTTCCACTGCCACATTGGTTGTAGGATAATTATGATTCTACTCTCTACTTTTATAACTACATTATTGATTTAACTTAGAATAAAGATAAGAAACACAGATTATGAATTAATCTCAAATAGAAGATATTTTACAATAGTTTTAAAAATCAGGCTAAATGACAGTTGGCCTTTAAAAATATTTGAATTTAGAGAGATGACACTGTAAAATATACTTTCCTATGGTTTTTTAAAAAGTTGTGACAATCACACATATACAAAGGTTTAACATTATAAGTCGAACATGGACTTATAAATAGTTTACATGAACAATGATTTTACATGCTATGTAGAAATCATCATAATAAATATCTAATAAGAAAGATAAAAATCTGCCTTGAATTATTTTTTCTTAAAAATATTCTTAGCAATTTCATTTAATATTTAAATGACTGTATAGCTTTTACTAAGTTGGATTTTGTAGCTAATCAATTCAGTCCAATAATACTTAATTTTAGTCTTTACAAGCATTTAATTATAGGCTATTATAAAATCACCTTCAAATAGTTTTCTTAAATGACTTCTGAAGGCTAAGTTTAGGTTTTTACATATTCAACAATTGTTTCCTTTTTTTAATGAAAATGTCCATGCTAGAGTTATGTAATAAAATATCAGAGTAGAAATGAGCTTTATGTATTTATATTTACCACTCAGAGGTAATTTAAAAATCATACGTCTATTTACATAATCATAATAACTGAACAGGAATCCATGACTTTGCAATCTTTTTGTTAATGGAGGTTACTGTTACTTGATTATTCAGGGAAACATTAAAAAAAGAAAAGCTTATAAAAGCAACCCATAAACATATAAGTGAAACTAATTGCCGGAATATTAGAGAAAATACTGCTGACACATATTGAAAAATATTTTTATATTTTATCTAATAGCAATCCCTATAAAACTTAAGGAATCCCAACTTACAAGTTGGAAGCTTTAGATTTAAATGTACCTATTTGCTTCATAATCTTGAAAAAATAATATAATCTTTCTAGGGTTAAATTTAGTCTCGAGTTTAATACAGGATTCTGAGAAAGACCTTTTTAGGCTTTCTAAATATAAACCAGTGTAAAAGGATCGTATAAGAGACATGTCACAGTCAGTCCCCAACCCATCTTGTTTCAAAATTCAATTATTTACACTATCTGCCCCTATGTTCCAGAAACTACAAGTGCTGATTCACTCTTTCTGCTTTGTAATGTAGTATCCATGATGTGGATTTTCTTGCTTTCTGGACATCCTTTTCCCTCTTCTCAGTCTGGAGAATTTTTGCTTATCTTTAATGTTCTGCTGGAATGTTAGCAGTTCCTCTGTAAACTTTTGTTCAAATGGCCAGAACTGAGTTTGTTCTCTCATTTGTGTTCTCAGCATTTTGTATATAAATATATTAAAATACTGATTACCCTATAAAAATTTGTTTATTGGCCTTTGAGCCTTATTATATAGAGTGTGCTCCCGTAAGCAGAGTCTGTTTCTCTCCAGGTGGGCACAATGCCTGACATATACTAAGTTCTCAAGGTGGTGTTTGAGCATTAAATGAATGGGACATAAGACACTTCATAAATATTCCTACCATTTTGGAAATTTCCATTGATTTTTTTTTTGTCTGCACTATTAATTTGGAAAATTGGAAAAAACTGAAAATGATACAGAGAAAAATACAGCAAAAAAAAGTTGGAATGTTAAAAAGGAAAAGTAAATCCCAATAAAAGACAGATATTTGATATTTGGGGTAATAGATAAAGCAAATTATAAAATTTTAGTTATTATAGGTCTTGCAACAATATATGAAATAATCCCAGCCTCTCTTAAATATTATCTTGCTGTAGATATATCCTGTAGTATATGCCTAATATATCAGTGATTGGCTTTTTTTCCTTTCGGTGTTCTAGTACAAACACCAAGGTAGGAAATAACAGAAATTCAAAGATTACAATATTTAAGAATATTATCCTTAATCAGTCCCTGGTGTGCACTGCTTGTTTTGATACATCTTTCTAATAAAAAACAATGTTAACATATGAATTCTCTAAATATCAGCCATTTTAGTATACTTACCTAGAAGAGGTCAGATTGGTTTTTTTTTAAATATATATTTCATATGATATATTGGAATCAGTGCATGCTATGCTGAAATGCAGGGTTATTTTATTTTCTGTCATTCTTTCCTGTGCCCAGATTTGTGCTAGCACCAGGTGTTGATAGCAGTATTCTCACTGTTACACAAAAACCTCAGACTGACTCTAAGAATTTCTAACCAAAGAAACATAAAGCCTTCAAACCTGATTGCTTAAATTTCACATCATACTTGTCAGATGGGAAACCAGATTGATTCATAATTAATATAATTCTTAAACTGGATAATAATTATGCGAGTAGCAATAATGTATTATGAATAGAGAAAACAAATTTGGATTATTTGACTTAGAGAACCACATGCTGACTCTGGCCATGTTCCCAGGACCATGTGATCCAGGACATGGTCTTAAAATGAAAAAATTCAGTTGTATTTGAAGCCCATTAGGGACCCTGACACTAGACAACACAGTGTTGAACCATCTTATAAATCGTGGATCATTCCAGAATACATAATCGGATTTGTATTCCATATTGCTTTTTGTTTAAAGAGTTTAAGAAAAACTAAAATAATCAAATCTGAATTGTAGAATAATCTCCTTTCATTTCCTATCCAAAAGATATGAAAATGAGAAAATAATAGATAACATTTCCAAAGGATTCAGATAGGTAGAGTTATTCTGTGAAATTGTTTTGAAATTCAAGTTGGTTTTCATGCTCTTGCAAAACTGTATTCACAAATGTCAATAAAATATATAAGCCCAGCTTTACAATGGCTATGCTAATCCAATTTTCAATTTGCTGCTGTAATATAAATGTCAGTTGATGGGCCATAAGGTACTTACCACCCCAGCGCTCATCACACACCGTAAAGAGGGTGGTTTTATTGGCTAAGCCTGGGAACACGGTGCTGCACTCCATGACGATGGCCTGAGGAATCATTATAATGCAGGAGACAATCCAGATGATGACAATGCTGTTACGGGCCCGCTTTGCTGTGCTCTTAAACATCAAAGGGTGACAGATTGCATACCACCGATCCAAGGCGATACAGCTCAGTGTGAGGACAGACACAGACACCGACACGGTCTAGAGAAAAGAAAGATCATAGTAATAGAGAAGCACCAGCTGTTAAAAGAATTACTCTTAATATATTTACTATATGAGAAAGGTAGTCACAACATATAAGCAAATTCAAAGCTGCCAAAAATAAACAATCCATGCAAGTGCTTTCTATTTAAAAAGAAATTATATCACAAAAATGAAATATTAGAAATATACTTTTAAATGTAAATTTATTGTTAAACATGAAAAGGTATGATGAAAACTTTGCAATCTTTTTTTACTCCAAATGTCTTAATTTATAATATGGCATTCTTTAAATAATTACTGTAATTATTTTGTCCTGTAATTTTTCCATTGATTGGAAGAAATCATACCCTCATATAGAAAAAAAAAAACACATATGTTTAGTCCAAACTGGAAAAGCCTCAATTATAAAGAATAATATGTCTTTCTTCTAAATTACCACATAGAAATTTGATTGAAATTATATTTAATTAACATTTTTAAATTATGGGTAGCTTATTTCATATTTTCAAATAATAAGGGCTATTTGTACATCAGTGCATTTTCAACATGTAGCACCCAAGGAAAGTTACGAGTCATATTAAAAGAGAATTTTGTATGCGAATCTCCTTATGACAGTTTGCTCACTGCTAGCCTAGTCAATGTGATTCCAAAAACTAGGTAAGTTCACCCAGTCAAAATTTGTATATAATTAACAATGCCACAAATCATTCTTTAACTTGACACTTTAAGGAAATAACAACAACAAAAAATTTTAAAAATTCATATATCCACATTATTAGTTAATGTAATTATGTTCAATGTGCTCTCTTATACTGGATGAAATATTGATTCTGATATCACTCTCAGAATCCCCTCTCCCTTTAAAAAGACTTCTGATTTCTTTTACATTTTTTTTTACAGATTGTTATTTATTTTTCTTTCAGCATGTATAATGTAGTAAATTATTTGCTTAATTTGCTTATTTATCATCTGTTTTCTCTATTGGAACAAAGCTCTGTGGTAGGAGGGACTGCTTCTGTTTTTTTCACAACTGTGTCCCCAATATCTGATACAACATTTGATATCCATTATGCATTTAAGAAATATTTTGTTTTTAACTTCTATTTTAATTTCAGGGGTACATGAGCAGGTTTGTTACATAGATAAATGTCTGTCATGGGTGTTTGCTGTACAGATTATTTCATCACCCAGGTATTAATCCAAGTATCCACTGGTTATTTTTCCTGATCCTCTCCCTTCTCCCACCCTCTACCCTCTGAAAGGCCCCAGTGCGTGTTGTTCCCCTTTATGTGTCCATGTGTTCTCATCATTTAGCTCCCATTTATAAATGAGAACATGTAGTATTTGCTTTTCTGTTCCTGCATTTGTTTGCTAAGGATAATGGCCTCCAGCACCTTTCATGTTGCTGCAAAGGACATGATCTCATTCTTTTTTATGGTTGCATAGTATTCCATGGTGTATATGTACCACATTATCTTTATCCAGTCTATCATTGATGGGCATTTAGGTTGATTCCACGTTTTTGTTATTGTGAATAGTGCTGCAGTGAACGTATACTTGCATGTGTCTTTAAAACAAATATTTGTTAATCCATTAATAGTGGTGAGCCTTAATTGAAGGCAGTAGATATAGTCCAGTCATCTTCTTCTATTTTTCTGTCCTGGTTATATTGATCTCATAATATGTGGAAAGGGTAGTTATCTCTGTCTTTTACATGAGGACCTTTCTTGTTGATATGTTGATTATAGGTACAAATGAGTGAAAGAGATCTAAGATCCAGTGCAACAGTGCAGAAAGTCTCTGGGCTGTCAGGATGAACTATCTGTTCTCTCTCTCTGATCAGCTAGCTGCACACTATTGAGTCACTCACTTTACAGCTTTAGGCCTAATGTGTGTGTTGTGTGTTGTGTGTTGCGTGTGTGTGTGTGTGTGTGTGTGCTAAATGAAGTAAATCAACAGGATAAGATTCTTATCAAGTATGATTCTTTTGTTTCTCTATGGGAGAGGCAGAAGAGTATAGCTGGAATCGAGTCTGCAACCAGGTTTTCTGGGCATGAATCCCATCTGACATATGGAGTGATCTTAAGGAGATTATTTAACCTCTCCATTCCTCAGTTTTCTCATCTGTAAAATGTGGATGATTAATAGTACCTAACCATGGAATTGTATGGACAGTTAGTTGAGATGAAAATGTCTATTCCAGGGCTGGCATATAAGTGCTGTGTGTTTACTATTTCTTATGATTATAATAATAATAATGATGATGATACTATTAGTTTTATCTTTCATTCTTGAGTCTGAAGTTCTATATTTTAATTGGAACAGATTGCTTTTCAGAGAAGAATATTCATAGAAATTACAAGTGAAAGCCTAACCTTTGCTAAATTATTGGAGGCTAATTTCATTTTAAGTGTAATTTTAAGGGGCTGGACTCTATGAGAATGGGCTTAAGTTGATTAGTGACTCCTAGAAATTTCTTAGTGCTACCTGAGGGTACCTTCAACTCTCTTTCTCAAACCAGTATCACCTTATTCTCTACAACCTCCATTCCTTCTCTGCAAATAAGTTAAGCACCTAGGGCCCCTCAATACCATTGCTAACCTGGGAATAGAACTATGGTTGTATAGATTCGCACAGTCGCCTTTTCATAGCTTCTGGGCTAGAGATATATCAATCCTCTCTAGCAATTAGAAGTACAAAGTGTTCATCAAGCCTTAGTAATTTATAATCCATTAATTTAATCAACATGGATAAATGGGATAGATGTAGCATGGTTCAAATATCAATGTCATTTCTAGTGTTTCCTAATGCCATTAGGTCATAATAATCAATTCATATCAGTTCACTTGGAAGACTGACATCCAGTGCCAATAGTGACCCAGGGAGCACTGCCCTTCATCACACAGAAAAGGGAGGAATATGCTAGTGTGATGTATCTAACAGTAGAATGAACCAATCCATTGAATGAACCCTTGACAATCAGTGAGCTAATATTCATTGTTTGACCTACTATATTTGCTTGTGCAATTAACACATTAATATACAATTATGTGCAATGTATAAGATTTTCTTGGAGGTGATGTAAAATTGCATTTTATCATAAGTAATTATAAGTGAAAGTTTTGTTGTTGCTTTTAACTTCTAAGAGTGCACTTCTGGGTGTCTTTTTCATTTGGATTCTGATATTAGCTCAAGTTTGTTGAATAGTAAGTCATTTGAGAAATGAATCTAGTGTGGATTATGAATGTTGAGAATGAAGTGGAGTGAGATAATGGGAACTTTCTTCTGCCTTCAGGTACTTGGTCTTTGACCTATACTATGGGCACCCTTCGCACAGGATAATGTTTGGGGATTTCCTTTAGTAGAGAAGTCCACTGTTTTATACTAGCAAATAGATACGGCAAAGGTATCTTAAAGATTCACTATAAGGAGAAATGAAAATTTTGCCAAATCACAGATTTGGATGATAAGCACTAATAGGTAGAAAGGTTTCAAAGTATGACTGAAAGAGAGGGAGCTTGTTTGACCACCCACTGCCCACCTCCCACATCTCACTTGGCTTCTTTTTTTTCTGGCATTTTCTGTGTAGGGCGTCTTCTGCAGTTAAAAAAAATCACTCTGAAAAAGTAACCAATGCTCTTGTCATTGTTGGAAGAGAAGTGAAATACATGATAATTGTTCAGCAAATAGCTGAATACATGTTAATGGTCTTGGAGTTATGCAATTATTAAAGATACAAAAGAGTCATTTTAATTATTCAGCTAAGCTTTATAACATTTGTGAGACTTTTGAGATTTTTGTGCATTTGCCAATGCGTTACAGCATATCACTCATAAATCTAAAGGCTGTATTGTATTTAGAAGAAAAAGAACATATAAATTATAGCAAATTAATAAACGTCCAAGTAATCTAAAATGCAACCAAATAACTTTAAAATGTGGCTGGGCATGATGTAACATGTTTTTAAATATTCAGTAAGACATAAATATCATATCAGGGATATAAGTCATTAGTTACAGAATGTCACAACTAGGGAGAAAATCTGCTCAAATTTAAATTATATGTTTATTGCCCATTGGCACTGTTCATTGCATTTGGGAACATTCTATGAAAAATGAGGCAATAAATATGAAGAATTTGGAGATACTAGTTTTACCTGTGCACCAATCTCTTGGTGCATTTACACCTTTCCATCAAGAAGTAATGTTAGATGGGGTAACAAATGGATCTAGTCTTTTGCATCATGTGGTTACCCAGTAGTTTTTTCCCTTGCTCTATGGAGAAGAGGAGCAGCTAAGGAATTGATTAGATTGGACACTGTGTGCAGAGAGGCAGACAGAATCCTTCCAGAGATGAGGATATTCCTTGAACTGTAGGACTTGTTAAATAGTTCTGCTGTGTGAAAGAGGACTGTAAGTGATTATAAGAGATACCCATGCTCTGCATCACTCACTGGTTACACTGCTTCCATTCTGTCCTCTAATGCAAATACTCACAGGAAACTCTGAGATGCCTGCTCTGCAGAAAGCTATCGCTGTGCATTAGCACATGACTGCACCTGCCCTTATCACTTCACTTCCCACCAGGGAATCTTCTGTTTCACAGAGAGAACATGAAATGTTACCAGTCAGTTGAAGATTCTGGGCAACTGCAGCCATCCCAAAACTTAAGAGAATCCTCAAAATATTCTCCTGGGTAGTTATTGAAACCAAGAGAGGTAAAAGGCTTTCTGGAAGTACCACAGAGATAATGAAATATTAGAATTATCTGAAATGTATTACTTTCCTAGTGCCTCTATGCAAACACCACCAGAGCCATTCATTTCTTACTAACTTTTCCTCTATGAGAATATTTTTCTCTATTGTCCCATGTAGTTTTTCCTCACACACAAAAAAATGTGCTACTGTTCGTTTTGTAATCCATTCATGATTTTCAGCAGGCTGATCCAAACTAGCTTTATAATTAAACATAATATATGCATGGAGCTTATAACTTCTATAGTATTTTCCACTTACTATTCTATAAACAATGTTTAACCTTAAAAATTTTTCACTTCTTTTTATAAGAGGTAATTGAGGAACTATTGAACTAAATATCTCTTTGCAACATTTCATTCCAAAAGCCTAATCGGCATAATGTCTAGTAATAGGCTATTTGTGACCCCTCCCTAATTTTTTGTTACTGGGAGCTTATTTTCTGTTTTCTTAAAATATTATAGGCACCATCTGGGAGACTGCATGGCGTAAAAACTGAGGGTGCAGGAAAGCTATGGGAAGACAAGCAGAGAGTGGTCACCATTTCATTTGCTGTCCAATTCCTAAGGGAAATCCATCTTTTAGGATGGATGAGTGAATGTGAACATTATCTGATGAATCTTTTGTTTCAAAAATTTTAGAGCTATAATAACAATCAGAACACTAATCTCTGAAAGTATTCATTCTTAATTACTGAAATGGCAATTAAATAGAAAAAGAAGCTGTTTTCACTCTTAAGGAAAGAAAAACACCTAGTAATGATGATTCTGATGCTGATAATTGATGTTTATTGAGAATATACTGTTTTTATAAGATCATCTCTTCCAGAGGGTAATCACTGTGCCAACTTATTTATATGAATTATGTAAGTAAATGGTCACAGCAACCATATGAGGTAGATCTCATTTAAATTATTCTTTTAAATAAGTGAATTACAACTATTTGGCTTGATAGCATACAATTGGTGAATGGCAGAACGGAGATTCCAAATCCGGTAGTTTGAATTAGAATCTACACTAAAACCTGTTCATGGCACTGATTTGACCAAGTAGGTCTTAATTCTTCAGTATAAAATAAAATCACTTGTAAAAACAAATATGCTCAATGACTTGGACTGGCAGATCATTAATTGGTTCAAGAGAAAGATCAATAATTGGTTTGGGGAGATCATTAATTGGTTAAATCATTAATTGGTTCAAGTTTCTTATTTAACAATGGGGAAATTAGGAATCAAAAAAGTTTGCGCAAAATCAAACTTTTGGGATCAAATTTGGAATAAAAAAAGTTTGTGCAAAATCAAACTTTTGGAATCAAATTAGTAATCAAAAAAGTTGTGCAAAAATGTTTGTGCAGCATCTAATGATGATTTGGCAGTTCATTGCTTAATTTTTACCCAGAACTTAACTTATTTCTCCAGAAATTCTCAAGTATTATTTTCCTTCAGTTTGTCAATGCCTTAGGCAAATATATTTCTCAACTCACTAGTTAATTTACCATAAGGGCCATCGCTATGGCTGAACATTCTTTTTAGTAGCTTCAAAAAAGCATTAAAAACAATTACCTGTAGATAAGGAATCACTTTGCAAAGGGACTGTCCAAAAAACCAGGTCTCAGTGATATCCACGACCAGTGTGGCTGGAAGGCAGGTGATGGTCACGAGCACATCAGCCAGAGAAAGATTGACTATGAAGTAGTTGGTTACCGTCCTCATGTGGTGGTTCTTCCACACTGCCACACAAACTAATTTGAAAAGAAAAAGGAATAGGCACTCAACAAAGAAAATAGGTATTGGTGAGGAAACACTGTCAGTATTTCTATAAAGTCCACAAATATGTATTTAAAAAGAAAAATAATTGAAGGCTGTGCCGTGTTTTCACTGAATCTGTCAATCTGTGTGAATGCTAAGTACATGCTTAAAATCAGTTCATTTACCTTGCATGACATTTCTCAATAAATCATAAGGCTGTATTTATTTTTACTTGATTTTGAATTGCAAATGCCAGATGTTTTAAAATGGTCTTTGATTCATCTTTCTATTCCCTCAGTACTCAATATGTAGTAGAGTCTCAAGAAACGGTTGCTGAGTTAAGATAAATTAAGAACTAACAATTTTTATTGAATTGTAGTGTTTGCCTCATCCATGACCTTGACCCATATCTTCTCCTGAACCCTGCATTTGGAACTTTTAACAAATAATTTTTTAAGGTAAGAGCTAACAATTATTCAGCTCCTACCATTGCCAAATACCGAGCTAGATGGTTCATATACTTATGTTGTTTAATGCTGACAACAATCTTAAGGGACAATGATATCACCCACATTTTATAAAAGAGGAAGCTGAGACAAAGGAAATTAACTCACAAAACTTGTCTGAGGACATATGGGCTCACAAAATATAAAACTACAGCTATAACTTGGCTTTAGCTCCAATGCTTGTGGTCTTTTCACCACATGGGTTGCCTTCTTTGGTGAAAATGAGAGTACTGTAATAAAGTACATATAAGTTCCAGACTCTCAATTTTGTCTCCTTTCTATTACCTTAGGGCCTCTAAACATCACCCAGCAATCAAACATATTTTTCAATACTTTCATAGCCAGCCTCCCTCATTGCCTTGTAGTATATCCCCAGTTCAAAAGATGTACTGTCTCATTCAGTTGCTCTTTACTGAAAGAACACCCAGTTCCTCCATTCTCTGTCTTCCTTCGGTCTGACGTATATAAAAGTTACATAATCACTAGCTCTGGAATTATATAGGTGTACACGCTGCCATCACATCTATTCATGGGTTTGCTTCACTGAAAGTTACTGAATTTGTCTGGGGCATCACAAACCTGTCAGAGCTGTCACCCATGCACCCAAATAATGCAGGGATTAGTATCTTTACATAGCGAATAAATAAAACCTAATTTTGTTAAATTTGAATCACTGAATGAGGATTTCTTTGGACAATTATGTAACATTTATTAATAGTTTCATAAGCTGGAAAATGTTCTTACTAGTTCCTGAAGCTGAAATTGGCTGTCAGCTACCAACAGATGTCAATTTAACAAGATACCTGGATTTCAGAGGATTTAATTTTGAAAACTTCACATTGTCCTCTAACTCTCACGTGGTAATATCCAAAACTCAGGTGAACCTTAATCAGGGTAACTGTAGTCTTTATTATTTGAAAATTATGCCATTGAGTGATTTATTTTCTATAAACACTTGAAACACACACACACACATATTCACACACACACAAACCCACCCTAGCAGTTGACATACACATTATCACAGTTTGTTATGAGAAAATTGGCAAAAATATTATATTTCTGGTACTTGGTCAATAAATTGTCCAAATAGTACAATATTGGATCTAGGAAAATGCGCAGGACTCTTAGAAAACATGCAATTATTTCTAATCTTTTAACTCTGTATTTTGGACACGAGCAATGGCACTGGTGGGAAGACTTAATGCATTATATCTAGACAATCTAGACAATAGTAGAGCAAATATATGTTCAAAAGCACTTCTTTCTTTAGTCATTACTATGTGCTGTGCCTTGTTCTAAGCATTTTTTAAATTATTAACTAGTTTCATCATAATAACACTAGGAAGTGAATAGCATTAATATCTCTGTTTAACAGGTGGGAAAATAAGGAGAGAGAAGTTAAGGGGCCTACCTAAGAAAAATTAAGTACTAGAGTAAGTAAAAGTAAAACTAAGTACTAGGTCTTCAATTTAAGTGTTATCCACCAAGCTATATCATCCATATATCCTCTTGATTGAAGCAGAAAATGAAAAGGAAGCTACCAACCTCTATTTGACAGGGCTTTAAGATAGGATCATATAATTTTTTCACTTGGAGATTATTCAGTCTAACCTTCCATCTGATGCATGAATAATCACCTCTGCACCATCTCTGATTCATCCTGCTTGAACATTTATAATACCAGGTAATTTAAAACCTGCTGGAGCCCTTGAGTTCATTTTGCAGTGGCTTTAATTACTAGCAAGTTCTTGTTCATGTTCTGTTTTCCCTTCGTTTCTGCTTACAAGATCCTAATTATTTCTTGGAACTGAATGAATAAGCTTTACCTATATATGTACATTGTATTTGTTTTCTAAGGCTGCTGTAAAAAAGTACCATAAGCCTGGTGTCTTAAAACAATACAAACTTATTGTCTCACAGTTCTGGAGCTAGAACTCTCAAATCAAGGTGTCAGCAGGGCTGTCCTGTCTCTGAAAGCTGTAGTAAAGTTCTTCTTAGTCTCTTCCTATTTTCTTGTGGTTTTCAGGCAATCTTTGGTGCTCTTTAGCTTGTGCAGTATAACTCCAATTTCTGCCTTTGTCAGTGCATGACATTCTACTGTGTTTCTATCTTCACATGGCCATCATCTCATAAGGATCCCAGTCATATTGGATTAAAGGCCCACCCTACTGCAATATGACTTTACCATATCAAATTACATCTGCAATGACCCCATTTCCAAATAAGGTCACATTCTGAGTAATGATCATTAGGACTTAATCATATATTTTTGGAGAAACACAATTCAAATCAAAAAGGCATTCATTCAAGTATTTAACAACAACAGCTATGCCCACTTCCCTAGCCTATGCTTCTCCAGCCTAAAGATAATCAGAATCCATCATGTGAAACTTATGGGCTTTTCATTCCCCATCACCCTGGTTATTTTATTCTGAACACACTTCAGATTATCAGTAATAGCTCTAAGTGAGCTATCCATACCTGCAATCATTTCTCCAGGTGCAATCTACTCAGAGCAACAATGAGAAGGATGATTGATTTGGTTACTGTCAGTCTATTAAGACAGTTTGAGATCTTGTAAGCTTTTTTAAAAGCCAAGGCACACTTTTGGGGAAGATATATATATATATATATATATATATATATATATATAAAATCTTCCTATGTATTCTATGTGTATACTGGTATATATACATGTATGTATTCCTATGTGTGTGTGTGTGTATATATATATACATATATATATATATACACACACACATCGGTTCCCTTGTGTAGATGCTAGGATATTTACCTTTCAATCCTAAGAAGAAATAAAAAGAAAAAAAGATATTTATAAAGAAAGCTATTGGGACAACTGGATACATTTGAATTTTGAGTTTGTGTTAGATAATATTACTGTGCCGTTTAAACATATCTTAAGTGTGGTTTTCACATTATGTCCATTCAAATATTTAAAGACTGTGGCTATGCCCAAATAGTCAAATGAATCTTAAGCAAAATGAACAAAGCTGTGGGTATCGTATTAACTGACTTCAAATTATGCTATAAGCCTATAGTAACCCAAACAGCATGATACTATTAATAGTATAAAAATAGACATATAGATCAATAGAACATAATAGAAAACCCAGAAATAAAACCACATACCTACAGGCAATTTATCTTCAACAAACTCAACAAAAAGAGACACTGGGGAAGGACGCCTTACTCAATAAATGGTGCTGGGAAAATTGGATTAGCCATATGCGGAAGAACAAAACTAAACCCATATCTCTCACCATATACAAATAGCAACTGAAGATGGATTAAAGACTTAAATGTAAGACCCGAAACTCTAGAAACCCTGGAAGAAAACCTAGTATCTGTCTTTAAATGGACTATTCAGAACTACATATATATCTACAACTGCACATTCTCTAAATTTGTGTTACACAAACATTTATTTGTTTATTCAGTAACCCACTCACCCGTGCAAGGTTGTAAAAGTACAAAGTAAACATCACCTTCTCCTGAGAGCACACTAAATTTATACAACTTAAACTTATCACTGGACTTTGTGCTTCTCTGAAGTATAAGCTTCCATTTTCTCCCATTAATTATGCTTGAAATCTCCAAAATATCTCTTTCCTCTATTATATTCTTTCTATTCCTATTGCAAATACCCAATGTCAGATTGTTGTAACCATTAGCTAGAGTATTGCAGTGACCTCCTAATAGTTTCCCCATGCGTTGTGCCTGTCTGTACTCCTATATGTTTTATCCATTAATGTCATTAATGGATAAGTGTCATAAAATAATAAATGTCATAAAATGGATAAAATCCATTAATTCCTTTAATGGATAAAATATATAGGAGTACAGACAAGCACAATGTCTTGTTGTATTAACTCTTCCATTTCAATGAGAGCTCTCTTTTCTCCTGGACAGTACAAAATTCTCAGATGGCCAATAGTAACTGGGTTTCTGTTGAATTTTTGCCCTTTATCCCTTATAATGTTTCCCGTAAAATACACAGAGCATCAGAGTGAATCTGATATTTCACTGTGTGTCAAACATATTCCGTGCCCAGACCATCACTCATGCCATTCCTCTGTCTGGAAATGGTTGATACTCCATTTCAATAGCTTTTTAACCAATTAAATAGTATCCAAAACTGTCCAAAATCAACTGGTCAACCAACAAAATAAAAAACTTTCTGCTTCACAAAATATCTTTTAATTAGCCTAAATTAACATGACTTCTTTCTTCTTTGATACCCAATCACATGTTGTACCCTTCATGGCCATAAATTGCATTCTAAAATTATTGTGGATCATTATGGATTTCTTTTGTATTTTTTCTTATCTCTCTACGGGCACAAAGGCTCTTTATCATTATAAGCTGCTTTTTCTCTTTCCCTTACTTTGCTAAGTTTCTGCTGCTTTTCTCCCAACAAAAATACTGCCTATAATACATTCTGCAGTAACTATGGATGGAATTGATTTGCTCATAAACTTATAGTATGTTGCTGCCATTGGTATGGTATATTTTCCGATGAGCAAATTCTTTAAAAGGAGAAAAAAGGCACAAAGTCTAAACAGAGAATTTACTTTCTTCATTTCTTTTGAGTGAAATCTGAGAGCTCACAGAGAACTTAGCTGTTTGTCAATATTCTCTTAGACATAAAGTAGGCTATGGTTCTCAATTCGCCATGTACTGTGTCCTCTGATGAACTTTGGTAAATCCCAGGACCTGAACTTGATACCACATTTTAAATCAGTTCTGTGAATAACCATTAAACACCAATATTAAAGTCAATTTATGGTTAGTCTGTATTTAAAAGCCTGCCTTCATTAACCAGGAGTGAGGAATAATTGAGCAAATGAGGGCAAAAGAGGATAGCAGAAGGCAAGAATGCAGATTCAGTGAATTCTTGAATTCCACCTCTAACATGGACTTTATTGAAATAGTATTTTTGAAATGCAGAGGTGCCAAGAAGATATCAATTATTTTTTTCCTTTATCTTTCAGACTGTCATTTGTCTTACCGGTTCTTTCTCTGAAAGAATCTGATGATATATAGCTCCTGCACATTCTCCGTAAGACATGGAAAGTGGCTCAAGCTGCATGAAAACATCTGCAGCCATGATCCAAAGAAGGATATCTTTATAAAATATGTTAAATAATATTCAGATATAGTTTTTATGATTTAAGTTATTTTCCTGTTATTTTGTGGGCTAAAGACTAAACTGATTTTCAAATGGGAAAATAATACAATATTTTTAAAATGGCCTTTGCCATTATTTCACTTATAATAAACTAGCTTTTGTTTTAGTATCTTACAGATTGTATATGAGCAAAATTACATTCCAAAACCAATACTTGCACTTAGACAAATGTAAACTAAGGTGATATGCTGGTGCTAAGACTAGATTAAAAACATGTAAACTGCATATGTAAGATTGTGTCTCTTATTAAACATATACTTGGGCCTTGAAATGCCAACTAATAATTGACTATAAAATTTATGATATTGTGATGTGATTGGATATGGTACATAATTAGTGGACCACTGAGTGTCTCAAAAGGATCTGTACTAAATATATCAATTTTATTTTAAGAATTTGCTTATTTATTTAGTTTTGATTATATTAAAATAAGGTAAAAACAGAGAGGGACAATGATTACATGATTCCACTTATATGAGGTACTCAGAGCAATCATATCAGACAGATAGAAAGTAGATTTTTTTTTCCCCCAGGGGCTAGGAGAAGAGGGGAAGGAGACATTATTGTTCCATGAGTGAAGAGTTTCAGTTTTAAAAAATTTTAAATGTTCTGGAGGTGGATAGTGACGATGGTTGCACTATAAGGTGAATATACTTAATGTCATTGAACTATACACTTAAAACTGATTAAGTTGTTGAATTGTATATTATGTATATTTTACCACAATTTTAAAAATTAGTTGCCGACTGGGAGTGGTGGCTCATGCCTGTAATCCCAGCACTTTGGGAGGCCGAGGTGGGTGGATCCCCTGAGATCAGGAGTTCGAGACCAGACTGGCCAACATAGTGAAATCCTGTCTCTACTAAAAAATACAAAAATTAGCTGGGCTTGGTGGTGGGAGCCTGTAATCCCAGCTACTCAGGAGGCTGAGGCAGGAGAATCGCTTGAACCCGGGAGGTGGAGGCTGCAGTGAGCCGAGATTTCACCACTGCACTCCAGCCTGGGCGACAGAGTGAGGCTCCCTCTCACAAAAAAAAAAAAAAAAAAAAAAATTAGTTGCCATAGTAAGACAGACTACAAAATGTGAAACACACTTTGAACTAATAATGATGTCCCTCAAAAACCTTCAATACAGAATGAAAATGCCTAGGGATAATCTTAATGACTCATTTTATAAATATGGTATTTTTTAAAAGATTGAAAGAAAACACAATTTTTCCAAAAACCTTAGTTCCAATATATCAATGCAATGTTAATCACAGCAACTGTGATTTTTATATGCAATTCAAATTATTTTTGAAACAAAGTATTATTTGTAGTAAGTTGTGATATTTCAGTTTAGATATCATCTTAATAAAACACTTTGCGATTTCTTGGTTGTTTAATTTACATATAAGTACATAAATAAATAGCATAACAATTTATTGATTGTTATGTACATAAAAAATATATCAGGAAACAACTTGGAAAAATATACTGTAGTTCCACACTTTGCCACAAAGTGTCAGTGAAAGCATTTGAACCTGCTTCCATCGTCACTTCCGGAATGAGTTTTAAGCATTAAATTCATTGTAATACTTTTTATAATGTAGAACTGAGTATATTTATTTGAAGTTGGATTTTCTAGATAGAAAATAATGTTTAAAGAAGGATAAAATGTCAGTAAACTATCGCAAGAACAAAAAACCAAACACCGCATATTCTCACTCATAGGTGGGAATTGAACAATGAGAACACATGGACACAGGAAGGGGAACATCACACTCTGGGGACTGTTGTGGGGTGGGGGGAGGGGGAGGGATAGCATTGGGAGATATACATAATGCTAAATGACGAGTTAATGGGTGCAGCACACCAGCATGGCACATGTATACATATGTAACTAACCTGCACATTGTGCACATGTACTATAAAACTTAAAGTATAATAATAATAAAATAAAAAAAGAAAAGAAAACAAAAAAAAAGAAGGATAAAATGGCCAACACCATCTCAATTAAATATAAATAAGAGAACGTGAAATAAAACAACATTTCTAAATGAAAAAGAAAAAAACGCAACTGAATACATAGGGAAGAAAGCCTATATTTAACTCCTATTTTCAAAAAACCTACCTTGAAACAGGTCATGGAATGCAGTCATCCAAAATCATTACAGTATCCAGACTTAAGAACCTGGGAAGCTGACCAGGAGTATTATCTTAAAAAGGTAAAACAAACTCTCCACCAAATCCTGAGGCATTTTCCTTTTTCTTGTTTTCACTCCATCACACTGTTACGGCATTGGCCCTCCTTTCTATTGCTAGTTTTACTCCCTTGTCTTCCTGAGCCAATATGCCTGTCTCAATCTCCCATTCTCCACCTACACACCTTGGCAAAGTTGTCCCTAAATCTCCGTCTCAGAAGAACTACATGCAAACGTGCCACTTCCTTTTTTACAACGCTGACGGATGGAGGACTCTTAAGAAGTGCATCTGTGTTGTGAAATGTGCCACCCAAATGGTTATCTAATATGAATATGAATAAAACTCTTTTTTTTTTTTTTTTTTTTTTTTTTTGAGCTGGAGTCTCGCTCTTTCGTCCAGGCCGAACTGCAGTGGCACTATCTCGGCTCACTGCAAGCTCCGCCTCCCGGGTTCACGCCATTCTCCTGCCTCAGCCTCCTGAGTAGCTGGAACTACAGGCGCCCGCCACCGCGCCTGGCTAATTTTTTTGTATTTTTAGTAGAGACGGGGTTTCACGGTGTTAGCCAGGATGGTCTAGATCTTCTGACCTCGTGATCCCCCTGCCTCGGCCTCCCAAAGTGCTGGGATTAAATAAAACTTCAAAACTATTTACTGGCCGGGCGCGGTGGCTCACACCTGTAATCCCGGCACTTTGGGAGAACGAGGCGGGGGGATCACCCGCGGTCAGGTGTTCAAGACCGGCCTGGCCAACATGGCGAAACCCCATCTCTACAAAAATACAAAAATTAGCTGGGCATGGTGGTATGCGCCTGTAATCCCAGCTACTCCGGAGGCTAAGGCGGGAGAATCGCTTGAACCCGGGAGGCGGGGGTTGCAGTGAGCCGAGATCGTGCCACTGTGCTCCAGCCTGGGCGACAGAGTGAGACTCCGTCTCAAAAAAAAAAAAAAAAAAAAAAATTTACCGCCTATGCACAAACAGCAATGTATCTTAAATGTGTTTCGGGTTTTATTTCCTCAAGAAAAGAAAATATAAAAGTCTCTAATTGGACAAATATTTTCTCATTGCCACTTGCTCATTATGTTAATGTTGAGAAAAGCTCTCACTTTTGTCAACCAATGGTGCCTCTGTAGTGTTGATAACCGTTAGGTACAGTGGAGAATAATTAATATATCACAATTAATAATTTGTCTTGAAAGGGATTTAGAAAGAGTATCTTCACACACACAAATGTGCAGGGAGAAAATGCATAGAGGAATGCTATACCACTGAATCCTGTGATTATTATCTCTACAGAAATCAAATCCATAAACAAGTTCTTCAGACAGGAAAAATACAGTGAAGAAAGTGGGAAAATAGGCTTGACTTATCAGCTGTCTCTGAATGGCATGATTTCTCCCAAGGAGGGGCTCAACCACAAATTGGCACCAAGCCTTCTGGCACCAAGAGCTGCCAGAGAACAAAACAGCAGTGTTATTAATAGATCTTCACAGGCCTTTAAGGCTGGCCTGAGGAAAAGGTTAGGAAGACGGAAGGTTCCATAGTCTTAGTGTCTGCAGTTCTATTAATGACTATACCTGGTAGTTACAGTTTCACTCCAGGAAAATTTGTTTTGGAGGAAATGACAACCTTTTGGTCACCCACATCTTTTTACACTTTGTAGATAACTCATTACAAGTCCCCGTTCCCAGTGTGATGTCTTAGAAATGCATCTGGATTTTGACCCTGTTCTCAGAGTTCTACAGGGCCATAAAGTCAGTCCTTCTCTTTGACCCTTTTGCATTAATTAACATACACAAGCAACCAATCCGATCCTCCCCAAGACATTTGACTTCTGTTCATCTTACTACCTGCAATGAACTTATTTTGGGGGTCTTTTCTGTAGAAATGCTTTTCTCTTTCACCGCATATCTGTCTTTAATCCACTTGTCTTTTGTTCTTTCATTATCTTTCTTTAGTTGTTCTTATTGACTCTCACAACTTTATGTCTCATCTATAGAAGACCAACCCAATATTATAATTCAAAGTTATACCTCTAGTTCTTGGCTCTCTCTCCTACTTTGCATACCAGAATCTCTGACTACAACTGTTTTCATCTTATAGATGTTCTATCTTTCAATTAAACTCAAAGTATGAATCATAAAATGTGTGTGAGCGTGTGTGTGTGTTTCTGTGTGTGTGTATTCAGTTAAAACATTTGGATATTGTCCTACAGACTATGGAGAATTGGAAAATTACAAAATTACTGACAGATTTTAAGCAACAGAATGGCAATATCTTACTACTATTTTTCAAAGATTACTTAGGCGGAATATGTGGAAAATATATGTCTTTATGTTGCAAGCAGAGAGATTAATACTGACAGTTTTAAAATTCCAAGAAAGCAAGTTGGTAACCAAAAAATGGAAAAAGGTGAATGCCAAAAATAATAACGAGGTTGAAATATCAGGCCTTAGTGAGGGATTAGATATGAGGATGAGAGAGTAAGAAGAACTGAGGATGATTAGCAGGTATATTGCTTGACAGCTGGGGATGCTCACTGAGCTAGGGGATAAAGGATAATGAGGTAGCTTTGTAAGAGTAGATAGAAGATGAGAAATTCAACTTTGTATATGTAATTTTGAAGCACCTGTGAGTTATCCTAGTGTCAATACCCAGTTGGCATTTAGATTTATGGTTCTATACTCCAGGGGATATAATTTCTTTACATGTAAATATTTGGGATTCATCAGAATAGAAATTGTGATTAAAGCTTGTGGAGTGGATAAGATCAACCAGTGACAGAATTAGAGTAAGAAGGGAAGAACCTAAATCATCTCCAGAAAACTGTGCAGTTTCAACCACATACTCCTGGTTGAGAATATCCAGAAAGTGCCAATTGTTCTCTGAAGTACTAAATATTGTAGTACGAAAGTATACATTTGTTTTACTATTACAAAATAGTTTCTATTTCTGGTAACGGCAGATAAGCTTACTGCAGAACAAACTTCCCACCTAAAACAACCAGAAGTGTTACACATTTCTTTAAGACATTGGAAAGCTACTAAGGCAGAAGGGACATCAAAGGCCAATATCCTGGAGAAAATGCAAGAGGGAGATGCTCTGGCATTTAGCCTCTTTTCTTCTCAAAGTTTTTGGCAATTTGCAAACTCTAGCTAAGAACAGGAGAAGAGAAACAGAGAACAAAGCTGATAATATGAGATGCTGAGCCGGAAATTTAGTACCTAACCAAAAATAAGATGATAATTGGAGTTCAAGGCCTATCAAGTAGGTAAACAACCCTGGCTTTCAGCTGTAACTCCAAGTTATGAACTCTGATAGGGATAAATCTGAAGTAGACAAGCTCTCCTAAAGAATGAAGCCCAGCTTCCAAAGCCTCCAGTGACTGACGGGATAGTGGTTTTCTGTCCCAACACTAGCTGCTGGCCAAAGCAAAAGCAAATTCTCTGTGAAAGAAGATAATATTATCTAGAACATAAAATAATTTCTACAATTTTTCATAAAATATTTCAGAAATTTTAAAATGATTGAATTAATAATGTCAAGAAAGTAGATATATTATAAAGAATATAAAAAATAGAAAAATAGTCCAAGGAAATTATAGAACTTAAAAATATGTGAACTGGAAACACAACAAAGAGATTTAACAGAAAGAAAGATTAGATAAAACCATCTAATAGGATTATACAAACTAATAGAAAATATCCAAGCTAAAGAACAGAGAGGAAAAAAGGAAAATGCAGAAGAGTGTGCATAACACATGGTGAAAATTCTATTATACCTGTGATTGGATTCTCAATATGTGTGTATAGAAGTAGCATGAGACAAAAGCAATCTTTAAAAAGATATTGGCAAGGCAAATACATTATCTAAGAATTTTTCAAAACGAATTAAAGGTATATATTTGTAGATATAAGAAGTGCTATAAATTTCAACCAGGATAAATATAAGAGAAAATCACACCCACTTATATTATCATAAAACTGCTGAAAAACCAGTGACGAAAGGAAAAATCTTAAAGCAGGAAGAAAAAAATGCATCACCTCCAAGTTGTCATATTGGGATTGACAGCTAAATTCTCAAAAGTTAATATCTACAAATACTAATTCACATAAATAGTCTTTCCCTCAGTGATCAGGAGTAAGTGCACAAAGTCTTTTATGGTAATTTCTATTTAGCATTGTGCTGGAGCAAGGGTAATAAAGCAATAAAAATAAATAAAATAATGAAGTTTGGAAAGGATTAAATAAAACCTATCATTATCCACAGAGGGCATACTTATTAAGTGTGAAAGAATCTCCAGATAAACTACTAATCTTAATAAATACCTTAGTAACACTTGCTGAATATAAAACAATATGTAACATAAGAGCACATGAAATTGATATATAAAATATAATGTATATATGCAAAATCAATTATGTTTCTATTAAATAAAAACAACTAGAAAATGCAATTTAAATAGATGATACTATTGACAATAGAATAATAAATGTTCAACATCTAGGAAAAAAATAATGAGAAACACATGATTTCTGCACTGTAAAATATGAGGAATATGAAAAATAACCTAAATGGATAGGGGGATATACCCTACTCATGGAATCGAAGAATAAGTATTGTAAGGCTGTGAGTTTTCTCTAAAATTGATATATGGATTCAATGCATTCCAAATTAAAATGCTAGCTTTCCTTTGGTAAAGACTGGCAAGCTGATTTCAAAATTTATATAAAAATATAATGGGCCAAAATTAGTCAGTATTATATTATGGAAAAACAAATTTGAAGGATTTACATTAGCTATCAAATATTAATACAAAGTGTCAGTAAACAAAACAGTATAGTACTGGTACAAGGATATAAATGTAGATCAAGGGAATAGAATAAAAATTGAGATCCAAAACAAAAACAAAACAAACAAAAATAGTTGAGATCCACACCTACGTATATAAGGACTCTTGACATATGACAAAAGTGCCATGTACTGCATTATCAAAGAAGTATCTTTTCTACAAATGATACTGAATAAATTGATATCTACATAGAAAAAATAAAAATTTGATTTCTACATCACATCATATACAAACATAAATTCCAGGTTACTTATAGATCTAAATTTGACAGTTAAAAAAATAAAATTCCCATTGATAAGATGTTGGAGTAGATAAGCATTTCTTAAGCAGATTTCCTCAAATGTATTAAACATAAAGGACATGTTTGAAAAATTAAACAAACCTAAAATTAGGGTATATCAAAAGAGGACAAAAATATATGCCAAAGAGTGAGAGAAGTTATTTACAACACATTTATTTGAAGAAAACAATTTACATGATTATTTCTTGTGGTTAATGGGCTTTGTTGTTGCCACTGCTGTTGTAGCTTTTCAGATATTTTTATTGAATTATCACACATGTATAAAAATGTACAAACCATCATGTATCACTGGACAAATTACAGCAGAGTGTACATACCCTTGTAACTACTATTCAGACTGAGAAGTACAATATGACCGGCACCCCAGAAGCTCTCTTCCTATTTCCTCTCCAACAACATCCCCCCTGCCAACAAAAGGAAATCCGTATACTGATTTGTAACACCATAGATTAATTGTTATCTGTTTTTAACTTTATCTATGTGGAATCAACATTTATGTGTTATTTTGTGTCTAATTTCTTTCACTTATGATTATGTTTGTAAGATCCAGGTTGTATGTTTAGTAGTAGTTCCATCATTTTCATTCCAGTGTGTGATTATATTATCATTGAAATACTCTACAATTGATGGAAATTTTGGTTCATTCTAATTCAGGGCTATTGTAAACAGGGCTGTTACTAACATTCTTATGTACGTCTTCTGACACATATGTGCAAATTTCTGTTAGTTATATATCTAACAGTGAAATTGCTATCATAGAGTATGCATATGATCACCATTACTACATAACTGCCGTTAAGTTTTCTAAAGTGCTTGGTGCAGTACTAGTTTTTACACTTACCAGCTGGTATGAGTGTCCTAGCTGTCTGCATTTTTGCCAACATTTCGTACTTTTTGAGTTTTTTTCCCCACTTTTTGAGTTAGATATTCTGGTGTACCCATATTATACATTTGTTGCCAATTAGAAAATGGAGTTGAACATTACTCTCTAGGGCTTTCATTATCTTACAGAAGTTTTATCCACATTTATGGGTCAATTTGATGCCTTCTTTAGGATGTGATCTTTTTCAGAATTAATAAACTTGATTTAAATCTGGACTTATTTTAACACTAGGTAATCCTCAAATTAATCTAGCCATTTCTCCCCTCTCTTCTTATCGTATTTTAAAATCTTCTTTTAACTATCTAATATAGATAGCCTATTTTTTCTTAAATTGTATGTGTCATTTTACAAAACCAATCTTTTACCTTTTTTTCTATAAGTCAGGTGTTCCATTCTAAACATAGTAGATTCTCAATGGTTGCTGAGTGACTGACATTGATTGTGTAAAATTTATATGACCTAGGTTTTATTTTTTGATGTTAGAGAATTTATCATTAATATCTGATCCTGGAGAGAAGAAAATAACTCAATATAGGTAAAGCAGCATAGCACCTATTTCTACTTTGTCACCTTATATCATTTTGCTGTCATAAATTCCTGAAATAGTATCTGAGAGTGTCTTAGATGAAGGCTGAAAACAACAGAATGACCTTTTAGATAATAGGATGGATCACATTAAATGAATTTGCACCTAATCTAGAGACTGATGGCAAACCTTTCTGTGATGGTGTAGGTACACTACAAAGATAAAAAATCCAGGTCTCTGCTACAAACCACACTGATTTACATTTTATAGTAATGTATATTTAACTAACATACATGGATTTCCAAATTATTATAACATGTTTAACTTACTAAATAATATTAAATCATGTTTTACTTCCTATTTTTGAATATAGTTTCAATAATTGAGTAAATAAAGCAAAGACTATTTGCATATTCCCCAAATATTACTGATTTTAGGCTTGTCCAGACTTTATTTATTTATTTGTTATTCTTTAGAGACAGGGTCTTGCTCTTTTGCCCAGGCTAGAGTGCAGTGGCACGATCCTCCCTCATTGTAACCTCTTCTCTGTACTCAAGTAATCCTTCCACCTCAGCTTCCCAAGTAGCTACAACTATAGGTGTGCACCACCATGCCTGGCTAGTGTTATTTTATTTTTGTTTTTGTAAAGATGGGGTCTTGCCATTTTGTCCAGGCTGGTCTCAAACTCCTGGGCTCAATTTCCTTCTTGCCTCAGAATTTTTGACGTTCAAATGAAATTTGATAATAATGTACAATGATCCCTTTTAAAAACCAGCTTTGGCCATGCGTGGTGGCTCATGCCGGTAATCCCAGCACTTTGGGAAGCCGAGGTGGGTGGATCACCTGAGGTCAGGAGTTTGAGACCAGCCTGGCCAACATGGTAAAACCCCATGTTTACTAAAAAATACAGAAAATTAGCTGAGTCTGGTGGTGGGCGCCTGTAATCCCAGCTACTCGGGATGCCGAGGCAGGAGAATCACTAGAATCCGAGAGGCGGAGATTGCAGTGAGCTGAGATTGCACCATTGCACTCCAGCGTGAGCAACAGAGCAAGACACCATCAAAAAAAAAAAAAGCAGCTTTATTCATTTTTCAAAAATCCATTTTTTGTCTGTCACTTTTCCTTTAAAATGTACCTCACTTTTCTTGAATCATCAGACATTCATTCCTTCAAATTACTGTTAAGAATCTAGAATTGTGTAAAAATATTTTCTTCTGAAATAAAAAAGCCTAATCTTTAAAATCATTCTTTTTGAAGACAGATAATATAGAGGTAAAGTTTATGCACTTCGGAGTTAAAAATCTATCTCAGACTTCACCTTCAATATCTTGTTTAGTCAAGTTATTTAGCATCTCTGTGCTTTAGTTTTGACATGTATAAGATTGAGATACTTGTACCTATTTTATAGGACTGTTTTAATGGACATAAAAACAGTTGTCACAAAGCTTGGAACATAATGGATGATAGTTGTTCACTAAAAATTATAGATTTTTCAACCAAATAAAACTTAATAAAGTTCTTCACAAGTGATCTTTGTCATCCAACATCAAGATTTCTATCTCTGAATATTTAACAAATTTTTGCTGAAAAGTTAATCTGTATTTGATAGTTAAACTTGATCTGCAATCAGAGATTGATAAACATTTCCTAGTTTTAGGGCTCACACTGAGTAAGGTAAGATGATATCCTTTTAGACAACATGTCGGAGAAAGTTAGATTCATAATTTCGACTCTATTCAAGGAAAGAACAACAACAAAAAAGAATGTCCACTTGGCTCTATTGGACAACAAGAGCAATGGCATAAACAGCTGCAGCTGTTTCAAAATTTACATCCCATAGATTTAGTGAGAACTCTCAATAAATTAGGAATTGTGTGGTGCATTTTAATAAGTGAATATATAAAGATTGTATTAATTAATTGCCCGTTTGACTAATATTCACACCCCAGTGAATGAGTATGAAACTGAATTACATGTAAATTAATGTAAATAGTCTCACATTGACAAAGAGGGGATGCTCTTTGAGGCAACTATTAAGTATTGTTAAGTTTTTAATTACAGGTTGAAGCCAAATGTTTGTCAGAATAGAGTTCTGAAATTAAAAAAAGGAAATTATTTTGTATACAAAAATGTGTTTAGGAAAGTGGGTTAGGACACATCTGTTCTGTAGAAGATGATGGACAATGAACAAAAACGGAGAGACTGATCACAGCAGGAGGAGTGAGGTGGATGGAGATGAGGAGATTATGAGTTTTCTTTGGAACACGTTAAATTTGATGTATTTAAGGGACATCTATTATACAATGTATAAGGTAAGATTAAATTTAGAGCAACAACAAAATGTATGATTAAAAATAGAGAAACAGCTAGATTGATACAGCATTTATTAAATGGAAGGCACGTCAAACAAAATAGCTCATATTCGCTAGTCTTTAGTTTGTTATTTAACCACCTCACAAGTCTGCAAGCCTTGGCAATCTTTTCTCTTTAACAAGTAAGTCAATTTCTTTTTATTTCACTCAATTTTTTGGATGGAGTAGGTCTTTATAATAACTGAATCTGCTGTATTAAGATGATACATTTCTCTTCTAATTTGGAAAGGCACACAAAGCAGATTTTTACTTTATAAAATCTTGGCTTTCTTTCCTAAAAAAAAATGCAAGTACTTTCCATAGTTAAAATTAGAAATAAATAAGTGGAACACTTTCAGATATTCCGTTAAATAAAGTGGGTTATTCCTTTTGATTCTATTTGCCATTGAAACAAAGAGAATAATGCAGTGTATTTTATATGGATATTTCATTCTTACTTCTCTTAAAAGAGAGTATTAGTCTCCCTTCACATGTTTAATTTCATTACAGTAACTTAAACTTAATAAAAAGGGATATTGAAATTTTTTCTGGTCAAACATTAAAAAGTTCCTTTAATAGAATACCTGTATGTCTATTATTATAAATATAAGTGAGTGATAAACATAAGTGAGTGTTATGTATAAATTTCATTTTTTTACCTCATGACTGAAGTGTGTGTAGTTGACTTTTATAAGTAGAATATTGATTGGATAATGTGTTTTAGAAAAACTGTGTATCTTTCCTAGTGCTCGCCTAAACCATATTTCTGAATGACACTCAAGTCTAGAAATAGCAAGGGCCTATGGGTATCAGAGTTATGGGAAGTACCAACTAACTTGGCTAATTATGGAAAAGATTAGATGTGATACTTCTTACTGCCTCCTCGCAGCCCCCAACAAAGGATTCTATACAGAGGTGAAGTGAATGAACCTTGGTCTTATTGGCTAGAAATGAACCGTAAAAAAAAAAAAAAATCTTTGACCTGTTTCATTGGATAATAACATTCAGATGACTGAGCCACACCTGAGTTTTTGCCTCAATTTTTATTCATTAATTCATTCGTTCAGCATATATTTATGGAAGACGACGTTTCAAGTTTGCAAATATGCCTTACACATGTTTTAAAATGTGATTATCCATTTCGTACAAAATACAAAACTGTGTACTGTGGTTTAAGTCCCATAAATCTGTTTATCAGTATTAAATGGAAGAGGAAATTTATGTAGTAATTAATCTATGTCAGTCATCAGGCTAGGTGACAGTGAAAAATGTCTTGATGTATTCTTTCAACACATCCCATATTACTTCAATTCAGGGGAAACAATACCATTTACTCATATTTTCTTTAATTTAGATTATACATTTTAAAGTGTTAAGCAAACTCTTGGGAGTTTCTGGGTTAGATAATGACTGCTGCTTTCTAGGGATTATGCTCTGAGTAATGAAGTCCTAAGAATCCTGTCATTTTTGTTATTGCTACTGTTATTATTATTAGAGGCATTAGTGTAAAACTGCCCATAAAGCAAACCATTTATTATGCTTATAGTTGTTGCTCAAATCTTAGCAGTTTATTACATCTAAAATCTGTACTAAAGACTTTAAAACAGAATGGAGATTTTTATGGAATTAAAGGAAAGTTATTTAAAGTTCTCAGTCTATTCATATCCTGGTTAGTAAATATGAGCTCTCATTCTCAATTATCTCAGCAGTAAACTATAATTAAGGCATGAGAGTATTGCTGGTTGGTGCCTGACCAGTCAGAGAGCTCCAGGTACAGCCATTTTGACCCTGTACCATACCTTACTTCCCTCACGACTCTGGGGACCTTCCATTTTGTTTCCCAAGTAGTTTTTGCCTGTGAAGCGGTGTGTGTAAAGCCTGCTGTATATTTCATTTCATTTTACTGTACTTTCATTGTGAAAAGAGCACTCAACATGGCATCTCCTCTCTTGATAAATGTTTAAGTGCATAATACTGCATCATTAACTGTAGGCACAATGTTGTACAGCAGATCTCTAGAACCTATTCATTTTTTCATAATTCAAACTACATACTCATTGGACAGCAGTTCCTCATTTCTGCCTCCTCCCAGCCCCTGGCAACTACCATTCTAGTCTCTGTTTCCATGAGTTTGACTATTTCAAATACCTAATGTAAGTAGAATCATGCAATAATTGTCCTTCTATACCTGGCTTATTCCACCTAGCATAACGTCCTGCAGGTTCATCTATGATGTTGCATTCAGAAAGATACCCTTCTTTTTTAAGGCTGAATAATATTCCATTGTATGTGTAGACCATATTTTCTTTACCCATTAATCCATGGATGGACATTTAGGTTGTTTTGTGAAGACTACTGCAATGAATGTGAGAGTGCAGATATCTCTTCAACATTTTGATTTAAATTATTTTGGATATATACCCAAAAATGGAATTGCTGGCTCATATGGTGATTCTATTTTTGATTTTTTGAGGAAAATAAAAATATTCCAAGCCAGCACAGTGGTTCATGCCTATAGTTCCAGCTCTTCAGGAGGCTGAGGTGAAAGGATCACTTGAGTCTTGGAGTTTGATGCCAGCTTGGACAACATAGCAAGACACATTCTCAAAAACAAAAAATTTTTATAGTGGCTGCATCATTTTATATTTCTGTCAGCATATACAGGAGTTCCAATTTCTCCACATCCTTGCTAGCATTTGTCATCTTTGGTTTTGCTAATGTTTGTTATCCTAACAAGTGTGAGGTGATGGTTCTGTGGTTTGATTTGCAAAAATCCCTCCTTTTAACATCCCACCATGAAAATCAGCCTCGTCCACATGCACAGTAACCAAGGAAGTGAAGCAACCCTACTTAGTGGATTAATAAAATGAATACAAAGTTTGTTCCTGAATTCACCCAAAAAAAAGTGCTGAAAAGTTGTCAATAGCTAGTTTTGGTTAAGTCATTTCTACATGTTTACTTTCATTAAAATATGTTATTTTGTCAAAAAATAGGATTAAAAAACCTTGAAAAGTCTTTGTAAAACAATTGTTCTAGAAAAAGAGATTAAAATTTTTAATTTTTCATTCTGTGAAGTTTTAAGAATACAAGTGAACTTACTAATTGCCTAAGAAATTTCTTGGTACTTAATACAGAAAGTTGAATAAGACTTCTGCAGATAAATGGAATGTGACAATATCTCAGGGGCTATTGGTGTGATACCTGTGAAACATTGGGGCATGTTATTGGATATTTTTTATTTATTTAGAATGTCTACTGACATTATTATTGAAGAAAGTATTATGGTTCCAATAAGAAAGAATGAATGTAGTGAATAATATGGCATTGACTTCTCAAGAATCACAGATTGTAAGATACAGACATTCTTACATTTTGATATACATGTCAAGACAAAGATGCTAAGAAGCAGCATCAAAAACTGAATTTCAGCTTTAAGGTATTCAAATCCTACAATATTACATATTAAAATTTAATATTTAATTTTTTTTCCTAAACTCTAAACTCTGTTGCTGTCTTTTCAACTTCTATGTAGAAATTCTTTGTTGTGTAAGTCTTATTAATAACTTTCTTCATTCAACTCTTACACATAAATTTCAAAACTTTTGTCTATCCCCATTCCGCTTGACTTCTTTTCCCTTGGTCCTATCATTATTCGTATGATGCTTTGGGTCCACATGCTCCTTCTGCTGAGGTTCTGTTATTCATCACTGTCCTGGAAATCCTCTCACTACCTCAACCATGACTTCTGCATTTGTATAAGTCTTAATTGACTCCTCCCTCACTGTCTGTTTGTACTGCAATGCCTGAGGCCCAAACAAGTAAGCTACCACCTCATCTTTCAGACTATAACCAGTGCTTGGATAATCTCTTGTCTTCCAACTGCCATGACACTACTTATTAGGAAAAATAATCACTGTTATACCCTATCTTATTTCTCTTCCTATGTTACTAGCATCTTCATTACATAGATTTATCTACACTCTCAATTTCATTTTTAATTTAATTCCATTTATCTCTCCTTTTGCTTTTTGCTTTGTTCACAGTAGAAATTGACTCTTCCTTTTTAGTGTCCCCTTTCCCCCCGCCAAGTATAACCAACAGCATCTAATTTATATCAAGTATTATGCACCATGGGGAGACTAGTGATGCATATCATATAGTAGCTGTTCTCAGACTGATACAGTTTTCATGGGAATAGGAAACAATTAGATGAACATACTAAGACAGTCAATAGTCAAATATTTGATTGTATGTAATACACAGGAATAATCTTTAATGCAGTACAAAATTCCCTGTTCAAACATACATGTTAAACATTAATGCTTTCCATGTTGCATAAAATTAGAACAGGTTTTTATGTGTGCAAACACACACACACACACATACACCCATTCGAGGGATAGGGAAAAGAAATAGAATTGGATAGAGTTAGATTTCAATTAAGGTCCCCATAGTAATAGCTTTTGTGAACTCAGCCAACCTACTTAAATAATCTAAAACTAATCCTGACCACTTGGGAGTAATGGAAAAAGTAATCAAAATAACCCATTGATATCTCCATGACTAATTCTCAATCAATACATATTTGTCAATAAGTGGATATCAACCACTTAACATAATGCATAATTTTGGCTAGGTGCTTAAATCTTTCTAAGCCCTAACTGTAACACATGGATTAAAAAAAAATCATAGAATACTGCAAGGGTTAAGTAATGAATCCAAGTAACAGAATAGTACATATCAATTATATGTATTACTATGTTATGCTGATTTTGTTTTTCTTCATTCATATTTTAAAATTTAAATTCTATAACTTTTATAAATAGATGTGTTAAATTTGAAATAAGAAAAGTTACTTTGCTAATGAAAAGAATCCTTCACTAATCTTCATATCCTGTTTTCATGAATTCTTTGATAATGTAAAGAATCACAATTAGCCGGGCGTGGTGGCGGGCACCTGTAGTCCCAGCTACTCGGGAGGCTGAGGCAGGAGAATGGTGTGAACCCGGGAGGCGGAGCTTTCAGTGAGCCGAGATCTCACCACTGCACTCCAGGCCTGGGCGACAGAGCGAGACTCTGTCTCAAAAAAAAAAAAAAAAAAAAAAAACACCTGGAATTTGGTATCACTCTACAAGCAGAGCCTAAACATAAATACATGATTTTGGATGTTTTTATGCTTACCTGTCCCCTAAGATAAAATTGCAGTTTTTGGCAGGGCTCAGTGGCTCACACCTGTAATCCCAGCACTTTGGGAGGCCAAGGTGTGCAGATCATCTGAGGTTAGGAGCTCGAGACCACCCTGGCCAACATGGTGAAACCCCATCTCTACTAAAAATACAAAAATTAGCCAGGCGTGGTGGTGCATGCCTGTAATCCCAGGTACTGGGGAGGATGAGGCAGGAGAATCACTTGAACTTGGGAGTCGGAGGTTGCAGTGAGCTGAAATGGTACCATTGCACTCCAGCCTGGGCAACAGAGTGAGACTTTGTCTCAAAAGAAAAAAAATTGCAGTTTCATTTTTCAGACTTCATCCTGAACAAATAGGAAGCACTTCAGAGCACTATTATTTACTTTGTATTGTAATATGGGATTAATGAAGCCACCAAGGGACAAAGAGAAAGTGGGAGGGGAATAGAAAATAAGGAAACTAAGAAAAATCTCAAGGCATAAGATTCAGCACATCTTTTAAAGATACATGAGTTGGTGACATTTTATAAAAGCTGCTCTTACAAATTTCCCAATGATGCTGCAATTGGATGTTTCTGACCTTAAAACCACCTTGTTTGTCCCTCTCATTGCACAGGGATGCCCAACTAGGGAGGAAGCACAAAACAGCTTAGGCTGTCTTTTTAACAGTATTGTGGTGAGGACCAAATGAAAAGATTTTGAAAATGTTTTGTCAATGATAAGCCTAAGTAGGGTTTCCCAAATGTCTTAAGTATAAAGATCCTTATATAATGTGAAGAATGTGCCAGGCATTTAATTACATTTATACTTAAAAGGAGTTGATGGAAATTATACTTTTAGTTTCTGTTGATTAAGAAAATACTTAATTACAATTACAATTTGATTACAGTAATTTTAAAAATACATTGACTATTAGTTATAACATAACCTTCATGTATCTTAAAAATATTAGTTTATGTATATGGAATTATAGTACACTGCATTAGCATTACCAGGTACTTGATTATTGTTGAATGAATGAATGAGGAGTGACTGTGTGGGGTGCAAATTTTTATTCTCTATGCCTTGTGCAGGTCTGGCACAGATTATATTAGAATCTCTCAAGAAGCATTTGTGGAGTTACATGCTTTGCCTACACAGACCATGCTTATGATAACTCATA